>NC_000007.14:36490242-37115242 GCF_000001405.40 Homo sapiens
TGTTTCATCTAGTCCTCATAGAAGTCCTGTGTTAAATATAAGGATATACGAATATGAGGAGCCTGAGGGTCAGAGTGGTTAAGTAGCTTTCCTAATGTTCCACGGCAGAGCCAACACTCAAACTGGCCTGGCTCTAAACAGGCTTAATGTTGCATCGGTTTCCACTTTATAAATTAGTAAAATGCTAAAACTTCAAGTTCCTTGCCTATGTTTGGCTTTTTGCCAATATTCTGCATTATTTTTTATTTTCTTTGGCATCCATGAGAAAGAATATGGTTGCATAGTGAACAATTTGCTCTCTGATGGATGGAGGGAAAGGCTCTTGCTGGCACCTTTGCAGAGCACCGTACTGGCTTGGGGAGGGAGCAGGGTTGCAGTGCTGGAGAACAAAACAGTCAGCTCTGCAAATGTCAGATTTTCCAGTGGTTGGAGACTCCTGCAGTGCACTTGGTCCACACAGCTAGTCAACCTTGATGTTGTCTGCAAAATGATCCAACATCTCATTAACGTCTCTCACTTCCTTTTGCGCATTGTGCACTAGCTTGGATTTCTGCTCCTTTGAATGGGGACATCAGAAGTCACTTGGCTTAATCAAGTTGTCAGCAGGCCAGGGAGGAACTGTTGGCTTTATTCTGTGCATTGTCTCAGGATGGGAATGAATTAAAGTAGTTATATTTTAAAATTATGCTTTCAAGGCAATTCATAAACCATGTTCCTTTTTTGCATCCTAATTATCCTTTTTCTCCTTTCCCTTATTTCTTTCCCTGTGCCAAACTATAACCCATTTATAGTCTAAAGTTTAGGGGTATACAATAGTTATATTTTAAAATTGTGCTTTCAAGGTAATTCATAAACCATGTTCCTTTTTTGCATCCTAATTATCCTTTTTCTCCTTTCCCTTATTTCTTTCCCTGTGCCAAATTATAACCCTATTTATAGTCTACAGTTTAGGGGTATACAATCTTTTTCTTCCCTGTTGTTTCTTTCTTGTAATGAAATTAGTAACTTAGCAAAAGCATGGACGAGAGCTCTTTTTATATACCTGTAAAAATATTGCAGGAAACAATAAACTTTGTAACATTTTAATGGACTAAATCTTTTATAGACTTTGAAGATTTGTTAGAAAAATTATTCATCTATAGGACTACATATACCAATATGTCATTCTTAAGGTGCTTTTAAAAGTCCTCCTTGGCTAATTTTTATGAAGGTAGATAGTAGATACACATATTCATGCGTTCACACACCCAGCCTTCCATCTGTCCATAATATTTATATGCAATGATATGCACAAACCATATGTGTTTCATTCCATGAGTTTCGGTAAGTGCATCTATTTATGTAACTGAAACCTTTATCAAAATAGATTATTCCAGAAAATTATTTCATATTGTTTCCCAGTCAATCTCCAGCTCTCCTATCCCCAAAACACTTTTCTGATTTTTTGCATCGTAGATTAGTTTTACCTCTTCCAGAATTTCATATATATATGCATATATATAGTCAACATATATATATTCAGCATAATTTTGAGACTCATTTATGTTGTGCATATCAGTAGTTGATTTTATATTGCTGAGTGGTATGTCATGTGTTTATATTGATGGACAACTGGACAGTTTCTAGGTTTTAGCTTTTATGAATGAAGCTGCTATGGGCATTGTTTTACAAGTCTTTCTGTAGACATGCGATAGTTGATATTTAGGGGAGAGCTTGCTGGGTCATAGGGTAGTGCATAATTAGTTTTATAAGAAGCTTTTCAAAAGTGCTTCTATATGAGAGCTTCAGTTGTTCTACATCCTTGCCAACACTTGCTGCTCTCAATCTTTTCATTTTTGGCCATACTGGTGGGTACGTAGGGGATCTCTGTGATTTTACATTGCATTTACCTGATGATCAAGAATGTTAAACACTGTTTTATGTGTTTTTTGGCCACTCCTGTATCTACCTTTGTAATGTGTATGTTCAAAACTTTACTCATTAAAAACATAGGTTGCCTCTTTATTATTGAGTTGTAGGAGTTCTTTAAATATTCTGGAGTCATTGTCAGACCTATGTTTTGTGAATATTTTCTCCCAGTCTGTGGTGTCTTTGAAGGAGCGAAAGTTTGAAATTTTGTCTAATTTGACAGAGTAATATTAATTCTTTCTAAAAATGAATTTATCAAGTTCTTTTTCATTTTTGGTTATTGTTTTTGTGTCTTGTCTAGGAAACTCCTGCCTACCCCTAAACTGGGAATATGTTTTCTTCTAGCAGCTTTTTAGTTTTGGCTTTTACATTTGATTCTATTATCTATCTTAGATTAATTTTTACATAGATATGATATAGAGGTAAATATTCATTAAAAACATCTGGTTGTTCCAATAGCATTTATTGAAAACACTTTTCTTTTCCCTTGCTTTCTTTGGCACCTTTGTAAAAGAATCAAAGAACCATATAAATGAGGTGTTTCTGGGCACCCTATTCTGCTTCCATTGAGTTAGTTGTGTGTCTCGATGTCAGTAACACTGTCTTGACTATTATAATTATATTACACATTTTAAGTCAGGTACTGAAACATCTCTACATTTTCTTTCTTTCTTTCCCCCAAAATTGCTTTGGCTAACTTAGGTTCTTTGTATTTCTCTGTATATTTTAGAATCAGCTTCAATTTAAAAAAAGCCTCTGGGATTATATTTAGGATTATATTTAATCTATAGATCAATTTTAGTAGAACTGACAACATTGAGCATTTAAATTTAGGAATACGGTATTAATGTAGATACATCCATTTATTTAGGTCTCTTAAACTTTCTTTCAGCAACATATGTTTTCTTTGTCTTTTTTTTTTTTTTTTTTTTTTTTTTGAGACAGAGTCTCCCTCTGTCATTCAGGCTGGAGTGGAGTGGCGCAACCTTAGCTCACTGCAACCTCTGCCTCCCTGGTTCAAGCAATTCTCTTGCCTCAGCCTCCCGAGTAGCTGGGATTACAAGTGCCCGCCACCATGCCCAGCTAATTTTTGTATTTTTAGTAGAGATGGGGTTTCACTATGTTGGCCAGGCTGGTCTCAAACTCCTGAACTCAGGTGATCCACTTGCCTTGGCCACCCAAAGTGCTGGGATTACAGGCGTAAGCCAGAGCACCTAGCCAGTTTTCAATATAGAGGTTTTACATGTCTTTTGTCAGTTTACTCCAAAGTATTTAGTGCCTTATGATATCATTTTAAGTGAAATTTTTAAGAAAATACACTTTCCAATTGTCTGGGCTGCAGTATGTAAAAATTACAGCTTTTAGCAGAATATAATTTTATTTTTATTAGAGAACTTCTTTTTTAGAAGCATAGACATTGCAGATTGTATAGGCAGCCATGGATAAAATTTAGTCCTTCAAATAAAATTCTAGCCTGAAGGTTAACAAGAATTGGATGACAGCTGCACATAGCCTGAATTCACATGGCTGGGCTTTTTTTTTTCTGCCTCTAATGCAGTGCACCATTGCAGCCTTTTTTTTTTCCCCCAGTGGACTCCTCCACTATCAACTTTCTTCCCCAGAGGAGTGGTACATTATTTGCTACAATCAATGAACCTACATTGACACATCATTATCACCCAAAGCCCAAATATTTTCTTTATGTTTCGTTTTCTTCAGTTTGAGTATGATATGCCTAAGTGTAGATTTTTTGACACGTTTATCCCTCCTTGGTGTTCTCTGAACTTCTTGGATCTGTGGTTTGGTGTCTGACATTAATTTGGGAATATTTGTCATTTTTGCATCAAATATTTCTTCTGTTCCTTACTCTTTTTCTTCTCTTTGTATTCCCACTGTAACTTATGTACAGTTCTTGGATATTCTGTTCCAGTTTCCACCCCCCACTTTCTCTTTTCAGTTTGGGAAGCTTCTGTTGACATATCCTCAAGCTCAGACGTTCTTTCCTCAGCTGTGTCTAGTCTACTAATGAGTCCATCAAAGGCATTCTTCCTGTTACATGTTTTTTATTTCTAGCATGTCTTTTTGATTCTTTCTTAGAATTTGTATCTCCTTGATTACATTGCCCATGTTTTTTTATTTAATTTTTAATTTTTAATGGGTATATAGTAGGTATATATATTTTTATATATATGCTTTCTATTACATGTTTTTTAATTCTAGCTTGTCTTTCTGATTCTTTCTTAGAATTTCTATCTCCTTAATTACATTGCCCATCTGTTTTTTTTTAAATTTTTAGTTTTTAGTGGGTACATGGTAGGTATATATATTTATGGGGCATATGAGAAATTTCGATACAGGCATACAAGGCATAATAATCACATCAAGGTAAATGGGTATCCATCGTCTCAAGCATTTATTATTTCTTTGCATTATAAACATTCCAATTATACTCTTCTAGTTATTTAAAAATATATAATAAATTATTATTGACTGTAGACACTCTGTTGTGCTACCAAATACTAGATTTTTTTTTTTTTTGAAATAGAGTCTTGCTCTGTCGCCCAGGCTGGAGTGCAGTGGTGTGATCTTGGCTCACTGCAACTTCTGCCTCACGGGTTCAAGTGATTCTCCTGCCTCAGCCTCCTGAGTAGCTGGGATTACAGGCATGCATCAACATGCTCAGGTAATTTTTGTATTTTTAGTAGAGATGGGGTTTTGCCATGTTGTCCAGGCTGGTCTCGAACTTCCAACCTCAAGGTATCCACCCACCTTGGCCTCTCAAACTGCTGGAATTATAGGTGTGAGCCACCACGCCTAGCCCCAAATACTAGATCTTATTTCTTCTATCTAACTTTTTTTTTGTACGCATTAGTCATCCCCACTTTCTTCCCCTCCACTGTGCCTAGGCTCTGGTAACCATCATTCTACTCTCTGTCTTCATGAGTTCAATTGTTTTAATTTTTAGCTTCTACAAATGAATGAGAACATGTGACATTTGTCTTTCTGTGCCTGGCTTATTTCACTTAACATAAAGACCTCCAGTTCCATCCATGTTGTGGCAAGTGGCAGCATCTTGTTCCTTTTTATGGCTGAATAGTGCTCCATTGTGTATATGTAACCACATTTTCTTTATCCATTCATCTGTTGATAGACACTTATGTTGCTTCCAAATCTTGGCTGTTATGAATAGTGCTGCAAAACATGGGAGTGCAGATATTGCTTTGATATATTGATTTCCTTTTTTGGGGTATATACTTAGCAGTGAATTGCTGGATTATATGATAGCCCTATTTTTAGCTTTATGAGGAACCTCCAAACTGTTCTCCATAGTGGTTGTACTAATTTACATTCCCCCAAACAGTGTACAAGGATTCCCTTTTTTCCACATCCTCGCCAACATTTGTTATTGCTTTTGGATATAAGCCATTTTAACTGAGGTGAGATGATACCTCTTTGTAGTTTTGATTTGCATTTCTTTGATGATCTGTGATGTTAAGCACCTTTTCAGATGCCTGTTTGCCATCTGTATGTCTTCTTTGGAGAAATGTCTGTTCAGATCCTTTGCCCATATTTAAGTTGGAGTATTAGAATATTTTCCTGTAGAATTGTTTGAGCTCCTTATATATTCTGGTTATTAATCTCTTGTCAGATGGATAATTTGCAAATATTTTCTCCCATACTGTGGGTTGTCTCTTTTCTTTGTTGATTGTTTCTTCTTCTTCTTCTTCTTTTTTTTTTTTTTTTTTTTTTGAGACAGAATCTTACTCCATTACCCAGGCTGGAGGGTAGTGGCATAATCTTGGCTTACTGCCACCTCCGCCTCCCGGATTCAAGCGATTCTCGGGCCTCAGCCACCTGAATAGCTGGAATTACAGGTGCACACCACCACACCTGGCTAATTTTTGTATTTTTAATAGAGACAGGGTTTCACCATATTGGCCAGGCTGGTCTTGAACTCCTGACCTCAGGTGATCTGCCCATTTCAGCCTCCTAAAGTGCTGGGATTACAGTTGCGAGGCACCATGCCTAGTCTGTTGTTTCCTTTGCTATGCAGAAACTTTTTAACTTGATGTGATCCCATTTGTCTGTTTTTGCTTTGGTCGCCTGTGCTTGTGGGGTATACTCAAGAAATCTTTGCCCAGATCAATGTCCTGGAGAGTTTCCTCATTGTTTTCTTTTAGTAGTTTCATAGATTGAGGTCTTCTGCATATGGATATCCACTTACCCATCTGTTCTTACATGTTGTCCATTAGAGCCCTTAGCATACTCTTCATAATTATTTTAAATTCCTAGTGTAATAGCTCCAACACCCCTGTCATATCTGAATGTGCTCTGATGCTTGCTCTGTCTTTTCAAACTGTTTTTGCCTGTTAGTGTGCCTTGCACTTTTCTGTTGAAAGCCAGTCATGACATATCTAGTACTACTTCCATTGGGCCAGGCATGGTGGCTCACACCTGTCATCCCAGCACGCCTGACATCCCAGCTGAGGAGGGAGGATCGCTTGAGGCTAGGAGTTCAAGACCAGCCTGGGCAACAGAGTGCGGCCCCGTCTCTACAAAAACAAAACAAAACGAAACACCCCCACCCCCCACTTACACTGGATGTTTCTGCTTCTGGGATTCCACTTCAGTGAGTTGGAATTCTCTGTACCTTCCTCTCTCTCCAGTGCTTGGGAAATGGTTTGCCCCGTGACTTCAAATCTCTGGCAGATCTAAGAAGGGTTGTTGATTTTTCAGCCTGTCCAGGCTTTTTCTTGTTAGGATGGAGTGACAACTTTCAAACTCACTACATGCTGGATCAGAAAACAGAAACCTCTCAGTGTAATTTCAAATTACATTTATCTAATTATAAGTGAAGTTAAACAGATTTTTATATTTTTTATGTGTAAGGTGCCTTTGATTCTATTTTCTCTTAACTTTAGCCATTCATATCTTCTGCCAATTTAAAAACTGAATTGTTAGCTTTTTCCTTCTTGCTTTTTAAGAACTCTTCATGTCCTGGGGAGATTAGCTCTTCGTCTGTGAAATGGGGTGTGTGTCCCCCCATTTTGCCACTTGTCTTTTGACTCTGCTTACAGTATGTTTTCAACGTACAAAAACTTTTACTTTTAAGAAGTCAATTTATCAACATTTACATGGTTTCTGGGCTGGGTGCAGTGACTCATGCTTATAATCCCAGCACTTTGGGAGGCTGAGGCGGGTGGATCACTTTTAGCTTAGGAATTTGAGACAAGCCTGGGCAACATGGTGAAACCCCATCTCTACAAAAAATACAAAAATTAGGTGGGCGTTGGTGGTTTGCACCTGTAGTCCCAGCTACTCAGGAGGCTGAGGCTGGAGAATCACTTGAGCCTGGGAAGCGGAAGTTGGAGCGAGCCAAGATCTCACCACTGCACTCCAGCCTGGGCGAAAGAGTGGGAACCCATCTTGAAACAAACAAACAAACAACAAACAAAAAATGGTTTCTGGGTCCTGAGTCAGGCATGAATTCTAAAAGAGTTTGGAAATGCATAATGATAAAGAGGAATTATTTTATTATTATTATTTAAAACACCGTTTGCCATAATTGCTCTGTCTCCCAAGGGAGTGGCATACTTTCCCTCCAGAGCAGAGTTTTTGGCAACCCCTCCTTGCCCCTACTAATGAATCATTTAATGTGAAAAGAGAGCCCTCAGAGGAACAACATAATGAGAAAAGACACAATTTACTCTGCACAATGATAAAGAATGTGTAAGTTTCAAGGAGTACCTCCCTTAGGGCTTCAAGGGAGGAGTGGAGGGAGAGGAGGAGCAATGAGCAGTGTCGTGGGGCCAGCTGCAGAGGAGGGGCCCCGTGGAAAATCCCGGGGTGGGGCACTAAAAGGCAGGGACGTGTGACTGACTTCCAGTTTTAGGTCATGTGCTACTCTGTGCTACAGGATAACTTTCTGCATTATTCCCAAACCATCATTAAATATGCACTGGCACAGCAAACAAGAAGAAAATGGGATGAGGTATGGTCAAGAAAGCAGAAGAGGACAAATGTGGTGGCTCACCCTGTATTCCCAGCATTTTGGGAGGCCGAGGCTGGAAGATCAATTGAACCCAGGAGTCAGACACCAGCCTGGGCAACATAAAGAGAACCGGTCTCTACAAAGCTATAAAGAAAAGTTAGCTGGAGGTGGTAGTGTATGACTGTAGTCCCCGTTACTCGGGAGGCTGAGGCAGGAGGATTCCTTGAGCCAGGGGATGGGGGATGGGGTTCGAGGCAGCAGTGTGCTGTGATTGTGCCACTTCACTCCAGAAAGAAATAAAGCAGAAGAAAGCTAAAGTGGATTTCTAGCAAGGAAGATAAGAAAGTGCAGTTTGGGTCTGACTCAGGAGTAATTGTGAGACAATTCCTTTCCCCCAAATAGCCCAGAGCAGTGGTTTGCCACCTTAGCTGCACAAGAGAATCACCCAGGGGAGCACTTTGGAACCACAGAAGCCTAGGATTTCACCAGGCCAATTAAATTCAATGCTCTTTGGGTGTGGCCCAGGCATCAGGAGAGTTTTGAAAGTTCCCGGGTTATTCCAATGTACAGCCACAATTGAAAACCACTGTCTAGATCAGTGCTTCTCCAACTTTAACGTGCAAACAAATCACTGAAGGATACTGTTTAAATGCAAATTATGATTTAGTAGTAGGCAGGCCCGATATTTTGCATTTTTAACAAACTTCCAGGTGATGCTGGTCTGATGACCACATTTTGAGTAGCAAGGGATAGAGGTAGCTGACATGTGGGTTCCACATATTGTCAAATTGGCGTCCAGAAGGTTCTAATTTACACTTGTAGAGATTGCTACTTGTCCTTCTGTATCTATCCTCCCTTCTCTCCTGGTAATAGAACTGCCTATTTTCAGTTACCCGCTTGGCTAGACAAACATTTTTAGCTTTCTTTAAAGCTGCATGGCCACGGGACTGAGCTGGGCCTCCTGGGGTGCAAGCGGAAGTTGCATCCTCAAGGAAGAAAGAGTGGCCTTTCCTCTCCCCTTCCCTCTTCCTGCTGGCTCAAATGCAGTCCTGGTGGTGTTGCTTGGGAGGCTGTCTTGAATCACAAAATAGAAGTTATATGCTGAAGGTGGCGGCAGCAGAGAGAAGTGTGTTCGGAATTGGTTCCTTCTGGTGGGTTCTTGGTCTCGTTGACTTCAGGAGTGAAGCCGCAGACCTCTGCGGTGAGTGTTACAGCTCATAAAGGTAGTGTGGACCCAAAGAGTGAGCAGCAGCAAGATTTATTGTGAAGAGCAAAAGAACAAAGCTTCCATAGCATGGAAGGGGACCCAAGTGGGTTGCTGCTGCTGGCTCGGGTGGCCAGCTTTTATTCCCTTATTTGGCCCCGCCCACATCCTGCTGATTGATCTATTTTACAGAGTGATTATTGATGCATTTACAGTGCTTTAGCTAGACACAGAATGCTGATTGGTGCGTTTTTACAGAGTGCTGATTGGTGTGTTTACAAACCTTTAGCTAGACAGAAAAGTTCTCCAAGTCCCCTGACCCAGAAGCCCTGCTGGCTTCACCTCTCAATCCCCCCTCTAAGCAGGACACCCCAACTGCTGTTGGGAATTGGGCAATGACCGTTCTAGCTACTTCCTGCTGGATAGGGGCAAAGAAGGGGCCCTGCAGCTGTAGTACCCTCCAGAGGGGAACTCTTTAGGCCAGTGAAAGGGCCAGTGGGTTGGTCCAGGGGTGCTTGGTAGAAGTTATTAGTTGAGCTCATTTGGGGTTCCATTTGTAAGACCATCTGTAGCTTGATGGCCTCAATCCTAGAGGAAATAAATTTGACAAGGAGGTTAAAAATACAGTGCCCAAAGGCAAGTAATAGCAGGATGGCTGTCACAGGACCTAGAAAGGGGAGAAGCCATGTTGCCCAACTCCAGAGGTTGGTATAAGAGTTTGAAAGGCATTGTCTGATTTCAGAAGCCTTTTCCTGTAAATGCCGGTTGGCATCTCATACTATCCCTGACTGGTTAGTGTAAAAACAACACTCTTCCCCTAAGAAGGTGCAGAGTCCTCCTTTCTCAGCAGTGAGGAGGTCTAGGCCTTGGCGGTTTTGGAGAGTCACTGCTGCCAAAGAGTCTATTTGGGATTGTGGAGTAAGGATAGACTTCGTTATTTCTTGCAAACTGTCTGAGAAATCCTTTAAGAGTGTTTGTTAGTAGGATAATACATGTTACACTGTTAACTTTTAGCAAACTTTACTTTAGTTGAAAACCTTGTAAGTTTGGGATTTTAATTTTTCTTTGCTATTAATAAAACCTCTTTCAGTCCATATTAACTTAGAATTGGTATAGATGGCTCCTTCCTGATTCTGTAAGTACTTTAAGGTTTGGCTGAGTGCAAACAACTCACACATTTGAGCAGACCAATTATTAGGCAATTTTCCTAACTCTGCTTTTATAAGTTTCTTTATCATTTACTGAATACCCATTGTGTCTTTTTTCCTCAATCACTTGGGAGGAACCATCTATTGTCCTGTCCTGAAGGGAGTTCCTCCTAGGTCTGGTCAGACCTTTGTATGGTTATTAGTTAAGATTTAGATCCCCTGTTAGGAAAGCTGCTGGGTTAAGGATTTTTGATAGGAAGGCTATGGGTTGTCAGTGGCCTCAGTGCTTTTGGGCTACACCCTTGTTTACACTGACAACAAGGTGGTATTGGAGTGTTATAGTGTCATGAAGAAGACCTTCAATGATCAATTAAAGGTTTTAAATTTACCCTGGCTTTTAAAGGAATAGGGTACACTGTTTTTTCCTTACTACTTCCATCTCTCTTTCTTTCTCTTTGACTTCTTGTCTGTCTCTTTCTCTCTTTCTCTCTGACTCCCTCTTTGTATCTTCCTCTCTTTCTTTGACTTTCTGTCTCTCTCTCTCTTTCTCTCTTTCTGACTTCCTCTTTGTCTCTGTCTCTTCCTCTCTCTCTCTTTCTGACTTTCTGTCTCTTTCTCTCTTTCCTTTCTGCTGGTCTTTCCCTGCCTCTGCCAGCCACTTATGCTGCTGTTCTTCCCTCTCCATCCCCTTTTGATGGCTTTGGCAGTGTAAGACTGCCACCTCTTTGAGTTTTGCACTGCATGCAATAACTCCATCGTTTCCTTGTGATATTTAATGGGGGTTCCCCCAGAAGTTAGGAACTCCCCTTTTTTCCATATTGCAGCATGGGCATGTAGGATTAGATAAGCATACTTATGATCTGTAGCAAAGTCTCCCAATTACAACTGAGGAGGTGGGAGAAATACCTGGTTACAGGCCATCCCAGGACTCCTCAGATGGTAACGGACCTTGAGGACAGCTGTCCAGGACAGGGGATTAACACTAAGAAAGCCACTCCAGTGTCCAGGAGGAAGTTAATTTTCTGGCCCTCAATGGTTAAATGTACCCGGGGCTCAGTGAGGGTGATGATATGAGCTGGTACTTGCCCCGGGCACCCTCAGTCCTATTGTTGGATCATCTGGTTGGGGGCTTCTGGCCCAGAGAACCATTGCACTCTGGGGCAGTGTGCCTTCCAGTGATTGCCTCGGCATAGTGGACATGGACGAGGGGGCAGCTTGTTTCTTGTTGGACAATCTTTTTTAAAGTGTCCTTGTAAACCACACTGATAACAAGCCCTACAGGGTGATTGGCCTGCTCCATTTTCTGTCCTCTGTGAACCACCAAGGTTTGTTTTTCTGAGGGCCATGACTACGGCTGCAGCCTTTCTCTGATCTCACTTTTCTTTTTGGGCATGTTCCTCTTGGACCCTATTATAGAACACCGAGGTTTCCAGGTTTAATAATGCCTCCAGATTTTGTTCAGGGCCCAGGGCTCGCTTTTGGAGCTTTCTCCTGATATCTGTGGCTAATTGGGTAATAAACTTATCTTTTAGAATCAACTGAGCCTTGAGTGAGTCAGGTGATAGGGGAGTATATTTTCTTAAGACCTCTCATAGCCTCTCGAGGAAGGCAGAAGGATTTTCTTCCTTTCCCTGAGTTATGGTAGACATCATTGAATAATTCATGGGCTTTTTCCTAATTCTCCTTAGTCCTTCTAGAACGCAGGTCAACAGATGTTTACAACTCCAGTCCCCATGATCTGAGTCGAGGTCCCAGTGGGGATCCATACTGGGGATGGCTTGCTGACTGGTAGGGAGTTTGTCCTTTTCTCTGGCTGTCATTCTATCATTTACTTGACTAAGATACTAGGTATCTCCAAACTCTCGGCTGCAGCTAAAGCCGCATTCTTTTCATTAAAGGCCAGGGTTTGATCTAACAATAGCATGACATCTCTCCAAGTGAGATAGAAAGTTTGCCCTAGACCCTGTAGGACATCTATGTACCTATCAGGATCATCTGAAAACTTCCCCAGGTCTGCCTTGATCTGCTTTAAATCAGAGAGGGAGAAGGGGACATGTACCTGGGTTGGGCCAAATTCCCCTCCCCCTATAGCTTGAAGGGGACATAACTGATAGCATGGGAGTTTTTGTGGCCCTTTGGAGATTTCTTTGCTTGTTTCCTTCTGGGTGGGGGAGATTAGAGTAGGCTTATCATTAATAGGAAGGAGAGATATAGGGAAGCTAGGATATGGGGGTAAGCTGAGAGGTCCTGTGGGATGTAAATTGCAAGCTTTGTATAGTTGTGTATTCTCCTTCAATGAAAAGAAAGCTTGGACATAAGGTATTTCATTCCATTTACCTTCTCTCTTACAGAAAAGGTCAAGCTGCAGGATAGTACTGTAATTTATACTTCCCTCAGGTAGCCATTTTTCCCCATCAGAGAGAGAATATTGGGGCCAAGCCATAGTGCAGAAAAAAAATGAGCCACCTCTTTTTCAGGGTTTGTGGGTCAAATTGGTCCCAGTGGCTTAGGATGCATTTCAAGGGTGAGCCTGTTGATGCCTGAGTGTTTCCCATCTGAAAGACAAAACCACCTGCCATTTTGGTTTGTTTCTCCCCCTGCCCAAGAACCCACAACAGTCCCTGGACCCTGCTGATCGGAATAGTTGTGCTCACTGACGCAGCAGCAGAAACACCCCTTGCCCAAGAACCCGCAGTGGTCCCTGGACCCTGCTGATGGGAATAGTTGTGCTTACCGATGCAGCAACAGAAACACTAGTTTTCCTCCTAGACCACAAGGAGGACCGAGGAAGGTTGGATTTAGTGGCCCTTACTGATGCATTCTTGAAAACCTGTTAGAGTCCTAAGCATTCTCCTGTTAGTACTGGGACCTTACCCCATCTTATAAAGATGTTACACCCCAAAAATGAAGTGGAGGGCCATACCCTGAGGAAGGGAAGGGATCTCCAGAGTTGGAAGAGTGATGCCTTTTGTCCTCACTTATATGAGTAGGAAGGATACCATTTCTGAAGCTCCCCATATCCTAGCTTCAGGAATCACTTTTTTTAGGCCTGCTAGTCTGAGGAAGGATTCTAAAATTCCAGACAATTCCACGCCCTGATGGGGCTTTGGGCAAAAATTCTATCTTTCTGATTGGTGAGTCTGGGTGCCTAAAGACGGTAATAGAATCCTGAAGTTTATACTAGAAATCATTCTTATAGAAGAAACTAGAAAAGCACCAGAGACAGGGAGTGGTTTTTAGAAGTGGGACTAACCTCGGAGAAGAGAGGCGAGAGGAAGTTTGTCTGACAGGCATTAGGACTCAGGAGGCAAGGGTCAGGATAGATAGGATAGATGGGTGAGTTTTGCTTGGGCGACATGACTTTGAGAGTTCCACTCATGGTTGCAGGGTCAACCAACTTGTTGTCAGGACCCTGGAGCTGAATGGCTTTCCTCTCTGTCGACCCTCAGCTCAGCCCAGAAGTACAGGAAAAGCAGAAGCTGGTTCCAGGCAAACCAAAGCTCCCAAATCTGAAGGGTTGGGGGTTGTTAGCCCTTTCCCAGAAAGCCTGACACCTGTGTCTTTAGTCGGCAGTCGTGCTAGTCACTTTTAACTGGCCAACAGGTGCCTGGTATTTAGCCCCCAAATTCTAAGGAAAAATAAGACAGAATAGCAAGTGAAAGGGGTCTGATGGTACACACTGCTTGGTGATAGTCCCATCTGGGTCACCAAAATATGTCTGGAATTGGTTCCTTCTGGTGGGTTCTTGGTCTCACTGAATTCAAGAATGAAGCCGCGGACCCTCGAGGTGTTACAGTTCTTAAAGATGGTATATCCGGACTTTGTTCCTTCAGATGTTCAGACGTGTCCAGAGTTTCTTCCTTCTGATGGGTTCGTCATCTCGCTGACTTCAGGAGTAAAGCCGCAGACCTTCGCAGTGAACATTACAGCTCTTAAAAGTGGCGTGTCCAGAGTTATTTGTTCCTCCTGGTGGGTTCGTGGTCTCGCTGACTTCAGGAGTGAAGCCACAGACCTCCGCGGTGAGTGTTACAGCTCATAAAGGTAGTGCGGACCCAAAGAGTGAGCAGCAGCAAGATTTAATGTGAAGAGCGAAAGAACAAAACTTCCACAGCGTGGAAGGGGACCCAAGTAGGTTGCTGCTGCTGGCTCGGTGGCCAGCTTTTATTACCTTATTTGGCCCTGCCCACATCCTGCTGATTGGTCCATTTTACAGAGTGCTGATTGGTCCATTTTACAGAGTGATTATTGGTGCGTTTACAATCCTTTAGCTAGACACAGAGTGCTGATTGGTGCATTTTTAGAGTGCTGATTGGTGTATTTACAATGCTTTAGCTAGACACAGAGTGCTGATTGGTGTGCTTTTACAGAGTGCTGATTGGTGCGCTTTTACAGAGTGCTGATTGGTGCATTTACAAACCTTTAGCTAGACACAGAGCATTGATTGGTGCGTTTTTACAGAGTGCTTATTGGTGCGTTTACAAACCTTTAGCTAGACAGAAAAGTTCTCCAAGGCCCCACCTGACTCAGAAGCCCAGCTGGCTTCACCTCTCAGAAGGAGTCCGTGGCAACATGGAGTCCTGTCTGAGCCCTGCACCACCCACCACTGGGTGTCCTTTATGTGAGAAAAATAGCCTTTCTTTTTTTTAAAGAAAAACCCATCATTACTCTGGATTGTACCCATAAGCAGTAGAACCTAACCCTAAAGACACTTATGTCCTCCAGTAGACTAGGAGTGTGTCGGTATGTTTCCCTCTATGACAACCATGCGGGAGCTGGATCTTGAAGAAGGAGTGTTCCAGTTTCCTGGAGGAAACAGCCTATGGAAAAGCATGGAGCTGTGAGAGGGAGGGCCTTTTATTCAGTTCACTGTTGCTGCATAAAACCCCCCTCGGAAACTTAGAGGCTTGAAACAGGAAGAGTGCATTATATCCCATGGTTCTGTGGGTTGGCTGGGCTCGAGCTGGACTGGAAGTCCAAATGCTCATTCATACTTTTGAGGCCTCAATGTGGGCAGAGGTACCTCAGTTTTTTTCCATGCAGCCTTTCTCCTTCACGTGGTGTGTCATCCCCCAGGGTTTCTCTTGCAGGAGTGCAGCCTGGACTTCCCCACATTGATAAAGGAATTAAGAAAAAAATCACTTAGGCAGATAGTAAGGGTATGGGAGTCCTCGGTAAGTCTTTTCTCTCTAATGAAAAGCAGCGCCAACTCATTTTATAACAGAGCAGCCTGTAAAGTCTAGCTGCAGACATAGACAAGCAAGCTGGGAGCTTGCATGGGTGAATGCTGGCAGGAACTGGGGACTAGACATGTTCAAGATGGCAGCTCCATCTTCCCTTCTTCGTCAGCCATGTGTACAGTAAAGAGCAGACAAGATGGCGCTGATCAACTAAAAAGTCCATCTGAATAATACGATTAGGGTGGGGTGACCAGCCTTCCACACTATGTAAGCATCATACCTGATAGAACCAATCTGTGAGCCCTAAGTAAATCAGACACAGCCTTCCCCAGCCTGCTTATAAAATCTGCTGCAGTCTGCTGCCTCCCTGCTTTTCAGATGCCTTTCTCTCTCTCTCTCTCTTTCTCACAGGGAGCTGCTTTCCTGTCTCCTTTCTTCTATTAAACTTTCCACTCCTTAACCCACCCACATGTGTTCATGTCCTGAATTCTTTCTCAGGGAGAAACAATGAATGCCAGGTATATACCCCAGACAATGTAGCCGTTTCAACATGGTGGCTGTGAGATCTAAAAGGGTGCAGAGGGCAGCTTCACCTCCTAAGGGCAAGGCCTGGGTGTGGCAGTCTCACTTGCATTTCCTTCTCTGGGCCAGCCCAGCTTCAAGGGGTGGGAAAGATGCCGCCTCTTGTTGGAGGAGAAGCAGGCACACGCAGGAGGGTGGCCATTTTTGGCAGCCAGCTTTGGAGACTTACCTACTGCCCATGTTTTGTAATGACAAGCTTCCTGTGACTGGGATGCAGGATCAAAGAAGAAATGGGCGGGAGAGAGAGCCTGGAGAGACATGGACTCTGCAGGTGACGAGTTTGGAGTTTACGCTACAGACAAAGCTGACTCTAGCACATGTGGTGGTCAGATCACATCCTGGTTATAATGATGCTAAGAGCCACTGTTGATTCACCACTCAGCATGTTTTACATACGTCATCTTCTTAATAAATGCAGGATAGCCTAGCAGCTAGGGGCAAGGACCCTGGAGCCAAATGGCTTGCCTTCAACATCATAACTCATCACATTATTGTTATTGAGACAGGGTCTCACCCTGTTGCCCAGGCTGGATTGCAGTGGTGCAATCATTGAAATGGGCTCAAGCGATCCTCCTGCCTCAGCCTCAGCCTCAGCCTCCTGGGTAGCTGAGAATATAGGTGTGCACAACCATGCCTGCCTGACTTTTTATTTTTGTGCAGGGCCCTCACCATGTTTTCCAGGCTGGTCTCAAACTCTTGGGCTCAAGCGATCCTCCTGCCTTGCCCTCCCAAATTGCTGGGATTGCAGGCATGAGTCACCATGCATGGCACCTGACTCATCACGTATTAGCTGTGCAGTCTCAGGCAAGTTACTTAATTGTTCTCGGCCTCCTATCTGTAAAAGTAGGGAATCATAGCAGACCTGCCACATGTGGTTGCTGTAAGGGTTAAGTGAGATCATATATGCACTCTACTTGTCACTTACCCCTCTGTAAGCATTAGCTCTTGTTAATGCTCACAACAGTGCTGGAAAATGGTACTATTGCTCCCTTTTTAAGGAGAAGGTAACTGAGGCACCAGGAGCTTAAGGCTTCCAAGGCCTGTTGCTTCATGAATTCCCACTGATTGTGTTTCCATGTGTCCCCAGCTCCAGGAGGCAGCTGAGCAGAATTGCATTCTTTCCATGAGACTTACACGAGCCTGGAGTCTCTACCTGTCCCTGAAGAGTCCTTTGCTCCCCTACAGCCTCACTCAACCTCCTGGCTCCAACTGATATTTGCAGAAAATCACTGTAATAATATTAACAGCTGGGGGCTTTTCTGAGCCTGTACAAAGTGTGCATCTTGGAGGGCAGAGTCCTTAGGTGAAACTGAAAGTCTTTGGGGTCTGAAGCTGCCTTGAGCCTGGACAGGTCATGGAAGCCCTTGGTGCATCCTCTCAGCCGTCTTTCTGCTGAGGTTTATTGACTGGAGCTTTGTGAACCTGTGAGTTACATTAGCGCTCTGAGGCTGGAAGTCTTCCTGTAAATGCTCCATGTAATTAATTATAAACAAAGCAGCAAGCCAGGAGCACAATACCCAAATAAATCCTTAGCGAGCCTCAACATGTGCTCTTTATTTCTCCTCTGCCTTTCCATCCATCCAAGAGCTTCAAAGTGTAATCCTCCTTAACGACAGGTTCATGATGATGAGGCCATTATTTTTGATACTGCAGTTTTAAGAAGTGACCCAGAAAACAGGCTTTACAAGCAACCTCTCCCCATTCCCCTTTACCCTAAGCAAAGGCCCAGATTAAAAGAGCCTTAGCTTGTACGAATATTTATGCTAGAGCCTCTGCCAAATCAGATTAGGGGAGTTCATCCCGCCAGGCAAACACGGGTTCTGTACTCAGATTTAATGAGAAACTGACATGTTAATAGCATATTGATGCATCCATCCATCAGGAAATCCATATAGCACAGTGAATGTGCGCCATGCATCTTGGGGCCCAGGAGAGATGCTGTCTTTGTCACTTTTGGTTCCACCAGGAAAGCTGTTGTTGCAATGAAAGGGATTCCAAAGACATTCTGCCTCACACCAAAGATGAGAGGTCGGGAATTCTGGTCTTAAAATACCTGGGAAATCCCTTTCTTGACACTGCCAGGGAGTGTGTGAGACAGAGGCTAATTCCTCTAAACAACATCTTCCAAGGTGCTTCTGAAAAAGCAGATGCCACAGAGTGTTAATAGGCATCATGAGAACAAAAAGCTTAGGTCAAAATCTTGGGTAAATGATGAGCGGAGCAGAGTTTTTTGGTTTTTTTTTTTTTTTTGAGACGGAGTCTCACTCTGTCACCCAGGCTGGAGTGTATTGGCGCGATCTCGGCTCACTGCAGCCTCCGCCACCCGGGTTCAAGCGATTCTCCTCCCTCAGCCTCCGGAGTAGCTGGGATTACAGGTGCGCACCACCACACCCAGCTAAATTTTGTATTTTGTATTTCACCATGTTGGCTAGGATGGTCTCAATCTCCTGACCTCGTGATCCGCCTGCCTTGGCCTCCCAAATGCTGAGACTACAGGGGTGAGCCACTGCACCCGGCCCAGACTTTTTTACTGTAGAATTTTCACCCTGTGACTTTCCAGGAAGCAAATAAATTATGCTGTGCATCCAAACTTTTCAGACTTTGGAGTTCTTCCTTCTCAAAGCACCCCCACCCCACCCACAGCGCATACATCCTTTTTGTGCCATGCAGCCCCTTGGCAGTTTGGGGAAGCCTGAGGATCCCTTCTCAGAATAACATTTTCATTTTATTTTATTTTAGACACGGTCTTGCTCTGTCAACAGGCTGCAGTGCAGTGGCAAGATCATGGCTCACTGCAGCCTTGAACTTCCAGGCTCAAGCCATCCTCCCGCCTTAGCCTCCTAAGTAGCTGAGACCACAGGCATGTGCCACTATGCCCAACTAATCATTTTGACTTTTGGTAAAGACGGGATCTCACTGTGATATTCAGGCTGGTCTGGAACTCCTGAGCTAAAGCAGTTTTTCCACCTTAGCCTCCCAAAGTGCTGGGATTATAGGCGTGAGCCACTATGCCCAGCCAGAATAACATTTTTAAATGCAAAAAAACAAAACATGTAGGATTACGAAGAAAACCAATTCTATTGAAATAGAATATCAAAGAATATTTTGAGATATTCACAAATGAGCATATATAAATATATGGGCTTCTTTTTGAACGTGTTAATAACCAGATCCAGAGTTGGTTCTAATAACTACAGTTGTTTTAAGGTATTGATGTTTTAAAGTATAAGATATAGTTGATCGGCATCGTTCACTGATCACATATTTGTGAATTCACCTCCTTGCTAAAATTTATTTGTAACATTAATGTATACTTGTGGCGCCTTTGCAGTCATCTGTGCCCATGCACAGACCAATGACAAATTTGAGTTGCCCAACTGGCATGTTCCCCAGATGAGATTGGTTGGCAAAGTGAAGTTTTGCCTTTTTTTTTTTTTTTGAGACAGAGTTTTGCTCTTGTTGCCCAGGCTGGCATGCAATGGCATGACCTCGGCTCGCTGCAACCTCTGCCTCCCAGGTTCAAGTGATTCTCCTGCCTCAGTCTCCAGAGTAGCTGGGATGCCAGGCACACACCACCACGCTCAGCTAATTTTTGTATTTTTAGTAGAGACGGTGTTTCCCCATGTTGGCCAGGCTGGTTTCGAACTCCTGACCTCCAGGTGATCCACCTGCCTCGGCCTCCCAAAGTGCTGGGATGACAGGTATGAGCCACTGCGACCGGTCAAGTTTTGCCTTCTTGTTTCAGCTCTCATACTGCAAACCTGTGTCCTCTTCGCAGTATACTTAGTGCCACATTTTTGGCATTTCATGCTTTTTCCCGGTGATGTTGCTGTTTAAAATGGCCATGAAGGGCAGTGCTGAAGTGCTAGCTAGTGCTGCTAAGTGATGTGCCACAGAAGACTGCAACGTGCCGCACCAAGAAAATCACCCCAGTGGTAGATGAGCTCTTTGCAGGCAGGAGTTACAGTGCTGTTGCCTGTGCGGTCAATGTTAATGAATCCACTGTATATTAAATACGGTGTCTTTTGAACAAAAGCCACACGGAAAACAGTTATATATTGATTGGTTGGTGAAAATGTTGAGACTGCAGGCTCACAGGAACCTAGCCTTGTACTTCCCCTAAGGACAATGGTTCAGCATGTGCTAATTCAGTGTTCATGGCAACTTTATAGAACATAACTGCTACAAAAAATAAGCAACAGTAACTGCAACAACTGCAATGTGATGTGAAAATATTTGTGACAAGGACTAATTCAGCTGTGTTTTGTTACCTACATTCATTATGAAAGGAAATGCTAAATTTTAGCATTAGCATTTAGAAGACAGTGAAGACTTATTTTTTTTCCCATTCAAGTTTACAGGCACTATTAATTCTGGGGATCCCTAAGGACCCTAGTTAAGAAAATTTTCTCAGTTGGATTAAATCAGTGACAGAGCAGGGAGGGATTGGGAAGCTGGTGCGGATTCTGGGGAGATTCAGGTCCGGTCACATTGTGTATCAATACAAGTCCCATATAGAGATTTTTAGCTGATCTGCTTTTTCTGGGGGGCTGACTTTATTTTTGTCACCAGGGCCTGAACCCAAAAGGCTCAGCATGAAATGAAAAATGCTCATGGTGGGTGGAAATAGAAATTTTGGTAATTACTCATGTGGCAAATAGTGAGCTCTATTTCAATAGTGTAGGGCAAGCCAGGTCTCTCCTCTGATAACAGGAGAGAGTATCTGTTTCTTTTTTTTTTTTTTTTTTTTTGAGACAAGGTCTCATTCTATCCCCCAGGCTGGAGTGCAGCGGTGCAGTCTGGGCTCACTCCCTCGACCTCCTGCTGGGCTCAAGTGATCTTCCCAAGCAGCTAGGACTGCAGGTGTGTGCCACCACACCCAGCTAATTTTTGTTTTTTTTTTTGTTTTTTTTTTTTTGTAGAGACAGGGTTTCACCATGTTGCCCAGGCTGGTCTTGAACTCCTGAGCTCAAGTGACCCTCCCACCTCCGTCTCCCAAAGTGCTGGAATTATAGGTGTGAGCCACAGTGCTCGGCTGGGAGACAGAAATTATAATAGAGTTTTGGGGTATTTAGATGAAGATCACATAAGAGCCCCAAGTCCCCTCACCAAGTGTGCCCAGGGAAGAAGGCGCCTCTGATGGCTTTTCTTTCTCACTCTTCTCACCGTGATGAGCGAGGAGCGTGATTCAATGGGTCTAATTCAAATGTGTCAAAAAAGAGGCTGCTGATTTTACTTTTAAATAGCAAGAAATAACAGTGTGACCTGGAGAGCAACACTAACTTCTCATTCACTCATTCATTCAGTGCTATTTCTTGTGCGTCTGCAGTGGTCAGGCATTGTGTTGGGGGTTGGACACAGGAGTACACATGACCGGCCAGGTACCCATCTCATGGAGCCTGCAGTTCAGGTTCCGGTGCTTTTTTCCACAGCCCCTCCAGGAATGGGGAGATGGGGAGGGCAGCATGCCAACCCAGGAAAGCCCTTCAGGTGCCTGTCAGTGGACAATCCTCAGACACCATCATTCTGGAAAACTCAAGGCTGAAGACAGTAGCTCAAGGGGCACCTGTGCAGCAATACGGGATAGGTGCTGTTATAAGAAGTACGCAAAGCACAGGGACGGCATTCTCAAGCCAGAGAGAAAGACTTGGTCAAATCTCAAAGAAGGAACGTGTCTGGAGCATAGAAAATGCAGGCAGAAGTGAATGAGCCTTGCCCGGGCACCTGATCCAGGGCAGAGGGCCTGACCTCAGACTCCAGTTTTGCAGGCAATAGTGGTATTTAGTAATGATTTCCATGTGGTATTTATTTGCAGTATTTGTGTTTTCTGAAAAAGTGAGATGGGGTCAACGTCCTCTTCCACCCCTCAGTTCCTTGGTGCTGTGCCTCAGAGTAAGGTCAAAGCTCAGGATTTGGGTACCTTTGTTTTCCCACCTGAGCCCATTCAAAAGATGGAACTGGTTAGATGTTAGGTGATTCCCCAAGGTTGTGAGTGGTCAGGCCTAAGAGAATTTAAACAGTCTTTTTTAGAGGGGTGGGAAGTGACAGGTTCAGAGAAGACATATAGGGTGGGAGAAGGGAGGTAGTCAGGCCGGGAGACCCTCCCTTTACTCTGGAGTCTTCCTGTACAGATTAAATAAGTGTACTTTGGGTATCTATCACCTTAAATATTTGTCTTTTCTGTATGCTAGAAACATTCAAATTATTTTCTTCTAGCGATTTGAAATGAAATGTACAATAGCATTTAGTAAACTATAGTCACCCTACTGATCTGTCAGACACTAGGCCTTATTTCTTTTATCTAACTGTACATTTATACCCACTAATCAACTAATAAAATACTTTAAAGGAAAAAAATTGTATTGTCATTTTTCTGGACTTTGTGAGGTTATATGGCACTTTGTCAACTTTTAAACATTTGTAATTTGTGGTGATTTCTTTCCTCATTCTAAATGTGTATTCAAGTTCATGTCTAATTTTGTATTTATAGTTTTGTGTTATGTTTTTCAAGGGGGCCTCATGAAGCCTGCTCTGCCCCCTTGTGTGAGTCCTTGGCAGCTGGCCAGCCGCCTGCATAGGAGGAAGCTCAGCTCGCCCGGCCATTTTAAAGAAGTCAGCAACACAGGGGGGATCAGTCCCCTGGCATGCCAAGACCCTGGGTAAATTGCTGAACATCGCTGGACTTAAGTGTTTTTAGAAACTCCTTTTAGAACAATTAGCTGTAAAGGGCACAGATACTCTCTTGTTTGGAATGGCACCCAAAGCACTTTATGAAAGGTTATTTCA
This sequence comes from Homo sapiens, assembly GCF_000001405.40. Lineage (NCBI taxonomy): Eukaryota > Metazoa > Chordata > Mammalia > Primates > Hominidae > Homo > Homo sapiens. The sequence goes on from NC_000007.14 coordinate 36,513,040, forward strand.
GGAACAGCGGAAGGGTTACTGATCCCGGGAGCACACAGCATTGCACAGTCGTCCAGATATGCTCTTCATTGAGAGAAAGACATTTTGCAAAGATGCTGCTGAAGAAGAGTCCTTTGGGCCTGTGACGTGGCAGCCCCCATAGGGTTTGTGGAATGAGTTTACCCAAGCCTCTGCCTCCCTGTGCTCCCCAGGGGTGCATGCTCCTGAGAGGCTCAGTGCCCGCCTTGGTCTCCAAACACCTGTTTAATCTGGGGGTTGAACGGATTCTCCTTTCCCAGGATTTGGGGCCACTGGAGCTGCACCTTTTTCCAGAAATGATCCGCCAACAACAGCAAAGCCACCTGTGAGAGAGAACCCAAAGGACGAGGAAAAGGGAAATTAGGACAAATCACTTACCAACAAGATTTCCCACGTGCTTTCTGCCAGAGACAGCCTCTAGGATGGCCCCATGACTCCCACCCCCATGTCTCTGTATAACCTCCTTCCCTTGCTGGCGGTGGGACCTATCACTTGCTTCTAACAGAGGAAGTGTGGCCGTGGTGAGGAGACGCTGCTTCAGCGATGGTGTCACATTGCGTGAGGCTTGGCCTTGCTAGTGACTGGCTTCGGAGGCTCTCCTTTCTGGGCTGGAGCTGAGGGTGACCCGGTTGCCATCCAGCCTGAAGCTGGCTCCTCAGTCCTGCAGTCTCAACGGGAATGAATCTGCCAACAGCCTGAGTGAGTTTGAAAGCAGTTCTTCCCCAGATGAGTCCCCGGATGAGAACATGGCCTGGATGCCATGCCTTGATTTTGGTTTGTGAGACCCTAAGCAGAGGACCCAGTTAAGCTGTGACCCACAGAAACTGTGAGATCATAAGTGTGTATTGTGTTAAGCTGCTAAGTGTATGGAATTTGTTTTTTCAGTAATAGATTAAAAATTCACTTTCTCAGAAATCCACTTATTCATTTATCTGTGGACAGCTAGCATTTACTGCAGGCCTAAGGCTTGGGTTTTAGAGATGAACGTGGTGTGTTCTTCCTTCCAGAAAGTCTCAGCCTAGTAAGGTAACCAGACATGCCAAATGACACCACCAAGCCCACAGGGACTGGAAAGGGAAGAGGTGTCACTTCTGTCTGGTGGGGGAAGGGGTGGGATCTCTCTGAAGAAGGTGGCGGCTGAGATGAATTTTCTAGGAGTTCCCTAGATGGATGATGTGGGGAAACTGCAATGGTAGAGGACACGGCGTGTGCAAAGGCTCAGAGCTGTGGGAGAGAATGGCATGTTTGGGGAACTACAGGTGCCTGGGAGTGGAGGCTGGCTGGGTCCCTGACTGGGTGGGGGGTGGGATCCTGGCAGGCTGTGAGGGCAGGGAGTCTGGCTGAAGTGCCAGAGAGGAATCCTTAGCTTAATACACAGCAGGCTCGACTCTGGCTTTCCCAGCCTGAGGCTTACTCTCTGGTTCTGCTGTCGCATGTCAGGTTTCCCTTTATCCATGATGTTAGCTGGGTCCATTCTTGGTTGTCCAGTGTCTGGCTTGTCATTAATATGCCTTTGAGGAGGATGCTCTTTCTCTGCAAACAATGCCCTCATTTAGCAAATGGGACCTGGCCAGGCCTGCAGACTCCAGATGGCTCCATCTCAACAGTGGTTTTCAATGCTGAGCAATGAGAAATGTGATTGCTGAAGGCCTGCCAGAGGGGAATACATTGTTCGGGAAGGATGCTCAGGGATATCCCTGACTTTTCCCCACAGGGCAGCTCACAGTCCCCTTCCTAATAGGCAGCGTAGCCAACTCCCTCTCTGGGCCCAGCCCTCTCATCTGGACATTGAGTGGGCGACAGAAAGTGATCCAAAGTCCTTTCTGTGTCTGACTGTTTGTGAGATTTTAGTAGTTAGAGAAAACTAGGACTGATCCAGTCACTGCATAAAGTCCCCAGCATTTTAATGTGTTCTGAGCCTTCTAAGGTGGACACGAACTTCACTCATCCCGCTGCGTAATCTCGGTCATGTCCATGCAGTGTCTCCCCCACCGCATAACACACAGAGACCACACACACATACACCACACCCCTCACAATCCCACACCACACACACATAATCACACACCCCCACACACACACCACACCCCTCACAACCCCACACCACACACACAAACATCACACATACCCCCCACACACCACACACAAACACCACACACACACCACACACCACACCCCTTACAACCCCACACCACACACACATACATCACACACACCCCCACACTACACACACACCACACACACACTATACCCCACACCCCTCACAACCCCACACCACACACACATAATCACACACCCCCACACACACACCACACACACCACACCCCTCACAACCCCACACCACACACACAAACATCACACACACCCCCCACACACCACACACAAACACCACACACACCACACACCACACCCCTCACAACCCCACACCACACACATACATCACAAACACACCCCCAAACACCACACACACCACACCCTTCACAACCCCACGCCACACACACATAATCACACCCCCCCCACACACCACACACATACCACACCCCTCATAACCCCACACCACACACATAATCACACACACACTACACACCAACACCACACACACACCACACCCCTCACAACCCCACACCACACACACATAATCACACACCCCCCCACACACCACACACCAACACCACACACACACCACACACCACACCCTTCACAACCCCGCACCTCACACACATACATCACACACACACCCCCACACACCACACCCCTTACAACCCCACACCACACACACATACGTCACACACCCCCCACATACAGAAACACCACACACACCACACACCATGCACACCACACCCCTCACAACCCCACACCACACACATACATCACACACACCCCCACATCCCACACACAGCACACACAGAAACACTACACACACCACACATCACGCATACATACACCACACCCCTCACAACCCCACACAACACATAAATACGTCACACACACACACACCACACACTACACACACCACACGCCACATACACACCATACACACACCACACAGATACATCACACACACACCACACACAGATACACCACACACATCTCACACACACACACCACACACCCCATACCACACATACATACATCTCTCTTATATACACACACACATCCTACACACACCCCACACACACCTCACACAGATACCACCACATGCACACTCACCACATACACATATAACATACACACACCCCCCCACACAGATACCACACACACACACACAGAAAGCACACAGATACCACACACACCCCCACAGAAAGCACACAGATACCACACACACCCCCACAGAAAGCACACAGATACCACACACACCCCCACAGAAAGCACGCAGATACCCCCCCCACACACACAGAAAGTGCACGGATACCACACACACACACACACAGAAAGCGCACACAGCATTCACACCCCACATATACTTCTTTGCACTTAAAAGCAGGAGCATGTCAAAGGCTGCCTGCGAAGCTGGCCAGTGCTCCAGGGAGGGCCGGATCATCTCTCACACAAAGTGATCAGGACCTTTGAAGACAGAGGCCCGGGCTTGTGGCTGTTTTCCTGCCATTTCTCAACAAAGGAGGCTGCTGCCAGGTCTGTGGAAAATTACTGGTTCTTCTTTTTTGTGTTATTGGCTTTCAACTTGATACACCTAAGCTCTTTCTAACAATTATGTGGTACCAAGGCATTTATTTCCCTATCTATGTTAATAAGGGAGGAGACAGGGTGAGGGCAAGAAGAGGGAAACGAAAATGAAAGAGCTCAGATATGAGCATTTGGTAACTGGTTTGAACGCAATTAGTTGGTTGTCACTCTAATAAGGAATAAAATATTTATGAGCAGGCATTGAGAAAATATTGGGTCTGAAATGAGACTGGCATGCTTATCACCAAACTAGAGACTTGTGATAAAATGATCCACTGTAATCATTCATTCATTTGACAAATATTTACTGAGCATCTACTATGGGTTTCTCATACCGCAATTTCCTGTTTTAACTTCCACGAGGCGCTGCACAGGGCAGGGCACAGCTACCCTTTCCTCTCTTTATCCATGTTAGTCTTTCTTTCTTTCTTTCTTTCTTTCTTTCTTTCTTTCTTTCTTTCTTTCTTTCTTTCTCTTTCTTTCTGTCTCTCTCTCTCTCTCTCTTTCTTTCTGTGTCTCTCTCTTTCTTTCTTTCTTTCTTTCTTTCTTTCTTTCCTTTCTTCTTTTGAGACAGGATTTTGCTCTGCCACTCAGGCTGGAGTGCAGTGGCCAGATCTCGGCTCACCGGAAGCTCCGCCTCCCAGGTTCAAGCAATTCTCTTGCTTCAGCCTCTCCAACAGATATTCTTTTATGCTTCTCTATTCATAGTCTAAAATATTAAAGGAAAACCTGTTCATTCTAGAAGAACTGAAAACCCACTTAAGCAAAAAGAGAAAAACACAATTAAAGTCATCTGTAATTAAAATAGAGGCAGCCTCTGTTAACATGGGGTGTAGAGCCTTTCTGACTTTATATCTTTTTTTTTTTTTTTTTTTTTGAGATGGAATCTCAGTCTATTACCTAGGCTGGAGTGTAGTGGCGTGATCTCGGCTCACTGTAACCTCCACCTCCCAGGTTCAAGTGATTCTCCTGCCTCAGCCTCCTGAGTAGCTGGGATTACAGGCACATGCCACCATGCCTGGCTAATTTTTGTATTTTTAGTAGAGATGGGGTTTCACCATTATGGCCAGGCTGGTCTCGAACTCCTAGCCTCAGGTGATCTGCCTGCCTCGACCACCCAAAGTGCTAGGATTACAGATGTGATCCACTACGCCTGGCCCTGATTTTATATCTGAACACACACACACACCCACACACACACACCCACACACACACACACACACACACACGCACACACACACACTGGATTCCTCTTGAATATCATTTTGTAATCTGCTCTTATTGAAGTCGAATTTAGACACAGTAAAATGAACTCTCTTTGGTAAACAGTGCCATGAGTTTGACAAATGCATACAGTTGAATCATTGCTCCTATGGTCTGTAGTCTTATCCTATATACTTTGCTGTACATTATAAACATATTTCTGTGTCACTAAAGGTAGATCTCTTTTTTTTGTTTTGTTTTGTTTGTTGTTATTGTTGTTTTTGAGATGAAGTCTCGCTCTGTTGCCCAAGCTGGAATGCAGTGACGCAATCTTGGCTCACTGCAACCTCTGCCTCCCAAGTTCAAGCAATTCTCCTGTCAGCCTCCTGAGTAGCTGGGACTACAGGCATGCACCACCACGCCTGGCTAATTTTTGTATTTTTAGTAGATGGGGTAATTCAGTGCATGGTATGCCATCAGATGGATGCAAGCTAATTCATTTTACCAGCGGAAACTTTTATCATATACCCTCCACCCCAATATTTGTCCTCAGTACGGGAGGATGGAGACACCCTCCTCCTGCCAGTTCACACAACCTTGGCAGCTCAGGAGGTCATCGGCTGCCCTACTAAGCATGTGTGTGGAATAAAATCTATTCTAGATGAATGCTAGGGAATGGGTGCTCTGATTAAGTGGGATCTTCTGGTTAATAGAGGTTCTTTTCCAGGTATTTTCCTTTGTAGTTGAACATCTTTCAGAGCCCACTTTCTTGTTAAGTTGCATATAAATACATCCAATGTATTAAGACAGTAAAGCCAGAAGCGGTTTCAGAGTTCATCAAGTTAGCTTCTTGTAATACAGCATGATGCTTTATTCAATCACCCGATGATCTGGAATCATGCTGGGCCATCCTTACACTGGCCTGGGACCGCTGTGGAGAATGTGGGAAGAGAGTGGGCAGGATCTATACTGACTCCAGGATGCACTTGACTTTGATTCCTTGAATAAAATCTCTGATAAGAACTTGCCTTGCTGTCCTGTAACTCTGTGTTTGGTCATTTAAAAAATCTTTTTAAAATACAACTTTTCCTTTTGTTTTTCTCCGTCTCTCTGGACTGGTTCCCTACCAAATTACCCTCCACGCCGCTACTACAGGCATCTTTTTAGGACACACGTTGGGCTATTTCTTTCTTGCTTGAGAACATCCAGTGGCTCCCCATGTCCCTCAGGATCAAGGTCAAGCCCCAGACAGATGTTCCATGATCTGGTTCCTTAATACGCGGTAGATTTCTCCGTCTGTCAACTCCACGGTCATACTCTCTGGCCACACTGAGCGCTTTTATTTCCTCCAACATGCCACGCTTTCTTTCATATTCAGGTCTTTGCCCATGCAGTTGCCTCTGCTCAGAATACTTCCTGAAACCCCTCTTCGCTTCCCTTCACTCTACTAGCTCATGGTCTTTGTTCTGACATCACCTCCTCTGAAAACATTTTTGTTTTTTTGAGATGGAGTTTCGCTCTTGTTGCCCAGGCTGGAGTACAATGGCATGATCTCAGCTCATTGCAACCTCTGCTTCCTGGGTTCAAGCGATTCTCCTGCCTCAGCCTCCCAAGTAGCTGGGATTACAGGCATGTGCCACCACGCCCAGCTAATTTTGTATTTTTAGTAGAGACGGGGTTTCTGCATGTTGGTCAGGCTGGTCTAGAACTCCCGACCTCAGGTGATCCACTCACCTTGGCCTCCCAAAGTGCTGGGATTATAGGCGTGAGCCACCACACCTGGCCTGAAAACATTTTTGAACACCCCTCTCTCTCATCCCACCCCATAATGCTCTGTGGTGTTCTGTACTTGCACAGTTGGAGGCATTTACTGCTTTATATTTAATTGTCTGTTTACTCATCATTTTCCTACTCTATACTATAATTTTAAATGGCAGGGCATTTTCTTGTTCACTCTTGAATTCTCACTGCACTTGACACTGGGTAGTCACTCAATAAATAGTTTTGGATGGCACTTTGCCAATCTGGACTTTTCAGCTCAATATACATGATAAATAGGCAGGCTTTAGGCCTGGCTATCCATTTTTGGCCACTTTATCACTGGCTACCAGCATGTGAACAAGTCTTGCAGGAATAGCATAAGATTATGGCACACATTGATTTTCAGCTTTTGACTGTGTTTTCAATAATCAGATATAGGTGAAACTGTTTAAGTACAAGATAGAGGCCCAATTTGACAGACTTTGAACCCCAAGATCATTTTAAGAGTCAGGGACGGAATGGTCATTTGATAGATGGGATAAATATATCCTGGGGGATAAAACAAAGCTGTCTTTGATCCTCCTCTTTTTAGTTTGTTCCTGATACTTTACATGGCCATCTTTTCATATACCCATTGTTTACAGAATCAGAAGGGTAAGATGCTATTCTGTGCAGAGAATGATAAGAACTAGTACCTAATAACTGCTAGAAAGAAGGGGGCCGGGCGCAGTGGCTCACGCCTGTAATCCCAGCACTTTGGGAGGCTGAGGCGGGCAGCTCACCTGAGGGTGAGAGTTCGAGACCAGCCTGACCAACATGGAGAAGCCCCGTCTCTACTAAAAATACAAAATTAGCCAGGTGTGGTGGCGCATGCCTGTAATCCCAGCTACTCAGGAAGCTGAGGCAGGAGAATCACTTGAAACCAGGAAGCGGAGGTTGCGGTGAGCGGAGATCACACCATTGCACTCCAGCCGGGGCAACAAGAGTGAAACTCTGTCTCGAGAAAAAAAAAAAAAAAAAATAGAAAGTAGGGATATACACAAACTCTTCTAAAACCAAAGACATCATTTTTGGGGGATCAGACCCTGATATTTAACCAGAATCTAGCCAATAATTTTCTTTGATCAACTCATCCAACTGATACACAGGAAGGTTAGAAATTCTGAGGGCATTATTCTGATTTTTTGTGTGTGGCTATTTAAATCCGTGAGGTGGGCATTTAATACTTACTTTAAAATTTGCTCAGCATTTGTGGGACGCCACTTTTACTCATTTGTTGGGGAGTGAGCATCCTTCTATTCTTGTTCCTTTTGAGGTGATTCTTAGCCCTGCCTGTGAGCACTGGCTGAGCCTAGAGTTGGAGGAAGGTGGGCTGTGTTTACCGTCATTCAGGCTCTTGAGGGGACAATCAGCCCTCCTGTGGCCTAGGTCTTGGTGGCCAGCAAGCGAGCATCCCCCAGGCATGCTCCTCAGGTTTGTACCCTTTGGTAGCCACACCATGCTTCCCCCACGGCTGGAGCAGAAAGGCTCTAGTGATGTGGTATTGCCTGAGAGTAAATGGCCCATCCCTCCCCATAGAGGAGCAGCTTTCAACATTTTACAAGTGGCAGAACAACTCCCCCACTTCTTTTTCTTCTTCTTCTTAATAAAGAAATGTCGTGAGCAAGTCCAGGACATACAACAGATAAAAGTGGAGCTTCTCTGGTTGAAGCCAGGATAATGGGATGGGAGTGGAGCCGGGAGGGGACAGAGTCCCACCCTCTGGCTCCCCTTGCTTTGTGAAGAGACCAGAGGAGAGCTACTTTACAGAACTGTACTTTGGATCCTTGATGAGAAACAGCTCTTACTGCAGGATACTGCTAAGGACATTGTTCTCCTCCTATACAGCACCCTTTCTAGAAAGACCATAGAATAAATTTCTCATGGGTCTCACTTCCAAAAAATCCTCGTCATTTTCCTCCTTTTCTTTCTTCCTTTTTTTTTTTTTGGAGTGCTTGATTTATTTTTCTTGTATTATGGAAGCCATGGCTTACTGCCCCTTTTAGCATCGCACAGAGCTGCCCTTCTGGCAGTTTCTCAGGAATGCCCTGCACATATTTTATGAATTATAGAAATTAAATCAGGAATCCAGGTATAATTTCTACTTTATTTCCCTATTGTCCCAAATTTCACTTTGTTTTTATTAAATCTTCTATCCTATACATGTATGTACACTACCTCAAATCCTTTCTGGAACAAAACAGGATAAAAATAAACACATGAATGTGTAACCATAATTAAAAACCAACAAACCATCAAATAGCCTTCTGCAGCCACCATGTGACTGTGCTTACCTCGTTGGGGTGGAATCCATCCACGGGCTCGATGAGCTGCCAGGGCTGTCCGCCTCTCTTCTGCCACTCCTGTATGACTGCAGGGCACATAACGAGAGGGTTACAGACACACTTGCACAAGCAACGGCCAATATCCAAGGACAAGGACGTGAGAACTGCCCATGCCCTCCCGGGCCCATGTTGACCAAGCCACGGCTGCCTCTGAGCTGCTCTCTTGCACTGGGGGATTTCTGAACAGAAATGATCTTCCCGCTGTGTGTGTGCTTTTTCTAACTCAGGAAGGGAATACGTGAGAGCATTGGATGAATGTGGTTTGTGTAGCAGGGAGGGCAGTAGGAAAAGGTGAGCTCTAAAATAGTCAACATCTATTTCAGTACATGTCATTTTTTGGTGGTGCAGTAGGATGGTATTACAGTAGGGAAAAATCCAACATTTTGTTAACATCCCCTTTCATGGGTTGCCATTTGCAGACTCTGCCTGCATGTGTCAAGCACTTGCCTTTAAAAATCATACAGTATGTCAGGAATATAATTACATAAAATTATCTCATCGCCACATTTGGAGGGAGTATGGCTGCAGAAAAAATATTACGAGCCCCAGAATGATGAAAAGCAATGAAACTGTCCTTCAACAGGGATGAGAGACCAAGAATGTCAGTTGCTCCAAGGCAACAGCACAATTAACTCTACGTCATTCCATCATACAGTCAGTAAGAACTCCTCAAGGAAACTTCAAATCCCTAGGAAGCCTCCGGAGAGCAGCATCTGAGCCAGCTGCTCCCGGCAAAGCTACGCCCTCACTTGCCCAGCGTCCAGTGAGGGGGGCAGGCACAACTAAGATTCCTCCCGTTCTTTACTCTTCATTCCCCAGAAAACTCAAGAACATAGGTCTGTGACCTGTTTCTCCCCTTCTCATCCCAAAGGAAGGACGGAAATTCTGTCAGGGGCTTTGATTGGACAAGACGGGCTGGACTTCCCAGGGCTGGGTCAATACAAGGCTGCTTTTACAATTAGTCCTAATATCCCAGCATGGCATCCCCACTTACTACTCAACCTCCATTCCCCAGGGGCTGAGGATAATGCTGCCCTTCTCAAAGCTCAGGAAAAAAATTCATACTGATGGTTTGGAGTCCTACACACTGAATCGCCAGCCCCTGTTAGCTTATTCTCTGGCAGAAAGACTGCCCCTGAGACACAGCATCATATTATGCTTCTGGGTTTTACTAGAGGCTGTTGGAAGAAATAGCTATTGGTAAGTGGCCTCTGCATTTCTTGAAAACTCAAATTGAGGACACTGTTCACTGTGTTATATGGTGTCCGCCACACAGAGTCTCCAGGGAGAAGTTGTGGCGTGCTGGTAAATAGCACTTCTATCTGAAGGAATGGTAGGTACCTGCTCTTCTAATAGGAAGCTCAGAGCTGCATCGATGCTTAAACAGCACTCACTCTCATGAAAGTTTATTTGTTCTGCCAAGCCAGCATGCAGCTTTCAACAATTTCTTTCTTGCCCTTGGCCATAGTGTCTTGTAAAGGCACAGTTTTGGGGAAGCTTGCCTGGCTCAGTCTTCAGTTTGCCTGGCCTGTTTTGCCTGTTTTTTTTTTTTTTTTTTTTGGCATGTCCTTGGAATGCAACCTTCTTCTTGAGGTTCAATTCTAGCTGCCTCACATTTCCCTCTGGACTTGACACTCTGAAGCTCCTGTGGGTTCCAGACTGCCCTGCTGGCTGCGATGCTGGCCCTGCCTGCTCATGAATGCTATCCAGCCCATCCCCTGCCATTCCCAATCTGAACATCCAACAAATTGCCATCAATGGAGAACCAGCCATCTGGAAAGATTTCTTCAAATGCAGAGAGCCAGGATCACCACCACTGAGCCCTCTCAGTTCTCTTTGTCCTTTTATGGTCTTTGTCCCATCTCTCCTTGCAGTCCCACAGGAGTCTCTCAAACAAAAATCAGCAACGATGCAGAAAGGCCCGGGCCAGGTGAAATGTCAGCCTCCCCATCCCCTCCGTGACTTCAGAGATGACATCATCTCCATTCTACTTGTGCTCCTTTTTGCTTCACCAAAGTTCTTGATTAACGTTTTGTCCCTTTTCCCACTTTTCCCTTTATTTTTATTTGGGTTTCACCTTATGTTGTACAGATGCTAACAGAAGAAAGAAAAGAAAGAATGAAAGACAATCGCAACAGGGTGTTGCACGGACTGAATGTTTGTGTCCCTTTCAAATTCCTGTGTTGAAACCCTAATCCGCAGTATGATGGCATAGGTAATTATTCCGTGAAGATGGAGCCCCCATCATGGAATTCATGCCCATGAATTCACACCCAGCCAGGTGCGGTGGCTCACACCTGTAATCCCAGCACTTTGGGAGGCCTAGGAGGGTTGATCACAAGGTCAGGCATTCGAGACCAGCCTGGCCAACATAGTGAAACCCCGTCTCTACTAAAAATACAAAAGAAAACCTAAAAAAAAAAAAAACAAAAAAAAATTAGCCAGGTGTGGTGGTGGGCACCTGTAATCCCAGCTACTCGAGAGGCTGAGGCAGGAGAATCGCCTGAACATGGGAGGCAGAGATTGTAGTGAGCCAAGATTGCGCCACTGCACTTCAGCCCGGGAGACAGTGTGAGACTCTGTCTCGACAATAAGTAAATTAAAAGATAAATAAATCAAATAAAATGCACCCCAGAGGGCTCGCTCACTCTTTTTTTTTTTTAAACCATGTGAGGATATGATGAGAAGTTGGCAGTCGGCAACACGGAAGGGGACCCTCACCAGAACCTGACCATGCTGGCATCCTGATTTTAAACTTTTAGCCTCCGGAACTGTGAGAAATAAATTTTTGTTGTTTATAAGCCACCCAGTTCATGGTATTTTATTACAGCATTCTGAGATAAGACAGTTATTAAAAAATTCCCAGGTATGCTAATAACAGCAGGCCAATGGGAATTGAGCCTCATCAAGACTTCAGACAGAGCCTACTAAAAAGTTGTGAAGAGTTGGATGAATAAGACATGAGGCAGAGTCCTCTTGTAATAAATAGATGCACAGCAAACCATGGACCTGACCTGGACTCTCCTGGGGTCATCTGATGCAGTGGTGGTAGGAAGCCTCTTAAATACTTTCTGACTCTCCATGTTTGCAAAGAGAGTTGAATGACATGTTGAATCAAAGCCCATGCCTGAGATGGCTAATAAAAAGTCTAGAAAAGGATTATGGTGATCAGGAGCTCTGGAAAATCCACAGTAGAAAGCAAATTTGAACCTGTTAGGGAAACACAGTTTAAACAATATCATGTTCCTTGAGAAGAATGTTTACTAGGAGCCTGATATTACAAAGGTGAGATTTGCTTATACATGAGTTTCTTAGACTGTGATTCAATTTTGGCATCTAGGCTTAAAGTAATTCTAGGCTATTTTCATTTTGATTTGCATTTTTTGTGTGTTACTAATTACCAAACTGAAAACTATGGCCCTTAGAGAAAGAAAGAGAGGTGTTGATAGATGTCTTCATGGAACAAGATAATTCAGATATCAGAGTTAGTGATGCAGGTTGAGCATCCCACATCCAAAAAGCCAAAATCCAAAATGCTCTAAAATTCAAAACTTTTTGAGTGCCAACATGATGCTGAAAGGAAATGCTTACTGGAAAATTTTGGATTTTGTGTGTAGGATGATCAACTGGTAAGTATACATAATGCATATATTCCAAAATCCAAAAACATCCCCCAAAATCCAAAATCTGAAACACTTCTGGTCCCAAGCATTCAGGATAAGGATATTCAACCTATACTGTGTTTTCAAAATGAGAAGAGATGACCATTCCCTTCTCCTTCCCTTGGAGACTTGAGCAATCCCATAATTGTGGGGATCATAAAAGGAAAACTCAGGAGAAAAAGCACAAAGAAAGAGGAGGGATATTTACTTGCCAAGCTTTGCGGGGGAATAGGAGCGTACCCTAGGGTTGGGGGCAGTGGGAGAGGTCCACCTTTTGTCATCACCATAGTCCAGCAATTCTAAATAATGTCGATGATAACACATTCCTGCCTGCTAGGAAATTATTCCTGTCTCTCAACCCCCATCCCTTCTCTACATTAGGCAGCAACTACAAGGGAGTCCAGCCTTTGGAAGAACTTGCTTGCCATATAAAATAATACAATAGGTGTTAAAAGAAAATGCTCCAAGTTTATTAAGACTACAACCTGTTTATTTACAGAGGTAAACATCATTTTTTTCCCCCATATGATTATTATGTCTGTGAGGGATATGGGTCATCACATACATGTAGCCATCAGGACAGTAAAACTTAAGGGAGCTTCAGTAACTCACAGGCAAGTGTTTATTTAGGATTTTATCTGTATCGTGACCAATGTCAAAGGGAAGATCCTTTTTTTGTTTATCTCAGGATGAAATTCTGCTTTCTTGGGAGAAATGCAATACCAGACACTGGTCTTTACTTTTTCCTTGATTGATTTTAGAGTGGGAGGTCCATTCAAAGATAACATGGTAAGTTGGTCAGCTTCCTTTCTACTTTGGACCATAACTTAAAATAGACCAATGAATTCCTATTTGTTCTTCAGAATATCTGGATTAAGTTTCTTGAATGATCATGGATGATCTGTGGAGATTTGGAGCATAATGTATTTTGTTTTGTTTTCTTCTTCTTTAATGTAGTTTATTTGTAAAGTCAAAGAAGCTGCTAATGACCAGCTTTTCAAAGATGTAATAGAAACAAGGGAGGAAGACTCATAAAACACTTGTTCATCAAACACTGTTTGATGAACAGCAACACTAGCAGATATTTTAAAGAAAAGGCTGCTTTCTGGCCAGCCCCATAAAGTCATTGGCTGATTTTACAAATGTATTCATGGTGCGGGGAACCAAGAGCCAGGTTTATGCCAATTGAGCTGTCTGGGAAGTTGAGGGCAGCTGGAGGTATATTTAAACTGTCAGTGTAAAAATGGCTTTGTCAGCCAAGTGGCATTTTCTTTCCTCTGTTGGGGAGGTGTGGTGCAGACAAAGAAAAAGAATATCACCTGCTCAAGTTGGCATTTCCTGAAGGGAGGAAAAGTTGCTGCCTCTGTTTAGTTCATAACCAGTTGGAGAATGAGTCAGCAAGAGACAGAAAGTCTTTGGAGATGAGTAATCATCTTTCAGTGCTGGACTGAGGCTGTCAGGGTGGAAAATGAATGGGTCTTGTGCCTACCCTCAAGTGACAGGGACCCTTAACTGCAATTTGCTCTGTCACAAGGATGTGAAATTGTGAATTTTAGTATCATGAAAAATGAGAATATTTTTGACACAATTGTCAGATCACATACAGTACCAAAATGAGAGGAGAGATTTTCATGGGACTATCAGGACTGCAGACTTAATAAGTGACTCTGTAGGATTTTAATTTCTGATAAAAGATTACTTTTCTTCTTGGTAATGGATGCATTTCTACCATACCTTCCTCGAAGGAACTCAAAGTACTTCACAGGCGTGAATGGAGCTGGGGGGTGGGTTGGACATCAGGAGTGAAGGAGTTGCTTCATACACACGGATGATGGTGGTGGCGGGGGACGGCCACTAACAGTTACTGAGTCTTTGCAACTTTACAAGTTTTGTTTTACTTAATCTTTACGTGGGTTAGTTATTTCTATCCTACATACAAGGAAACAAAGGCTGGGTGGTTATTTAATTCACTTGAGGTCACCCAGCTATTCTGTGTCTGAGCTGGAATAGGAAGACAGTTGTAAATTCTGGGCTCTTTCTATAACCACACATCGTACCCACATGGGGTGGGTTTCTGGGAAGATGAGCTGCCCAGGCACGGGTGGTTACCCACAGAGATGGATCTGGGAGGGGATTATCCCTCCCACTGCTTTGGAAAATGCTAAAATTTCAAGTTAAAAATGTCTTTTGCAGTACCTGACTCTGAGCTTAAGTCAGGACACTACCACGGTTCCTGAAAACCAGATAGAAATGCTAGCTCTTTCAGAGGTGGACATGGCGGCACCTAGACATCAAATGCAGGTGCTGTATCAGATGTTCATGGAGGCAGGTCCCACAGTGGTCTCACTGTGCCCACATGCCTTCCCTAGTGGGGTGCCCACTAACTTCCTGAGGAGAAGATGAAGAAGGCCCTGCACCAAAACTAGATCTTCACATTTATTTTAAACAAATAGCAGGAGATTACAAAACAGGAAGTTCCTTGAACTGTTGATGGGAATCGCCAAGCATGGAGAAATGCCTAGGAGCTTTCTCCCACGTTGATGTAGAATGTTCAGTTCAGCTTAATTCAACTTTTTGCTTTTTCACTGTGTTTATTATTGCTGTGAGGACAAGAAAGGGCTGATGAGGCCCTGCTTCCAAGCATATCAGTTCACCAGTGGAATTCTGGACAGACAAGAATAAAGCTCTTCTCTCTATATCCTCCACAGAGATAAGGACTCTTCTGCTTTGTTGACGATTATGTTCCCAGCACCTTCATAGCTCCTGGCACATAGCAGGACTTATAAATCTGATGACTGACCCAGCTCTTAATCTTGAGGCATTATAGAGCTCCATTTATTAAACTTTATTTTTATTTTTATAGAGATGAGGTCTCTCTCTGTCAACCAGGCTGGAGTTGAGTGACGTGATCACAACTCACTGCAGCCTCAACCACCCAGGCTCAAGTGATCCCCCCATCTCAACCTCCAGAGTAGCTGGGACTACAAGCATGCACCACCATGCCTGGCTAATAAAAAAAGATGTTTTGTTTTTAGAGATGGGGTCTTGCAATGTTGCCCAGGCTGGTCTTGACCTCCTGGACTTGAGCGATCCTCCCATCTCAGCTTCACAAACCATTTACAAAATTTTAATGGGCATAGAGATGACCTGTGGGTTGTGTTTGAATGCAGGTTCTGATTAGGTAGGTCTGGAGTAGGGCCTGGAATTCTGCATTTATAACCAGCTCCTGGGTGGTGTTGATTTTGCTTATCCAAAAGCATACATTGAGTAGCAAGGGTGTAAGGAAATGGTACCTTTTCTGTGTACCAGGCATAACATTTAGGAGGATGACACATTATTTCATAGAATCATCACAGAGATTTGTTAGGAAGATATGGTATCCCCATTTCCAGGGCTGGAAAGGGAGTTTAAAAATATTCAGAGAATTGCCTGCAGTCCCAGAGATAATAAATGACAGAGCTAGTGATCACTCTGGAAAGTAAAAAAAAAAAGTCCCATGTGAGTGTTAGACATTATTATATTTTTAATAACTTTATCTATATTCAAGGTTGATGATGATCAAAGATCACTTGGTGGTGCATTTGTTTACACCAGGAATTCATTAATGGGTCTTTAACTCTGCATTTTAATGAGAAGTTATTTATCAAAATGTCTCTCCCCACGAGAGAAATGTGTATCACCTAGGCAGGAAATCTAGTTAAGGGAGACCAGTCTTGTTGAAAGGATGTTCAGAATTGAACTACTAGAGTCTGCAATGCAAAACATGTCAGTGAATGTAATATTTGATAATTCATGATGGCCATCTGCTCCAACCCAGATGCTGCGGATGGGGGCACTGGGGGTGGGGGACAGAGATGATAAACTCTGGATGAGGAATCTTCCATCTTTCGCCTACACTGTGAAACCCTTCATTAGCATTATCTCATCTGGCAGTCAACAGGGGGCTTTGCTCTTGTATAAAAATTGCTTAGCAATGAAAATGAATCAGGAAAGATTACAGTCAATAAGCAATAATTTTTCAGACTCAAGATGTAAAGAGTAAATCAGTAGCTATAGTAATCATGCCTGTTTTTGTGTGGCCACTCAGCAGTGACTCCGGTGTTTGGACAGAATGCTAAAAAAGCAACTTAGTAATATTCCTTCCAGAAAGTTGGGACATGGGTTGATCACTTTGCCATGGGCAAGTTCTTTGGTCCCTCCCTTAGAGGTTCTGATTAAGTTCATCCTGTATGGGGTGTGGGAATCTGCACTGCTCCTGAGTCCCTGGGTATTTCAGGGCCCACTGTGAGAGGTGCCACCATATCCCTCATTTCTGTCACATCCATCAGGTAACCAGGGCTTTTAACCCGACAAGAACAGGTTAGTGAGTGCATTAACCTGTAGGTTGCCAGCTCAAAGCTCTTTCTAACCAGTCACTGGCTCTATTGCATCAGGGATTCTAAAATGATGGTGAAGTACAGAGGTAATGCTGAACCCAACTTTTTCAGAAAAAGTCCCACATTTTATCTTTTTTTCAATACTGAGAGCTATTAGTGTGTCAGAATAGGCAGGAGTAACCCTGCCGAATCTGCTGCCTGGTGGCTTATAAAAGTATAAAACCAGTTGCCCAGGCCCTAAACTAGCTGCTGCTTTCATCTTCTGTCAATACCCAAACAAAGCTACTTACTTTCATGGAAGGCAAAATCCATGTAGAAAAGATTGAAGTTTGTAAATTTCTCACTGGCTGCAATTTTTTTCAGTGTGTTGGAGAGTTGCTCTGCTCTCTGAAGAGAGAGGAAACAGGGAGAATTTCATGAAATCTAGACTTTGGCTTTAGTGAGACAATTCAGGCAGAACAAAGAAATCGATCTTCCCCATCCTACTCTACTTTCATTTCTCCAAGCCATCAGCAGACAGCAGCTCTGCACATTAAATTCTAGTCACGTACAAATGGCCAGTGAACATGAGACAAATGTTAATGTTCATTAGGAATCAAATCAGTGTAAATTAGTGATACTAGTTTTAACACCCTTGGGACTGGCAAAGGTAAGATAACCATGATATTGAATGTTGTCATGGGTAGGTGAATGAGAATGTCATTAGCTTAACCTTTCTAGAGAGCAATTTGGCAATATGGATCAAATCCTTAAACATGGACATACCCTTTGGCCCAGTAATTCTTCTAGGAATTTGTCTCAAGGAAATTGAGATGTACACAGAGACTTACACCTTTAGATATACGATGGCTCATCACAATGCTATTTATCATAGTGTAAATTTGGAAACAATCTAAATGTCCAACAACAAAAGATGAAATAAATCATAATATAGTCACGTATAAACTTTAGAATGGTTACAACATTATGGTGTGGAGAAACAATCTATGAACATTGGAAAGCATAAAAGAGTATGTGCATTCTCATACTATGTAGGCAAAAACCAAATATATTGATCTCTAGAAGTGGTAATGGGAAGACATACACATATACTAACTTTGGGTGGTGGAATTTTGCGTGATATTTGTTATTGTTCTTTATGCTTTTTTGTGTTCTCCAAGTTCTAAAAAATTGAAATATGCTTTTTATGTAAAAAATGTTCAATAAGTCTTTTGTCTGTTTGTTCATTTTTGTTTTTGAGACAGGGTCTTGCTCTGTTGCCCAGGCTGGAATGCAATGGCGCGATCTTGGCTCACGGCAACCTCCGCCTCCTGGGTTCAAGTGATTCTCATGCCTCAGCCTCCTGAGCAGCTGGGACTACAGGTGCCCACCATGACACCTGGCTAATTTTTGTATTTTTTAGTAGAGATGGGGTTTCATCATGTTGATCAGGCTGGTCTCAAACTCCTGACCTCAAGTGATCCTCCCACCTCAGCCTCCCAAAGTGCTGAGATTACAGGTGTGAGCCACCGCGCCCAGCCTCAATAAGTCTTTTACAAAGAGATTATTCGCCATCTGTGAAAGAAGTGTAAACCATGTTCTTTGAGCAATGGATTCCCTGAGAGAAGGGAGGAAGGTTCTTATTTACCTTGGGAGAACTTCTGTCATGCATAGGGGCCAACCTCAATCAGCTCTCTCCAACTCCACAACTATGCTTAGGACCAGCTTTAAGAGGTTGTGTGTGTGTGTGTGTGTGTATGTGTGCGTGTGCACAGGGGAGGGTGTGTACACACATGTGTACACACGAGAGAGACAGTGGCTGAGAAACACAGTCAGCAGAGGACAGACCCAGAGCAAGACAGAGGGAGACAGGGTGCACCAGGTTCTCTCGGCTCCTCAAGCACCTGGAAGGTTTGATTTTGTTATTCACCAGCTTGGAGACCATCTGCCTGCCAGGATCCCATCCCCAGTGAAAACTCTGCAGCAAACACAGGGAAAGAATGATCAAAGATGGTATCAAAAGGCCTGTGACAGTCATACCTCTGAAGTGAGAGTCCGCAACGTCTTGTTGGAAGACATCCAGCCGTGGCAGGGGCTGACCTGAGAGCGGGAAAACACTTTTGATTACAGAGGATCAGGGTAGGTAAGCGGGCCTTGAAGCAAGCCAGTGAGTGCTCACCTGGAGGCAGTTCAGGAAGGAGTACAACTGCGCATAGGTCATGTCTTTATTTAGCTGGCCTGGAAAACAGAGAGGTCTGGTAGATTGCATCCACTCGGCAATAGCAGCATTTAGAGGCACCTGGGGGCTTCCCTGCCTCCCTTGCAGAAAGTCACTATTTCCAGGGTGTTCCCCTGATTTTTCATGCAGCATTGCTCTTGAAGAATGCCTGTGCTTTCCTCCTTTCTGAGCCTCTAGAAATTCAGACCCAGAGTTGAGGAGGAGCCCTGAGGAACTCACTGCCATATAGAGCTGTGGGCATGGGCCTGGATGGGGCTGGGGGAAGTGGCCTCATCTGGACTCAGGAAAAAGAAATGCAAGTATCCTACAGCTCAATGTGAACCAGGATGCCTTGGATAAAGCCCTTTAAGAGCAGTACTTTCTCCTGGCCCTGGTATGAAATGCTCCCTGCATGGGGCACAGGGAACATTCGAGGTGGCGGTTGACCTAATCCCCTTTTCTAGGTTTATGAAACGCTCAGGTCTGACCGAATTATCCCACACTGAGGGCCTGGCAGGACATTCTGAGTATCTGAAGCTCTGACCACGTAGTTCCCTGCAGTTGGTGAACTGAAAGCCATACGAAATACTTGGTTGGCCCATGGGATGGGGAGGCAGTACCTCATGTCTCTGTGGCACTGGATTATGGGCTGTCCAGTGGATATCTTATTTGACCCTAATTAGTAGACACCCTTATTTTTTAGTGCAAGTTACAGAGGTACATAATAAAGTGAAAAGTACCAGATGAGCGTTCATCCAGTTTTTCTGAACATCAGCTATAGTCCCAGAATCTGTGGGGGTGATTTCTTCTCTCTTCCAACACCGCTCCACCCCGCTTCCAGCATATCCACCCCGCTGA
This sequence comes from Homo sapiens, assembly GCF_000001405.40. Classification (NCBI taxonomy): domain Eukaryota; kingdom Metazoa; phylum Chordata; class Mammalia; order Primates; family Hominidae; genus Homo; species Homo sapiens. Next base: position 36,533,183 of record NC_000007.14, read on the forward strand.
AGCAATTTGACTTTCATGCTGTGGCTGACACACAAAATCCAGGTCTCCCCAAATCTCGGGGGTGAATGACTGACACTGTATCCATTAACACTCCTCACACTCTTGAAAACATAAAGGAAGATAATAGGACCTATCTCAGAATGAAGAGAAAGATTGAAGGTGATAGAACACAGTCTTATTTTTCACTTATACCTCTGATTAGTTAGACTGGAAGATAGATTCAATTTTCTTGTCAGAGAGAAAAAATTTATTATCTCTCTGTGTAGGTGAGTGAGTCCCAAGACAGGAAAGCCACAGGCTCATTATGGCCACTAAAGTCACAGTGACCCGCCAGGTCTGTCTTCTGTACAGGCTTCTGTATCTTCACATTTTAAATGACTCCCAAATCCTTGGCTTTCGTCCTTGCTTTTATTTTATGGGTCCAACACTGAGCTTCCATTTTCCCCCAAGTTCCTACTTCTACCCACTGAGGATTTGTTCCCTCTATTTTGTGTGCGTGTGTGTGTGTGTGTGTGTGTTTGTGTGTGTGTACTTTTTGTCATTTGCTCCCTTTCTGAATGTGTCTCAGCTGCAGTGACTGACATCTTCCTTCTCCACTCCCCACCCTGGGTCCTCCACGTGCTCTCCTGGCTTCGCTCTTTCCCTCTGGGGGCTACCACTGAGTTGCGGCCTTCCGTCTCCCCACCTTCTGTGAGGGCCCAGTGTCTGGCTGCTTTTGCCTTGGTGCCTGGTGCCATCTTGTCGCTATGTTGGAACTGGGGCCTCATAGTGAAACTTAGGTAGCCTGGCTGGGGCCCTGCCGCCCCTCTGGGCCCTGGTGTGTCCCCTCCCCCTGAGGGGCGGCATCTCTCTGCAGCCTGACAGGAGGTGGCACCTCATGCCTGACCTTGCACTCTCCCCTCCCCACCTTCAGGCCTGGATTTCTTTGATATCCAGAGGGGCCGGAGTTTGTCCTGCTCCTGTGACACTGGGAACTTCATTGTTGGCTCCTCCTTGGGGATGAAGGCCCACCCTGGCCTTGCTCCACGCTGCCTGATGCCCTCTCCTGCTGTCCTTCTGCTGATGGCCAGCACAGCTCCCAATGAGACCCTGAGGGGCACCTCCCTTCTGCACCTCCTCAGTCCCTCTCCCTTTCCCTCTGTCGCCTGGCTCCACCTCCAGCTGGACCTGATTGAGAATGGGAACATCCTTAGTGTGGGTGGCTAGGTCTGCTGAACAGGATGAGGGCACATTAGGTGCATTTAGAAGAACCTGGGAAAGTTGCAATGAATCAGTGTCCCTCCTGTCTGGTGTTTCTGCCTGTTAGAGGGTAGGGACTCTGGGGCTGGTCATGTGGAAGATTGGCTAGGGGTGCTTGCGATGGGCTTATGGTTTCGAGGAAGGGAAGAGGGAAATGGTTCTTACACTTTCTGCTTTATTGGCAATATCAGTTGGTCCCCCACTCTTTCTTTTTAAGCATTACCTTTTATCTTTGTTTCTTTAATGTAATTTTGGCCTATTGATCCTACTTCTATGGGGTGCATGAAGAGAGGTTGTGTCTGTGACTCCCTGGTTAGAAAGTCCATCTGGATAGGAAAGCTGATCAAGAAAGCCCAGGGGCAGGCCAGGAGGACTGTCCCACAGTGGCCAGGAATCACCAGGGGCTGAGGAGCTCTGTCTATGTGTATCTGTGTGTCTTCATGTGTGTCTGTGTGTCTGTGTCTCTGTGTGTCTTCGTGTGTGTCTGTGTCTCTGTCTGTCTGTGTTTTTGTGTGTTTCTGTGTCTGTGTGTGTATCTGTGTCTGTGTCTCTGTGTGTGTGTTTGTGTGTGTCTGCTTGTGTGTATCTGTGTGTGTCTGTGTCTGTGTGTGTGTCTGTGTGTGTGTATGTGTCTGTGTGTGTGTATCCGTGTGTGTCTGTGTCTCTGTGTGTGTGTTTGTGTGTGTCTGTGTCTGTGTGTGTATGTGTCTGCTTGTGTGTACCTGTGTCCGTGTCTGTGTGTGTGTGTTTGTGTGTGTCTGTGTGCCTGTGTGTGTTGTGGGGAGCCAGCGGGCTGTCCCAGTGTTTGCCATAAGCTCCTCTGAAGATCAAAGGTGTGTTCTTCCCTAGCTGGCTTAGTGACGGTTTGCGTCTTCATAATCTGTAACTTCTTTAGGGCAGGGTCTCTGGTATCTATTTAATTCTGGAAACATAATTGAAATCTTAGGTACCGTAGAAACTTAGTACCAACAAAGATCAGGCACATCTCCATGAAATGCCATGTAAATGTGTTAAAATCACATTCATTCAGACGGAGGGAAAGTGCGTGATAAAATAGAAACACCAAGGTATTTTAAAAAGACATTTGGTTTCAAGTTTAAGAGTAATTGGGGCAAGATGAAGTTGCTGTTTTGTGGCAGAAGCCCTTCAAGCCTGGCCCACTAGCAGACGAATTTGCAGCCAGGAGTCCCTGGCTTCCTCTCCATAGTCTAACCCTTGGGATGGCCCCTGAATGCCTGTGACTTGCCCATCCTCATGGGCACTCGGCACGTTCGCTGTCAGGGTCCATGTGCTGAGTTCGCTAGCGGAGTTTTTTCCCTCTCATTTGAGGACACAGATGCATCTTATGTCATCTTTTCTCAAAAGCACAGAGTAGGAATCTCAGAGATATTTCTGGAATGATCCCCTTCCTCACAGATCATGGCTGAGAGGACTTGTGACTGGCCAAGCTTGACTTTTCTCAAAGGACCCACATCAGTAGAATCCCAATGTATGAGGCTTGCTGTCTGGTAATTCCTCACAAAGACAATAAACTCTCACCAGGAATTTTAGCTACTAGTAGAGGCTGTGGGGTGCCCCAGCCCTTGGCAGCCAGCGACGGACTGGGTAGTGAGTCACAAACCTGGCTGAGGAGGGATGCGAGGAGAGATTCGTCACCCCCTTGTCCCTGGCAGGAGTGAGACACCCACCTGCTCTTGTTCTGGGCCTCTGAGTGTCCTGCTGCGTGGGTGCTGTGGCATCTAACCCTGCCTTCACTGGTTGCTCAGGCTGAGTTCCTGCCTGTCCTTCTGAGGGAAAAGGAGGCAGCAGAGACTGTGTCACTGACCAGGGGGTCTCCTACCATGCCTCTGTTTCCTGAACGCTTTCTTAATTTTTAAGAAGTGGCCAAAGTCAAGTCTAAACACTATGATCACCACATTTCTAGGCCCAAATAAATGGACCTCACCCTCTTCCCCCTACTTTTTTTTTCTTTGCACAGCACTGTTAGCACAACCCTTAACACGGTGCCCAGGAATCAGACTTGAGTGTCCAGCTGCTGACTAAGATGAGATCTACAGTGGCCTGGGCAGAGCAACCAAACCCTGAGGCCGGCCCAGCATGAACCCTGCTTCACTGCTGGCTCAAGATCCAAAGATGGGGTTTGGAGTGAGAGCAGAAGAGAGACAGCATGAGAGCAATAAATGAAATTACTGTGCTTAATGAAAGCATCTATCTCCCAGGGTTGTTTTAAGAATCACGCCTTCTCAGCTGGGAACGGTGGCTCATGCCTGTAATCCCAGCACTTTGGGAGGCCGAGGCAGGTGGATCACCTGAGATCAGGAGATCGAGACCAGCCTGGCCAACATGGTGAAACCCCATTTCTACTAAAAATACAAAAATTAGCCCAGTGTGTTAGCAGGCGCCTGTAATCCCAGCTACTCGGGGGAGCTGAGGCAGGAGCATTGCTTGAAGCTGGGAGGCAGAGGTTGCAGTGAGCTATGATCGCACCACTGCATTCCAGCCTGGGTGACATAGTGAGACTTCATCTCAAAAAAAAAAAAAAAAAAAAAAAAAAAGAATCACACCTTCCTAATGCAGCCCCCTCTTGAAGTCTGTCATCTTGTGTGAGTGATGAGTCCTGTCAAAGGAGGCCTGGGGATGCCGGATAAATCCCACCTACTTCTCCAGCCTTTCTAGGAAAGACCCTGATGCTTCGTTGAGAAATGTATAATTTATTTCCCATGGCAACCAGGCAGCAGAGATAATTTAGGATGTGAATAGTTACTTATAAGCATCAAACAAATTTTAGATGGTTTCAGCTTTCTCCTTGATTGGATTTTTTTTTTTTTTTCCAAAACTACTGATGTTTCTGTAGAACAAACTTGTTCTATCTTTTTCTTCCTTCCATTTTGTGCTGTACATGCTAGGGTGTGATTAGCAGCCAGAGAGAGTCCACTTGAGAAGGACAAGGCAAAGGCAAAATCTAGAGCAGTCTCTCAACCTTGCATGACTGACAGTCTTGATTTTGGGGTGCCGTCTCGTGCATTGTAGATGTTTAGCAAACCCCCTGGCCTCTACTCACTAGATGCTAGTTGCACCCCTCTTGTTTTTTTTTTTTTTTTGTTTGTTTGTTTTGAGACTGAGTTTCACTCTTGTTGCCCAGGGTGGAGGGCAATGGTGTGATCTCAGCTCATTACAACCTCCGCCTCCCGGGTTCAAGCGATTCTCTTGCCTCAGCCTCCCAAGTAGCTACGATTACAGGCACCTGCCACCACGCCCAGCTAATTTTTTTTTGTATTTTTAGCAGAGGCAGGGTTTCACCATGTTGGCCAGGCTGGCCTTGAACTCCTGACCTCAGGTGATCCGCCCACCTTGGCCTCCCAAAGTGCTGAGATTACAGGCGTGAGCCACTGCACCCAGCCTAGTTGCACCCCTCTTCTATCTCCAGATGTGATAAAAGCAGGGTGGGGGTGAGTGGGTTGCCCCCAGTTGAGAACCACTGGCCTAGAGAATCCACAGAAGTGGACAAATCCCCCAATCATCCTTTTTTCTTCCCTCAGTCCTTTCCAAATTGCGTGGAGTCATGCTTACATACCATTCGTACATTCTTTTTTTTTTTTTTTTTGGACAGAGTTTTTGTTTGTTTGTTTGTTTTTCACTCTTGTCACCCAGGCTGGAGTGCAATGGTGCGATCTCGGCTCACTGCAACCTCTGCCTCCTGGGTTCAAGCGATTCTCCTGCTTCAGTCTCCTGAGTAGTTGGGATCACAGGTGTGTGCCACCACACCCTGCTAATTTTTGTATTTTTAGAAGAGACGAGGTTTCACTATGTTGGCCAGGCTTGACTTGAACTCTCGCCACAGTTGATCCACCCACCTCGGCCTCCCAAATTGCTAAGATTACAGGCATGAGCCACCGTGCCTGGCCTCATTCTTACATTCTTACATACATTTTTCCTTCCCCTAGTCCTTTCCAAATTGCATGGAGTCATTCTTACCTTTGGTCTCATATTTATGAAACCAAACATGTCTCATAAATCAAGTGAATTGCATGGCATATCGGAAAGAATTTATGGAGGTGGCGTAACCAGAGTTCATGGAAAGAAAATGGGATTAGAAATCAGAAAAATGGAAGTCAAGTCGCTATTACTGTGATGGAGTAAATTGGGAACAAACTTCCCTGCCCTCAGCTTCTCTTTCCAAAGCATTTCTTAGTGTAGGAGACACATTTGGAAATCTGAAAGAATCAGTTGAGGGCAGATGTACAATTTTCATATCCCGTGGTTCAAAGAGACATTCTTAGCCCAGGTTGGTGTCCTTTCTGCATGCAAAGCAGCCCAGAATGGAGTGAAGTTCCATGTGTGATCATGTTATTTCTAAGGCGGCGTGGTCAAAGTTGCATGAACAGGAAGAATATGCTCTACTTAGGTGAGGCTGTACAGTGTTTTGCTTGGATGATAATATTTGTGATACATGAGTAACTCAAGAGGAAAATGGTTTCATCCTTATTGGTGGAGAATAGGGAATGTGGGTGTCCACCATTGTCCCTCCAACTAAGAGACCAGAGCCTTTGAGAGCTAGCTAAAGGACCCTTACTCTTTTCCCAGGTGGGGAGAGGCGGAATTTCCTGAGGGAGAAGTGGGGTGTTTGTCTTAGACAGGGACTGCAGGAAGAGGACAAGAGAAGACTGGAAAGATTCACACAAAGTAGTATATGCAAGAAAAGGCTCTTGATGGCCTGAAATGGGAAATCTTGCTCCCCACCCACTCCCTCTAAGGAGGGCGTGAAAGAATGAGTTTCAGGTCTTCTTTGAATTTCTCGCCTGACTCCTAAGAAGGTGCTTGGACTGCCAGCACCTTTTAGTGGGTTGGGCTCAGGAGGTGAGTGGGGTAACACCAGGGAAGGGATAGTCCCTTCTTCATGATAGATTGGTGCAGGTGCTGTCAATATGGGGCTGAGAGGAAGGTACCCAGGCCTCTTCTTATAGATGCTCATCAGGGAAGACTGAGGCCAGCTCCCTGTTCCTCTTCCTTGCTCAGTTTTCTTCCTGTGGCACTTATCACCTTCTGATATACTTTTGGGTCATTTTCCCATTGTAATATAAGCTTTCTGTGGGCAGGAACTTAGGACTATTGTGTTTTCTGCTGGTTACCCTGTGCCTAGAATAGTGCCTGGCACATAGTTGGCACTTAATAAATACATTCTCCTCTGAAATACAGAAAGCAGAGCCCTGCTACAACATATTCAGTGAGCTCTGTGGCATTTGGCAAGCTATCTAACCTCTCTGAGCCTTGGTTTTTTTCATCTATAAAATGAAATTATTGTGGTTGATAAAAACATCTATCTCACAGGGTTAAGGATCACACCTTCCTAATGCAAATTACTAGCACTTTTATGTTATTTGTACAGTATCGAGAATATTTGAGTTGCCATTAGAAGGTTCCAGGGACATTTTAAAGCCTTTCGGAGCTAAGGACCCCAAGAGAGTGTAGAAGCAGGAAATGAGCAGGCTGGAGGACTGTGCTCTAGAGAATTCTAACAGGCCACCAGGAAGCACTTACCATTGAGGTTCAGAGAAATCCCTGTCTTTGACTCACGGGTCTGTCTCCTGTTTGGGCTTCCTCAGCTCATTTTACATTTCACCTTCTGTTAGAGGAATTTCCTGGTTTGAGCACTTACCTTTCAATGTGTCCCAATTCTTCATGAATTACTTCTGCCCTTTCTGCCTTTGGATCTGATTCGGCTCACCTCTGGATAATGACCTTTAGATACTGCACCTAGGGGCTCTTGCCTTTATCAACCCTGACCCATGTTCCATGATGGCATTTTAGGCACATTTCTATATGGTTTGAACCATATATACATTGAACTGTATATACATTGATGTTATTAAAGAGTAAAAGAATCTTCAAACTGATACCGAGAGGATGATATCTGTTGTGCAAATTATCCCAGAGAAAGGTTCCATCTGGTAAGCCATACAAAATAACATGGCTGCCATTGGGCAGGTGGGAATTTAGATGCTTCAGAGTCTGCATGACGTTGGAGTAGAGTTTCTCAGGAGTGGTCATGGCTGGGACTGGGTCACTCTTCCTGTTGGTGGAATAAACAGAAAATATCTTGGTTGATTGTAAGGATAGATGCATGCAAGTTGCACGCAAATACAAGATACATCACACACACATACGCACACACACACACACAGTGTGGTGGTCATTGGAGCTATTTGCAAAATATTCCTGGATTTCCACCTTTCTGACACATAGGCTGTACTTACTGACTCCCTTGCGGTTGAGTGGACTATGTGACTAGTTCTAACCAATGAGTGGTGAGCTGAAGTGACATGTGTCATATTTGGTGATGTGACACCTTCTAGAATGCTCCTTTTCTTTGCATGGGTATAGGCAATGTTCTAGATAGCTGCTTCACCAATCTGAGTCCTGGAACAGAGTCCCATGGTGATCTCTGATGGACAAGTAGTGTGAGAGAGACGTAAACATTTGTTGCTTTATGCTACTAAGATTTTAGGGGCTGTTTGTTCCTTTGTTCCTGTAGCATAAACTCGCTGGCCTGACTTACACACAGTTTTTGAAATGAAAGGGGTCTGGTATTACTTATGATTTATTTGACACTTCGAGGTCTATAACTTGGTCTTTAAAACTTTTCACATGTATAACAGTTAGAAAACAGAATCTTACTGATTAAGTTATATTATACGTCCACACTGTATCTTGCTCTTTATCCTTCCATTTCTACACTGGATTTGGACTTGCATGCATTTCCTGATGGATTTCTATTCCAGGCTATACCCTGCAACAGCATTTCACAACAATTCCAGCCCGCATTATTGTCTTTATATAGTAGTGCTTGTGCTCTATAGAGGGTATTTGAATTTTTAAATTATATTTTCTCTTCTTATTTCATAAAAGTTAGTAAAATAAAAAAAGAAAGTACTGAAAGTAGTTATGAGAGACACAGGCCTAAAATCAAAGCATGTCAGACAAAGGTGAAGCTCCTAAGTGAGCTGAAAGTGACGAATCTTTACCCTCAATCAGACATTTATTGAATTTAAGCTGATTGACTTATATTCATTTGGTTTGGAAAAGAAGTAAGGAATGTACAAAATACTACAAGACATCATTTGAAGTTATGTTAAAATTGCACTCATTGGTTGATTTAAAGTTATGTTTGGGTGCTATGCTCACCACCTGGGTGATGAGGTAATTTGTACTCCAAACCTCAGCGTCGTACAATAATATATCCATGCAATGAACTGGCACATGTACCCCCATATCTAAAATACAAGTTGAAATTATTTTAAAAAGCTATGTTTAAAAGGCAAGGGGTGCTAAAGTATTTTTGGCATTAATATAAGTTTATTATTGTTCATTTCTTTGTACAATTGACTTTTGCACACACCTTCAGGAACACAACAAATTTGGATTCGGATCCTAACCTGCATTAACTTGGGAGTAGAATACAGAATTTTCTAGAGTTTTCATCTACTCTTTACACTCTAACTGCCTGTCTTTACCCTAAATGGAATAATGCTACAGTGTTACTTTCTCTTTTGTGTACTTAAAATTCCAGTTTCCCTAATGATAGTGGGTTAAATAGTGTCCCTAAAAATGTGACATTACTTGAAAATAGGGTCTTCATGGTTGTCATTAGTTAAGATGAGGTCATGTTGGATTAGTGTGGGCCTTAAATTCAATGACTGAATCCTTATAAGAAGAGGAGAGGACACACAGACATACACCAGGAGGAAGGCCATGTGAAGACAGAAGCAGACACTGGGGTTATGGCTGCCACAAGCCAAAGAGTGCTGAGGATCGCTGGAAGCCACCAGAAGTGGGAAGACAAAAGGAAGGATTTTTCCCTGGAGCTTTCAGAGGGAGCATGGCCCCACGGACACCTTGATCTTGGACTTTAAGCATCCAGAACTGAGATGGAATACATGTCTGCGTTTTGAGTCATCCAGTTTTGGTACTTTGTTATGGCAGCTCCAGGGAACTTAATACAGATTGTGAACCAGATAAAATAAGTCCATCACTCAGAGGCTGGACCCAGGGCATAAGTGATATGGGAAGAGGGGGCAGAAAGGGGCCCCCAGGGATCCATAATTCTCATTTTTAAGGGAGCTCATAAATGAATATTGGCACTGCCTTTTCGGAGGGCAATTTTTCAAAATGTATCCAAATTTGAAGCTGGCTTAACTTTTGACCTTGGAATTTCACTTTCAAGAAGTTATCCTATAGTAACATTTCCACCAATGTGCAAAAATGTACATACGAATATTGTAATGTTGCTTGGTATAGTGTACCACTGGAAAAAGATAAAAGCCTAAATACATAAATTATGGTACACCCATGCAATAGAACTCTATATAGCCATTAGGAATATAATAACTAGATATCGTTGGTTGCACAACATTGTGAACTGGAAATGCCACTGAATTTTTGCTTTAGAATGGTTAGTCTTACATTATGTGAATTTCACCTGAATAAAAAAAAAGAAGTAATTTGTATGTATTAATATAGAAAGATGGCTAAAAAGTATTAAAGTATTGTTGACTACAACAATACTTTTGGTGCCATGGGGGTAGCCAGTAGGGTGGCAGTTATGGTTGGTGTATGTGCTTCTAAACTATGTCATGGATCGCTAGAGTCTCTTAAGGGGGGAGAGAAAAAGATGTCTAATTTTACAAACCCTCAGGGTATAGAACTGCATGCTAATTTCATGTTTTCCATTGTCATGAAAAAATTACACTATTTTAAAAATAAAAATCTTCCTACCTGATAAAAACCAGCTATGACGATTTGCGACTAGGTTGCCTACCTACTAGAGCAGAAGCGTGGGGAGGGGCTTTGACTTGATTCCCATATGCACAGAAGCAGCACTGAAGAACCTGCCCCAAGTATCTAGGTTCTATATTCACTGTGTGTTTGAAGTGTAACAGCAAGGGTGAAATGAAAGGCAAGTTGGGTGTCTATATCCTTTCTTCTGGCACTGGTAAAGCTGGCAAATACTGCCTATTCACTTTTGCCTTGCCACACTTTTTTTTTTCCTGCTGATACAGCCACGCTTTGGCACAAAGCAATTATGCTGAGCTAATGTTCTCCAACCACATAAGGGCAAGATGAGTTAAGATGGACAAAGTCTCCCCAAATCCACACTGAATAATTTTTTTTTTCGGTTAGAGGCACAGCCCTGATGCTAAACGAAGAATCTGAGCTAATTTGTATTTATGAAAGGGCACCCACAAATTAAGCAAGCATAATCAACATGGCTAATTGCTAAGTGAAATCAAAATATAAGCCTTGGTGTTGCTAATGGAACATTCTCCAGTTATCTTTGTTCCACCTTGTACAACTACATAATTTACTTTTAATTTGCATAGCAAAATCAACCAACTCTTAGCTCAGGTAAGGGCAAGGGAGTCTATGTGATTCATGGGACGATCACCCCTCCCAGATGCCATAGAAGGTGGCTTTTGACTTCTGTCCCTGAAAAGTTTTCTTTTCTTTTTCTTTTTTCTTTCTTTCTTTCTTTTTTTTTTTTTTTTTTGAGATGGAGTCTCACTCTGTTGCCCAGGCTGGAGTGCAGTGGTGCGATCTCGCTCACTGCAACCTCTGCCTCCCGGGTTCAAGTGATTCTCCTGCCCCAGCCTCCCAAGTAGCTAGGACTACAGATGAGCACCACCACACCCAGCTAATTTTTCTATTTTTGGTAGAGACAGGGTTTTACCATGTTGGCCAGGATGGTCTCAATCTCTTGACCTCGTGATCTGCCTGCCTCAGCCTCCCAAAATGCTGGGATTACAGGCATAAGCCACTGCGCCCGGCCCCCTGAAAATTTTTCAATGCCATTTTGATCTGTGTACTTTTTCCCCTCTGGTGATGTTTGGGGGAGACTTTGTGTTAGTATTCTGGAGACCAAAGAACCCTAGTGGTTGAGAACTATCTCCTAGGTCTCTCTGGTGTCTGCCAAAGGACGAATGGGCTGAGCTGAAGGTGTCTAACCCTTTTCAACCCAGGTGTCCCAGGCACCTGCCACCCCGGATTTGTCTGCCGACTCCAGGGTCCCAGCACCCCTTCTCACACACCAGCGAGCTCACCCCAGACACTCAGATGCATAGGTGAGAGATCGAGAGTGCTCAGCTAACAGAGAAGATGTGAAAACCAGCCTGTGGCACAGGGGCCACACTGGGGAAAATAATGAGAGAGAAACTGGTGCTCACTGACATGCTCTCACACATGTCAGAAACAAATGGCCGGGCTGGGAACAGATGAAGAGCCTCACTCCTGAAGGTGGCTCTGAAGCCTGTCCCGCCCTAATGAATTGTGTCTGATCAGGCAAAATAAGCCTGATCATTTCATTACCCTGGCAGGTAAGCCAGCCAGATTTCACCTGGCTGGTGCTAGAGAGAGGTGTCCCTTCCAAGGAAGAAACTGATCAGCCTGTGCAGAAAACCAGCTTCCTGGAACCATAGCTAAAGCCCAGATCACTGTAGTGATCAAGTGCTCACACCTCACTCACAGCTAGCATTTGTGTTTTTGAAACACCCAGGTAAGAGGGTTAGCCCTTTTCTTCATGCCAGCCAGTTGCAATCACATTGTTGGGCTCCCATCCAATCCCCTTGAAGAGAAATCTTTTTTTTTTTTTTAAATAGAGACAGGGTCTCGCTCTATCACCCAGGCTGGAGGGCAGTGGTATGATCACAGCTCACTGCAGGGTTGAACTCCTGGGCTCAAGCTATCCTCCCACTTTAGCCTCCTGAGTAGCTGGGGAGAAGAGGCATCTTGATACAGACTGGGAATGGGATGAGGACTTCCATATTACCCCATGCATAGAGATACATTAAACATCCCTTAAAAGTGGGTGTGGCCTGGAACATGCTGGCTGGTTGGAACTTCCTTATCATTCCCTTTGCTACCCATGTCTCTCACTGAAGAGTCTGGGAGAGAGAATTCCTCTGAGCAGCAGGAGCTCTTTCCATTCCCTTCCCTGCTGGCTTTTCTATCATCTGAATAAATAGCATGGATTGTTTCTCACTAGTCCAGGCTCATTGGGGCCTGCAACCTGTCAGTGCCTCGGCTGGCTTCCTCTTAATTCAGTGCTGGTCAACTGCCCAGGGTGTAACCTGAAGCGTTGGCATTGAAGAAAAACAATGGTTGGGGGCAGATGGGCACAGACACCCTGTGTGGGTGGTTCTGGCTCTCTCCATAAGATGAAAATGTATAATTTATACTTTCTGTGTATACTCCTAAGAATATGATGCTTGTATGAATGCCATCTGTCCCATAATTGTCCACTGTAACAAATGAAACCATATCCATTTATGGGGCTAGTGCTAGATGCTTGTATAATTCTATGGAATTTCCAGCAATTACCATGTTCGTTTCAGGGATGCTGCGCTGGGATGTTGGCAAAGGATTGTCACTGGCCTTTATGATTGGACGTTCTGAGGCCATTCCCATTTCCCACCACTGCCTCCGCCACCCCAAGGTTCTGCTGCTGTAGCTTCCCAACATTTGCCTTGTTTTCAGGAATGTTTCTCCTTCCATATCATTCACATTACATAGCCCTCAAGGGCAGTGATAGGAAAAGCGCAAAGGAAGCTGAGTTAGCCTAAATCAAATTGAGCAGGGTTACAATGAGAAAGCCAGGTTCTCTATGTGATCTTTCTTTTTGACTTCCTGATGCTAAAAGCTATCTTCCAATCGTGACCCTCACTCATTTAACCAGTATTTGTTGAGTAACTGGATGAGTTTAGAGAATTGAGAAGAAAGCACATAAATGTGTTACTTCAGTAAGAGCTAGCATTGTCATAGAAAAAGAAAAGAAAAACGTCAAGCAAATATCCTAAAACTTGTTCCAGGACAAACTTAATTATGTAACTCCTTGCTGCTTGAGCTTTTTATAAAATCCATTTGCTCATTTTGGGAAATCTACTCCACCTTGACGTTCTGGCAGATGGGGAGATATAGTTGCCATCTGTCTTTATTTTTTTAACCCCTCCACAGGACATCACAAAGTGGGCACCACAGGGACATCCCATACTGCCAACTCTGTTCTTTCACCCAAATGCTTGCTGCTTCTCTACCCAGATCTCCAGCAGGGGAGAGGCTGGCACAGGTCTCTGGCTGATGTCTGCCTGCCCTTTAGCTCTTTGGGAAAGGAAAAGTAGGACTGGGCTGGAGGGATCTGGGTAAGCAGGTTTTGCTGGAAAAGTACAGTTTCAGGGATTTTGGCTTTTGGAGCCAGAGTCTCTTTCTGCACATGTTCTTTATTCAGTATAGTCAGTTTGCTCTCTGTTCCTCTCTGGAGGACATGCTCTGGGGGCTGGGGGAGCAATGGCTGGTCTGACCATAGCTTTGTTCTGTTTCGTGATGGCAGCTAGAGCCTGAAGCATGGTGTTTCCTCTTCCATTAGCTCCTTGATGTCAGGGACTGTGGCTTCTTTGTCATTGTATCCATATCCTAGAGCCTGGCACAGTGCTTGGCACATCGTGGTGCTCACTGTATATTTTAAAAAGTGAATGAGTCAAAGAAAGGAAATAAGACAGTGTGGACTATAGACAGGGAATGGAATTTGGTTAGATAACCTGGTTTGGCTCCCAGCTTTGATGCTCAATACCAGAACAGGCAAGTTCCTTATCCTTGCCAAATCAGTTTTCCCATCTGTAAAATGGGACCATCATCCTTGCCTCTTAGGGCTGCTGGGAGGATGGAATGACATAGAGTGATGTACCTCTTGGTTCATGGCAGTCCTTAAAGGGTGTTTGCCATTTACTGGAAAGTCCCCGGTGTCTCTTCACAGACCTTGGTGCCCAGAATGTAGCCTTGGCCAACTTGGGGTTCTGGGGACAGCAGTAAACCAGCCTAAGGGCACCAAGGTGACATCTGGCGTATCAGAGTCTCTGGATCATTGTGGTATCTCCTGCCCTGAACACACTTCACTGATTATGTCTGCATCTCCTTTGCCATCTGAATTTTATCTGTGCGGGCAAACACACTTTAATACTATTGAGTTTTGTTTTCAGCACAGGCTTGGAAAGCATGGCGTATGAAATACAGGAAAGCAAACAGGCGGAGTGAGCAGGATGGCCCACTTCTAGCACAGTTGGGGTGGAGTCCAGCTCTGCCATTAATCAACCCTGTTGCCTCGGGCAAATCGTGAACCTCGTTTGGCCTTACTTTCCTGTTTCCTAAAATAGTGAGTGGGTGGCTATTGCTACTGGGGAGTTGCTCTAAATCCTGTCTCACCATTTTTTTTTTGGCCACAATCACAGGACAGATGGCATTCATACATGCATCATATTCTTAGGGGTGTACACAGATTTTGAGAAACCTCCCCAAATGTTATATAGGAACTAAGGAATTCACCATTTTGAAGTTACTACCAATACCAGCAGTTTAGCAAAATCACCTTCTTGCTATGGGCCATGGGCATAGATAGGATTGCCCATGAGTTATCCGCAGTTTCTTTGCAAATGCTGTAGGTCTGTGCGTCTAAGCTGTCTCTTCCACATGAGGAAGTAAAGTAGATCAGAATATGAGTGAGATCGATGTTCTTATGGGGTAACTGTGCTTCTGCCTTATTTTATTAAAAAAAATCACAATTCCCAATCTTGGGTTCTCAGTGAATAGTAGCACATTTCTTGTGATATAACTGATCAGGACACACCCATTTGTTGTTACATCAGAGTTGATCATTAATGGAGCAGATATTTTCAAAAGAGGCTTTCAGCGTGACAGATTGGTACTGTTGATTTCACACGTGTCTAGGACTTGCTTTTTTTTGAGATAGAGTCTTGCTCCGTCGCTCAGGCTGGAGTGCAGTGGCACGATCTCAGCTCATGGCAACCTCTGTCTCCTGGGTTCAAGTGATTCTGCTGCCTCAGCCTCTCATGTAGCTGAGATTACAGGCACACGCCACCATGCCCAGCTAATTGTTGTATTTTTAGTAGAGACGGGGTTTCACCATGTTGGCCAGGCTGGTCTCCAACTCCTGACCTCAGGTGATCTGCCCACCTCGGCCTCCCAAAGTGCTGGGATTATAGGTGTGAGCCCCTGTGCCCGGCCGTGCTTCTAAGATAGAGAAATTCAGCTGAACAGCAGGCTGCTATAATGGAGTGGAGTTGGTGAGGAGAGGGTGGGGAAGAGCCCAGAGCCAAAGAATCTTGAAAATACTTTTTCTCAATAACTCACCCACTGCAGACATCATTTCCAATCATGGCATATATAACGATGGCGGGATAGTCCAACACCTTGTTTCTAGACAAGCTGAGAAGGCATAGATGGAATCTGAATGTCAGATACTTGGAAACCTAGCTTTGTAGCCAGTGACACAGGCTGGGCCTTTGAAAACAATCTTGGTATGACCACCCTCTTGGCAACTTTTTGCTATTTTTCTTTCATTCTAGTACAGCCAACCACCATTCCCATCTCCCATTTATTCTCTATAATCATTATCCCACTTGCCTATTAGAGAAAGGCCACATAAATGCATAAAATTGAAAAGAATGGATTGAGGTCCTGGGTAAATAGACACAATGCTATCTTCTTGGCATCTTTCACAGCAATTGCATCAATAAGCACAGGCGAGTTATTGGGTTCCTTATGTCCATGTTCTTAGGATAACCTGGCAGCCGTGGACCCATAGTCAACTTTGAAAAGGCAAAGGCTTCTTGAGGCTTCCAGTCAGGACACCTCGAGCCTTGCTTCTGAATTTCAAGCCCCAAATAAGCATAAAAAATGTTTTCTCATTCATAAAGCAGGGATATGACATCATCCTTTTGTCTGTCAGAGCTAAGTTTTACCAACTCTCTATGCATTTTTATCACCCTTCTTTGAGGACATATGCAAATTAATCACTTTCTATGCTCACTGGCCCAAGGAGTGATATCCTTGAGTTTGGATAGTGACTAACAAGCTATTTATGCTCAGTAAAAATGATTATGGGGTAATAACAGAGTTTTCATTCCTTATTCAAAATGAGAAACCAAATTAAAAACAACTTCTTATCTTCTGCTTACCTTTCTATAAATTTCTTCAGGTTTCGGGAAGATGCACCTGAATAATTAAAATTAAGAAAACAATTAAAGTTAGTGAGTTCAATTTCACACTATCAATATGGGAGTCTGATTGACTGAACTCATGAAAGCGGCATTACTGTTCGGGCAAAGGTTGTTCTGACCAACACATTGATGGAAATAATTTTCTTCCAATCAGTTTCTGTAGTGTTTAATCCTGGAACTCTCCTTAAGGGCTTTTCTGTTTATTTAGCAGTATATTAACAAAACCAAAATTTATTTGGATTCATGGGTCTTCAGACATTTCCTAAGCATAAATGAGTAAATCTTCTAGTAGATGTGAGAAAAAAAGTATGTATCTACTACCAAAGAGACAAACTACCGAAAATATTCAAGAATGAGTTGAAGAATTAGAGGAAAACGAAAAGAATGTTACGAGAATTACCCACCTCCTTGGAGAGCCCCATTTAATCTCCTCCTATTATTCTTGCACACTCCCAAGGCTCCCGCAGGCTGTCTGGTCAACACAAGGTTCAGATTGTAGAGTTGATATATTTCAACTCTTGTAATGATATGCATGACCATCCTGCCCCAATCCCCGTTACCACCTGTAACATATCTCTTATATGAAAACCCAGACCGGGCGTGGTGGCTCACACCTGTAATCCCAGCACTTTGGGAAGCTGAGGCGGGCGGATCACTTGAGGTCAGGAGTTCGAGACCAGCCTGGCCAACATGGCGAAACCTTGTCTCTACTAAAAATACAAAAAAATTAGCCAGGCGTGGTGGCGTGCGCCTGTAATCCCAGCTACTCGGGAGGCTGACGCAGGAGAATTGCTTGAACCTGGGAGGCAGAGGTTGCAGTGAGCTGAGATCATGCTGCTGCACTCCAGCCTGGGTGACCAGAGAGAGACTTGTCTCAAAAAAAAAAAAAAGAAAATCATATTTGTTGAATACTTATTTTATTCTAGGTGCTGTTAAACTTTTACAGCTCATTTAAGCTGTGGTACAATTGTGTGAGGTAGCTACTGTTGTATTCCCACTTTTAAATTAGGAAACTGAGGCCCACCTAAGTGGCTTGCCCAAAGCCACACAGGTACTCATTCGAAGAACTGCAGTTCATACCAGTCCCTTCCGTCTGCCATCCTGAGCTCTGGCTTCCTGTGGACAGTGCTCCTCTAGGCTGTAGTTGAGAAAGAGTTAACCCAAACCAGTGTACTGTCTTTTTGTCCCCAAGAGACAGATCTGCTAGAAATAAGCAAGTGATTGTCAGGTGGGTGGTGCAACTCGGTGGACCGAGTTGGAGAAATACCATCCAGTTGCCCCTTTCCATAGGAAGATTCTTCTATAACTTCCAGCCTTGGAAGCTTGGGGATAAGTGCATTTTACCGGAGACCCAGGTATGTTCTTCCAGTTCCACGTGGGAAAAAGGGCAGCGTGTAGCCATGAAGGGTATGCTGGCCTGTGTCTCACTGAAGCTGTGTAGCTATGCAATGATTGCCTCTTTGTCACATGCAGCTAGTGGCAAGCTGTACAGGCAGCACTGATGTTCTCTTGGTTGATTCAGGAAATGTTAGCACATTAAATAAATATTGCTTTATTTCCATTTTATTATGGTAAAATGTACATCTCATTTCTTTCTTTTTTTTTTTTTTTTAGACAGAGTCTTGCTCTGTTGCCCAGGCTGGAGTGCAGTGGTGCGATCTTGGCTTACTGCAATCTCTGCCTCCTGGGTTCAAGTGATTCTCCTGCCTCAGCCTCCTGAGTAGCTGCGATTACAGGCATGTGCCACCATGCTTGGCTAGTTTTTGTATTTTTAGTAGAGATGGGGTTTCACCATGTTGGTCAGGCTGGTGTCGAACTCCTGACCTCATGATCTGCCTGCCTTGGCCTCCCAAAGTGCTGGGATTACAGGTGTGAGCCACCGCATCTGGCCTCATTTCATCTTTCCATCCCTTTTGAGTGTACAATTCAGTGGCATTCAGTTCATTTACATTGTTGTGCAACCATCATCACCACCCATCTCCAGAACTTTTCCATCATTCCAAACCGAAACTCAAAATGCATTAAAGAATAACTTTCCACTAACTCCTCCCTCCAGTCCCTGATAGCCACCCTCCTACTTTCTGCCCTTACGCATTTAACTATTCTAGGCACCTCATGTAGATGGCTCATGTCATACTTGTCCTTTTGGGTCTGGTTTATTTTACTCAGTATAATGTCCTCAAGCTTCATTCATAACACATTTTGTTTATCCATTCATTCTTTGATGGCCATTTGGGTTGTTTCCACCTTTTGGTTGTTGTGAATAACGCTGCTATGGATAGTCCCTGCTTTCAAGTGTTTTGGACGTATGGTATATCTAACTGAAAGTGCTGGGCTGTATTGTAATACTATGTTTAATTTTTTTTAGAAATGACTATATCATCTTCTTTCTTTTTTGTAGTGAGGCAAGGAATCATTATTATTATTTTAATTTCAACTTTTACTTTTGATTCAGGGGATACAGGTGCACTTCTGTTACCTGGGTATATTGTGTAATGCTGAGGTTTGGGGGACAATTGATCCCATCACCCAGGTACTGAGCATAGCAGACCCAATAGGTAATTTTCTTTATTTTTTATTTTAAGTTCCAGGATACATGTGTAGGTTTGTTACATAGGTAAATATGTGCCATGGTGGTTTGCTGCACCTATCAAGCCATCACCTAGGTATTAAGCCCAGCACTCCCACAACAGGCCTCAGCATGTGTTGTTCCCCTTCATGTGTCCAAGTGTTCTCATTGTTCAGCTACCAATCATAAGTGAGAACATATGATGTTTGGTTTTCTGTTCCTGTGTTAGTTTGCTGAGGATAAAGGTTTCCAGCTCCACCCATGTCCCTGCAAAGAACATGATCTCATTCCTTTTTATGGTTGCATAGTGTTCTGTGGTGTATGTGTACCACATTTTCTTTATCCAGTCTATCATCAATGGGTATTTGGGTTGATTTCATCTCTTTGCTATCATGAATAGTGCTGCAATGAACATACACATGCATGTATCTTTATAACAGAATGATTTATATCCCATTGGGTATATAACCATAATGGGATTGCTGGGTCAAATGGTATTTCTGGTTCTAAATCTTTGAGGAAGTGCCACACTGTCCTCCACAATGGTTGAACTAATTTACATTCCCACCAACAGCGTAAAAGCATTCCTATTTCTCCACAACCTCGCCAGCATCTGTTTCTTGACTTTTTAATAATCGCTGCTCTGACTGTCATTTTCAACCCTTGCTCCCCTCCATGCCTCCCCACCTCTAGTAGTCTTGTGCCTATTCTTGCCATCTTTATGTCCATGAGTATCCATTGTTTAGCTCCTACTTGTAAGTGAGAACATATGGTATTTGGTTTTCTGTTTCTACATTAATTCGCTTAGGATAATGGCCTTCAGCTGCCTCCATGTTACTAGCAACGACATGATTTAGTTCTTTTTATGGCTGCATAGAATTCCATGGTGTATATGCACCACATTTTCTTTTTTTTTTTCTTTTTTTATTATTATTATACTTTAAGTTTTAGGGTACATGTGCACAATGTGCAGGTTACTTACATATGTATACATCTGCCATGCTGGTGCGCTGCACCCACTAACTCGTTATCTAGCATTAGGTATATCTCCCAATGCTATCCCTCCCCCCTCCCCCCACCCCACAACTGTCCCCAGAGTGTGATGTTTCCCTTCCTGTGTCCATGTGTTCTCATTGTTCAATTTCCATCTATGAGTGAGAACATGCGGTGTTTGGTTTTTTGTCCTTGCAATAGTTTACTGAGAATGATGATTTCCAATTTCATCCATGTTCCTACAAAGGACATGAATGAATGTCCCTACAAAGGTCATCATTTTTTAGGGCTGCATAGTATTCCATGGTGTATATGTGCCACATTTTCTTAATCCAGTCTATCATTGTTGGACATTTGGGTTGGTTCCAAGTCTTTGCTATTGTGAATAGTGCCGCAATAAACATACGTGTGCATGTGTCTTTATAGCAGCATGATATATAATCCTTTGGATGTATACCCAGTAATGGGATGGCTGGGTCAAATGGTATTTCTAGTTCTAGATCCCTGAGGAATCGCCACGCTGATTTCCACAATGGTTAAACTAGTTTACAGTCCCACCAACAGTGTAAAAGTGTTCCTATTTCTCCACATCTTCTCCAGCACCTGTTGTTTCCTGACTTTTTAATGATCGCCATTCTAACTGGTGTGAGATGGTATCTCATTGTGGTTTTGATTTGCATTTCTCTGATGGTCAGTGATGAGCATTTTTTCATCTGTCTTTTGGCTGCATAAGTGTCTTCTTTTGAGAAGTGTCTGTTCATATCCTTTGCCCACTTTTTCATGGGGTTGTTTGTTTTTTCTTGTAAATTTGTTTGAGTTCATTGTAGATTCTGGATATTAGCCCTTTGTCAGATGAGTAGGTTGGGAAAATTTTCTCCCATTTTGTAGGTTGCCTGTTCACTCTGATGGTAGTTTCTTTTGCTGTGCAGAAGCTCTTTAGTTTAATTAGATCCCATTTGTCAATTTTGGCTTTTGTTGCCATTGCTTTTGGTGTTTTAGACATGAAGTCCTTGCCCATGCCTATGTCATGAATGGTAATGCCTAGGTTTTCATTTAGGGTTTTTATGGTTTTAGGTCTAATGTTTAAGTCTTTAATCCATCTTGAATTAATTTTTGTATAAGGTGTAAGGAAGGGATCCAGTTTCAGCTTTCTGCATATGGCTAGCCAGTTTTCCCAGCACCATTTATTAAATAGGGAGTCCTTTCCCCATTGCTTGTTTTTCTCAGGTTTGTCAAAGATCAGATAGTTGTAGATATGCGGTGTTATTTCTGAAGGCTCTGTTCTGTTCCATTGATCTATATCTCTGTTTTGGTACCAGTACCATGCTGTTTTGGTTACTGTAGCCTTGTAGTATAGTTTGAAGTCAGGTAGCATGATGCCTCCAGCTTTGTTCTTTTGGCTTAGGTTTGACTTGGTGATGTGGGCTCTTTTTTGGTTCCATATGAACTTTAAAGTAGTTTTTTCCAATTCTGTGAAGAAAGTCATTGGTAGCTTGATGGCGATGGCATTGAATCTACAAATTGCCTTGGGCAGTATGGCCATTTTCACAATATTGATTCTTCCTACCCATGAGCATGGAATGTTCTTCCATTTGTTTGTATCCTCTTTTATTTCATTGAGCAGTGGTTTGTAGTTCTCCTTGAAGAGGTCCTTCACGTCCCTTGTAAGTTGGATTCCTAAGTATTTTATTCTCTTTGAAGCAATTGTGAATGGGAGTTCACTCATGATTTGGCTCTCTGTTTGTCTGTTATTGGTGTATAAGAATGCTTGTGATTTTTGTACATTGATTTTGTATGCTGAAACTTTGCTGAAGTTGCTTATCAGCTTAAGGAGATTTTGGGCTGAGACAATGGGGTTTTCTAGATATACAATCATGTCGTCTGCAAACAGGGACAATTTGACTTCCTCTTTTCCTAATTGAATACCCTTTATTTCCTTCTCCTGCCTAATTGCCCTGGCCAGAACTTCCAACACTATGTTGAATAGGAGTGGTGAGAGAGGGCATCCCTGTCTTGTGCCAGTTTTCAAAGGGAATGCTTCCAGTTTTTGCCCATTCAGTATGATATTGGCTGTGGGTTTGTCATAGATAGCTCTTATTATTTTGAGATACATCCCATCAATACCTAATTTATTGAGAGTTTTTAGCATGAAGGGTTGTTGAATTTTGTCAAAGGCCTTTTCTGCATCTATTGAGATAATCATGTGGTTTTTGTCTTTGGTTCTGTTTATATGCTGGATTACATTTATTGACTTGCGCATACTGAACCAGCCTTGCATCCCAGGGATGAAGCCCACTTGATCATGGTGGATAAGCTTTTTGATGTGCTGCTGGATTCGGTCTGCCAGTATTTTATTGAGGATTTTTGCATCAATGTTCATCAAGGATATTGGTCTAAAATTCTCTTTTTTGGTTGTGTTTCTGCCTGGCTTTGGTAGCAGGATGATGCTGGCCTCATAAAATGAGTTAGGGAGGATTCCCTCTTTTTCTATTGATTGGAATAGTTTCAGAAGGAATGGTACCAGTTCCTCCTTGTACCTCTGGTAGAATTCGGCTGTGAATCCATCTGGTCCTGGACTCTTTTTGGTTGGTAAGCTATTGATTATTGCCACAATTTCAGCTCCTGTTATTGGTCTATTCAGAGATTCAACTTCTTCCTGGTTTAGTCTTGGGAGAGCGTATGTGTCAAGGAATTTATCCATTTCTTCTAGATTTTCTAGTTTATTTGCGTAGAGGTGTTTGTAGTAATCTCTGATGGTAGTTTGTATTTCTGTGGGATCGGTGGTGATATCCCCTTTATCGTTTTTTATTGCGTCTATTTGATTCTTCTCTCTTTTTTCCTTATTAGTCTTGCTAGCGGTCTATCAATTTTGTTGATCCTTTCAAAAACCAGCTCCTGGATTCATTGATTTTTTGAAGGGTTTTTTGTGTCTCTATTTCCTTCAGTTCTGCTCTGATTTTAGTTATTTCTTGCCTTCTGCTAGCTTTTGAATGTGTTTGCTCTTGTTTTTCTAGTTCTTTTAATTGTGATGTTAGGGTGTCAATTTTGGATCTTTCCTGCTTTCTCTTGTGGACATTTAGTGCTATAAATTTCCCTCTACACACTGCTTTTAATGTGTCCCAGAGATTCTGGTATGTTGTGTCTTTGTTCTCGTTGGTTTCAAAGAACATCTTTATTTCTGCCTTCATTTCGTTATGTACCCAGTAGTCATTCAGAAGCAGGTTGTTCAGTTTCCATGTAGTTGAGCGGTTTTGAGTGAGTTTCTTAATCCTGAGTTCTGGTTTGTTTGCACTGTGGTCTGAGAGACAGTTTGTTATAATTTCTGTTCTTTTCCATTTGCTGAGGAGAGCTTTACTTCCAACTATGTGGTCAATTTTGGAATAGGTGTGGTGTGGTGATGAAAAAAATGTATATTCTGCTGATTTGGGGTGGAGAGTTCTGTAGATGTTTATTAGGTCCACTTGGTGCAGAGCTGAGTTCAATTCCTGGGTATCCTTGTTAACTTTCTGTCTCATTGATCTGTCTAATGTTGACAGTGGGGTGTTAAAGTCTCCCATTATTATTGTGTGGGAGTCTAAGTCTCTTTGTAGGTCACTCAGGACTTGCTTTATGAATCTGGGTGCTCCTGTATTGGGTGCATATATATTTAGGATAGTTAGCTCTTCTTGTTGAATTGATCCCTTTACCATTATGTAATGGCCTTCTTTGTCTCTTTTGATCTTTGTTGGTTTAAAGTCTGTTTTATCAGAGACTAGGATTGCAACCCCTGCCTTTTTTTGTTTTCCATTTGCTTGGTAGATCTTCCTCCATCCTTTTATTTTGAGCCTATGTGTGTCTCTGCACGTGAGATGGGTTTCCTGAATACAGCACACTGATGGCTCTTGACTCTTTATCCAATTTGCCAGTCTGTGTCTTTTAATTGGAGCATTTAGTCCATTTACATTTAAAGTTAATATTGTTATGTGTGAATTTGATCCTGTCATTATGATATTAGCTGGTTATTTTGCTCGTTAGTTGATGCAGTTTCTTCCTAGTCTCAATGGTCTTTACATTTTGGCATGATTTTGCAGCAGCTGGTACCAGTTGTGCCTTTCCATGTTTAGTGCTTCTTTCAGGAGCTCTTTTAGGGCAGGCCTGGTGGTGACAAAATCTCTCAGCATTTGCTTATCTGTAAAGGATTTTATTTCTCCTTCACTTATGAAGCTTAGTTTGGCTGGATATGAAATTCTGGGTTGAAAATTCTTTTCTTTAAGAATGTTGAATATTGGCCCCCACTCTCCTCTGGCTTGTAGAGTTTCTGCTGAGAGATCAGCTGTTAGTCTGATGTGCTTCTCTTTGTGGGTAACCCGACCTTTCTCTCTGGCTGCCCTTAACATTTTTTCCTTCATTTCAACTTTGGTGAATCTGACAATTATGTGTCTTGGAGTTGCTCTTCTCGAGGAGTATCTTTGTGGTGTTCTCTGTATTTCCTGAATCTGAATGTTGGCCTGCCTTGCTAGATTGGGGAAGTTCTCCTGGATAATATCCTGTAGAGTGTTTTCCAACTTGGTTCCATTCTCCCTGTCACTTTCAGGTACACCAATCAGACGTAGATTTGGTCTTTTCACATAGTCCCATATTTCTTGGAGGCTTTGTTCGTTTCTTTTTATTCTTTTTTCTCTAAACTTCCCTTCTTGCTTCATTTCATTCATTTCATCTTCCATCGCTGATACCCTTTCTTCCAGTTGATTGCATCGGCTCCTGAGGCTTCTGCATTCTTCACGTAGTTCTCGAGCCTTGGCTTTCAGCTCCATCAGCTCCTTTAAGCACTTCTCTGTATTGGTTATTCTAGTTATACATTCGTCTAAATTTTTTTCAAAGTTTTCAACTTCTTTGCCTTTGGTTTGAATTTCCTCCTGTAGCTCGGAGTAGTTTGATCGTCTGAAGCCTTCTTCTCTCAACTCGTCAAAGTCATTCTCCGTCCAGCTTTGTTCCATTGCTGGTGAGGAGCTGTGTTCCTTTGGAGGAGGAGAGGCGCTCTGCTTTTTAGAGTTTCCAGTATTTCTGCTCTGTTTTTTCCCCATCTTTGTGGTTTTATCTACTTTTGGTCTTTGATGATGGTGATGTACAGATGGGTTTTTGGTGTGGATGTCCTTTCTGTTTGTTAGTTTTCCTTCTAACAGACAGGACCCTCAGCTGCAGGTCTGTTGGAGTTTGCTAGAAGTCCACTCCAGACCCTGTTTGCCTGGGTATCAGCAGCAGTGTCTGCAGAACAGTGGATTTTCGTGAATGGTGGATGCTGCTGTCTGATCGTTCCTCTGGAAGTTTTGTCTCAGAGGAGTACCCGGCCGTGTGAGGTGTCAGTTTGCCCCTACTGGGGGGTGCCTCCCAGTTAGGCTGCTCGGGGGTCAGGGGTCAGGGACCTACTTGAGGAGGCAGTCTGCCTGTTCTCAGATCTCCAGCTGTGTGCTGGGAGAACCACTGCTCTCTTCAAAGACATTTAAGTCTGCAGAGGTTACTGCTGTCTTTTTGTTTGTCTGTGCCCTGCCCCCAGAGGTGGAGCCTACAGAGGCCAGCAGGCCTCCTTGAGCTGTGGTGGGCTCCACCCAGTTCGAGCTTCCCAGCTGCTTTGTTTACCTAAGCAAGCCTGGGCAATGGCGGGAGCCCCTCCCCCAGCCTCGCTGCTGCCTTGCAGTTTGATCTCAGACTGCTGTGCTAGCAATCAGCGAGACTCCGTGGGCATAGGACCCTCTGAGCCATGTGCAGGATATAATCTCCTGGTGCGCTGTTTCCTAAGCCCGTTGGAAAAGCACAGTATTGGGGTGGGAGTGACCCGATTTTCCAGGTGCCGTCTGTCACCCACTTCCTTGACCAGGAAAGGGAACTCCTTGACCCCTTGCACTTCCCGAGTGAGGCAATGCCTCGCCCTGTTTTGGCTCGCACATGGTGCGCTGCACCCACTGTCCTGCACCCACTGTCTGGCACTCCCTAGTGAGATGAACCCGGTACCTCAGATGGAAATGCAGAAATCACCCATCTTCTGTGTCACTCACGCTGGCAGCTGTAGACCAGAGCTGTTCCTATTCAGCCATCTTGGCTCCTCCCACATTTTCTTTATTCAATCCACTGTTATGGGCATCTAGGTTGATTCCATGTCTTTGCTATTGTGAATAGTGTTGTGATGAATATATGGGTACATATGCCCTT
This sequence comes from Homo sapiens, assembly GCF_000001405.40. Classification (NCBI taxonomy): domain Eukaryota; kingdom Metazoa; phylum Chordata; class Mammalia; order Primates; family Hominidae; genus Homo; species Homo sapiens. The sequence continues at coordinate 36,559,229 of NC_000007.14, forward strand.
TTGGTAGAATAATTGATTTTCTTTTGGGTATATACCCAGTAACAGGATTGCTGGGTCAAATGGTAGTTCTCAAAGTTCTTTGAGAAATCTCCAAACTGCTTTCCACAGTGGCTGAACTAATTTACATTCCCACCAGTAGCGTATAACCATTCCTTTTTCTCTGCAGCCATGTCAGCATCTGTTGTTTTCTGACTTTGTAATAATAGCCATTCTGACTGGTGTGAGATGGTATTTCATTGTGGTTTTGATTTGCATTTCTCTGATGATTAGTGATGTTGTGTCTTTTTTCATATGCTTGTTGGCTGCTTATATGTCTTCTTTTGAGAAGTATCTGTTCATGTCTTTTGCCCATTTTTTTAATGGGGTTATTTGGTTTTTGCTTGTTCAATTGTTTAAATTCCTTACAGATTCTGGATATTCGACCTTGATTGGATGCATCATTTGTGAATATTTTGTAGGTTGTCTGTTTACTCTGTTGATGGTTTCTTTTGCTGTCCAGAAGCTCTTTAATTAGGTCCCACTTGTCAATTTTTGTTTTTGTTGCAATTGCTTTTGAAGACTTAGTCATAATTTTTTTCCCAAGACCAATGTCTAGAATGGTGTTTCCTAGGTTTTCTTCTAGGATTCTTATACTTAAGGTCTTACATTTAATTCTTTAATCCATTTGAGTCAATTTTTGTATATGGTGAAAGATAGGGGTCCAATTTTATTCTTCTGCCTATGGCTTGTCAGCTATCCCCACATCATTTATTGAACAGGGAGTCCTTTCCCTATTGCCAATTTTTGTTGACTTTGTTGATGGTCAGATGGCTGTAGGTGTGCTATCTTATTTCTGGACTCTCTGTTCTGTACCATTGGTCTGTGTGTCTGTTTTTGAACCAGTACCATGCGTTTTGGTCACTGTAGCCTTATAGTATAGTTTGAAGTTGGGTAATGTGATGCCTCTAGCTTTATTCTTTTTGCTTAGGATTGCTTTGTCTATTCAGGCTTTTTTTTGGTTCCATATGAATTTTAGAATAGTTTTTTTATAATTCTGTGAAAAATGATATTGGTAGCTTGATAAAAATAGCACTGGATCTATAGATTGCTTTGGGCAGTATGGCCATTTTAACAATATTGATTCTTCCAATTCAGGAACATGGAATATTTTTCCATTTGTTTTGTGTCATCCATGATTTCTTCCAGCAACGTTTTTTAGTTCTCCTTGTAGAGGTCTTTGACCTCCTTGGTTAGATGTATTCCTAGGTATTTTATTTTCTTGGGATATTGTAAATGGGATTATGTTCCTGATTTGGCTCTCAGCTTGAATGTTATAGATATATAGACATTTTACTGATTTTTGTACATTGATTTTGTACCCTGAAACTTTGCTAAAGTTGTTTATCAGTTCCAGGAGCCTTTTAGTGTAGTCTTTAGGGTTTTCTAGGTGTAAGAATCATATTGTAGTGAAGAGAGACGGTTTGACTTCTTCTTTTCTTATTTGGATGCTTTTTATATCTTTCTTTTGCCTGATTGCTCTGGCAAGGACTTCCAGTACTATGCTGAACAGGAGTGATGAGAGTGGGCATCCTCTTCTTGCTTTACTTCTCAAGGGAAATGCTGCCTAGGAATTATTAAAATGCACATAGCCATATAAATTAGGAGTAATCAGTCCATTTCTGTGTGCATTTTGTTCCTTTACCTACTCCATCCATTTCTTGAGCACTGGCATGTGCCTGCCATAAAGCAGGGATTAACAGATGAGGTGGACACAGCCTCAATACTTTCTGAATAGTATCTATGGGGGTAGACACATAATTGAGCACTGGGAACTTTTTTTTTTTTTTTTTTTTGAGACGGAGTCTCACTCTATCCCCCAGGCTGGAGTGCAGTGGCGGATCTTGGCTCACTGCAACCTCCACCTCCCAGGTTCAAGGGATTCTCCTGCCTCAGCCTCCCATGTAGCTGGGATTACCAGCACCCACCAGCATGCCCAGCTAATTTTTGTATTTTTAGTAGAGATGGGGTTTCATCATGTTTCCCAGGCTGGTCTTGAGCTCCTAACCTCAGGTAATCCACCTGCCTTCGCCTCCCAAAGTGCTGGGATTACAGGCATGAGCCACCATGCCCAGATGACAATTTTAAGAGATTAGTGAAAATCCAACCCCAATGCTCGAAAACAGGAAAAGCCAATTGATTTGAGGCCTATTATCTCTATTCAGGGAAGGTGCCAGATTTCATAACACTGAGTCCTCAGTACAAGGGCTCCAGTCTTTCTGGGAGTGAGTGCTCCCTGTTGTCCTCCAGAGGACAGAAGAGAAGGAGCACAGCCCCCATGCGCTGTGTTGATCTTGCGGTGGCACACGCATCGGCTGGGCCCTTCATTCAGTTCCAGTCCGGTGACTCCTGGCTTCTTATTTTCAGTGAGATAATAGATCAGGAGATGTTTAATTCTCATTCTTTTATTTTTCTCTTAATGAGAAATGAAAACTAATGAAAGCTCAAGCCATAAGTGGGGAAAAAATAATTAAAGGACCAGGTCAGAGCAACACTTGTCTTCATTATCTAGGGTACAGCTGGGAATCTGAGGTGCAGAACACCCACAGAGCTTGAGGAAAATGAAAATGAAAGCCTGTTGTGACATGCCACATGAGCATCCCTTCCTGCGCTCACACCCCTGGGTCCCTTTGCCACTCAGGACAAGGATGCGAGACCAACGGCAATTGGCTGTGAAAAATTTTTGAAAAGCAATCACAAACAGCTACCCAAGGAGTGAGGACTTGTCTGTTCTTCTTTACCCAAATGTCTATTTTTTATAGTAGGTGTCCATACTATGAGCCTAGAATTCTCTTTGCTCCAAAGTTCTTGCGCCTTCCACTATTTCTATTTCCCTTCAGAAACCTGTTTTTTGAGATTATGTAATTAGTTTATGCAATTCTCATGTCACTGTTTCTTGTTAATTTCCTTTTGCTGTTGTTTTGTTATCCTTTTGCCAGACTCATCAACATTTTGTGTCTCTCTCCTTCCCCATCTCTATTGTCTTTCTTCCCCTGTACATAGACTTCTCCCCAGCTGCTTGCTGTTGCTGCTGCTGTTATCATTAGAGAAAATACGGACTGCAGCAAGAAAAGATAGATAGCTCCTAGCCTGTGGGATGTGGCAAAGTAAGGCAAACATTTCAAGAACTGGCACTTTACCCTTAAGAAGTCTATATTCTGATCCCTGCGATCATAGTTTGGAGAAATGAAAGAGGTTTGACCTTGGAATAGGAACATTTTATTTATTTGTCAAGATGGTCCAAATGGAGAGCCCACCTGTCTCCAATGACGAGAAGAAAAGGGTCCACACAGGCCTTTAAGTCTGATTCATCCAGTTTCTTTTAAATAAGGTGCAGGGCATTGAAAGAAGAGAAAGGTTTCACATAATCCCAGCATTGGTTATCCCTCCATAAATGCATATTCAGAAACACCTTTACGGAGTTGGTTTCCAAAGATCCTCCCTTCCCATGATCTCTCTAGTACTTTTTGGTTCCCTGGACTCCGCAATTTGGTCCTGTAGCCAGAAAGTCGGGGCTTTAGTGCTCCACTCTGCTGTGCTCTTCCTAAAAATTCACTCATGGTAACCCCAAGTGATGGGAGAACAGAATAAGAAAAAAGGCAGGCCAGACGCGGTGGCTCACACCTGTAATCCCAGCACTTTGGGAGGCCAAGGCAGGCAGATCATGAAGTCAGGAGTTCGAGACCAACCTGGCCAACATGGTGAAACCCCATCTCTACTAAAAATACAAAAATTAGCCAGGCGTGGTGGCAGGCGCCTGTAATCCCAGCTACTCAGGAGGCTGAGGCAGGAGAATCACTTGAAACCAGAAGGCGGAGGTTGCAGTGAGCCGAGATCGTGCCACTGCACTCCAGCCTGTGCAACAAGAATGAAACTCCGTCTCAAAAAAAAAAAAAAAAAAAAAAAAAAAAAAAAAAAAAGGCAATGGGAGTTTGCCCCACCTTCCTGGGACCACAACTATTCCAGTGAAGAGGCAGTCTCCCTCAAACCTCTTTGGAATTCTAGGCACCTGTATGTCCCCACTATTTCTGCTGTCACTGCCAGGAGACCACTTTCCCAGATCTAGAGTGAGAACTAGAGGGTTTCTTCTTGAAGTGACCTGTCTGTGCTGCTTCTGGGTTTTGGGCTGCCTTGAGTCCAGGTTGGAAGATACCAGAGGATAGCATAATGCTAACCTCACTGCTCATTTGGTGGTGGCCCTAATTCTGATTTTCTTCTTCACTTGGCCTGCTATTTAATTTCCAGAGTGCTCCAGCTATTCCATACACTCTGTCCAGGTTTTACAGCTATTTTCAGTGGGAGAGACAGGGTGGGGTATGTTTACTCCATTGTACTTGAAACCAGAAACTGGAATCTGTTAAAAAGAGTATGAAAAGTTCTTGGAAAATACTGTATCATACACTGTCCTAAAATACATCTATTAACATTTTTGAACACGAGTTAGAATTTTAAATATTGCAGATTTTGCTTTTATTTTTATGATTTAGAGGTAGTTTCAGGAGAATGATTTGTACAATCCATTAAAAAAATCCATCATGAGAAATTTAAATTCTTTTTCTTCTCTAAAAATATTTGCTTGCAATAGGCAGAAACATTGAGACTACTCTATTGACCTTGAGCTCAAAATAGTAGGCACTTAACAATTGTTTGTTGTGGCAGTTTCTACTACTGTAAATGCTTTCAGATTCACAAGTGTGGCTCTGAATTTCAGCTAAATGATTCTCTAAAACATAGATTTTTAAAAGGATGCATAATAATAGCCTTCCCACAGTAGCTGTGATCTGCCTCCAGTTTCAAAGCCTGACATAGCCCCACAAATATCTTTCAGCCATGTCCAACTTCTCTCTCCCTCTTCCTCAAAGATGTTTACCCCTCAGAGCCTCCCAGCTCTGAGTCACCATCTCCCTGTCCTTTTTGAATTCCTATTTATTTCTTCAGGGCTCTCAGCTCAAATTTTAACTCGTATGTAAAGTCTTCCCCTACTTCTACAGACAGAGTTAAGTGCTTCTTATGTCCAGAGGCCTCAACTTGCCTTTATTTCACTGCCCTTTCACCAGAAACACAATGATTCCCTTTTTGTCTTTGTTTCCCATTTGATGATGATCTCCTTGAAGGTGGGGGCTTTGTCTTTCTCATCTTTCTATTTCTAGCACCTATTGCAATATTGGAGAGAAAGGAGAGGAGGGGAGTGGTGGGGCAAAGTCAAGTGGAAAATGAGCAGAAGGAAAGTGAAAGAGAAGACCAGAGGTAAAAGCCTCATCCCAGGATGCTTTGGAACTGATAGAAATGACAGCTCACTCAAGCTATCAGTACAAGCAGCAGATAACTTTCCCTGATGTCCTTTATCTCAAGCCCTAAACAAAAGACATCTGTTTAAAGGACATCCCGCTAGGACTTCAGGAGCCCTGGCCATTGCCAATGACATTAAAAACATGTAAGGCATTTGCTTCTGAATTTTCCCTCTGTAGTTGTGCTGTTTCAAGCAGTGCAGGATAAAAATCTTGACAAAACAGATGCATCAAAAGCGCACACTCTTCACATTACAATCACTGTCATGCCTTGCTCCTATCTAGATGGTTTGCATGAAACAGTAAGCCAGGAAGAGTTGCATGAGTAAGTCCTAAGAAATAGTCCCATTTGAATCAGAATGTCTCCATTATTTAACGAACCTTTAAATTTCAAAACCTTGAAAGTATTAAAAATGGGAATAATAAATAATAAATACATGAGTAATAACAGAGTGATTTCTAAATGAGATATGTCATATTGAATTCTTTCTCTTTTAAAAGTTTCTAGTGATTAAACACTGTATCTTGGAGATGCATTTTGTCCTTAGGAGAAACAGCAGGTTTTGATGCTCTAGGCATTGAGTATATCTATAAGCATTTGCCTTTTTATATGAAGCATCTCAAAAATTGGTACCAGAATCTGTCTCTGTCACCTCTGTCATCTGTTGCTGTCACCACTCTGTATCAAGGCTCTGCAAACAGAAATGTCCTCATTGTTTGTTATACATAATTTTTGTCATTATCCTCTCAAGGTTTGGGTTGAAACCAAATACTCAACCCAGTAGTTGGGCTCACCAGATATTTACTGAGTGCCTGCTTGAGCTTGACAAAGGTGACTTCTTTGCTTCTTTCCAATACTCTTTTCTGCGGCTTTTAAAAAATTACTTCAAAATTTTCATTTTGAAATGATTTCCAAAAAGTTGCAAAAGTAGAACAAAGGATTTATACATGCCTTCACCCAGATTATCTATATGTAAACATCTCTTTTTTTTTTTTTTGAGACAGGGTCTCACTTTGTGGCTCAGGTTGGGGTGCAGTGGCGCAAACACGGCTCACTGTAGGCTCTACCTCTGGGGCTCAAGTGATCCTTCCACCTTAGCCTCCTGAGTAGCTGGGACTATAGGTGTGTGCCACCACAACTGGCTGATTTTTTTTTTTTATTTAAATTTTTAGTAGAGAGGGATCTCGCTATGCGCAGACTTGTCTTGAACTCCTGAGAACATGCAATCCTACCTGCTTCGGCTTCCCAATGTGTTGAGATTACAGGCATGAGACACCGTGCCTGGCCAAATGTGAACATCTTCAATAATTATAGAACAATGAGGACAATCATGAAATCCACAATAACACTATTGCCTGATCTATAGACCTTATTTAAATTTCACTAACTGTTCCACTAATGACCGTGTTCTGGGCTAGGATCTAATTTAGGATCACAAACTGTATTCAGCTATCACATCTCCTTAGTATCCTTTTAATCTAAACTGATTGCTTAGTCTTTCTTTGTCTTTCATGACCTTGACGCTTTTAAGTAATACTGGCTTTTTTTTTTTTTTTTGGTAAAATGTTCCTCAATTTTTGTTTGTATTATGTTTCCTCATGATTACATTCAGGTTATGCAATTTTTGGCAAGAATACAATAGCAGAAGCTCAGTTAGCTAGTTAAAGGTACAAAACCTATTTTGTTCCATAATAGAGATCATGGTGGGGTGGGGACTGTGTTATAAAAATAAGTCCTTCTACGTGTAACTGAATTCAGCTAAGCCTGGATTAATACTCATTTATAGTTTGTCTCTTCATCCTTAACTTTTTTTTTTTTTTTTTTGCCTCTATCTCTTTTCAAGAAGGCCACTTTTGATAATGAGGACTGGCAGAGGGCTGGATTCCGTGGGTTCAGGTATTTAATTCTGACATTCATCATACTCCAGAACAGGTGTTTGCTGTCTTGTCAGAGTAGGTAGCTAGTCAGACATGAGTGGGGCAGGTGAGGCCTCCTGCCCCCAGGAATGTCAGGTGACCATCTCTCTAAAATAATAATTGGTCACAGCCAGCACCAGGGAAAAGCCAGCTCCCAATAGATAGAAAACACCTGAAGCTGGTGATTAGCAGCTTCCCCACAGGATCTCAGGAGTCGGGTGAGTGGACTCAAGCATGCACACTGAGAGGCAACATGGTGGCATGTAACTGATATATGACCTTCCTCCAGGACCACTTGACTAGTAAGGGAAAAATGCCTCACGTAAGCATGCGTGTAACTTCAGTGAACACACTGCGCAGAGCCCCCTCTCAAGGGCTGGCAGACCACTGTGCATACGTGCAGTGATCTCGGCTCACTGCAACTTCTGCCTCCCGGGTTCCAGCGATTCTCCTGCTAAGTCTCTGAATAGCTGGGATTACAGGCAAGCACCACCAAGCCTGTCTAATTTTTTGTATTTTTTTAGTACAGACGGGGCTTCACCATGTTGGCCAGGGTGGTCTTGAACTCCTGATCTCAAGTGATGCACCCACCTCGGCCTCTCAAAGTGCTGGAATTACAGGCGTGAGCCACCGTGCCTGGCCACTGCTCTAAAACTTAAATAAATTTTCACTCCTGCTCTAAAACGTGTCTCTTTCTCTCCATCTGCCCAATGCCCCCAATCGAATTCTTTCTTCTGAGGAGGCAAGAATTGAGGTTGCTGCAGGCTCATATGGATTCCCTGCTGCTAACAGTCTGAGGCAGCAGAATAGTGATTTTAGAAGCCAGAACCCAAATAGCGGACAGTATGGCATGGGTGAGAGCAAGGCCTTTAGTATGAGACAGACAGGGCTTAAGGTATACCCCTGACAAGCTAAAGGACCTTGGGCAAGTTACTTAACCTTTGTGAGCCTCAGTTTCCTCAACTGTAAAATGGAGTTGCTCTGTGAATTAAATGAAGATGGAGTATATAAAGTACTTAACGGAGTGTCTGGCTTAGAGAAGATACTTAGTATTAGCTAAAAATCTATAAAAGTAATAATAGCAACCTGAAACAACTCTCCAGCTAAATTCACACATTCTGCTAACGGATAGCCCTGGAGAATTGGGCCCTTAACAATGGTTCCTGGCAATACTGGTGGGTAAAACATATGATTAACCGTCTAGGGCCTGTGAGGACATCAACCTGTTCTCTCTGGCTTGGAGTAAGGCCCGAATAGTGGTGTTTTTGTGCCCAGGGCAAGTTCCTTTGACAATTCTCTTGCCTACTGAGGAAGCAATTTTTTTCCGTCAGGTTTCTTTAGGTCAGCAGCAGGATGGACTGCTCCCTCACGTCTACTCTTGTTAGGATATCTCCCAGAGGCGGCATCTCTCCTTCTGCTAGACACTGTAGGGGAGGAAAAAGAATCCTTTCCTTTACCCAGCTTAGGCTTTGCAGCTGGGGCCCTGTACATTAGAGTGGCTAAAGGCAGATTCACAAGAGAAAAGAAATAGAAGTTTATTAATATGTGCATTGCACGTGTACACATGAGACCATCCTACGATGTGTAACCCAAAGGGGCAGTTAGAACTTGGGTTTATATAAATCATCTTAGGCTAAAGAAAAAGGGATTTGGGCTTCTGAGTGGGGGAGGCAAGTTATGGGAAGGTAAGGAGGAAAAATATGGTAAATAGGGGTTGTTTAATGAGGTTTGTTATGCAGATTTAAGTTTAAGAGTAAGGTGCCTTCCCCACTGATAACAGGTGTTAAGAGTCCTTCTCTTCCTGGTACAGGGAGCGGGAGATACCTTTTACAAATGTAAATTTCCTTTATAAAAGAAGAACTGTCCTTGCCTCTGCTGGTTCTCAATGGCCTTTAGCTCAAAATAATCCTTATGCCAAAAAGGCACATTTTGCAGGGAAATATTTTGGTGCCTCTCAACAGCCAGGGCCTGGTCAACTCTCTGGAGCTGTTCCTCACTCTTGCAAGCCTTTCTGACCCATTGGGCACCTAAGTCATTGTCCTGCTTTCTCCTGTGGTTCATTCTCAGAGCAGTGCTGTGTTGAGAAAACACAGTCCAACAATCATCCAGAGGGAGTACTGAGCTGTGCTCATAGCATAACTGCCATGCACACCCAGTTCCCCTCTCTTCTGGGGTTTCCCTTCACTCTGATTCTGCTCCAGGGCCTCCCTCCTCAATCCCCTTCAGAAACTCTTTCTTCACCCCTTCTCTGCCCACGTTTCTCTTCTCCCCTCCCCTTCTCTTTCTTCTCTCCTTAGCCTTCCTGACCTGAATATGAAATTGCATATGCTGGCCTGAATTGTGCCCCTTTTCTAATTTCTCTAGGTCTGCCAGATTCTCTCCCATTTTGCAGATGGTTTAACCAAAGTCCAAAGAAGAGAACAAGCAAGATGAGGTTTTTTCAGAGTGTGGGTTGGGGATGGGGGGCAGCCTATGAGGTTCCAGACCAAAGGTGGTCTGCACAAGGGGATGGGAGGAGGGGCAGGTGAGGCTGTAAACACAGACACTTCCATGAAGTGTTAAAATTCTCAATTATTTTTTTTCATATCCAGACACTTCATGTGAGTCCTCTGCTCTCTGCCCTCCCTGTAAGTGGGCGAACAGAGAGGGGAGGCCCCTCACTGTATGAACAGAAGACTGGTCCCAGGAAAACATGCCGTTAGGCACTTTTGAATTTCTGAAAACAAAACAACCCCAAAGAGGTGTGTATATAAAGGTTTTGCTAAGCTTGCTAAAACAAAATGAGGAAGGCTGCCAGTGAAAAAGACATTATATTCCAAGTGAGGAAAGTCTTGTCTGGAAACTGTAAAGAGGGCCTGTGTGCATCTCAGTGACTTCTCCTCTGCAGGCCATGGGTGGCCGCAATGCAAATTCAGACCTGGGATTGGTTTCTGTTCAAAAGCAGATGAGTCTTGTTTACTTTAGAGGTATGTGCCTTACAGATTTTTATTTACTTAAAAAAATCTATCTATCTATCTATCTATCTATCTATCTATCTATCTATCTGTCTATCTTTCTACCAGATTTACATATATATATATAAAACTACCAGATTTACATATCTATCTATCTATCTATCTATCTATCTATCTATCTATCTATCTATCTATCTATTTTTTAGATGGAGTTTCCACTCTTGCTGCCCAGGCCAGAGTGCAATGGCATAATCTCAGCTCACTGCAACCTCCGCCTCCCGGGTTTAAGTGATTCTCCTGCCTCAGCCTCCTGAGTAGCTGGGATTACAGGCACCTGCCACCATGCCTGGCTAATTTTTTTTATTTTTTAGTAGAGATGAGGTTTCACCATGCTGGCCAGGCTGGTCTCAAACTCCTGACCTCAAGTAATCCACCCACCTTGGCCTCCCAAAGTGCTGGGATTATAGGCGTGAACCACCGCGCCCAGCCCCTACTTAAAAATATATTTTATACCACTTTAATATTTGTTTTTCTTCTACTCTTGATTTTATTTTTTGTCTTTTATCTATTTTTTTGTTTTATTGTGGTAAGAACACTTAACATGGTAACTGTTCTCTTAATAGATTTTTAAGCGCACAATACAGTACTATCATCTCTAGGCACAACGTTACACAACAGATCCCTAGGATTTATTCATCTTGCATAATTTAAATTTTAAACCAGTTGAACATCAGCTCCCTATTTCCCTCCCCTTCTCCCAGTTACTGGCAACCACCATTCTACTCTCTGCTTCTGTGAGTTTGACTACTTAGATGGCTCATGTAAGTGGAATCCGGCAGTATTCGTCCTTCTGTGACTGGCTTATTTCACTTAGCATAATGTCCTCAAGATCCATCCATGTCATTGCATGTTCAGAGTGCCCTTTGTTTTAAAGGCTGAATAGTATTCCACTGTGTATGCAGAGACCACATTTTCTTGATCCATTAATCTGTTGATGAACGTTTCCACCTCTTGGCTGTTGCGAAGAATGCCTCCATGAACACAGGAGTGCACATATCTCTTTGAGATCCTCAATTCTTTTGGATAAATACCCAGAAGTGGGATTGCTGGATCATCTGGTAGTTTAATTTTTCATTTTTGGAGGAACCTCCATACTGTTTTCCGTAGCAGCTATACCACTTTGCCTTTCCACCAACAGTGCACAAAGGTTCCAGTTTCTCCACATCCTGTTTGTTGTCTTCTGCTTTTTCGATAGTGAGCATTCTAACTGGTGTGAGGTGATATCTCGTCGTGGTTCTTACACTTTATTTTAAATGAAACATAATCTTGCCAATTGTGGTTTTTGCCCACCACGGTGGTTTTTCAGTTGGCAAGCTGGATTCAGTTGGATTACAATTTGTGCTTTAGTTCTTCTCAAAGGTTTAATGGGACTCCTAACTTATTTAGGTTAAAAAAAAGTGTTTTAGATGTACAAGTCCCTGCTATGCGAAGCAGAGGCTGAGCTAATATCGGCCCCATGTGGCTTCTGTTCCCCATGGGACTGGACATCAGTCTTAAAGCAAATAACGAACCATACACCAAGGAAAGTGCAATAACAGAGGCGTGAGCAAAGGGCTCGCCTGCTGAGTCAGGTGGAGTGGCTAATCCATTCTGCTGGGCATAGGGGCATGAGATCACACAGGACAGGGAGGGATGAATAAAGTCTAGTATTTACTGAGTCCTCGCTGAGAATGAGGCCCCCAGGATTAATGCCCAGGTCTCAAAGAGTGAAATATACAGCACAGGGGTAGGAGACAGTTCAGGGTCCACTTTTGCCCCCCTGGGTCTCCCCAGCTGGGTGGGTGCTGCCAGAGCCGTTTGCTGATGGTCTATCCCCCAAAGGGAGGGCATTTTTTGCTAGAGAGAGGCTGAAACCCCTCATCTGCTTCTCCTCTACCTTAAGCCTCCACCCCCAGCACATCCAAGAGCTCCCAGCTCAATCAGCCAAGGCTGCTCTCCAGCCCCTTCCAATCCTTAGCCCCACCATCCTCAGGGCTTCTTTGGCTGCCTGGCCCTCAGCACTGTCTCCTCTCCTGGTTAATTCCTATCCTTATCCCCTGGTTCCTCCCCAAGTGGAGTCCTGAGCCCACTCCCCAGGCTACAGCCATCTCCTGCCTCTCAGGAGTCTGTCTGCTGCTGCTCACTTATGTCAATCTTAGCTTCCATCACTTCTCACTCCTGTCCCTAGCCCAGCTTTTTCCTTGCAGAGGGAGTCCCTTCTTTCTGCCTGATACTCCAGGCCAATTCAGCTGCCCCCAGCTACCCTCCTGCCTGCTGCTGTCTCTTAGGATCTGGGTATCCAACCCTAGAGCCCTTCTGCTGCCCTCTAAATCTAGGAGCCACAGGCCTTATTATTATTAACATATAGCTTTTGAATTTATTTTTATTTTTTTCAAATCGACTTCTTTCTCTTAAAAATTTTTGAAGTTGATTAATGGTACAAATATACAGATAGATAGAAGAAATATGACCTGGTGTTCTATAGACCAGTAGGGCAACTGTAGTTAACATTAATCTATTGCACATTTTAAAATAGCTACAAGAGAATAATCAGAATGTTCCTAGCATACAGAAAAGATAAATATTTAAGGTGATGGATATCCCAATTACCCTGATTTGATTATAAGAATGTATTAAATGATCACATGTACCCTGAAGATCTGTACATCTATTATGCAGCAATAAAAAATAAATAAAAAATGAAATTATTGCTAACAATAACAAAAAATCTTTTGACATTGAAAAAAATGATTGGGCCAGGCACAGTGGCTCATGCCTGTAATCCCAGCTTTTAGGGAGGCTGAGTCAAGAGGATTGCTTGAGCCCAAGAATTCAAGACCAGCTTTGACAACATAGCAAGGTCCCTGTTTCTACCAAAATAAATAAATAAATGAATAAAATAAAAAATAAAAATAGTCAGGTGTGGTGGTACATGCATGTGGTCCCAGGACTTGGGAGGCTAAGGTGGGAGGATCACTTGAGCCCAGTTGTTTGAGGTTATGGTGAGCTATGACCACGCCACTGTGCTCCAGCCTGAGTGACAGAGTGAGACCCTGTCACAAAAAGAAAAAAAAAAAGGAAAGAAAAGAAAGAAAAAACAAATGGTTTTCAAAACCACTGAGTAAATAATAATACAGTTGGTAGGTGGAATTAGCGACACTGTGTCAGTGGTACCCTGATGCTGGACATTTATGAAGCCCTGTGTTTCTCATTCAGTCTTCAGCAGCCCCATGAAGCTCAGGTATGTACCGTTCCCATCCCTGTGTGCAAGGTATGACATATCTGGTCAGTCACACACCAGGTTTTGTGATGAATTCCAAAATGTCACATGGCATAATTTAAATAACTGGCTTTAATGGAGAAAAGCTGGGTTTGCAAAAGATGAGAAGGTAGCTATCTCCAGCACTGCCTTATCCCACTGAGTTTGGGTGCAGCCTCTCCCCCAGGAGGATGGGGAAGATGGCCCATTCAAGGTGGTTTGTTGTCTGGGCAACCCTGAATGAGATCCAGGGTCACCTTTGGCAACTGTGCTCAATGAACCATGATCCCCATTTTACAGATGCAGAAACAGGCAAGAGACATTCAATGATTGGCCCAAGCCACACACTAATTCCAGGACCCAAATTCAAAACCAGTCTACTTTATACCCCAAGGAAAAGAGACAATTATATGAGGCAATCAGGAGAGGAAGGGCTCTGCTCTCTGTTTTCAGGGCCCTATTTTCCATCTTAGAGAAGGACCAGAGGAGCCAGCCAGCTCTGCAGTTCTTGGGTCCTTCCCTCTTCCATGTGCTGGCTGCCTCCCAACTCAGGCCATTTTGGTATCGAGGAAGTTCTGAGAGCCACTGCAAGCCCCTCCTCTGTTGATTGCAAAAAAGATTTGGCAGCACTCTTGCCATTCCTAACCCCTGCACCAGAGAATCATTCCCTGGATTAAAGATGACTTCTCCATTCTCCATTTTAAAATGCGTTATAGGGTCAGGCACAGTCACACGCCTGTAACCCCAGCGTTTTGGGAGGCCGAGGCTGGTGGATCACCAGAGGTCAGGAGTTTGAGACCAGTCTGGCCAACATGGTGAAACCCTGTCTCTACTAAAAATACAAAAAATAGCTGAGCGTGGTGGCATGTGCCTGTAATCCCAGCTACTTGGGAGGCTGAGGTAGGGGGATTGCTTGAACCCAGGAGGTGGAGGTTGCAGTGAGCTGAGATCGCACCACTGCACTCCAGCCTGGGCGACAGAGCGAGACTCTGTCTCAAAAAAATAAAAAAATGCGTTATAATCACTGACTGGGGTTCATGACAGAGTTATGTATAGACGTTTTTGAGATCTCTTACATAAGGATCAGGATGAAAATAGGAGCTGTTTCTTTAATTCTTACTACCCAATTTTTAAGAAACACTTTACTATTCTATTCAACTCTTCCCTTTTTCCCCTTTCTCTCTTGCTGGTTCTGAAAAATCAGTGTAGCCCCATAAATATGCAGAAAGTGAAAAGCTGACTTTTCCTATATCTAATAAAAACCTTGGAGAGTAATTGAAGTAATTTAGCATGGGTAGTCAGGTTACATTGCTGCGTAATATCAAAAGAAAGTCCATAGCAAGGAAATACAAGAGAAAATAGGAAGAGGGGCTGGAGAGTAAAACCAGAACATTAAATAATGAGTAACTGAGAAACTAAAAAAATATCTTTTTACTATTACAGTCTTAGAAAAATAGTCGAGGATAGTAATACTAGACAAAGTATACATTTTATGCATTTCTAAGGACTGCAAATTCAAAGAAAAGGAAGAAAATATCCCCTATTCCCCGGCATCTATTCATTAGACAAAAGTCTGACAAAAGCCACGGCCTTCGAGCACATTTTGACACGATTAGGCTCTCTTCCTGTCTCCTGTCTCCCCTTTTATCTTTGCAATCTGAATTTTAAAGGAGTGTTGTCAAGACAGGAGATCGCAAAAGGACAACCATTTACTATCAGGTGTCCTAGTTATACTTTTTGGATTATCTTACTCTGGTCTTTATGATTTTATGAAAGATCACTACATTTATTGTGGGTAGAAAAGTGATGTCGACTTTGCACACCTGGGTGTTGTGAAAGAGAAATGCTGGGTTAGAGTCACAAGTAACAAAGAGCAGCCTGCAGCCTGCATTTCTGGCAGAATCCTATCACTCAGTGTCTTACCCTAACCTCATACCTTTGGCTATGGAACCTTGGACAAGCCCTGTTCTACTCCTAGACTCAGTTTCTGTCGAGTTTTTTAAAGGTTATTTCTGTATACAAATAAAATCATCAGGAAACAGAAAAGCGGAAAAAAATGAAAGCGATCACTCGTAATTTATCAAACATAATGATTTTCTATATTTTCTACCAATCTTTCCTACGTATACCTTTTTTTTCCCTTTCTTTGAAAAATGTGGTAGAAACTAAACTGTATGATTGAATTTTATATCCTGATTTTTCTTTCGGCAGTGTTTTGTCTTTCCAAATAAAAATATATTTGACTTTTAGCCATCATTTTCTAGGGCTGCATGATATTCCTCACAGATGATTTTTTTTTTGTGCTTTGTTTTTTATAATCTTCATTGACAGAGGGTATTTGACAGTGTTGGGGGGCTGTTTCAGTATGTCACTAAAGGAAAAAGAAAGTGCAGCCACACACCTGATGTTCACTTTGTATCTGTGATGAGTCACATGGCCAGATTTGACTGTAACTGTCCATTAACTATTGATAGTGTTCAACTTGCAGAGGGATGAGGCCGATCTCTTTCTGCAGATCATCTGGGATCATAGCCCAATGACTGTATTATCTTTGTTGGTATCTGAGTGGAGTGAGACAACGTGGGTAGAAGTGTCTCCTCTGTAACTTACTATCTGTGTGGCTGAGGAAGAGAGTCTTGGTTTCTCCATGCCTCCATTTCCCCAGCTGCTACGGTGTGAATATTATTTTAATGCCCAATTCTGAGAAGTATATTTTAACGCATTTGGTATTGAGTTGAATGCTGCAATCAATGGGAACATTGTAATTTTTCCTTCCTTTTCCCTCCCTCAACACTCCCTAGAGCTATTACAATCAATAGTATTAGTACTGAAGAAATTTAATAATACTTGCCTTACAATGTCTGTTGTTGAAAGGATTAACAGAAATAAACATAAAGTGTTCTTAGCACTTGGTAAGAGCTCAGTTAATGGCAGCAATTATTTTATTAGTAAAAAAAATCTATATTGTTCTTAGAAGAGGAGAGCATTTATTCTGTATAGAATATTTATTATAAGAAATACATTATTTGTAGGTCACATACTTAGTTTAAACGCTTGTTGCTTGGAAAATTCCTCAACATCTTTTGTTAATTAGAGATAGCACAGGGATGGCAAATAGGTTTAACTTCATGTGCCAAGCCTAATTTGTTGATGATGATTGTCAGACGTGCTGTGTTTCGAGAACTGCTGAGGCAGAATCTGAGCATAGCAGACAAGAGTGCCAAGGCTGATTAGCAATATCTTTCCCAGGCTTAGGAAGACAGAGTGGCAACACATACACTGTTTACCATCTCTGCATTATGGTGTTACAAAACATTCCTTGGCAATTCATTAGGCATTAGCCAGGCCATGGCTTATCAATCAGAAGTTTCATCAGAATCTTGTGGCAATAGACCGCCTCCAGGTCCAAGGTGGAAGATTGAAACCCACACAGGTGAAACTGAAAACTCCAACCCCAGCAGAAACGTGGGAGACTTTGCACCATCAGAGAGGGCAGAGCTTTTGCGATGACCTTAATTTTTCTCAGCTCTTGTTCTGCTAATGCTCATTTAGGTCTTGCCTCCTGAGCCTCAAACATCCTGTGCCTTGGCCTTGCTAGAACTTTGCTGTTGGGTGAATGATCTGCTCTCTTGGTCAACCCCTTGACTGCAGCTTGTTTTTGTTCTCCTTTGCTGTGGGTAAATGGCTTTAAGCACAGGGCCCTTCTTTCAGAAAGGGCAATGGCATTGGAAGGGAGACCGTTCATTTTATTCTGTGATCCTTGTTATCTGAATCTCAGCTTTTGAGGTACTTATGAAATAAACTCAATCATTACAGGAACATTGATGAAGGCTTAAATGGAAAGTTACGTACCATTTCTTGAAATATTCTGGTAGTCCCTGTGATTACAGTGGTTTCTTTTCCATAAGCGAAGGTAAATAGATTTTTCTTTAATTCTGAAACAAATATATATGTATATATTTAAGGTCAGGATACTCACATAAAGAAGTTTAAACAAACCATGTTTACATCACGCTTTTAAAAAAATATGGTTAAAATGAACTCAAAAAATCAAATCTCTGCTGACAAGTTTTCTCTGAACTGTGAATGTAATATTGGCAGTTGTTATGAGAAGCAGTTCTATGAAATTGAGTTGTATGGGTGTCGTAAGAATACTGTTGAAGACATAAAACTTTTTCTTTTGTACAAAGACCTCCAGAGTCATCCCTTTCAAATGCTTTTTACCAAGAGCTGCTGTACATTTCTTGAGCAATTGCTCACCTTTACCGACTCTGTTATTTTGAACCTGATCATGTTGCCTTTCTTTTTTTTTTTTTTTTTGGTTGCTATGAAGCTGTGGTTGACACTATTATTGTCCTTCAGCTTTATTCTCCCTTCATGCACTACAATAGAATTTTTGCTACAATAGAATTTATAGAATTTTTAGCAAGACCCATGTCTGTCCAGAATGAGGATTGCGTTTTCCAGCTTCTCTTGCAGCTAGGAGTGGCACATCACTAAGTTCTGGGTGAGATGAGATGGGATCAGAACTATCCAGTGGCAATTTCTGGTAACGCTTCTTAGGAAATGATTGAATGGTGATTCTGGTTCCTTCTTTGTACCCTTTCTCCAGTCTCCTGCCCAGAATAGGAAAGCTGCCATCTTAAACTATGGGAATAAGGTTGACGTTGAGAAGGCAGAGGGGTGAGCTGGAAGGAGCCTGGATCCCTGAGAACTGGGTGGAGTTGAGCTCCCATATCAATTCCAGACTGCACATTTTCTAAACCTTTCTGTGTGAGAGAAATAAACTCATATATGTTGAATCTCTGTTCCTTGAATCTAATACTAATAAACACAGAGCTTACGGAAAAATTTGACACCAGTATCAGGCTATAATTATATATATTTTAACTCATTTTCTTGGCTCCTTTTTGTCTCATCTTTGATTTTTCATTTTCTTTCGCTTAATATAGATGTAAGTAGTTTAATTAATGCAACAAAATTTAGTTTAAATGTAATTAAATGTTATGTTCTCTAAACTTTCATAGGCTTCCTAAAATCTTTGAAATAAGACCAGATGTAAACTAAAAAATAATAACTTAGCTCAAAATATTTGAGTAATCTTCAAATGTATTGTATCTTCTTTTCATTATAATAAGTTCACATCTCACAACCTTACATACAATCACCAATTATTAAGTGTTATATGAAAGCTTACTAATTGTATTACAGTGCTTGGCAACTGTCTCAGTGCTTCAGAAAGGTAAGCATATATTATGTTTGGGCATTCAGGATGCATAGAAAATAGTATCCCTTTTTTGAAGTCTGAGAAAACCAATGATAGTGTTTTTTAATACAAGACCAAGATGCCTGAGCAATATTTTAAGTGTGAGATTTTTGCTTTGTAGTAGAATTTTGAGATGAATAATGTATTTATTTTTTAAAATCAAAGCTACCCATGCACATAGTTTAAAAAGTAATTTACTTAATAGATGCTTATTGAGCACCTGCTACATTCCAAGTATTATTCTAGGCACTGAGTTATATTGGAAAATTAAAATACATGATCCCTGCTTCTGTGTTGTTGATATTTCAACAGGAAAAGGCCAATAAAAGAACTAAACATTATAAAAAAGCAAATGATAGAGTATGCTAGAAAGTTCTAAATTCTATGAAGAAAGGAAATGAGAATTAGAGTAGCCAAAGGAAGTCTAATTGAGAAGCTAAAATCAACAAAGACTTGAGGTGGTGAGTCTCACAGAACCAAATAACTTACCTATGTGTGTATATAAGACTTGTGATGATAAATAGCAACCCCACACCTCCCTCCACTCTCCATTTTTCCATTTCCATAGGCAACTAATTCCAGCCTTAATTGACTAGGTCTTTTGATGTTTTTCTCCTCATCTCTAAGTAACATACTTTTAAGGCTACTTCTTGATTGTTAGTCTTTGACATTATCTGTTCACTTCCTACTCTAGAAGAGGATTTAGCTATTGACAACTAATCAATGATTGCTTTCTAATTTCTTTCTAACTTTTTTATTTCTGTAGAGTTAATAACTGCCTTTTGTTTCTTTCCTTAATTTTCTAAGTATTTATCATTGTATTAGTCTATTCTCATATTGCTATAAAGGAATACCTGAGACTGGGTAATTTATAAGAAAAGGGGTTTAATTGGCTTATGGTTCTGCAGGGTGTAAAGGAAGCATAGCAGCATCTGTTTCTGGGGAGGTCTCAGGAAGCTTCTAATCATGGCAGAAGGCAAAAGGGGAACAGGCATGTCACATGGAAAAAGCAGAGCAGGAGAACAAGCAAATGTGCTACACACATTTAAATGACAAGATTTCATGAGAACTCACTCCCTATCCTGAGGACAGTACCAACAGGGATGGTGCTTAACCATGTGTGAGAAATCCGCCTCCATGTTTCAATCACCTCAAATTTTTCATAAGCCTAAAACTGCTTAAAAAAAAAATGGCCCTATGTAGCTGAACTGAACTCAGCCTTGCCAGCTGTCCCTTCCCAGGCACATCATGTGAGTGAAGCCATCTTGGATTCTCCAGCCCAGCCCAGCCCAGCCCAGCCATTAGGTGATGTCACTGAGTAACCATAATTTCATATAGAGAGGAATAATTGGCCAGCCAAGCTCTGCTTGAATTCCTGAACCCCGCCCCCCCCAAATTGTGAGATATAATAAAACGACTATTGTTTTAAGCCATGAAAGTTTGGGGCAGTTTGTTATACAACAATAACATAAATCTGTATTAGGTATTAGTCAGGGTTCTCTAGAGGGACAGAACTAATGGAATGAATATATATATATATGGGGGGGTTTTTAGTATTAACTCACACTCTCACAAGGTCCCATAATAGGCTGTAGGCAGGCTGAGGAGCAAGGAGAACCAGTTCAAGTTCCAAAACTGAAGAACTTGGAGTCTGATATTCAAGGGCAGGAAGCATCCAGCATGGGAGAAAGATGTAGCCTGGGAGGCCAGGCCAGTCTCTCTTTGCACATTTTTTCTGCCTGGTTATATTCTAGCCATGCTGGCAGCTGATTAGATTGTGCCCACCCAGATTAAGGTTGGGTCTGCCTTTCCCAGACCACTGACTCAAATGTTAATCTCCTTTGGCAACACCCTCACAGACACACCCAGGATCGATACCTTGTATACTTCAATCCAATCAAGTTGACACTCAGTATTAACCATCACAGTTATGATATTTTTCCCTCACAAGTCTGAAGGAATTGATTGATTTTGGCTTTTAGCCTCCCCAGCATTGTTAAGTATGAAGCAACTCTGTGTCTTGATCTTTTGAAAGCCTATGGTAGCACCTCATTCCAAGTGTTCTGAAATGTTATGATGGCAGTCTTGGTGTGTGTCTGATTTTACTCATAGTGTTAGACCTTTGATAAACCCTTTCAACTTGGAAATTCATGATGTTCAGTTTTGAGAGATGTCCTTAAATTATTTCACTGATGATTTCTTCCTTTCTCTTTTTTCCCTACAACTATTGGGTCATCTGAACCGGTCTTGTAATTTTCCCTGTTTCTCTGTCCTATTTTCATGTCATGGACCTTTTTCTCCATTTTCTGGATAATATCCTCAACTTTATTTTTTAATCTTTCTATGAATGTCGTCTGCTATTACCAGAATAATTTCCAAATGACCTTATTGGTTCTCTGAATATCTTTTTAATTTTAATGTTCTTGTTTTATGAATGTAACATCTTCTTTTATCCTTTTTTGAAGCACTTGTCTGCTATAGAATTCTTTTATCTTTTTGAAGATATTAATTTCAGTTATTTTAATATGTAGGCTATTAAACTTTCTAAAAAGTTTTATCCCCCTTAGTACATAGTCTGTGTTTCTCTAAGTTGCTTTTTTTCCCCTTTGTTTCTGTATTTTCTTTCATGTTTGAGGTTTCCTTCAGATGTGTGATGATCCTGGGTTATAGGCTTATTTTTAAATGTTGAAACTAGTTGCCAGCTAAAAAGCTAATTGATTTTGATTGGAAGCTGGGCCCCTGGCTGTGCTTGTTGACTACAGCCCTCACTGCAAGATGAGCTGTCTGGGCCTTTCTTGGGGAACCCTGCTGTCAGCATCTGTGGGACTCTCCTCTTGGGCTGTTCAGATTCCCCAGGGAAGGATCTTCTAGTCTGCAGCCAGGAGAGTACAGGCTGGGTTGGCAACACTCTGGGGCATGTAGGGAAGGGTCCTCAACATTTAGCATTCATGTGTTTCCGTAGGATACTCCTCTCCTCATTTATGTTTGGTGTCTTCCAGTCCAGAGGCCCTTGACTTTAGTGTTTCCAGAGAATAAAGCTCTAGTCTTATTCCAGAGTATGGGAGGGGCAGTTGACCACCTGTGGAGAGTTGGAAGGGGTCTGAGGAGCTAACTGCTCTTCAGCAATCTTCCAACCAATACTTCTGGTTTAGCCTCACCTGCATTTCTACAGCTCCCACATGTAACCAATCCCCAAGTCTTCTGGGGCTTCTGCAGTGTGAACTGGGTTGCTTCTTGGCATTCCCTCCAACCAGCTTAGGATGCAGCTCTCCTGAATCTACTAAGTCAGTTACCATTCATCTGTCTGATTTCTAGCTTCCAACGTTTTGTGGCTGTTGGCTCTTCTTGTTCTCTTCGTCCTCTTGGACAAATTCATTTACTGTCGTTAGAGTAGGGCTTTTCAAGGGAGAGATGTAAGTGCTTGTGTTCAATCTGCTATCTTACTCAAAAGCCTGAAATGGATACCTTATACACTGCGTCACTTATGCCCTCTGCCTTGAGTATTTTATTATATTTTGGAAAAACAGATGGGAAATGGACACTGGATCTGAGTTTGATACTAAAATAATTTTATGGTCAATAAAGAGGGGTTATTTTTCTTTGGGAAAGTAATTCTTACCTATTTAGTCACAAATGTATTTTTGATCATTCTGAGAATGGAATTTATATACCAAAATATTGTTTTGCTCATGTCCTGCTCATGAAGAGTAAATAGTGTAGGTATTAATATTATAGATACAGTTAGTTGCACCTTTCATTATAAGAATATAGAAATCTTTACCAATAGGAGATAGTTCTAATAACATTTCTGACTAGAAATAGCATCTAGAATTTTGGGATGAAAGCCTTGTACCAAGCACTAGAAAGTATTTCACATAGTAAAAGATACTGCTTTCTTTCATCCCCATCCCGAATCTATAATCTCTCTTATATATTTTAGGAACTGCATTTCTCAAGGAGTGCTCAGAAATCCTGAGTATATAGTGGGATCAATATAATATTTTGATATGCCTGCAAATTGAGAAGATAGCTTAATAGAAAATTATATATATGCAGGGTCTTGAGCTTGTAGTCATAGGACAAGCTGAGGCTACTAGGATGCTATGCATAATGAGGCTAAACTATCATGATGATTCTGGCCTCAAATCCTCTTCCTCTTGCTCTCCTTTCTCCACAAAAATCCAGTGTTCCAGTGTGATCTTTTATTTTTCTCTTTCTGCTCTGTTGTATATATCAAAATCCGGTCCAATGTGCTAGGAGGAGGTGACTGCTTTTGGGCTTGTAAGTTGAGGGATGCACAAGACGGGTACTTAAAAGTTCTTTTCTCCACACTTTGCCCAATGCCTACAGAACTGAATCCTCAACTCCAGGCATAGGCATGGAAGTGAGTCACGTTAACTTTCCAGTTTCACCAGCTCCTTCTACTGGAGGGCCTGGCAGTACAGGCATTTCATGTGAAAACACACTGATTGGGTTTTGATTTCTAGCACCGTAATTCAAAATGAGTAAAACTCAAACAGAATGGCTGTTACTCTTCCCAACATTGGCTCAGGGAACACAAAAAAATCACTTTTTCTGAGAGCTTCCTAATGCCTTCCCCCACTGCATTTCGGTAGAACAAAACAGAGTAATATCAAGAATGGGCCTCAAGAGTAATGTAGACAAATTAAACAGGTTGATTTAAAATGAAATAAAAGATGGCCTCCCATGTTGACTCAAGGCAGAACCTATTTGGAGAGAGGCAAAAATGGAGTTCTTCCAAAGGCTTTGTAGCCTGCCAGAGATCTCTGAGGTAAACCAGATGTGATATGATTCAAGCAAGAGTGATGTAGCATATTCTGATGAAATTTCTTAGTCAGTGTCTTTTTTTTTTTTGAGACAGAGTCTCACTCTGTCACCCAGGCTGGAGTGCAGTGGCATGATCTCGGCTCACTGCAACCTCCACCTCCTGGGTTCAAGCAATTCTCCTGTCCCAGCCTCCTGAGTAGCTGGGATTATAAGCGCATGCCACCATGCCCAGCTAATTTTTGTAATTTTAGTAGAGACAGGGTTTCACCATGTTGGTCAGGCTGGTTTTGAACTCCTGACCTCAGGTGATCCTCTTGTTAGGCAATTTCTGACTCTGTCCAGAGGCACAGCTTGCTTGGGTATAAATTATGAGTCTCCATTAAGTTGAATCTTAGGGAATAAGTTACAAAAAACAGGCTCCAGCAGTAGGGTTGGTGAGAAATACCTGGGGATATTTGATGTGAAGAGTTAGGGAGGGGAGTAAATTAGGATAAACTTGGGTAACTTAGAGACTAGACAGGCTTTAAGGCTTTATCCAGGGACCTTTTCTGCTAGGAAAATTTAAGAAAAGGGTGGATAACTTTCTTTCTAATGTGGATGGAGGTCAGGCCAGCATAGGGCCAGGGAGATAGATTAAAGACCTTTTAAGATTCCTTTCAGTCCTTTGATATTAGCCACATCCCAGAGTTCTGTGTAACCCCTAACTCACTACATCATAGAACAACTAAGATGTAGCCTCAGAGAGTGATAAACATACAGAATATGACTCACCGTGGACTCAGAGAGACTGGCAATAAGCTAATTATGCAGAGGTGAGGATGGCTACAGAGGAGGTCCTAGGAGTTCACATACAAAAAGATTAGCAGGACAGCATGATAAATTTTGAATTTGGACCAGAAAAATAGTACAGGGAAAAAGACTTCATAGGCATTGTGTTCAATAATTCATGAGCTGCTGGGCTCAGACAAGGCTTCCTACCTGTTAGGTTAACCTCTCACTAAGATTTCCTCCCCTCCTGTTCTCTGAGCTTGAAGCAGGTGTAGCTCTCTCCATCCTGGCCTTTCCCAGCCCCAGATTTGATTCTAGGCCACTGTATTAGGGTGAACATTAAACTGTGATAAAGTGGAGACATTTAAGGCTGTGGAGGCTTATACATCTGAAAAGATTACTTGTGACATAGCAGATGGTTTTAATGACCTAAACGGCATTTCTCAAAGGATGTTCTGTGAAACACCAGTTTCTTTGAATTTTTCTCATAAAACACACACACAAATTCTACATAGTTCTGTGGTCAAATAAGTTTAGGAAATGTTTTATATATTTTTGAATGTTTTATATTTTTTGAGGATATACAATGCTTTTTCGCATAGTGAAGGCTATAATAAGCCTTATACCAAATAAGCTTGTTTCCCTTTATTTAAATTAACATTTCCAAAACTTATTTGACTTAACACGTCTTTTAAGAAATGTGTGTTAGTACCCTTTAACATTTTGTGGAACTCATATTTCGCAGAAGAGTTTATGAAGAATATTGATGAATTATCTCTGTGATCTGTATTTAAGCATTGAGGTGGCCTAAAATCTCAAGTTCAGTTGGTTACAACGATTCTACTAGAGAAATCTGTAGAGTGTTCATTTACTTTGATTAATCTGGGTTGCAAAATTACATCATTCTGGGCAAAAATTCACATCAAGGTTTGACTTATCATTAGCCAAATTCACTTCTTAGCAAATCTCTTTATTTCATTTTTTCCACTTGGCTACTGAATTGATGTTTCTTTTAAATTCATTTTCTCCTATTTGTTGATTACATATGGCTAATATTTTAATGTTAATTGTGTGATTTAATATTTTAATTAATTTTGCTAATTTCTTGCAGAATACTTATTATAGGACACACTTAGAATTCCAAGGGTTTAACTTACGCTGATTTATTTTTACATATTTTTACATATCACATCATGCAGTTGCTAATTCAGCTATACTCCTTTGCCTATTTCCCCCAAAATGTTAATCCCAACAAATCTTATTTGATTTAGATAATCTGACAAAATGCACATGAAGGAGGTTTGCAGATTGTAAAGCACTCTACATGGGCAAACTGATATCCTTATGAGCTGGTTCAGCAATTCTTTTATTGAGCACCTGCCATGTGTCATGTACTGTGCCAGGTAAGAGGGCTACAAAATGAAGTCACCTGATTCCCATACTCAGGATGCTCAGAGTCTGGGCATGGGAAGGTGGAGCATGAGACAAGTAGTAAACAGGTATTATAAGTGAGGTGACATTGGTATTGAAGGACATGATAGGATCTCAGAAAATAATCATCCAGTTAGATGGGGGGTCAGTATGAAGGGGCTGTCTGGAGGGGTATAAAAAAGAAATGTAGCTGAAGACAGAGAGGCTGGGGGATGATCCCTGAGGGGTAGGTGCTGCAGCATGGGCAGAGGGCGACTAGATAGGACAAAGACAACGGGCGATGCCTGTGAAAAGATGCTCAAACTCACTAGTAGTCAGGAGGTTACAAGTGAGAACAACAATACAATGTTGTTGTTATAGTGGAAAAAATTAAGAAGATGAACAATATCCAGTATTGGCAAGGGTGTGGGAAAACAAATATTCTCATATACTAATTGTGGGAATATAAATTGGTATAGCCCATTTGGAGGCCTTATTAAAATTAAAAATGTAAACATTTGGGTCCAATAATTTTTTCTTAAGAAATCCTCACACATATTCCAAAGAGTCAGTACAAAATGCTCATTGCAGCATTACGAAGAATAATGATACTCTGGATATAAGTTGGATGTCCACCTGTAGGAGAAAAAAATAACTATGCTATGAAACACTATGCAGTATTGGACAAGAAGGAAAAGAGCTCCAAGAAGTATGGCTAAGGTGAAGCACTGATTTACAGTAGGTTAAACACAATATGATAGCCTTTATGGGAAAATCCCAACAAAGTGTTCATTTCTTCATGTACAAATGAAAATACACAGAAAGGGCCTGGATGGAATCACACTAAACTGATCACAGGGCTTTCTTCTAAGAAAGGGAGTAAAACTGGGGACAAAAAGTGAGGACTTCAGCTTTTTACTTTATACACATTAATTTTTTTGTACAATGAAAATATATTCATATTTTGAGTAATTAAAAATGAAAAATTAAAAATAAATAGGGACAAGGGGAAGTCATTGCAGGTGAAGGGCTTTGTCAATATATGGCAGGGAGAGTCCCTCCACCAGGATCCATGGTGTCTACAGATGGTCCGTCTTGCCCAAGGATGGTGCCTCCTTATGCCTGGGTCCCATCCCTTCTTGCCTTCTCTAGGCTTCATTCTTTCCTTCATTCCCTTTCTCTGCCTTTTAGATCATCCTATCAATACAAGTATGCTGCAGGATTTTCCATTTTAACAAGTCTTCCTGATCTATTATTCCCTTGCTGCTATTGCCCCATTTCTCTGAAGCAAAACCCATTAAAAGTTGTACATGCTCACCCAAGCTGATGTCATCACCTCCTGAACCCATTCTTTCCAATCAGGCTTCCAGCTTCGCCCCACTGAAATGTTTCTGCTCCAGGTCTCTCCAGGTCCCTGTCTTGCACACCCAGTTGTCACTCTCAGCTCTCATCTTCCTCTGCCTCCCCCATCATTTGGCTGATGCTCTCTTCTTATTTGGAAACACTTTATTTCCTTGCCCTCCAGGACTGTAAGCCCTTCCAGTTTTCTTTCTACTTTCAGGGTTGTTCCTTTTCAATCTTCTCTGCCCAGATCTCTAAATGTCAGCATCTCCTAGCCTCTCTGTCTTCAGCTATGTTTCCTTTTTATACTTACTCCTTAGAACAAAAGTTCTCAAACTTTTGCTCTCAGGACCACTTCACACTCTTAAAATTATTGAAGAACTCAGAGAGCTTTTGCTTATGTGAGTTAAAGCTGTCAAAATTTATCACATTAGGTATTAAAATTGGGAAATTTAAATGTACATTTAATTATCAATTCATTTTAGATTATTATAATAAATCCATTACATGTTAACTTGTCACTTTTTTTCTAAAAACAAATATATGTTTTCCAAAACCCTCCAAGAATGGCATTGTTTTACATTTTTGCAAAGATCTTTAATGTCTGGCTTAATAGAAGACAGGTAGATTCATGTGCTTCTGCATTCAGTCTGTTACGATGTTTTGGTGAGGGTATATTAAGAAAATCTAGTTTTGGCTGGGGGCAGTGGTTCATTCCTATAATCCCAGCACGTTGGGAGGCTGAGGTGGGTGGATTGCCTGAGCTCAGGAGTTCGCGACCAGCCTGGGCAATATGGTGAAACCCTGTCTCTACTAAAATACAAAAAATTAGATGGGTGTGGCAGCGTGTGCCTGTAGTCCCAGCTACTCGGGAGGCTGAGACAGGAGAATCGCTTGAACCCAGGAGGCAGAGGTTGCAGTGAGCCAAGATCACGCCACTGCACTCCAGCCTGGGCAATAGAGAGAGACTCCGTCTCAAAAAAAAAAAAAAAAAAAAAGAAAGAAAGAAAAGAAAATCTGGTTTTATATACACATGTAGTTGGAAAAGGGAGGAGCACTTCAGTATCCTTTTTAGATAACTATGGATAGCTGTCTTTGATTCTACACAAGAATTCAACAAGTAGTAGTTTCTTAAAGATTGATTAGTTGCAAGGTGGAAGCTGAAATTATATCAATTATCTTTAATACCTTGTTACGTTAAAATGCATTGGCCTGTCTTGCACTTTTAATGAATCTTTTACCCATGCATCATCTTAATCATACACTAATATTTAGAAAATATTGGTTCCTGAGTTATGAAGATATTCCAAATGTTGATACATTTAATGCTATAATATAAAAAAATCATTTTTGTTAATATTGCTACATATCACATTAGAAGAGTCTTAGACTCTTAGGAAACTGTCAGGTTCATACTAGCAGATGCAAAGTTTTCAAAATTCAAATATTTTCTTTGAAAGCTCAAATTTTATGATTTTCAAACAATACTGTCAAACAATGTTTGAAACAAAACATTGAAAATATGATTTTCAAACAATTATTTTCCTTGAAACTACAAGCTCATTTCATTCATTTTAGATAAAGTATCTGCCATATATCCAAGTCTGAAAAACCATGATTTGTTATCAAGTAATTTTTCAATAAAAATGGTGTTCCATGAAAAGTTAACTCAGCTCTCATCTCGCCTACACAAGTGCTTTTCCCTAAGACAGCCATCATCCTTTGTTAATTTATTATGCAGTACAAATGCTTTATGCATATTTCACATTTCATCAGATTAAATTATTTAAAAATCAATTTAATAAAATTAATAATGTTTTTTCTGCTTTGTACTATGTGACATTTTTAAGGGAGGATGTCCCCCTCTTGTTTTAAACTGGGAGGTGAAGAACACAGTGACTACTAATAGAGTTTGGTGCCAGCACTTGATTCACGCTAACGTGTCAACAGTTCTACCCACCATTGCTTTTGTACCATCTGTACCAATGGCTACATAGTGGAAAGCCTTAGTATTGTTGTGAAAGTAGTTTTTCACTTGTGGACCCCCTGAGAGGGTCTTAGAGACCCCACAGGGGTTCATGGACCACACTTGGAGAACTGCTGCTATGGACACTATCCCACTCCAATCAGCCTCACCCAACTTCAGAGGACCACCTCTCTGGTTAATTATTTGTTTTGCAAAGTATAATTATAACAGGGCTAATCATTTGCAATTATATCACATGTAATTTGCGAATAATGGATTTAATAAGGTTATTAGGCCCATTAGTGTTTAGTACTTACATGTCCTTTTTTGAAACATGAAATTAGGTTAGCAAATTTTAGCTGCAATTCCCTACTCTCCAATTTTCTGGCTTTACTGCCCCAAGTGACTTGGTTCAGTGTTATACACTGATTTTCAAAATTATTCTCTCATATAACATCTATTGGGTAGGAGAGAATAGATAACCTTTAACGCTTCTATTCTAGGACACCTCTCACTAAAGGTGTGTTTAAATGCCCCTGAAGAGCATTATTGTACCACTTATAACAATGGCTTTGTCTGAGTATTTGCTACATCTTTGGTTCAATATGCCAAATTTAAGCTGGAGGCAGAGGGAGCAACATTTAATCTAGAAAATGTCATCTGGTTTGCACTCATTTATGCTGACTACAGATCTCAGTTTTATTTCTCCAGCTTGGTGTGACAATTTTGGTAGCTGCTTTTGGTTCTTTTGGCCTTCATTGCTTTTTATGATGAATTTTAGCTTTTTACTTTTTTTGAAAAAGCTCTGATTGCTGCCCTGTTTTTCATCCTTATCACTTATCCTTGTCTGCAGAACCCTACTGACTGGACTGACTCCTGGCCCCACCTTCAGAATAAGGGGATACGAACGGCCAGAAATGCTCAGTTTAGATGTGTTGGGTTCAGGTGGCTATTTTTGTTAAGGACTTAGATGCCTGTTTTCCTCTTTTGGGTTTGCTGGAGAGATATAGTAAACATAAAGGACAATAATGGAGTCCCATGTTTATTTAACAGCCTGTCAAGCACTCAATATCACACAACACAGGGCTTACTGTGCATGAGACTGCACTATACCATAGGCTCTATACCCTGGCCAAACACTGTTTCAAGAACTTCAGGCTCTGACCCATAAAGTTAGCCATGTCTTGTCTTGAGGTACAGGCTAGTTAAGGAGTAGGGGAAGACATAGTGGGTAGCAGAAGCAGGAGCATCTCTCTTGAACAATTTCCCTCAGTACTTCTAAACCAAGTAGCGTCATAAAGTAGGATCATGTTGCCCAATAACCATGCCCAATGAGCGTGGGAGAGAACGTCAGAGATCATCTAGTCCAACTTAACTTGAGCACATAAATGAGGTTGAGGAATGCTAAATGTTCCACCTGGAATAACACAGAATGAGCACCCTTATAACTGAAAATACAGACTTCCTTTCACTCTATCATGCCTACTCTGGGATTTTAAATGATGCTTTCAAATGAGAAGTCCTTCCTTCTTGTAAAAGTTTTGGTATTGTTTCCCATCTTTCTACATGTGGTATTAGATCTTTGGTTTCTTTAATGTAAGTAGGATTTTCCTGTTATATGAATTGCTTTGGAAAGTGATCTGAACATGAAGTACAATTTTTAATCTTAATTTTTTTTACTTTTTTATTTTTACTTTTTTAAAGACAGGGTCTTGTTCTGTTGCCCAGGCTGGAGTACAGTGGCGTGATCATAGCTCACAGCAATCTCAGCAATCTCAAACTCCTGGGCTCAAGCAATCTTCCCGTCTCAGCCTCCTGAGTAGCTAAGGACTACAAGTACATGCCACCATGCCAGGCTAATTAAAAAAAAATATTTTTTTAGAGATGAGGTCTTGCTATGTTGCTCAAGCTGATCTCAAACTCCTGGCCTCCAGTAATCTTTTCACCTCAGATGCCCAGTAGCTATTTTTAATCTTTTAAAAATACTTTTTTCTTCCTATTTACAGTTATACTGCTCTATTGCCAAGCTCTTAACCCCCACAGAGATTTTTTTTTTCTGCTTTTGACCTACTCAATCTCTTCCTGAATCACACTGAAGAAAAATCCCAGTATATTTTTTAAGGGATATCACTTATTGAATTTTCTGAAGCCCAAGAGTCAAGAAAACAGTTTTTGTTAACATCAACTCAACTAAAAGAACTAAAGGTTTGTAAAACTAAGGGGTTATGTTTGTCATTTAATGCATGCACATAATTTCAATTAAAGTTATCTATGAAGGGGATAATAAATTTTGAGAGGACAAAGAGCATAAACAAAGAATGAAAGGGAAGGAGCCATTTCCTCTCCTGATGCTTTCACAAGGCACATTTTCCAAAGGACGCTGTTGACACCCATAGCAGAAGGCTGATCATGATGGTAGGAAGCGCATTCTGGAGATCCAGTTGAATAGAGAAATCCGCCAATTCTGTGGATAAGCATTTGGATTCAAAGGGCATGTGCCCAAAATGCCCATGGGAGCTGTATACACCTCTCAGAAGTGCTGCTTCTGGGTCAACATTCTTTTCATTTTCCTGATTCCACAAATGAGGACCTCCATCATATGCTAATCTCTTTGATATTTTTATATACTTTATAACTTTCTATTCCTTTAATAAGGAGATTGGCCTAGCACAAATTATCTGTGAATATAATTTATACAATGGTATATGGATACTTTAGCTGTAACTACTGCTGGGAGGGACATAGCAAATTATGATCCCACAGATGCAGTGTCATGCTGCCTCTGTTTCTGCTTAATGGGGGAATCCATTGCAACTCAGATTCCAAACAGAGAATTTCCTTTTCCATTAAAAGGAGTTGGTATATTCTTCTCCACTCCAGCTGAGTGGCAGCAAACACAGGCACAGTACACAGAAACAGCTGGCAAAAAGAGCATTCTGAGAGGAACAGCTAGGGAGCTTGGGGTCCCACAAACACATAGAAAGAAAAGTTCCTGCAGGGGAGGTGAACAACCAGCTGTGGTGTGTGCCTCGTTAGAAATACAACAGGTAAGGACAGGACTTAGAGTCAACACTAAGGAAGTTGCTTAAGCAGACTATGCGTTTTTTGTAAGCAGTAATAGAGAACCGAATATAAAAAGGTACTAGGTCAATAAAGACTAGCTCAGGATAGAGATGGTTTTCATATAAGCCACACCTAGATGGTCACTTACTTTGTGAGATGGTGTCAGAATTTCTCTGCATAATGCTTATAAGAGTTAGAAACCATTCATGTCTGAAGGCTCTCAACTTTTCCTCTTCCCCTTACCCCATTGCCATGCTTTGATGGAAGATCCTGTCTGCCTGCTGGGCACTGATCAGGATGATGGGTAAAAACTGCTGCAGGATTGAAGAGCTAGTGGGATTTTACATTGATAAGGGAGTAAACCCCTGGTGGGAGGACAGAACAGATGCAGAAAGGAAAAGGGAGCTTTCCCTCTCATCCCCCAATAGAAACTCAAAATGACTGAACAGAGTCTGTTTGGGAGAAGGAGCTAAGTGTGGGTCAAGTTTTGGGGAAGTTTAGATTTAGGAAATACAGAGCAACTACTGGTGTGTGCGAGCTGTAAGCAGAAAGAGATGAGGAAACATGTTTTTATCTGTTTGCTGGGCATGGTGAATGGATTCCTCTTTCATTCCTTGAGTGACTCCAGTAAAGATTTAAACTACTTGGAAATTAATTTTAAATATCGGATCGGTATTTCTTTTATGGCAACTTCATGGGGCCAAAAGGTAGTTGGGATTTATAGAGTCAATATGTAAAAATTTAAGCTTTCATTAAAGGTACAGTAAACTGTGTTCATTGTTCATACCTAATTAATTCTTTTTGTTATTGTCATAAAAGCCTTGATTGAGAGAAAATTCCAGATACTTTTATTGAGAAATGACTAGACTGGGTGGAGGGCATTTAAACATATATATTTTTTTATTTTCTGATGTTGAAATTGGGGGGATGACCAAGGTTCTCTCTTCTATAAACCTGCTTTGGCTGGGTTATCTCTGGATGTGTTCCAGGTAAAGACAACAGAGGCTGTAGCAGAGGGAAGATGGGACTGAGGCTAGGACTCAGAAAGTCCCAGATGTCTGTGCTTATTGGGACCCTAAGGAGGCATATGATGGGTCACTGAAATAGTGCAGGCCACACCTCTACATGGGGAGGACTTCTCTTGGTTCTTAGTCATTTCTCCATCCCATAGCTATGCTCTCACACAGAGGGACAATGGTTAGAGTGAGCCATATTCCCACACAAAGAATAAAAACAACACAAAGTTTGAGAGGCAAGAACATATCTTTGTTATGATATGACACAAGGTTCCATGAAAACAGACCCTACCACTCTTGGCTGGGCAACCTTGGTCAAGATTCTTATTCTGTCTATTTGCCCTTGGATCTCTCAACTGCAAATGCAGAGAACAATACCCACTACCTCACAAGGAGGTTAAATGAGAGAATATCTATACAACACTCAGTAAATGCTTGGCATATAGTTACTTGTTACTTCTCAAAGGTTACTTCTTACTATCCCTATTAGTAAGTATTTTAGTATTTTTACACTAATGACAAGGACTAGCCTTTTTTAAAATAACATGATTAAGTTTGAAAAGGTATAACTACACTGGAAAACACATCTCCTTGGCTTTCCCTATATTGGCAGATTATTTCTATGTAAATATGAGTACGCTTCCCTGAAGGTTAGTTCCCTTCCTAGTTTCTTCTATGCCCCTTTTATGACCCCAGTCTCCCATGTGTTACCCACCCAAAGGAAGTGACTGTTGATCACTTCCATGAACTCTTTTTCCTCGGAGCCCCGTGGCTCTGTAGGAGACCTGTCATTAGTATATCTTCCTTGCATTACCATTATTTGTTCACTTGTCTCATCTGCCTTAATTGCAATTGACTACAAAGATGGGACAAGCCCTATCTACCTTTAAATGGACACCTGTAACATCTGTGCCTGATTAGGTGGTTAAGTATTTAAGAAATATTTTTAAAGCAGATGAATAAAAATCATCAAATAAATTATTCATGGCACACAATGTTCTTTGTTCATCAGAATAATTGCTTGTTAAAATGATTAATGTCTGTCCTTTGGGGGCATTCCTGTTCCTTACAGATTTGGGTAAATCACACCCCATGCACACTTGCCCTCCTCACAGTTCTCATGGCTTATCTCATGGTGCTTTCCAGCCTTCTGCCATTTTTGCCTGAGTCAGAGAGGGGCTTCCTAGCTGGTTCTGTCCTGTCTTTAGACCTAAAAGCAAAGCTCTACCCTTTCTTCTTTTTTACACATGGAAGCCATTCATTTGCCATCTTCCTTGTGCCTATTAACTGTCATAAATGTTTAGGAGATGTTGGGAGAGAAATTGCCTCTCATATCTGTGACATTCTCCCATCCAAGTACTAACCAGGCCCTGCTTACCTTCCAGAGATCAGACAAGATCTGGTGTGTTCAGGGTGGGATGGCCATAGACTCATATCTGTGGTTTACTACCATGTTAGGGACACTTGCCAAGTTTCACCAGCATCACAGGTGTCCCTGCCAAGTGTGGGCCCTGGGAAGCAGACCCCAGGCCTTAACACCCAGGCATATGTAGTGAATTGGGTTTGTGTGTCATTCAAACTCACCAGGCCTGGTCTCTACCTACAAATCTGGGGCATTAAAGCCAGGATGATTCTAGGACTTTGAGAAGTGCCAATCAGCTTTGGCCATTATCTTTACAAATTTATTTCTGAGAACAAATAAGTAAACTTTGTTTTTCCTTGAATCAGAAAATTTCAGTGATGTGTTTAGTATTTTCCATCAGAGGTAAACTATGGAACTCCACCCCCACCCTGCCCATAGCAGGAATATGCTTTTCTTGCCAGTGCTGCTAAAATACAATTTGCATTACATCCTACTGTATGGTGGATGAACTCAAATTCATGTTCTAGAAGCAGTTCCTAATAATTCGCATTTCAACATCTTGGTAGCAACCCCCATCTCTTGTTCTTTCCTTACACAGAGGTATTGAAATGTCTGAGGGTGCACAAAGACACTTACCCAACAGTGGAGTCCAGAAATCCTGTAGCACCAGAGAGTTGGGGCCAGTCAAGCTCGTTGGTAAGGGCTGTTGGTAGATTGATGAAAGAGTTCTAAGGAAAACAATAAAGTAGCAATTATCAAAATGGTCATTTATTTTCTAAAGGTAGTAAGAAAATTCATGGCCTGAGTGTTGCTCTCTGTGTGTCTGTTTCCCACTCTCAATCTCTCGCTTTAAGGGCTTTTGGTATTCAAGGCAGATGTCTCTAACCTTCAACTTCATCAGGGAAGTCACAATGATCAGCACCACCCTTGACCTGGCTTCCGCTCAGCTCTTGTGAAACATGCAGAACATTTGGCATCTCAAACACTTGGGAGGGATGCTTCAGCAGACTAAACTTCCCATTCTTACATTTTCTGAGATTTTCTCCATTTTGCAGTTTAGGCCATCAGAAAGTCAATCATCTGAAAAGTAATTAATCTGAAAAATAATGCCTAATCCCTCAGAAAAAAATGCCTTCCCTGGGTTCAAAGCTATGGCCTTAAGGCATTAAGGTGGTGCCCTCTGACCTTCTTGGGGGTCTCAGACATTTTTGAGAATCTAATTGTGGTTCCTTTCCCCACAAAAATGCACGTGTATTTAACCTGGCCTGTGATTTCAGGAGGCTCACGGACCCCCTGCAACTCCTGCACAATTTGTCAAGAACTCCTGATACAAAGTGTTGACAAAAATAGGATTCATTTGAACCACATTTCCATGGCTTGTGCAAAATCAGCAAAGAAAAATGTGATGAGTTACAACCTCATTTTACTCCTTTTATGAGTGACTTCTGGGACTAATCTCTCCTGTGGTCTAAATTTTAGAAAAAGCTTATCTAAATTGGTATGTTTGGAATAGGGCTGCCAGATTTAGCAAATAAAAATAAAGGGTACCAGCCAGGTGCTGTGGCTTGTGCCAGTAATCCCAGCACTTTGGGAGGCTGAAGCAGGAGGACTGCTTGAGCCTAGGAGTTTGAGACCAGCCTGGGCAACATAGTTAAAATTGGTTTCTACAAAAAATAACAAATTTGCTAGGTATGATGGCATGTGCCTGTGGTCCCAGCTACATGGGAGGCTGAGACAGGAGGATTGCTTGAGCCCAGGACGTCAAGGCTGCAGTGAGCCATGATCACACCCCACTGTACTCCATCCTGGGCAACAGAGCAAGACTCTGTCTCAAAAATAAATAAATACATACATAAATAATAAAGGATGCCTAGTTAGGTTTGAATTTCAGGCAAACAAGGAATAATTTTTTGGATTAGTATGTCTCATGCATGCAATGGTTGGAACATACTTATACTTGAAAAATTTGTTATTTATCCTAAGCTCAAATTTGACTGAGTATCTTGTATTTTATCTGGGCATCTTTCTTTGGATGAAAGCTTTAAAAGCCAATATTCCCTTTTTGCCTTCGCTGACTGGAAGCCTCCATGAGTGGCTGCAAGAAGCCTTTGTATTTCTCAATATTGAAAATCCGTGCTCCCTTCGGGTAAATGTGAAAACCTTGAGTCCTCCTTTAATGCTATTTTAAAATTTAAAATAAAGTAATGTCTAAAGACAAGCATGTCAAAACAATTGTAGCTTTAGCATAATTTTCCAAATGGCACATGCCCCTGGCCTCCTGCTTTTTTCCTCATCCATGAAGATCCCTCTCCTAAGGAGACTCTGATGCTAGAGGCTGCGAGGGAAAGAAAAGCCATTAACTCCTTGAAAGTATGTCATTGTTCTTTCTTATTGCAAGGTAGTACATGGGTTTGTTTTAGAAATGCAAACATTATAGTCATTTACAATGCAGAAATGAAAGCCCCCCCACCCCCCGTCACCTTCCCCTAAGAGATAACTCTTGTGAGATAACCACGGTTAACAGTTTGTGTCATATATAAAACAGTTTATACGTGAAATCTACCATAAATCTTTAAACTGGGAAAAACTCAATCCTCCTATTTTCAGAGAGATAGAGAATGAGCACTCAAAATAAATAAAATGCAAATTTATATTTCTTAATTGTGGACTGTTATGGGTTGAATTATGTTTCTCGAAAAGATGTGTTGAAGTCTTAACCCCACCTCAGAATGTGACCTTGTTTGGAAATAGAGTCGTTGCAGATGTAACTAGTTAAGAAGAGGTCATACTGGAATAAGATGGGCCCCCAGTCCAGTATGACTGGTCCTTATAAGAAGAGGAGGAGGAAGAGACAGAAATGAAGACACAGGGGGAAGGCCGTGCAATGGTGGAGGCAGAGATTTGAATGATGCTTCTGCAATCCAGTTAATGGCAAAGATTGCCAGCTGTCTCCAGAAGCTGGAAGAGAGGCATGGAATAAATGTTTTCACAGACCCCCAAGAAGGAACTAACCCTGCTGACATCTTGATCTCAGACTTCCAGCCTCCAGAATTCTGGGGCAATCAATTTACGTTGTTTTCAGCCACCCAGCTTGTGGTACTTTGATATGGCAGCCAAGGAAACTAATACATGGCTTGAATCGGACAATATGCTTGTTGCTTTTATTATTCAAAGGGCTAAGACATGAACCCCTTTACTATGTTTACTTTCAAAATAATTCCTAGAACAAACAAATGTGTTCAAACGCAGCAGCAGTCATCCCATGATATCCTGTATATTTTCTGTGGGTCTCTGAGCTTCCTCTGCTCCTCCTTCTTCAATTGCCTCCTCCTTCCACACATGCCACGAAACCTCCATCCTTATTCTTATCCTAAGTGTGATTTCCAGCACGGTAGGGGCTGGAAGAGGGAGGAGTTGGTCAGGAAGTATGGCGTCCTGGGATGCACCTGTATTAATGATGATTTATCCTCTTTAAAAACCAGAAACAACCCCATAGAAAGAAAGCTCCCAGTAAATCTCAGAGGACCATGCAGTCTCAGTGACAGGTACTTTGTCACCCCTTAGCATTCAGCACCCACCACTTTCTGCTCGAGACTCCACCATTACTGTGACTCAGCTATTATCTGTTTGAGTTTCTATTTCTCCTGCCACTACAAAGCAAAACTTTTCTCTGTGTTTTATCTTATTTTTCCCTACATCTTTCTGCTTACAATGTGTGTTTACTGTAGGATGAGAATATTCATTCTGCCAGACAAGACAAGAAAAACAAATAGAATGGATGAAACTCACAAGATATGTTTAGCAGAGATAGTGAGTAAGCAAGTGGCTTGCGAGATGCAGGCAGAATTTATGAGCTGTGTTGAGTCAGTAACCTGCAAAACACGTTGAAACTTACAAGAATGATATGGTTCTTTTCCACCCCACTCCCTCACCTTTTTCTCTGTCATCCGTGCAATGGCAACTCCAGACTTGGGAAACTGGATGAGGAACTAGGTTTCTGATTCTGTCTGGGACTGCTCTCCCTTTCACAGGAAGGAGTTAGACAAGAACTACGCAGGCATAGGCATACCCTCTGTAGCCTGGCACACTAAGGGAGGGGTAAATAATTCTGAAGTGTGCCAGCAAAGTAGAGAAAGGGCTTTGCTCTAGAAATCGGATGATCTGTCTTCTGCGTCTGGCTCTACAAATACAAAGAAGAAACACAAATCAAGAAAACTCCATGATTGGATCTGACACCACTGGAAATAAGTTCCATACCCCCGGCAACCCTCATTCTCGGTCAGGGGTGGGTGATGAACTTCTTGTCTTCAGTGGCGGAAGAGGGGATGTCGAGAGGAGGGGTAGGGTAGGTGGGAAAACGGCAGGCAATCCTGTCTTGGGAAGTGGGATCTCCATGTTGCTAACACTCTCCAAGCTCAGTTCTCTGTGGATTAATCTGAAGAAATGGGACTCAGCTACCTGGGAGATTCCTGGAATCCTTGCTGATATCTCAGAAACTAGTTAGTCTTGGAATCATCCCCATTAGGATTTCAGCTGGAGTGGACAGTGGCTGGTGCTGAATCACAACTGGGGCCAGGGTGAGTTTGTATTCCTCAGCGGGAGCCCTGGAAGGCCCAGGCAGACCAGGTCACTCGATGAACTTCAAAATATAGCAAACCTGTGCTTTCCTGGTTGAATGTTTTAGACTTCACTTCTGGTGTTAAGCCAAGGCTTTACTGTTATTAGTGTGCAAACTTGGGGAAGATGTATTTCAGTTTCAGTATCTCCAATGACTATAGAAATATCACCTTATTTACTTCAGCAAAACTGTGAGGAAGACCAAAAGACACAGTCAGAAGCAGGTTGACAAGTCAGAGCCCTACTATGTGAAGCATCATGTTTAGGGCAGACCACCTAGTGTCCCTTTCCAAGTGAACTGTCCCAGGTTTAAGAGGAGTGACATTTATTTGCCAGATAATAGAAAAGGTTTGAGCACACTAATAGAAGCCTTGGCATATTTTTTTTCCTTAGTAAATTTGGTAGATAAAAATGAAAAGTAGTGGCTATTAATAGCAAATGTTTTATAGACCCTAGCAAAAAGAGAATGTTTAAGTCCTATCACATTAAACACTAAAAGCCTTATTCACGCAACATTATATCCAAGATACTTCAGGCATTTGAGGCAGGAGGAATGCAAATTAAGATTTTCCTCATCAACTCCTGCTTATTCCTCTTGAGCATTTATGTTCTTAGGAAACTCGTTTTAAATGTACCTTAAATGTACATATGTGAAAAAGACTGAATATTTACCAAGAAAAATTTTCCAAACTTAAAGAGCGTGAGCAACCTAGTGAGTGTTAGATCACTACCGCATTGCTTCAAAATTTCTTCTGACCTTTATCAATGATAGATATTTATTTTTACAGCATAGTTGGCACATGTTTACTATTTTGTGTAATAGTTTCATTTAACGTTTCCCTGTGTGTGGGTATGTGTGTGTGTATTTCCATGCATCGAGAAAGCCCACTGGTTCCCATTTTTGATGGATATTTAGTAAATACAATAATTCGAATTTGGTAATATTTTAAGCCCTAATGTCAGCAAGCAATTGATGTTCTTAAAGCTTTGTTGTGTGGGAGAAAGAGAGTAATGACACCAATCCCTCATTCATCTGATTCTGCCAGTCTTCCAGCAAAGCAGGGAGTATCCTCAGTGCCTTTCCTTCACTGTTTACATTTGGGCTCTCTCCATCCTGCACTGCTGTGGACAATCTACACAGTATATTCCCTTTTCTATTACATGTACCTGCATTAGACCTGAATGGATTATTTTCAAACAGTACAAAGTCACTTGGAGGAATCTAAGTAACTGCTGTTGGAAAAAGATAAAAAATGTCATCACCAGTTAAATAAGCATTGTTTTATCCATTCCCCAGAATTAAAGTCTCAAAGCAGATGGGGGATTGTTACTTTACCAAAAAAAGAAAATAGCTCTTGGGTTGGTATTTTTAATAACGCTGGAGAGTTTCAAGGCCCGGGAATCAAAGACAAGGGCTACCTGCTTAGCGTTGGAACCATGGGTCTCCCAGTTCCGCTAGTTGGCTCCTCCTCCGTCTGTCCTGCAGTGGCGCTTGCAGAAGGTAAGCAGGGTTCCTCCTGCTTTCTGCCTCTCAGTCCCACCGTGCCACCACACTGCCTCCCATCTGCTCAGGTCCCCACCGCTCCCATTACCTTAGTGCCTTTCTTGTGGGAGCACCACATTATGCAACTTTCAGAGCCTTCCTTGGCTTTCACACACACTTTCCTGCCAGACTCCCATTTCTGTAGCCTCTGCTGCATGAATCTGTCCTACAAATAAATGTCTAACCTACTCATGATGCTTGGATGTGCTGTTTCCCAGATAACTTGCATTAAGCGAGAGTGGGGAAGAGAACTAATGCGGGGTTCCCCTTATGTGCCAGGCACTGAGACAGGAAAAACTTGCACAAATTGTTCAATTCAATTACACAACTCTGTGAGGCAGCCTTCCTCCCTCCTCTCCTCCCTCTCTCCCTTCTACAA
Source organism: Homo sapiens (assembly GCF_000001405.40). Lineage (NCBI taxonomy): Eukaryota > Metazoa > Chordata > Mammalia > Primates > Hominidae > Homo > Homo sapiens. The sequence continues at coordinate 36,600,242 of NC_000007.14, forward strand.
ACACTTTAGAGCAACTACCATGTATCAGATTGGATATTCCCTCTAATAAAGAACAAGTATTCACACCTCAGACAAACAGCAGCAAATTAAATGACCAACCCTTAACCCAGTGAGAGGCTCTGGGAGGGCCCCTCTTATGATGAGCACCTTCCCTTGTTGATTCAGGCCCCTGGAGGACTTCTGTGTTTTCTGTTGTTGAAAGAATCCCTTATGCAAGGCAGCGCAGGGCCCAGGACTGCTCTGGTCTGAACTCAGATATGTCTGGCCTGACATATCCCGGGGAAAGGCCCCCGGGAGACGGCGCACACCACTGCTTGGGATGACTTGCCAAGGTCATAGATCTGGTAAATAGTAGGGCTGGGATTTGAGCCCAGGTTCTGGTGGAACAAGAAAGGGAGAGGTGTAGAGCAGGCCGGGTCAGCACCATCCTCAGCTTCCCATAGCCCACTTGTATCTGGTCCTTGCTTTGCCCCCAAGCTGCCAAATCCCATAAAATCACAAAATGGGCCAAGCTGGGCTAGATAGTCCTTGAACGTGAGGCTTCCTGGTTGCCTGTTTAGGGGGCAGTCTCCCAGATACTGCTTTGGGTGAAAAGTTCTGAAGTCCACAGATGATTTGAGAGCTGCCGCCATCTTTTCCTTCTCTCTTTCTCTTGTATGGAGACCGTGTCTAATTTATGAAGAGTGCAGAATGAATATTTTGGGGAAAAATACTGAAACCATATGTGACCCTACACAGAAACCCCCACACACCCTACTCTTCTGCACCCAGGGCCTGTCTGGCCTGACATACCCAGGGGAAAGGCCCCCGGGAGATGGCGCACACCACTGCTCTGGAGGTCTGCCTTCCAGTGGGGTCTGGCAGAGGAAGTTCTGGGAGAATAGAGAGAGGATATATCATCTGGTTTCTGCCTCTGTCATCTCAGGCTTAACTAGATTAGGTAGCACAGTTCTCATAAACTAAGGCTTTAATATAGACAACTTCAAGAAAGTAATTTAACTCTGTGCATTTGATTTGTAAACCTTATAATCTCCCGTGTGTGAGATGAGTCTCATATTGAGGGAAAGTCCCTGTGGCCCTATGATTCATTATACACACAGAGGCACACAGAGGAAAAGAGGGAGGGAGAGGGGGGAAGGGGAGGGAGAGAGAGAGAAACATCAGGCACCAGACTGTGCTGGGCACTCTGTTGGACTCCATACCAGGCAGCTGTGGGCTCCTTCTTCATGGGACTCACCGTCTAGAGGAGCACAGACAATAAACACTTCCCATCTGGGTAACCTGGAAGTCTTTCCTTAATCCTTCTGTGCTTCAGTTTCATTACCAATAAAAATAGCTTAATAATAGTACCTATCTCATTGGGTGGTTGAGAGAATTAAAAAAGATAATCTATGCATGACGTTTAGACTTGTAAGAGCTCAATAAATGTTAGTAGCATTAAGGGCAGTCCAGAGTACTGTGTCAGCACATAGAAGGGACATCTGCCCCACATGTGGGGCTTTCAAGAAAGGAGTCTTGAAGGAAGTCTTATCTAACGTGTGAGTCCTGGAAGGCTAGGAAGAGAGAACCAAGCACAGAGGGGCCAGGGGGAAATAGTTCCAGTATTGCTAACACCGCATGCAAAACCTCAGGGCTAAATTCATCATATCATATCCAAAGGAGACCAACAAACACCAAGTATTACAGTTACACATTTTCATGTAACAGGTAATCCCCAAATTTAGTGACTTAAAATGTACTACACACCAGCAGATCAGTAGCAATAACTACTCAGCACCTGGTACGATGCTTATTCGATGCACATTCAACTTCAGCGAAATAAGTCACTTTCAGGGAAAAAGTAGAGCCTTTCCTCTTTGACCCTCTGCCAGTACAAAAGCTTATGGGGGCAGTGAATAAACAATCAAATAAAAAATTCTAGCAAAATATGACAAGTAAATACAAAGAGGACAAAATGGCAAATAACACTCCATGTTTCATCATTTTGCTTGAATGCAGCTCTTTTTATTTATTTATTTTTACCTTGTCAGCTCCTCTTAGTTTCTTTCTTTTCCTTTTCTATTATTTATTACTTAAGCTCTAACCCTATGATTTATTTATTCAATGAATGAGTCGAGGGATGCATTTCTCTCACTGCCGCATACCAAATGAGAACGCATTGTACAGTTAAACTCTTTCTACTGAATTCCCTTCCTTCCATTGTTTTTTTTTTTTTTCATCCCCTAGGGTGATTGAACTTTTTTTTAGATACATAAAAGCAAGAAAACAAGAGTATAAAATATCCTCCTCATATGCAGAGATAACCACAAATCAATTCTTTTCTAAGGCCATTGAAACAAATTCTTCCACAAACAGAAAAAAAAAAATTCCTCCAAGGGCCTGAAATGAGCACGAAGAGGTACACGTCCTCAAAGCTGACTCTTCTGATACCTTTGATTCTGTAAAAGTTTAGTCATTTCTACAACAGCCAGACTGCAATTTGTCTGGGATGTGGGTAGTTTTTCTTTTTTGGGGGTAATAACTGGAATTTGATACCAGAAGAAGTCCAAGGTCAAGTTACAGAGGGGAAAGTGGAGAAGACCTCACTGGGGCCACCTGCTCACCAGGACTGACCTGGGCTCTTGTTCCCCATGACCGTGATCATAAATGATGATCTCATTTTCTTTCTCTCCGCTCTTTCACTTTATACCAAGAGGCTGTCCCAAAACCTTGCCATTCCACCCCTCTGGGCATACACATCTGCTGGCCCTGGGTGACTGCAGCAACCTCTGGCCAGGGGCCCTGCTTCCTCACTCTCTTCCTACATCTTCAGTAGTGTTTCCCAGAATCTCACAGGGAGCTTCTTTAAAGTACAGATCCTGATTGGGTAGGTTTGTGGTGGGGCCCTAGTATCTCATTTTGAATAAGTGCCCTACCTGACTGCAATGACTGGCCATGTAGGGAAACCCTAATCTGCAGGCTACTGTAGCTATTCAATGTCATCCTCCACCACAAGGAACCTCCATGTCCCCAACCTCTCCTGACAGCCCTCCTCTCCCACCCCCGTCAACAATCTGGGTCCCCTGAACCTACCCCTATCCCCGCAGACCTCCAGGTCTCACCACAAGCTCTTCCTCCAGCTCCACTGTCTTGACTGCTCAGTTGCTAATCAACAGACAAGGGTTGGTTACATCTGGACTTCCTCTCAGAGCCTTCCTCGCCTGCCCCGGCCTTTCTCTCTTAGGTGTCCTCTTCTAGGTCTCATGGTAGCTTGTGCATGCCTAGCTGACTGCACCTAACCCTCTAGCACTAGGGCAGAGGCTGGCAAACTTTTTCTGTAAAGGAATAGACAGTAAATATTTCAGGTTTGCAGGCCGTTTGGTCTCTGTTGTGACTGCTCAGTTCTGCTGTTGTCATAGACAATATGTAAGTGAACGGGCATCGCTGTGTTCCAATGAAACTTAGTTTACAAAAGCAGGGAGGGCAGTGTCTGACCCAAGGGCCATAGTTTTCTGACCTCTACTCTAGGATCCAACAGACTTAGTTTGTATCTGGGCTCCATGTTTAACCTTTTGTCAGTTAGCTAAACTTGCTAAGTCTCAGTTTCTTTATCTATAAAATACATATAATAGCAGAGTCATTTCAGTATTGTCTTAGTCCATTTCCTGCTATAGTCCATATTCTGCTATATTTTCTCTGTCTATATTCTGCTATAGCAAGATACCTTATAGTGTAATTTATAAACAACAGAAATTTATTGTTCACTGTTCATGGAGACTGGGAAGTTCAAGATCAAGGTGCTGGCAAATTTGGGTCTGGTGAAGGCCTCTGCTTCGTAAATGGTGCCTTGTTGCTGGATTCTCACATGGGGGCAAGGGAGCTCTTTTATAAGAGTACCAATCCCAGCCATGAGGATGGAGCCCTGATGACTTAATCCCTTCTCATCGGCCCCACCTCTTCATATTAACAGTGGGTATTAGTTCCAACATATGAATTTTGGGGGGACACCAACATTCAGACCATTGCAAGTATTAAATAAGATAATGTTAAATAGGATACTTGGTGTTTGGTAAGCACATGGTAATATTTGCTTTCTATTATTATTATTAATTATCGTGAGCTTATTTGTTTATCTTCCCAGCTAGACTTTACATTTTTTGAGGCTGAGCCGGTGCTTTTCACCTCCAGAGCCCCAGTTATCCACCTTTATCTATTTCTCTGTCTTTAATAATAGAACAGTGATAGTTGGGCATAGGGCTGCCCAGCCAGGGACTGCACTTCTTAGTCTCTGTTGCAGCCTGGTATGGCCATATGACTAAGCTCTGGACAATGGGGTGTGAGAAAGAAGTGATATTTGCCACCATCGTGCCAACTTCTCCCAAGGGATATGTGTGCCTTCACTTGGTCTTTTTTCTTCCCTCCAGGTGACAGGTGGCAGGATTACGGGCAGCTACCTCAGACCCCAGGATGGAAGCTGCATGTTGAGAATGACCTAACTTTCCCCCAGCCCTGGACTGCTTCCCTCTGGATTACTACATAAAAGGGAAACACTTCCATCTTAAGTCACCAAATTTGGGACTCTGTGACCACAGCTGAGCCCATATCCTGCTCTGTTAAGAAGAGCTGATGCATCCACTCATTCTTGTTGGCTCTGAAATATATGTTACCAACATGAGACCATGACCTCTTTGCTGCTTTCTGCTCCGCTTTCCTTTGAGCTCTTTAGCGGTCAGGCTTAGTGATGCTATCCTCAATTTCTGCCTCTGGAATCTTTGGACTTTGTACTTCATGCATGCTCTTCCTTATATTCCTGCAGGAATTAGGTCATCACTAATGACCTAATTTAGTGGTTTAGCTCATCACTGTGCCCTAACTCCCAACCATTTCCTTGAGTGGAAATTCTGTATGATTTCCCTAGGAAATCATATAGAAGCCAGTCTTGCCTCCTAGACGTTTGACTAGAGCTGGGCTGGATAATCTCTGCCTACTCCCACTCCTCCTAAGGAATTGCATGGAAGGAATTAGTTGAAAAAACAATGAATGAACAGTGTATGACAATTAATTCCAACCACCTAACATTATTTTTAAATGATGGAATTTTCTCTTTCCACATGCCAATGAACTTGAGATTCTAGGCGTTTCCCCTGTGATGAGTAATTTCATGAGCTCCATTTGATGGCTAAGGAATGTGGGGGAGAGTGAAGCAGGTGACAGACATAATTAACCAGGGGACAAGAGATTGTCCTCTAGTTGCAGCAGCAGGCTGGATAGCACAGGCATTGACTGACTCACACTGCCTCCTGATACAGAAGTCTTTATTTCATGTTCTGGCAGAGCAGGTATGTGGGCTGAGTAATTATAAATGCTTTTCAGAAGTATGGAGTTTAAAATAATTTCCTCTTGTAGTTTTCATAACAACTGGTGTTTGGCTTTTTACTTCTCTCAGTAGGCAGCAGGGCCAAGATGATGGATGTTCCCATGAGCCTGGGAGTGCACCCTACATGGCTGGCAGGTGAGAGACGCAGATTCTCACCTTGAGTAGGGAGAGAAGGGCATCGAGTTGATCAGAATTCAAGAACGGCCTGTCTGGCCTGTTCATGAACAGGGAAAGGAAACGGAAGAACATTCTGTCTCTTGTGGCCTCACTGCTGCTGGAGAGCAGAATTCACCACGGTGAACACAACTCTCTTTTTCTGACAGAATCAGTGAGAAGTAACTAGGATTGAGGTTTCTCTCCTCATCACCTAGCATCTTTAATCCGCTAGCCTGCAAGATGGCTGAGGAGCAGAAGATGTGATTTTGTCCAGTTTTACTAAACAATAGCTTTTCTTCATCTTAAAATATAATAAGAAAGCACTATAATGCTTAGATATTTCTGGAGTCGACATGAAGGTAACTCAGATAGAATTCCCATATTTTGTATGCATCATGAAAATCTTCCTCTGTGCTTAAGGGAGGCTTTATGTGCAGTGATAAATCCAGACAGCGGGAAGCAGGGCGGGTGAGTGAGCGTAGGGTGACAGCTTCGATACTGCCTGTGCTGTTTGTGGGTTAATAAAGAGTAGCCAAATCTGATATACAAAATCATCTCAAAGGGAGAAATGAAGTGCATATAAGCTTGAGAGATGGGAGCCGCTTTGCTCTCTAGTGAATATGCATTTTCAGCAGCTAGATTAAGGATTCATTTTGTCCTTGACACAGCACGAAATTCAATCTGCGCCTACTTACCCTACAGACAACAGCCTGCCAGGGGTCGTGCAAAGATTTTATAATGGGATAGGCAACAGCCTTAGCTAGCAAAATAAACATTTGGGAAATTGTATTTCAGAATTGCTTCTCTCTCCTCACCCCCTCCCCCAACCTGTCATGCAATTCTGATTCAGTGAAATGCAGCATTTAATATGTTGGAAATAATTTTTGAACAGATGGGGGAAGAAGCAGGAGGGCAGCATCCCTTGCTGGCCTCAATGATCTTTCCACCTCCTCTTCTTTTTCAACAAACAACTCAAGCAGAGATTGTTTTTTCCCTTGAAAGAAAAGAAGAAAAAAAACAAAACCAGCATGAAAGTGTTTTTGGATTTGCTCTTCATCTTCCTTTGACATCTTTCTAAGTTGAGGTCTTTCTTGTGGCGTGAGAAGGTCGATTTGAACCTAACTACTGAGGTTTAGATATTTCGGAGAGAAGCTCAGGTTGTTTAAGAAGAAAGGGAGCAGACAGGTCGGAATGAGACTCAGAACCCTTTGTGTCTCTGGAACCATGAGAGAGAGTCTTCATACTCTCTTTATTGAACTACAAATATCTTTCCAGATGAATACACTCCTAATCTAATTAGCTGTAAACAGGACTCCCGGGTGCCCCACTACTTAAGCAGAGGATGGCAAGAGCAGGAGAGGAGAGGGGCTGCTGCAGGGAGAATGCCTGACAGTGGATTCCTTTTCAGCGAATACAGCTGGGATGGGGTCATGTACGCACAGATGTGTTTTCTGCCTTATAGGGAGACAAAGGCAAAGAAGTATCAACTAGCCTCATAGAAGGCAGAAGGGCCCATTATGAAACAATGCCCACTTGTTTTTCTACAGCATTTACTGTGCTTGCCAGACAATACGATCAGGTCCTTGGTGCAGCAAAGGAATGGAACGAAACATGTCTGGGCTTCCTGAAGGGTCTTGATTTGTAAATGCATTCCTACCATCAGACCCCAAGGGAGACTCCTGCTGGTGTTTGAGGTCTTTAACTGGCACATGAGGCAGGCAGTACTCATAGGGTGCAATGAGACAACTCCTTCCTTTTTCCCACTGCACACTCATCTGTGGTGCTAATTCATCCCTTGCCCTGGAAGAAAATCCAGACCAGCCCAATTATGCACATGCTCATTCTCAGAAACATACACTCTTCCGGTTATATTCAATTCCATTTCAGAAAAGAAAAATGTTCAGTCTTCACAATTTTAAGTAAAACTTCTTGCTCCCTGTCCATCCTGGGCTTGAGGCTGATTATCTGCACCCAGGGATGGGAATGTGGTCCACTTTCTTTGTCTACTTGGCCAGCTTTTCCTTCCTCTTGCTGGCTGAGACTTGCGGTGGAGGGAGAAGAGGTACAGTCGGGTGTGATTGCCTCTAGCCGGGCAGATATCCAAAGCTGACTTTCTATAATGAGGGCTGTTGTGGGGCTCTTGAGAGGCACTGTGGGGAACAGGTGACTGAACTTGCCATGGTGGAGTGTGTGCATTCTCTGCACTCCACTAGTCACTTAAGTTTGCTGCTTCAGCCCTGCTCAGCTGGAGGTTAAGCCCTGTGAAGTCACCTTGCCCCTGCAGGCCATCCTCTGCAGGATGTCCAGTGGCCCAGGCTGGCTCTCCCTTCCTGGGGCTCATGTCCTTGTCCAGGGCCCACGCTCTTTCTGTCCTGCTGCCTCGGTCACTGCTCTTACATTCCCCATGGGGGTGTCCAACACCAGTCCTCTTGGGCTCAGTCTCTGCAGACCCCTATCCAGTTATCTTAGTGGCGTCTTTACAGTGAGGGGGAAGCACACTTACCTTCCCCGACAGGGAAAGCTGAGCCCCACTGTCCCTCTGACACTGGCCATTCCCAGCCTCAACTCTTCTGGACCTTTGATTCTGGAGATAAGTGACAGGTTGCAGAATTGGCTTCACTCCCTTCCTTTGCAGGCTCTGTGGACATGGTCTCATCTTTCACTTGGAAGAAATATTGGTGGTGGGAAGGTGGGAATAATTTGTCCACATTGTCTCAGGCCTTAGCTAAAATGTAGATAGAAATAAATAGTCCAATTTTTAACATTTATAAAAATGATTCCCGATTTCTGACAAGGTAGCCATCATTATTTATACTTTTTAGATGAGGAAACTAAAGCTCAGAGTAAAGAAGTGAGTGTAGGTGGCTCAGCCAGGATTTGAACACTGGTCTGTTTGAGTCAATGTCCGAGACTATTCTACATGTAAGTTAGGGGCTTGAGATTCTCCACTGGGCACTGTCATGACTGTGGAGTGAGCTTGGCATGTGGCTATCAGTAGGGTGGCCAGACATCCAGACTTGTCTGAGCCAGTCCAGGTTAATGCCTGTTGTCATGGCATAATTATGGGAGCAATCCCTCTTCTCTCAAAGTGTCCAGTTTGGACAATAAATTATATGCTCACCATAACTATTAATATTAGGAGCTGTTGCGGCGGGGAGGGGGGGGGGTCTGGTACAAAGAGACAAAAAGCACCAGAAGTTTCCTAACAGGGATGGCTCTTTAGTAGTCTCCAAAGGCTGGCTGAGACCCTGTGGGAAGACCTGCAATTGGCAATGAGCTCTAGGCAGTCTCCCCCAGAGGAAGGATGCTGGGGGACAGCCCAAGGTCAACCCCAACCCGGTGAGTCATCTGGCTGGGGTAGGGTGGCATCTTGAGGAACCCTCATAAAGTATACGGGATGGGAAGGGTGCATCGTCCACTCTTGATTCCAGACTTCTGAGTTTGTTCATCTTGTTTCTTCCCCACTGTACTTTTCTAGCTTAGCACACTTTTACTGGAATTACAACTAGAATTTTCCTAGCTGGTCTTGCTGCCTGATCCCCGCTCTCCCCCTAAACCAAATAAATTCATCCTGCCCACTGAAATCAGAGTAAATGTTCTAGAATTCAAATCTGCCCCTTTCTCAGTTTAAAACCCTTCAATGGCTCCTGCTTGCCTTCAGGATAAACTCCAGCCCTTTGAGATCTGCCTCCCATGCACCTCTCTAGGCTCTTGTCTCACTGTCCCACCTGGTGCTGGATGAGCTTTAGTTCAGCTGCACTGAGCTCCTCCTCAGAAGGCTGGACCCTCTTGCTTTCAAGCCTTTGCACGTACTCTTTCCTCTGCTAGGGCACGCCTTCCTAGGTTGACTGGGACCTGACTACCTCCAGCTCTGTTCCCCTGCTTTGAACACAGTGTCTCTCCCTTCAGGCAGCCTTTCCTCCAGTTTGCGGGGGAGCGTGTGCACATTACAGCACTAATGGCTCTAGAACTGCTACTTCTTCGTCCGCATTGCCCCATGGGGTTTTAAGCTCTATGGGCACCAGGGATCTTTCCATCCTTTTCCCCATTGTCATCCGATCACAGGGCTTGGCACATAGTAGACCTGGCTAGCATTTGTTGAATTAATTGTTGCATGAACAGTGCTGTGCTGCTGGGCCTGCAGAGATGTGACTCTAGAATTTTTGCCTAAGTTAGAACTGACATTTTGTTTACACTTGCCACAAGCACGAAAAACCAGACAATGGAAACACGAGGTGTCTGAGCTCAACACACCTCATGGCTATTGGCTAAGCCTGGTATTCTTACCTAGGCTGACTCCTTGCACAAATGAAGAGATTCTGTAGATAATAGTTTTTAAAAATTGGAAGGTTTTTTTCTTTTTTTCTTTTTTCTTTTTTTTTTTAAGGAGAATGCTCCATAATAGCAAAAAAAAAAAAAAAAAAAAAGAATCGGTTTAACATCCTGCTGTAGGTGGGTGGTTTAGTAGATTATTGCATGGCCCCTGAAAAGGTCATTACAGAGCAGCAATAAATATAATGAGTATAAAAACAAAGTCGTAATGAGGAAAATACTTATGAATTGAATAAAAGAACTGCCAATTGCAAACTTGCTCTTCTTGTAACAGCATGACGTGTGTATATATAATATACATATATGCATACAAGGGGGAGTGCTGGAAAGAGTGCAAAAATACTGTGAAAAATTTAAGATGGTGGGGTTATTTTTTACTTCTTAAAATTAGCTCTATCATTGGCTTTATAACTTTTTTTTTTTTTTAAAAAAAAAGAATATTAAAGAATATTTCAAAACAAGCCTGATACTCCAAAATGTTAAGGTGACTCTCTCTGGGTGGTAGTATTAAGGAGGAATTTTAATAATTTCCAAATAATTTCTTTATTTTCACATTTTCTCAATCATATATTTAACATATATAATTAGATAAAAACAATAAAGCGTATGCACTCTCTTCCTTCTCCCACTCTGGGCAGTCATGCCTCCTTCCCCAATATCTTGATTGTGGTCACATGACTGGCTTTGGCTGTTGGGTTGATGGTGGACAGGGCACAGATTGCCTTGTTGCGCTTTGACATCACCATGACAAGAAGACGCTCTGGATAGATTGCCCAGCCAAGAAAAATGAGAGACACATGGCACACACCTGGGCCCAGCCTGAAGCTTGGCGCCAAGACCAACATAGCTCAATTGAAAACAGCTGATCCCAGACCACCCCGGACGCACGGGTGAGAAGAAATGATGGTTGTTTTAAGTCACTGGAGATTTGGAGTGGTTGGTGGTTATTATTTTGACAATAACTTGGTGATAAAGCTTCATTTTCAGTATCAACATCCTGAGCAAAATGGATCTCTTATTCTTGTCCCGTCTCCTATTCTTACCAAGTGGCCAGGCTGAGAGTGGCTGGGCCAATTTTTAGCTTGGAGAGGAATGTTAATCTAGAGAGATTTTAATAACCCCGGAACACTAGAGGCTTAAAACAGGTGACAAAATGATGCTGAAACTGTAGTGTTGTTCCTCCTACCCGTAGTGTTATTACCATCTTGATAAGACTCGTGAATTCCAATGAACTGTTATGCCTGATTTGGGTTTCTCATCAGCCCATTCTCACAGGCATTTCTCAAAACAATTTACTGCCAAAACGTAGGAGTGGGGAGTAACCCAAACCAATACCAACAAATGCTGTTCGACAGCACTTGAATCAATTCATTGCTGCAAACAGCAGATGAAAACGATTACAATCTAAATTTTACTTGTTAAGTCTCTAGGATGGGGCCGGCTGCTGGGCTTGCTGGAGTGATTTTCTTAAAATGTCTACTGGGTGGGCCCCTCTTTTTCCTGGAGAATTAGCACACTGCAGAGTGAGCCACTGTCCTCCTGGAGAAAGTGTGGGCCCCAGGTTACGAAGACACTCCTTTCCTCAGCCTCTGAGGCCAGAAGCAGGAACAGGGAGGACAAGTACAAGGATTTCAGGCAACCTCATTAACGATCACCACTGCACTGCCAGAGCCGTGTGTCAGTCTACTTTGTCTGGTTGGAATTCAACATACTGGTCCGCAACATTTTCATAGACCTTAGCTCATTGAAGCACACGGCCCTTCCTGACACTGTTACTATCATCATTTACAGAGTCTCTGGTTAAGCGGCTTGTTCAGGATTACGCTGACAGGCAGTCATTCCACCACCTGTTAGTTGTATGACCTTGGGCAGTCCACACAACCTCTCTGAGAATCTGTAAAGTGAGGCAGTGTTGTAATAACACTTACCTTAGAGGGCTTTTGCAAAGATTGAATTAAAAAATGCATTGGTTTTCCTTAACTGGTTTCCTTAGCTATTTGCTTAAAACAAATAGAACAAACAAATCTCCAAGATCTTGAGCCACAATATTTGGTACACACATAATACAAATTCAGTGAAGAAAAGTGAGAAAAAAAAAGTTACCTATAATTCTACCATCCAAAGATAGCCAGTGGTAGGTAACATGCTGACCTACAACTTTCCAATTATTTTTTTGTTTGCACACAGACACACATATATTCACAAAATTGGCTCATACATACTATTTTGTAACCTGCTTTTGTTGCTTAACCGATTATCATAAACATATTTCTTGCCCATAAATATGTCTATTAATATGTGTATTAACTGGTTGCACAAAATTTCATTGTACAAATATAGTATATTTTTACATCCCCTATTTTTTGATTTTTAGTTTCTTTCCTCATTTTTGCTCTTATAAATAAATACCTCTGTGATGAATATTCCTGTACATATATTCTTGAGCAGATAATTGATCATTTTAAAAGGCAAATTTGCAGATGTGAAATTACAGATGTGAAATTTGCAGATGTGAAATTTTTAGTTAAAAATCACAAATATTTTAATGTTGCCTTATACATGTTGCCAGATTGCCTTTCAGAGAAGTTCTAGTAACTTCATCTCTTGTTGGTGAATTAACATGCCTATTTCACCATATTTTTGCTAAAACTGGGTCTTTATCACTTTTAACCTTTGTTTGTTTGACAACGATAAATGAATTGCATTGTTATCTTAATTTGTTTCTTACTGCTGAAAATGAAACTTTTATATTTACTGGTTATGTTCTTCATCATTAAAAATTAGATTTTTTTCTTATTGCTACGTAGAAACTCTGTTAATTAGAGGATTTAAATCTTGCCTTATATTTTGTAAGTATTGTTCTACTTTTACATTTCTCTTTTAATTTTGTGAATTTTTTTGACATTGTACACATTTGAAAATTGTATGTAATTATATCTAGTTTTTTTTGTGTGCTTCCTTTTACAATATTATGCTTAGAGAGACTGGAGTATTTCTTAAAATAATTTTTTTTCTGGGAAGGCATATGTCTGGTATATTTTCTGACTCTTTGAATGACTGAGAATAAGCTTCTGTAGTCCTCATGTGAGAACAATAGCTTGCCATACAGCACTTTCAACACAATTTTTCCTTCTTAAAATTCTGTAGAGAGGCTGTTCCGCTTTTTCCTGAAATTTAGTGTTTAGTGATAAGTCTGATGCCAGATGGATTTTCCCTCCTAGTATCTTCCCTCGTTGTTGGTTTGTTGGGCAGGATGATTCCAAGATTTTTCTTTATCCTTGGAATAAATAAGGAAAAGCAGGAAACACAGAGAGTCTATTTTATACCCTGGCCTGGCACGTAGTGGGGGTTGTGGGCTGAAGACGGATTTCCCCAACTCAAGAAAATTATCTTGTATTACTTATTTAGCCACAGCTTCCTCTCTGCCTGATGTCTTTTCTTTTTCTGCAGTTTCTATTCAATTGCCAGGACCTTTCCTGCATGCCTCTCTCCTCTCTTCCCTCTTGATTTTCACAACTAGCCTTTCTCCTGAGTTCCAGAATTTCCCCAGCTGCCTGACCACTTTGCTCTCCTGTTTTCTGCACCATCCAACTTGCAAGTCAGTATTGCCACTGTATTTTTAGATCAGGTAGTTGTTTCACCTTAAGGCAGTCTTCCCTGATTTCTGAGTTCTTCTTTTTCATGTGTGCAATTTCCTCTCAATTATTGTTGAGAACCTGAAGTTAACATTTTGCAAAATGTCACTCTCTTTCTTCCCATAAGCGTTTTTCAAAACAGCGCTCTTCATTTGTATTCTTGAGCAGTTTTCATATGTATCCGGATGTGTTTCCCCACTTGCTCATCTTTACAGAGGGAGAGCTATGCTTGCCCAGTGTGGGGGCTTGGGAGAGGTTCAACCAGAGACTGTTTGAGTTCATGTTCAATTTATTTAATCTAGGAAGAGGAGGTCAAGGAAAAAATGATAATTTCTGCGGGTTAATTTCTCTGGATCAGTTTCAGTTTTCTGGGAGAGGGAAGAGGGAAGCACATCCATAGGTGGCTGTATGACAGGGCTTCCCCACCGTGCCCATGTCCCTTTCTCGAGGGCAGGGGCACCACCCCCTTCTCTAATGGACACGGTGGCTCTTGGGACGAGTCTGTTGTGGCACTGCCCCACATTTTTTATTGTGTTGTTTGATAGGTCCATCCAGAAGTAATGGCTGTGAGCTGCTATTCCCTGTGCAGTGCATCAGACCCGGGCAGGGCTTTATGTGTGTGCAACCAGTGGGTCCCATGAGGTCCTTCGCTTAGAAAGGGCCCTGCACTGGGTTTAATGCTCTGCTGCCCCACCTTGAACTTCTTAACAATCTTATTTTTGAATTTGTGTTTGTTATGTGAGTGAAGTCCAGTGGGCCAACTGAGCATGTGTGAGCGAGGGGACTGGAAACGGGGTCGACTCTGGATCCTGTCTCCTGCCACCTCTCAAGATGGGTTCCTGGCCACTCACTCCCCAGCCTGTCTTCTCCTTCTTGCCCTGCGACTGCTGCACCCTCCAACAAAGTGGCAATTAAATGGTGTCAATGGGGGAGGCCTGTGTTCCAATGTTAACCTTTGGTCCTTTTGGGAATCTGGGCACAGGCAAGAGGAAGATTGGGGTTGGGCATGGTGGCAGCTGTCACCTGCCCCAGCCGGCAGTGCTGGCATCTGGTGGGCAGAGGAGACAAACTCATTACCCATCCAAATAATTAGCATGTTCCAGCACAGAGGTTTGAAGACTTTTGGGGGTCACCTGACTGCTGTGGACTGGGGAGACAGGCCCTGGGAAGGAGAGATTCCTGGCTTACCTGGGGACCCATGGAACACTGGCAGGAGGAGGAACCCAGCAGCTCTCAGGCCTGAGTGTTTCAGGTTGGGAGCCTCAGTGCCTGGGAGGGTCTGTAATTGCCCTAAGCATCTCCTGGCCTGAGGAAGTGTTCAGTCTGGTGGACTTGTGCTCCTGGGAAGCCTCTATTCCTCCTTCCAAACTTCCCGAGTCTGGCTTGCCTTTTCTGTCTTCTGGGCAGCTGAAAGCACCCTCCAGGGACAAGCTACTACATAAGAATTGTGTAATTTCAGTGATTCCATCTGCATAGGAGTTCAGTGCTGTTACAGTGGCATGTAAAACTGGCATTGCATAATGTGACGATGAACATAACATTTGTGTCAATAATTTAAAAATTTATTTTTTTAGAATGACATTAAATAGCAAATAAGAAAATACCATGACATATTGAGGGAGACTGCCAAAGAAAAGTGCTTTATATTTTAGCACCTTTAACGGAACTTTCGAACAAGGTTTGCTGAGGGCACCTGTACTTTTATTTTGCACTGAGCCCTGCCAAGTATGTAGCTATCCCTAGGCACAGGTTTTGTTACATTTCCTCACGATAACTTATGGCCACAGGAAGCCCCAACTGCAGGTGACCCATCTGATACCACTGAACCCCCTGCTTGTGTGTGTGGCATTCAGACTGCCCTTCCCTGCACCCTCCAGCTCCCACCCTTTGCCACACAATCTCCCCAGGTGTTTGCACAATTTGAGAGGAAGATAATGGCCCTCCTGATAATGCAGCAGGTGTGTGCTCAGGTGATGAACTGGTAATATACAGGGTTGCCATTATATGTCTACCCCATATTTAGGTGTCATTCATCTGAGTAATGCATACAAATCTCTCTTATAGTGCCTGACACCTGATATAGAGTCAATAAATGTTGGTTTCCCTCCCCTTTCTTTGCCTTCTCTGTCATTGTTTGCAATTTTGCCTTGTGGCCCTCTTCTTTTTTTTTTTTATTAAAAAACCCTCCCAGACAGTCTCATCACTCTTTGGGAATGGATGGCGGGCTTGTCTGTCCCCTGATGCCTTCCGTGGAGCACAGCAGAGGCCATCAGGAGCCGAGCAGCCTGCTCTGCCCAGAGCTTCTTGCTTGCTCAGACGAAAAACAAGCTGGACAGGCCCCGGAGTGCCTCATCCTGACCTCCACGGGGAAGCCGGCCCGGTGGGCTTTGTCCTTTCTGTGCATTCTCCACCTTCTTGACTCCCCACTGCTGCCTTCAGGGTTCCTGGCAGCAGCTGGGCTGAGGCTGGGGAGGTGAGTAGAAGGAACCTTTTGCCATTTGTCTAGGACTGAAATGACTGTGGATATGCCTTTCATGGCAGATTTTGCTAAAGAGGGAAATTTGCACCTGTGTGGAGTTGGCATCCCATTTAGAGAGAGCAAGAGGAAACAAAAACAAAGGCCAGCACATCTGGAATGATTACTGCCAAAATTACTTACCAAAGACATCTGCGACGCTGTGATCCATTCAGGAGAGATGTGAAAATGAGCCCCAGCTGAGTCTCCCAGCAAAATGATTCCCCTGGGCTGTGAACCTAGGCAGCACAATTTATTCACATTATTTATGCACTCAAGTAGTTTGGAACCTCCAGACTGGGTAGATATAAGAGCGGATACCCTAGTGTGTATTCCAGGCACCGAGCATTTTCACAGTAATGCATTACCACTTTTCGCATGTTTGAGAGTGAGGGGCATAGCATTTCGGAGCTGAATGAGATTTCCAGGCCATTGGAGCTGCTAGCTAAGATGTAGAGATGCAGGTGTGTTTCCCAGCTCAGCATAAAACATCTTGAGTGAATGATGGATGAATAAGTGAATCAAAGCTTTATCTGAAATCCGAAATATACCCAAATTTTGGTTCTGGAAATTGCTTTCTTGAAAACACACCAACGTCCATTACAATTCACTTTAAGGGTTAATGATCTTATGGAGCAATTTTGATTTTTCAAGGATGTTATGGTCTTTTAAAGCCTTTAATCCATACAGGCAAAAACACTGGATAGATGATTCTGACTGATGGAGACACGGAGATAGAAAGGTCTGTATGCAGCCCTGTTTGTTTGGAGGTTCACAATCACTTCATCTGACTCTGAGGCCCATCCACACGAATCAGTCACCTGTGAACTCATTCTTCCAAATTCCTTAAGATCCTGAAAGACTGAATTGATGCCTCCCAGAGGCAGAGAGAGGCACCTCCTTTTTCCACTTCCAAACTCCTCAAGTCATGCAAGAGGGTGGCCTAGTCTCACTGCAGTGGCTCCCCAGGCTGGGCTTCATGGAAACCACTATTTGGCCACAGAAATGGGGACTGAGAAGGCCCAGGACATCCTGGAGGGCACAGGGAGAGTGGGATGTGGGGAATCTAAGAGGCTTTGCACCAGGGTTTCACCTAGATCTGCATATATTTCATTCATTGGTTTAGTTGTTCATTCATTCTTTATTCATCCAACAAATATTCCTAAACTGCATAAATATGTAATGAGCCTTTACATTTTCTATTCCTCTTCCTGCCCTCTGAGGGCTTAAAGACAATTAGGCTTTAAGTTGATACACAGCAAAGACTATATACTTTTTGTCCAAGAAAACTCAGAGCCAAGTATAACCGTTGGTTAGAATTGGACTTGTTGTTCAGAAAATACCTGTTGAATGAGTGAATGAATGAATGAATGAATGAGGTGATTGTGGAAGTGGGGAGAGAAGCATTGCCTAAATATAAAACAGTGATGTTACCATCAAGTGTTGGCATCACCAGGAGCATATTTTCAGTAATGTGTGGGGTGGTGAGGTTTCCCCAATGGAACTGGTGGCCCAGATGTTTGTGCCATCTGGGCACTTAGAGCACAGAGCTTTTGCCCAGCTATTTTTGGGAAGCCCTCACAAGTTATAGTCTGGCAGTCTCTCTGAAGTCATTCAGACATTCAGATATGCATCTTTAGCCTAGTGGACACAGAGACTCATCCCACCAGTAGAAGTCCGGGTGTCTGACCTTGTAGTGTAATTAGAGGAAAATGCAAAAGATTAAAAACTTCAGTTATGATTGCTGCCTATTTTCTTATTTGGAAAAGTGCTGGATTCCCATTGCTCTTTTATCCATTTTGCAACCTAATCGTCAAGTAAAAGAGTCAATTAAACAAATTGTTTTGCTTTTTTAAGATTCTGCCCTCTTTCCTCCTTTTCTGAACCTTTTAGATACTTTATTTTTTCTGATCTGTCATGAAAATAAATGTAAGTTGGTCAGCATAGAGTAAATCCTAGCATCAAGCACGTTCTGACTTAGGTGGTCTGCTCACTTCAATTTGACTCAAACTAGAAAAGAATATCTATCATTATAACCACAATGACATCCACAATTCATACCTTCACAGAATTTCTTCTCATATGGAACTCCATCTTTTGGATCGACACCCTTTAAAAAAGAAACGATGTGATTAGCAGTTTGGTTTTAAATTTATGAGATACATATACTAAAGCTCTCCTAAATGGCTTTAAAAGCACAAAGGCAAATGAGTAGATAAAACCCTTTAAAGTTTCTTAAGCCCCTAATTCAACATAGCAACGCCCTGTGCGAGCGAGTCGGGTTTGGGAGGAACTGAGGGTGGGAGTAAAGAGAGCCAGACACTGAACCATTTCATTCAGGGAGATGCTGGGTAGGGTTCTGGGAGAGGTGCCTGGACCAGGGGTCTCACCCCTCAGAGCATGGAGGGTCCACTGAGTGACTGGACACAGGGTCTGGGCGGATTCTGCAGTCTCTGAGCTGGAGGTCTAAGTGTCCTGACATCTTCAGTACCTAAGATTGATGCTTCTAAAGAAGCAATTCTCAAGGGGTCCATTTTGCACATTCCTTTAGCCCCTGAGGACATTGGCAATGTCTGGAGACATTTTTTGCTGGGGGAGCTACTGGCATCTAGTGGATAGAGGTCAGGGATACTGCTAAATATCCTCCAGTTTGCAAGACAGCTCCAACAACAAAGAATTATCCAACCCAAACATCAATAGTGCCCAGATTAAGAAACCTGGAAGTAACATTGGGCCTGTGAATGGGACTGAATTGGCACAGCTGGGACATCCTAAAACCTAAACTTAAAGCTACCCCTTAGTGGAGCTGCTAGTCCTTGGAAGGATTATTCATAGTATTCCAAGATGAAAGCACTTGCTGATCAGAGATGTGTTAACAAGAGTGTGCTCACTCTCCAGTCTTGAGAGCTCCCCATGCCCATTAAAACATGAAAGAACCTATTAACATCACACTCAACCCTGGGGTCCCTGGGACACAGTATGGGCAAGATTGGACTTCATGGTAAGACTCCCTCTGAGTTTATGATGTTGTGGTTCTGTGAGTGGTGTTTCCTCTGTGGAAGGGGATAGGTATGAAAGTGATATGTCCTTCTCCCATCACTGATGATGAGCTCTGCATCTTGCCTCCCTGAGCTCATGGTGGATTTCCATTGATCTAGTACAGTCTCTCACTTGGCCTTCCTCCTTATATGGGTGACACACCATATCTGAGGCCTGGGTGGGACCATGGAACGAAGACAGGGCATCACACATTGATTAGTCTCCTTTGTCCTCCAACATGACAACTAAACCTGGGTTTTTCAGAACAAGAGCTGACTTGGGGATCTTGTCACCTTAAGCTCTAGGGGAGATGTCTTCTTGTTCTCCATGAAAAGTCAGAGTGACTAGCGGATAGGGTAGGTGGTGTGGGCTGGGGCACAGCTGTCTCTCATGCTTTCCATATCCTAGAGGCCATGGGACTGGAAAGCATGCAGTAGGTGACTGTTGGTGCAAGCCTGGACTATGAGTGTCCTGAAGAGAGGAAAATATTTACAGAAACTTTTTCTTCTTCATTGAAGCAGATAAATTAAGCAACTCTTTAGAGGCAATTTAGACAATTTATTTAGGTAGGTGTGAAAATAATTGCAGTTTTTGCCGTTAATTACAAAAACTGCAATTACTTTTGCACCAACATAATATCTTGAAGTTAGGGAATCTTAAGCTTCAGGGCCCATCACAGCCCCTGCCCATGTGAGTACTGGGAGTGACTGGGAGCAATAGAGTATTCTAGGTGGAGAGGGGAGGCCAGAACATGTTTCCATGTAAACAGTTCTGGTAAACCAGAAATGAGATCTCAAAAGAAAGGGAACTGAATTTCTGAGACTCCAGGAATTTGTTAAGATTTCTGTGATTGTTTTAAAAATTATTCATTTTCCTATTTGATTTTGTATTTTTAAGTAGATATTCTTTTTTTCATGAGGAACCCTCAAATCTTGTAAGCTTAACACCCCACAAACTTAAGCCTGTTGCTGTGTTAGTTTGGCTTTCCTCTTTTCTTCCCTTTTCTTTCCCCGGGAGCTGCAAATCCATTATTCATAGGAAACTAGGACACCAGCATTAAACGCCTCAAGGTGTGAGTGGTCGGGTAAATACTGAGTAATTTCTGCTCTGCCCGGCTAGGCTTATGAAACAGAAAAAAAAAAATGGCTGCAACAAAATAAGGACAGCATGTGGTTTGCTCCAACAGCTGTGTGGGTTGCTGTAAAACTTTGTTAACACCACTCTTCATTTAATTTCACACTGTTCAAAACAGTATAAAGGGATTAGATGTGGGTGACCTTAAGCAAGGCTTAAAGGGGCCATGACTGAGAAAGCCTCAACTCTCATGACATCATTGACACTCTTCATGCATCATCAGGATTCTATACCCCTCTTCTAAGCAGCAGGAAAAGAGTTGCTTTAGGCTGTCATAGTCTTCCCTGGATCTAACTAAAGCAAATATGTGATGAGCTTTAGGGGAGGGAGGAACAAAGGAGAATGGGGTTCAAGCTGAATTTAGTTGCTTACCCAAATGCCATTACAGTTTGAATCCTGATGGACATCCCAGTTGTTCGGCCTAAGAAAAAAACATTAACATTGGTCTTTGACATATGCTTGTCTCTCAGTGGATGTCAGTTTCATGCATGAATGAATGAATGAATGAATGAATGCTACACGAAGTGCCATGGAGAGACAACAGCATTCTTCATGGAATAGCATCACATCCCATTGTGTGTTGTGACATCAGAAGCCTCCATTCAGCTTCCTTGCTTTAACCTTGGTTTGGGATATTTGCCGGAAGCTCCGGACCAAATCCTGTCTTTTTCATCATTGACTATATTCATGGACCGCATTGTTGTGGAATGGTGCCGATGAACATAATGAACAAATCTGCATCCCATTGTGCCCCTAAATGCCCAAATAACTGGTTTATTTAATGCTTTGACACTATAGTCACAACAAAGGCGAGGGCTAGCATATCTGTTTTTTGATACCAGAGATGCAATTGAACCTCAGCCCAGGGCTAATATATGACATGTTTTCCATTCATTAGAGGCTTCTCCTTACTCCCGGAGGGAGAGGCCACTATTTCTGGGCCCAATTCTGCACGGAGAACTGATACAGAAGGCTGGATAAGTGTCTACAATAAGATAATCTGTTCACTTGATTGTTTTTCCCACTTGACTGTAAGCTCCAGAAGAGGAGGCATATTTCTGTTTTGTTTACCACCCAGCACGATGCAAAGTACTTGGCAAATTGTAGGTCCCTGATAAGCATTTCTCGGACAAACGAACGAATGAATGCCGTTCTTTTTTCACTGAGCTTTACTTCAATCGGAACATGAAAATCTCTTCTCTCTGTAAGTGGGAATCCCCTAGGCTGGGGGAAGGAAATGTGCCTCCTGCTTCCTTTTCTGAAGATAATTTTAAAAATCAGCAACCAGCAGAAATAGTTACCTTCTACCTGGGTACACTGACTCGTCGCTGTCATTACAGTCTCTCCCCCGCCAGTGATAGCCCCGCAGTGTCTGAAATTGAAGAGCACACACAGGAGGGGTTCAGCCTGCTTTGATGTTATCCACGAGGAAGGCTAATCAGAGTTGTCTGAATGGCATTGACATCCACAGTTTTTAATTCAGATTCAATCTAGGATCACTAAAGAGCACTAAGAAAATTAAGATTAATATGATAAGACATGCTGCGTGAGTGACATGTAATATAACACTAGGGCCAATATCAGGTGGTAGGGTGTGTGCATGTGTGTGCATATGTGAATGTATGTGTGTGTGTGTGACATTAAGTGCGTGCTTGTATGTGCATGTGTGGGGGTGCATTGTGTGAATGTGAATGTGTATGTATGGGGGCACGTGTATATGCATGTGTGTGTTTATGTGTATTCATATTGTAGATGTGTGTGCATGTACACACGTGTGTTTGTGTGAATATGTGTTTGCTCATGTATGTGTGTCTACAAGCACCTCCAGAAACAGCAGACCCATCCAACTTCCCAAAAACCCTCTACTAACCATCAGTCCTCTCTGGCTGTAAAACAATTGGCTTATTTGGCCAAATGATTAATTTCATTGGATAATTTAAAAGTCTCTAGCCAAATGGTTAATTATGCAGGTTTAAATATTTGACCTGAATGATGTGAATCAAGAGTTATAATAATGCCAGATAATATTTTTATTTCCTCCATCCCCAAGTAGAATATCTGAGATTTCCCAAACTTTTGGGACTTTGTGACATGTTACTTGCTTGTTGGTTTTCACAGGGAATACCCTGACATTTTAACTGTTCTGAATCAAACGCACACACACACACACGTTAAAAAGTAAGTTAACGTAGATTTAAGAAGTTCCAAAATAATTCACAAAACCTTTCAAGGCAACCATAGCCCCCATGGAGACTTCCAGCTGGGAATGGCAACAAAACCAGTCTGGGCCTAAGATTTACTTCAATGCCTTGTGTATCATCACAATGCTACAAAATCCTTAAAAAATATGAAATGGGCTGGCTGTGGTGGCTCATGCCTGTAATCCCAGCACTTTGGGAGGCCGAGGTGGACAGATCACTTGAAGTCAGGAGTTTGAGACCAGCCTGGCCAACATGGTGAAATTCTGACTTTACTAAAAATACAAACACTACCAAGGTGTGGTGGTGCATGCCTGTAATCCCAGCTACTTGGGAGGCACGAGAAGTACTTGAAACCAGGAGGCAGAGGTTGCAGTGAGTGGAGACCATGCCACTGCACTCCAGTCTGGGGGAACAGAGTGAGACTTGGTCTCAAAAAAGAAAAGAAATTGTGAAATGATGTGTTGTTCATCAAATTAATAATGCATTCAAATGAAATTCAGTCTTGTCTTATTAAAGGAAAGAAATGTGTAGGAAGCAATGTGATGTTAGTGAACATCTGGTTATTCCTAACAATACTTACTGGGAAAACGCTGTATTTGTCTGAATCCACATCTTTGAATGGCACAGACTGTTCCATAGCTCTAGGAAAAAGAAAACAAAACAATCGGTGAGCTAACAAAAAAAGTAACAGTGTTGGTGAAAACAAATAGAGAGACATTTTCTGATACAGCTCTGTTGAGTTTATGCCACAGAGGGCCATTCTAAACAGAAAATTAAGATCCTGTGTGGTGTCAGACAGAGCCAGCAAAACTTTGCCAATCTCTGCTCTTTACCCAACAGAACTGTTTTCTGTCTGATATTAACTTGGCCTGTATGAGGAAGTGAAATAATTGAAGTGAAATTTTAAAGGGCAAGGGGTATTGATGTTGAGATTCCCAGGAAATATGAGACTGCACTTTGAGTTCAGTCAATGAACTCAGCACTACAAATTGAATTTTTGCCATTTTGCACATTGTTATAGAAATCTTTTCTTAAAATTTTACTCTTTTCAATCACTTATCCTGAGAATCTTGACCATTTAGCTGATATTAGCTGGCAACTTTCACTCCCATTCATGAGTCTTGGAAGCCAAGGACCCTGATGTGATGACGAAATAAATTGATGCCAAAGCCATGGACATCCCATGAGGGAGGATTTCCCCTGTGGAATCCTCACCACCAGACTTTTCCCAGCTTCTCAATGTCAAAGACTGCCTTGGGTTTAGAAAATCACTTACACAGTAGCAGAATAATGCAGTCATATGGCAATGAGGCAGGAAAATAGGGTCTGGAGGCAGGAAACATAAGGCCGATTCACACTTCAGCTATAACAGGAAATATCCTCTCCATAGGGCATACGCTGTAAATGACTTTGTAACTTTACTTCATCTTCATCCTCTTCATTTACATAGGGCATACCCCAAGTAGAGGATATTTAAACTCACAAAAACTCTGTAATAGGGCCTTTGAGCCCCTATTCTCAGGCCTGCTTCTACACTGTAGAGTGCACTTTCATTTTCTATAAATCCCTTCATTCCTTCCTTGCTTTGTGCATTTCATCCAATTCTTTGTTCAAGATGCCAAGAACCTGGACACCCTCCACCATTAATGGCAAGATGAGGCTTTCTTTGGAGCCGAGAATTTACAGTGAGTAACACAACCTTTTATAGGAATCACTAAATGGTCTTTTGAATAAAGAGCATCTCAACAGTTCTGAGAACCTCAAGGCAAATAAATGCAACCCAAGACCATGCAGAGCCTAAATGGCAGCCTGGAGCCTGTCTTATGAACTCTGGGATGGGACAGAAGTTCAGCTTACAGGCCTCTTTGGTCAAACACTGGAGGGCACTGTGCTGGTTATATTAGCTTCTATGGCTCTACAGCCTGTATTCTACTCTATACTTTTGGGGCTGGGAATTTTGCAAAATATACTTACCAGGTTCCCTTGGGAACTGGAGCTGGCACTGGTGGCAAGAGAGAGCAGGAGGAGGAGCGGAGAAGTTGGTTTCCCGCTCTGTCTTTCTCTCTCTGGATGTTCCCTTCAGTGACTCTACCTCTAGCCACAGTGGGCCCTCCTGAGGGTCCCAGCACCCGTGGGTGACCCCTTATCCATGGCTCCAGGACTGGCCAACATGGCCTCTTGTTTTGCCCCCAGCAACCCCGCAGCAAGTGGCCTCCCAAGCCTGAGAACACCAACTCCTCCCTTTTGCTTCTTCTGTCCCCCTAGGGATGCTGGTTGCCTCCTGCAGTCCTCATAACCGGGGGGCCTTGCCTTCCTCTTTTTACTGTTTCAGCCTTTTTAGCACTTTTTAAACTGGTACCTTATATTAAATCCTCCTTGCACAGCTCTGTTTCCTGACTGGACCACTGAGAGGAGGACCCTGGGATGAGTGAGTGCTGGTTAGGGTAGGGAAAAGTAGGGAGTGTGGGGAGTCAATAGCCACTTAGTGGACCTAATGAAGAGGGAGCTGCAAGCTGATGTCTCATCACTAGTCCTTCCTACATTCCTGCCCTGGGGGACAGGGGAGGCTGGATCCCTGAAAGGACAAGGCAGCAGGCTCCCTCTTAGTGTCTCCAAGAAGAATTATCCTTTTGAATTCAAGTGCTCTTGCCAGATACTGAGTTGAGCATGGTGGTTCAGTAAAGACTCTGGAGTCAGTTGGAGTCACTGCTCCATCCACCGCTTCCTCACCAGCTCGGCAATTCTCAGAAGTTTATTTAACCTCCCTGAGCCTCATTTTTAAATCTGTAAAATGTGATTCCTGCCAGCTCCCTCACAGGGTTTATTGGGAGGATTAAGGGAAACCACATGAAAAGCCCCCAGTATTGGTCCTCACAAAGTGCTTGCAGCTGTGATTATGAGTGCCTGCTGTCCGAAAGAGGAAATTCACCTCCCCCTTCCATTTGGGGTGGGGTGGGTTGAACAAGGCCAGAGAGAGAGCCACCAGCAGGAAATTAGAAACGTTCTACTTGCTGACTCCACACATCCACACTTACAGGAAAAGTGAGAACCAGCCTTGGGGAAGGTGGAAGATTGTCCAGGAACAGTTCAGGTGTGGGCTGTAGCCAAATTCCACCCCCATGATCACCCACACCTTGATTTTCCCATGGTGGGAGCGGAGGGGAATGAAGCTTCCCGAGTGGGCTCAGAGGCTGTGACGCTGCTCTCCCTTATGCAGGAGAGAAGCTAGGGCAAGATCATCCTTGGGATCCTTCCTGCTCTGATGCTCCAGGGTTTCTAGATCCACCCCATCCCTTGTCTACTCTGAACTACAAATGGTTTTCTCTCACTTTAATCATCTGTCAAGAAATGCGGAAAAAGCTTGGACCAAATGACTTGCAGTCATCCAACATCAGCTGTGACTCTTAAGAAAAGTTTTGGAAAAGGCTTTGAAGGTCACATTTTCTGTGAGACTAGGCAGTTTTCCCCATGTATGTATTTGGCCTCTTGGACAGCGTGTATTTTTCTAGTTGAGAAAAGGAAGATAAAGAAAGAGAGCAAGAGCAAGAGACAAAGACAGACAGATCAACAGAGAGAGAGAGAGAGAAAGAGACAGAAATGACGTAGACCCAAACAGCCATATTTTCAGCCTGAGAAAGAAAAAGGAGCTGCAGGAAAGGTCCCGTTTGGGCATGTGCCAAAGCTATCCCCTCCCACCTTTGTTATCTTGGGGGTGAGAGTTTGTCCTTGAAAGAAGGAACAAAGAGTGGTCTTTAAGATTGGAAAGCTGATTTATTAACCTTTGTCTGCTTACTTTAAAGGCCCCAAGTGACTGGCCAAAGCCATGCATTCTAGACATGAGTGGGTAGACTGGGTACTCAGAGTAGCATAAATTGCAACTTGTGTAATCTCCACAATCCCTTCTTCACAGCCCACTAATCAAAATTTTTTTCAACTTAGCAACAACTTCATTTGGTAGCAAAACTTGACCTGAACTGATATAGGGCAATTCGTAAGCTTTATCATACTTAGTGTGAAAATTCATATATTTCACTCTGAAATATAAATGTGATTGATCAAGAGGTGCCAGGGATAGCAGGTGGGTTATGGTATATGCATTATTGATTATTTTACTAGAATATAAAAAACCTGAATTTCAAATCATATCTGGCTCCAAGGCTTCTTGTTTGTTTGTTTTTGTGTTTGTTTTTATAGAGACGGGGTCTTGCTCTGTTGCCCAGGCTGGTCTTTAGCTCCTGACCTTAAGTGGTTGTTCCACTCTGGTCTCCCAAAATGGTGAGATTACAGGCATGAGGCAATGTGCCCGGCAACTCCAAGGTTTTGAATAAGACATTGTTGACTTTACTAAAAATTATTTCTGCAGAATTGCATCTGAACTTGATACCTTATGTATCCTTAGAAATATCTAGCTGTATGTTGAAATGTTCATTCATTCATTCCTTCATTCCACAGGCATTTTGGGAGTCCCTGCTGTGTGCTGGGAATCATATTAGATACCAGAGATGAGTACAAGATACAGTTCCTACAGTTCCTGCAATTTAGGAGCTTGACATGGGTAAGGAAATTAATGCATCAAAAGATAACTATAGTCCTGGGTGAAAAATGCTGTAAGCGGGTTGTGCATGTAGAGAGGAAAAAAACGTTTCTAACTCTGTATAGCAGAAGAAGTGATCTTAAGGTGAAAGCTAAAGGATGAGACAGCATTTTCAAGGCAAGCAATTGGACTGAGGACAGCGTAGTGGGAAGGAAAAGCCACGGGAATTCTTTCAACGTAGCTCCGGGTTCTGAAATTAGATTCTCTGGGTTTGAATCCCAGTTCTGCTGTCTCCTTGTCAGGTGACCTTATGCAAATTATTTAATCTTTTTGTGCCTCAGTTTTCTCATTGGTAAAGTAGAATCAATATCATTAACTATTTCTTAGACATGGAAAGCACTCAAAAAAAAAACAAAACAAAACACATGAGCTCTTACTTCATGTGCAATGGGAACCCTGATTGCAAGGATGGCTCCTCGGGAGGGGCAGCAGGAGTCAGGTGTCTGCTCTCATCATGATTTGGTTTCTAGAGACATCCCCATCCCAATCCATGGCCCCTCTTCAGATGTTCAGATTTCTGGCCACACGACATTCTATTCAATGACCATGCAGCCTGGTGTCACTCGCTGCCCCTGCTCTGCACCCGCCTGCCACCAGATATCAGGTGAGTCGGCTTGATCCAGGGAGCAATTGTAACTGTGGCTGATTGTTATTAATGACACAGTATTGAGCTATTCAAGTTCAAACTCCCTAAAATTATTTCATGAAACTGGGGCATTATGACAAAAGAAAAATGGTGAGAATGAATCTCCATGTGTGCCTGCCTCACATGTGAGACTCAGGTAGCTCTCGAGGGCCGGGCGTGGGTTGGTTGCGTATGTGGGTGGATGTGTTATCCAATGAAATGAGAACAGAGAAGCCATGGAAGGGCACACCTGCCTATAGACGTGGCTCAGCTTGGAGGTGGGGGCAGGACCGATGTGGGTGGAAGTAGCAGGGTATGGGGAAGGAGGAGGCTAAAAAGGAAAAAACATAGCATTGAATTAACACAATCAACAAGAGATAGGATGGTTTGCACATATTTATGTGAAATAATATGGGGGTTTCTGCATATAGACATTAAATAAAAAGAATAGATTTTTAAAAAGAGGGGATCCTCCTGACTTACCACTGTTGAAGTAAAATACAGACAGTGTGTAGGCACTAGGTATCCTGATTAAAACAGAACACCAAAAAACTTGATCACTCCATGGTCATAGCCTGATAGCTACACATTTGTTTTCCTGGTAAAGTGGTGCTTTTCCTTCATGTGTTCCCTCATTTATTCATTGAGCTCCTCCTGCTAAGAAATGGGATCCCTGCTCTCCAGGAGCTTATGGGTGATGTGGGAGACCAGCAAGGAAGCAGGGATTGAAGAATGGGATAAGGCGGAGCAGGCACTAGGGAGCTGGGGGCACTGAAGAGGAGCCAGGAGCACCCAGGAGGGCTGTGCAAGCGACTGAAAGTAACCTGGGAGCTGGAACGCGTCCCTGGGGTGGAGACACCTCAAATGAATTTTGAAAGCATTAGACCGAATGGGACGGAGGGCAGGGAGAGGCACTGGGCAGGTAAGGCATTCCTCCTGGGGGAATTTTATCGAAGGAATATGCCACAGAAGACACGCAGGTCTTGTCTCTACCACGTGAGGACTCCGTGCTAGTGGGTCAGGCATTTAAAACCTACTTGTTCCTCTAAAGCGTAGGGCTAAGAGTTGAGGGGTCAATGGAAAGCAAACTGTTGGATTCAAAGGTCAGATTCATCCATTACCGGATCTGTGACCTTGCACAAATGATTTTACCTCTTTAGAAAGGAGAAAATAATGGTGCTGACCTTAAATGGTTGGATTTACAACAGTTTTTGGTGCATAGACAGCACCAGATAACTTTTACTTATCAATATTTTTACTGAACCACAGATGGCTTTGAAGAATACATGAGACTGCATTTATATGTATACGTGCTTTTTAAGTTGTAAAGCACTGAACCAGTTGTGACCTGCTGCATATGACACTTGAAACACAGTGATTTTTTAGAAAGAAGGAAAACACAGTTTTTGCTTTTTCATAAAAGAATAATTTTCCCTTTCAAATTGGACCAAGAAAATCCCTGGCCACTGATGCTCTTGAATTCAATTTTTCAAAGGTGGTTCAATTGAAGAGTTGTCACTTTGACCCTGTTGTGTCCTGCTGGCCCACATCTAACACAGAAAATACAATAATGCATTCAACAGGGAGGGGGCAGGGGGCTCGATTTAATGGGAGCTAGGCATGATGACATGATTGGGGGCCTGGGGAGCTGGCTGCATCTCAGTCTTCCAGCATCTTCTTTCATGTCTGATATCTGCCCCCTACTCCCCATGTCCTGATGCTCTCTGGATTCATCCCCAGTCATGAAAAGGGGTGTTGCTAGCACTTCTGGGACCTGCAATGGCACTTTACATAGCTGGCTTGCAGGGGCTTATGCCAGAAGATTGGCTAGGAAGAGTTTTTAACTGTTTAACTCTTGGATCTCTCTAAGAGGCTCCAAATGTGGGTCTGAATCATAGCCTCCTCCTGTCCCTGGATATTATTACAACAGATGAGAGATGTTCAGTGGACTTAGTACTCATGAAGCTCGTGAGATGAAGGATGGCAGAACAAGGAAAAGTGTCTTTGTTAGGGGTTGAATTGTGTTCATGAAAAAAATATGATGAAGTCCTAACCCCTGGTATCTGCGAATGTGACCTTATTTGGAAACAGGGTCTTTACAAGTGTAATCAAATCAAGTTAAGATGAGGGCATTAGGGCAGACCCTCATCCAATATGAGTGGTGTCCTTGTAAAAGGAAATGACAGGCACCCAGGGAAGATGGCCAAATATGAAGATGAAGCAGAGACTGGAGCGATGCAGCTGCAAGGCAAGGTATGCCAACGCCTCACGGCCACCATTGGAAGCTAGGGAGAGACAGAAGGGATCCAACTAGAATCTTAGAAGGAGCGTGGCCCTGCTGCCATTTTGGCTCTGGACTTCTGACCTCCAGAACTGAGAGAGAATTAATTTCTGTTGTTCTAAGCCACCCAGTTTGTGGTGTTTTGTAACCGCAGACATAGGAAGCTATAGCTTCTCAGTCCAGGTGTGCAGCCTAACTCTCACCTCTGTGTGTTCTCAGCCATCCACAAGGCTGAGCTAGCACAGGCTAAAGTAATAGGAGCTCCTGCGGGAGAGGAAGAGTAAAAGAAGCAGGGGCTGGGGCAGATGGTGTGGTTAAATAAATATCTCACGGCTAAAGAACATTATTCTGAGTCATTAAAGCATCACTTGTATGTGTAGCATTCGCAGTCTTGCACCTGTACTAGAAGGCGAGCAATGGGGTGGACATGGACACCCAGGAGTCTAAGTGTGGGGTCTAAGGGCCTAAGAATTCCCTGGAAAATTTCCAGGAAAACACAGCACTCCCCCACCAGGTTTGGGGCCAAGGAATCTGGATTTTAAAACGTTTCAAGATGATTCTGAGACATAGGCATAATTTAGTTTATACTTAAATTTTAGATATGGGGAAGCTGAGGCTCAGAGGCTCAGAGACATTAAGTGGCCCAAGTTCTCAAAGTCAGCTCAAGAAGCAGCATTGCAAAGAAGTCAAGAATATGTATATTCCCAAAGAACACATGAGATCAAATGCACCTGGGGGTGTATCTTGGGTCCTCAGTGGCCCAGCAGAAGTTACTTCTTTAAGGCTCAGTTGCTTTCTCTGTGAAATGGGAATAATAATAACCCTTACCTCATTTTATTGTTGTGAGAACTAAGTGAGGAAACATATCGAAAGTTCAGCATCTGGCACCTGGAACAGCGCCCATAAACCTGATAGCAGCAAAGCAGCAGTGGTCATATTAGAAGTAGCTTAATGGGATGGGCTTGGTGGCTCACGCCTGTAATCCCAGCACTTTGGGAGGCTGAGGTGGGTGGATCACTTGAGGTCAGGAGTTCAAGACCAGCCTGGCCAAAGTGGTGAAACCCCGTCTCTACTAAAAATACAAAAAATTAGCTGGGTGTGGTGGTGTGCGCCTGTAATCCCAGCTACTAGGGTGGCTGAGGCAGGAGAATTGCTTGACCACGGGAGGCAGAGGTTGCAGTGAGCCATGATCACGCCATTGCACTCCAGCCTGGGCAACAAGAGCGACACTCCATCATCTCAAAAAAAAAAAAAAAGAAGTAGCTTAGTGGAGGGTAGACCCCATGCTATTTTGCCTCTGAGTCCTGTGCCCTCTCAAGACATGGCTTCACCCTTTAATGTTTTGAACAGCAGTTACCACGATGTCTAGCATAACCCCAGACTCAAAGTGGAGCTGGAATATGGACAGGAGGGTGTGGGAATTCTGGACAGTGTCTCTGCATTCACAACCCTATTCCTATGTATCTGAGCCAGATTTTTCATGTAATAGTTTGGGCGCTGTGAAAACACAGTCCCTGTCCAACCTTGTGAGTGTCTTGCACTAAAGATGCTCAGAGTCTTCTCCATGCCCAGTTGCCCACCCTGGTCCATAGTTCACATGCAGAGAGGGGCTGTTTCCAGGTGTAGTGCAGTGGGCACCTCGCTGGCAGGCACTTGCCGGCAGTGAGCCTCACTGCGGGCTGCATTCTAGCCTGGGGAACAGATCAGCTTTGAGATGCAAAGATGCTGGCATTCAGTATATTTCCCAAACGATTTTCTTCAGAGCTCATTTGTCTTTTGGTTTCTGTGCAATGTTTTGAGAAAGAAACACTCTCACCTTCAGGGATGCCTTTTAAGTGTGAAGATCATTTTGGTCATTAGAAAAGGGGGACAAGCAAAGACGTTATTACATGCTAGTGCTCAGGAAGGTAGAAATTGTATACATACAATTTAATTTTCTGGCAGATCTTGGCCAAAACCGGGAGTGAACAAATGTCAGAACCACTTCTAGAATATTTCTGGGGAGAAAAAAAAAAACAAAAAGAGAGTTGTTTAGTTTAAGGAGTGGTTCCCCACCTTCTAAAGGCCCCTCTGAACTTGAGGTTTCTGGATCCTCCTTCCTCTAGAATCCAGCCCATTTCACCTCTCTAAATTTACCTCTTGTTCCTGTCCCCACCATCCATATCCATGCCACTGCCTGTGCCTTTGCCCATCGGGCTCCTCAGCCCGAAGCCTTCCCTCCTTCTCTTCCAGCCAGCTCTTCCCAGCTTCCCAGCCACCCTCACTCTCCACCTTGTTCCAGGAGGGTCCGGCAACAGCATTCCTCTACCCAAGTGCTTTAAAAATAAAGAAGATTTTCAAACAAAATAATTCCATCTCATTATGGAAATAAAAACTAAAGGGAGAGACCAATCTGGGGTCTGGGAGGAAGGAAGGTCCCTTCCCCCACAGAGGAGAGAGGTGCACAGACCAAGCCCCTTGTGCTTCTTGAGCTGTGGGTTTCTAGACAGCGATTTCTATGAGGCTCCAGATGTGGGCTACACTAAAAGCCCTGACGTTTTACCAAGCAGTGCTTTTAGAAACATTGCAGTTTCCACAATGCTTTCCTCAACTTAAAGAAAGAGAAGAAGACAATAGGGTAGAAAAGTGAGGCACCAGCATTTATCAATGAAGGGAGAGAGACACTGGATTCCTGCCAGCCCTGAGTCCTTCGAATGGCTATGAGGAGTGTTATGGGCATTGGCGATATTTGACCCTGGCAAGAGAGAATCAGCAACCGTTTCAGAATATAAATGAGGTACTTAAGGATTTTTGAGATGCCTGCCCAGCTTTCTAGGAGGAGAAATAATCCTGACTGGTGGCCCAGCTCCATGTAAGATGTGGAGACAAAGAGGCTGTCCTTGTCCTCAGCTCTCCGTGGAGTGGAGGGCAAGGGTGGAGGCCCCAGCTCCGGGCACACCCTGTGGGGTCTGCAGAGGCCAAGGCACTAGCACGTGTCTCTAGGAACCTGGAGGAGAATGCAGATGACCCTGCAGTGAGGTGGGATAGAGGCAGGTGGGGAGGAAGAGAGACGGCCTGAGGCTTTGTGACTCAGTGCGGGCCACAGCCTTGCTAGAGATGCACATCCTTGCCTTCCACATCCCCACCTCAGGGCTGCTGAATTGAAAACCCTGGGGTGGGTCGTGGCAGCCTATGTCTTCGTAGCCCTCCAAGTCATTCTGGTGCCCACTAAGGCTTGACAACCACTGCTCTAGGTCTGTGTCACTCAACGTGTGATCACAGATGAGGAGTATTGATGCCACCTGGGAGCTTTCAGAGATGCAGAGTCTTGGGCCCTGCTGCAGACCTACAAAATCAGAATCTGCATTTTAACAACGTCCCCAGGATGCACACTAAAGCTGAAGTAGCCTGGCTCCCGGAAGAGGGAGTGCCCGAGCAGTGCTGTGGAGGTATGAGAAAGCTTGGTGTCTTAGAGGAATGCCAAACATTCCCACCTGGAGGGAGAATCGGAATGGCAGAATGCAGTGAACCATGGAAGGAAGGAGACAGGACGGGGAGCAGGGGCCTGGAGTGCAGCACTACATGTTACCCTGAGGACTGTGGGGAAGCCGTGGAGGTGTCAGGCAGAGGAATCACATTTGCGTTTCGGAAAGATGTCTCTAGGCGTGGGAAGATGGCCTGGAGAAGGATCATTTGAGATAAGAGACCCCAAGGCCCTATCTCAGGGTTTCAAACCTCGGTGCTATTGCCATGTTGAGCCGATAATAATTCAGTCTTTGCTGTGCGGGCTGCCCTGTGCACTGTGAGATGCTGGGCAGCATCTCTGGCCTGTGACCCCCAGATGCCCGCCGCACAAATCTGCCTCCAGACATTGCCAAATCTGCCTCCAGACACTGCCAAATGTCCCCAGGGTGGGAGCAAGGGGCAATATTGCCACGAGTTGGGAAGCACTGATGGGAAACAGGGCGGAGGAGGGTGATGGTGTGAAGAAGGGGTGGTTAGAAGGGTGACTCCAGAGACTTAGTAGCTGACTAAGATCAGGATTGTGGACACACTGCAAAACAAGCATCAGCATAAGCTTCTACTAAGGTAGGAGACCACTCCTCATATTGTCTTATGTCCAATTTCTGCCTCCAAAGAAAGAAACAGTAAAACCTCGAAGGCAGAAATGAAATCCACAAGCAGACAGCTCGGCGCCACACCCTGGGCCTGGTAGTTAAAGATTGACCCCTGACCTAATCGGTTATGTTATCTATAGATTACAGACATTATATAGAAAAACACTGTGAAAATCCCTATCCTGTTTTGTTCCAATCTAATTACCGGTGCATGCAGCCCCCAGTCACGTACCCCCTGCTTGCTCAATCAATCACGACCCTCTCACGCGCATCACTTTAGAGTTGTGAGCCCTTAAAAGGGACAGGAATTGCTCACTCGGGGAGCTCGGCTCTTGAGACAGGAGTCTTGCCGATGCCCCTGGCCGAATAAATCCCTTCCTTCTTTAACTCGGTGTCTGAGGAGTTTTGTTTGCGGCTTGTCCTGCTACACTACAACATTGACAGCACTTCGGAAATACAGACACTATCTGAGATCCAGAGTCCAAAGTCAGGTTGCATTTGAATGTTTGAGGTACTTTTAATATTCAGTTTAGTCTGAAGGCCTTGGTCTAATTCTCCTAACAACAGTCTAGATTTTAACACTGGTAATAGCAAACTATTAAAAATTGATATGAACAGTTTTATAATTACTAGACAAAAGGTGCAATAGAATACTATTATATAATTGCACAGCTGTTTGCTGTCAAAATTCAGCCTGATGGCTGCAGCTGTCTTTGCCATTCATTGTGTAGAAATTGGGGTTAAGTGGGTGGCAGATGATATAGGGGCCCCTAGAATTCCTCCTGGTTAGACTGAGGTTTTGATTATCTGGTCTTTTCATTACATAGTATGGGAAAGACCACCCTTCTCTTACAAAGAGAACTGAGATGGGCCCCGAGCAACATTGTATGAGTCTTGCTTGCCTATTTGCCAGCCTCCTCCTTTCAATTTGAACTTTGCTAGATAGAGACAAAATGTGGGCTGTTATTAACTCAGCAATACATTTAAAATATTGCAACTGGCTGCATCTAATCCCATCTAAAATGAGAGTCTCAAATCAGGGCTGTCCCTGGGGACAGGAGTCATGCAGCATCTTTGCTTTGCAATCTATTTAACCGGCTTCCTGAGCTTCCCCATGCACCAGGATGTCAAATGAATGCAGAACAACAAACGGGTTGAATAAAGAAAAATGGGCTGAATGGGGTAAATGGAAGGTCAAAGTGGGACAGTCATCACTCTTCTGTACACAGCCAGGCTGAAACTGAATTTCTGTGTGGCAAAGTGCTTTTCAACCCTTGTCGTGTATTATATTACCTGGGTTTAATTGGTCTAGGGTGGGGTTTGGATCTCGGCAATTTTTATAGGCTTCCCAGATGATTCTATTGAGCGGGTGGGTTTGTGATCAGGGCTGTCATTTGTAACTGCACAGGTTGTCCACTGTACGATCCCAATATCCGCATAGCCTGTGACGTAAATGGTGCTCCCCAAAGTTTAGTACTAAGGAGGCCTTGTTGAAAGCTACTGGCCTAGTAGAAAGGGTACTGAACGTGGAGATAGCTAGCTCTGGATTTAAACGTGGGGTTTCTCACCTACTAGCTATGTGGGGTGAGCACATAACTTAACCTACCCGAGACTCAGTCCTCTCATCTATAAAATGGGGCTGATGACAAAAATACTCTATCTATTTGAGAATGAAATGATTCCATAACTCAGGTGCTCTTAGATGCTCGATGCTCTGCCAAATCCATGAAATGTTCCCTCTAGGATCCTCTCATGGCCTCATTGAGATCCAGGCTTTATCTGGAATGTTTGATCTCCTTCAATAATGCATAACTGTTTTCAAGTCTGAATTCTCACCAACCGATAGGCTGTGCTGAAATGATATGGAACCTACTGAGTGCAGCTTTCTGTACCCTGGCCAGGTCTGAAGTTATATCAGCCATCACAGTGGAATTATTAATTACTCTCCGAGCAGTTTTTTCAGACACACTTATTTGCATTTTCTGTTTATTTTTGCCTTGATAGCTGTAATCTGGAGAGCAAATAAATTGGTGGAGGTTTCAGAAGAGTATTTTTATTGTTGAATTGTTCAGTAGAATTTTTTTTTTCACTTCTCGCGAGTAATTGTTGGAATCCTGCCCCGTGAATTATGCTTGCAATTCTGGTGACAGAAGTAAAAAATTGTAAAATCCTAATTAGGAGTTAATGCCAAGGCAGTTTTTGCTACTGAAGTAAACAATGCCTGGAGAATACGTTTTTAGGGGTGTGTGGAGAAGAATAAAATACCAATTGTATTGTTCTCCATTTCTGCTCAGAGTTCTGAAGGGGGTGGTCAAGAGTTTCCTGTGGTCTTTTAATATCTTATTCAACAACTTAAGCAAATTAGCTCAACGGGCTACTGTTGGCCCTTAATTATTCACTGAATTAAATAATGATTGTCAATGCAGACATTGTGATTGATTAATCAGTTATGTAGAAATGCCTACATATTGCCTGTCACTTAACATGTATTTATTGGCCTTGTTCATAAAAACCCATAGGCCCTCCATGAGCAGAGTTGCCAGATAAAATATTACACTAGATATACTAAAACACTATTCGTTGTTTATCTGAAATTCAAATTTAACTGGGCATCCCATATTTTTACTTGCGAAATCTGGCAAGCCTAGCCATGAGGGATTTTCCTCCCTTTTATTTCTATGTTGCCAAATGAATAATACCTCAAATGTAGTGTATCAAGGTGAATGATGAGCTAGCCAGCAGGGAGAAGCCAAGGACGAGGTCTTTGCCCTCCCATTGCCCATTGCTGATGGATGCTTCCTTACTGCCAGTATCTTTGGCATTGAGGATAATGTCGTGCTTTAAAGATCTACTTTTCTGCTTCCTTTTCAAATGGGCTGATTTGCAACCAGGGCCTAAGTCAAATACGTAAGCCTGCGAGAACTGATCTGAAATAAATATTCTATCTGTTGAACGAGAGTGTTATTACACAGAGGACAAATTAAGGAAACATGAATAAAAATTATGATAACTAACTCACATTTATCGAGGACTTGGTAAGTCCTAGCCAAGATCCCAGATGCTCTCTGCACTCTCAACTCTATCAGTACTGACACTGGAGGACGCTATTATCATCCTTGTCTTACAGACAAGAAAACTGGGGCTCAGTGAAGTTGAGCACCGTGCTTAAGGTCACATTTTTAGAAAGTGGAGAAGCAGGAGGATACAGCCTCCTCCAAGACGGTCTACTGGAAAGCAGCAGTTCTCAACTGGGGGTGATTTTGCCTTCCAGGGGACATTTGGCAATGCTGGGAGGCATTGTTGGTTGTTGTGACTGGGGAGGGGTGGATGGTGGTGCTGCTGGCATCTAGTAGGTAGAAGCCAGGGTTGCTGCTGAACACCCTACAAAGCCCAGGACAGCCTGCACAACAAAGGATTATTCTGCCCCAGGTGTCAGCAGTGCTGAGGCTGAAAAACCACACTGTAGTGAGAAGGCAGGAAACACAAGTGGAAGCAGTTCACATTCCTACTTCCATCCCCACGTAGCTATGGCATGTTGCAGGCTTATATCCGGAGTAGTCCTTGCCTTTGGGATGTGAAAGCCGGGGCCAGTGAGAGAGGACATGCCAAGGAAAAGGCTGGCGTTCTACGTGCTTAGTGCTTACCAGAATCGGGGACTTCTTGACAATTTGTCTTGCCTTCTGTAGTGTAAATTTCCATGTCTCCTATAAAAACAAAGTTAGAGAACATTACAACTCATGTTTTATCTTTTCTTCCTACATCTTTTCTAAAATTAGGATATTTAAAGTCCATAAGTTTTCAATAAATGAACCACTCCATAAATTTGTAATAAAATAATTCACAAGAAGGCAATTTCACATTAATAGCTCTTTTTATTTTGGGCTTTGCTTTGTGTCAGATGCAGTGCTAAGCACTTTGGAAACATTATCTTATTTACTCTTCAAACAGCCCTGTGAGATACGACCATTTCATAGACGAGGAAACCGAGATGCAGAAAAGCTAAGAGATCTCATAGGGTCTGGCAGAGAGGCAATCTGAACCTCTGCTTCCTGACCCTTCTGCTACGCTGATCTCCATAAGCAACTTATCCTGGTGTCTAAAACCCCCCAGCAGGAGGCTGTCAACAGCCTACTTGAGTGCCTTGTGCTTTGGCAGTGAAGAATGGCTGATTGTTGCTGTGCAAGCTAACACCTCATCTCTCAGTCACCTCCTCTTCCCCTGGTTGGAGATCTCCTGTCCTCTTTCAACCATTTTGAGAGCATCTAAGTGCATCTTCCAAGGGTACACACATTGCGAATATAAAGAGTTAGCTCATTACTACCAGTAATGATTGCTGTGAAACTCCAAAGAACACTGTGTTTGTCTATTTGTGGAGGGGTGGGAGAAGAGTAACCCTGGGCTGGGTGGGGAGGAGGAGGGTTTTCTCTCATCACTACTTCCCAGAGCTTTCAAACCCAACTGAATGTGCATGTCCTGGCCCTGCCAAATCCCTCCTGGGCCTGCTACCTGTACAGCCCTGAAGTAATCTGCTCAACAATTGGAAAGCTCTGTCTGCTGGCTGCTAAGAGTGCGTGTTGATGACTCAAGAGGAAAAGATGCTCTTCAGGTGGGTTTGGTTGCCAGGATGCCCTGCTACGGTGTATGTTTCTTAAAATATTGAAAGACTACTGTGCCAGTTGGTGAACAGCTGTGTCCCTAAGCCCCTGAGAGTCCTCCACTCTTGCTCTGACCACCCAGCCTCTTCCTTGGACTCTCCCAGGCCTCCTTGTGATCCGTCAACTATGGGGCCACTGTGATAGTCCCACCCAGTGGGCATCTGCAGGCTGTGCTCCAACTGCACCCAGTATCCATTCTGATTAGTTGGCAGTAGGCCAAAAGAGCTGATCCCAATCTTCACTTTTAAAACATGACATCTTTAATACAAAAGCTGCTTAGAGAATGACCCCATTCAAAAACTGACCTCATTAAATGCACTTTTGGCCTTTTCTGGAAATTCTAGCAAACCCTAAAATTCTCCTATTGTATAAATTAAGATTCTCTGGCATAGTCAGTGTAACAGACACCAGATTTTCATGCAAACTATTCTTATGGTGACTTTGTGGCTACTTTTATCAGCAAAGAGCTCATTCCCCACATTTTAAAATGTGAAGGTGGTAGTCCTCTGCCTCAATCATGTGCCCCTGCTTCTCTGTCTCAGAAATAGTCCTTTGCATTCTCAGGCCCAGTTTAAAATCTTCAGAGCCTCGCACAGTCCTTGAGGCATAGTAGGTGCTCAGTAAACATGGAAATAAAAGCAAAAGAAAATAGTTACGATATTATGTTAAACGAGGAAAATAGGCTACCAGATTTTATGCACATAGGAAAAAACCTTGCAAAGGAATATGTTATAATAATGATGGGTGATAACTTTTTCCTTTTTGCCTTTTTCTGGTTTTCTAAATTTTAAACAATGAATACCAATTCAGTAATAAATGCTTTCAAAAAAGAGCTCAATCCATGTTGTCTTGTTTCTTGTTGAAGAAAATGATGTGCTCCGTGCACTGATATGCAAGTGAAGGCCCTGGGGATCTGGTGGTGAACCCCACGGTGAATGACATAGACATCCCTTCCCTCCCAGAGCTTTCTCCCTGGCAAGGGGACTGACCTCGAGCAAGTACAGTAAACAGAAATAAGATGAAGCAGAGAGAGGGCTGAATCCCTTTGAGAGAACCAATCTCATTTTAACCAAGCTCGGTTCTCTGGGGCTCAATGTTTGTTGGGAGGTAATGACAAGCTATGAAAACAGGATGTGGCAAGTGCTGCAGCAGAGGCTGTGCTGAGGCGGGATGGGTGGCTTGTGTGTCCTCCCGGGAGGTCTAGGGTGGGTTCATCTGGATGTGGCTGGGTTTCCGATATTGGTGCACATGGGGGTGGCAGCAGGAAGCCAGGGCCGGGGCTGCAGGGAAATGCACCAGCTTTTGCCAAGGAGGGGGAGTCGAAGCGTCCAAGAGTGGGAACAGAGTCCTGATCCCAGATGGACATCCAGACTCACCCATTTACTCAGCACCCACTTCCAAATTCCAGTCACAATAACTGCTAGGAAAATCTGGGTTTCTGCTGGAAATTGGGGATGGGTAGGACCCACAAACTAGAAAATTAGAAGCATTTCTGCAAGATGCAGTTTGGGTAACATCAAATTGAAGCAAAGAGGGAGCAGTCAGGCCTTTAGCACTCTCAAAGGTGAAGGCTACATGGGGAGTGAGGGAAGGGACCCTAGGGTAGAATCCCACCAGCACCCTTGAGGCCGGGGCAACAGGGGCTTAGCCAGCACAGACAGAGTGGCTGTGTGTAGGGTGCAAGTTTAGGTGTAACAAAGATGTGGAGGCGTGCCCTTGGACCCAGGGTTGTCTGCAGCCTTTGTCTCGGCGGCACTCACCACTGCCCCTTGGCAGAGGCTGTCCCCATGTTTAGGGATGGCAATCTGGTGGTGATGGTGACAGAGTTGTCCTGCAGCTGCCTTTGCAGGTACTCTACCTAAGATTCAGAAAATGGCAATTGACTCTACCCAACAATAAAGTGAATAGTGGAGGGAAGCTCCAGAAGCCACCACTGGCTCCAACCCTGGGCATCACCCAAGGCTAGAGAAGGACCCCAGCCTGGCCGACTTGAAGCCGCTGCAATGAGGTAGAAAAGAGCCTGCAGGAAGCTCATGGCCTTGAGTAGGTGGGGAAAGGTGAGTAAGTCAGAGATTCCAGGCTCGGAATAGCTGTGCACAGGAGCCGAGGGGGCACAGGTGCAAAGGACAATGGTTTACATCACCCTCAGGGGTTGAGAAAGCTTCTTAGGGGACCTGCAGCTTGAGCTAAGCTCCTACTCAAATCCCTCTTCACCCCTAGAAAGTATACATCCTCCCTACTTTACAGCGCAGTCCACCCAGAGGTCAAGCACCTCACGTGATCACAAAGGTAGGGGCAGACTAGAGGGAGGTCTGCTCAGGAATCAGGCCCAGAGCTTTCAGTCTTCAAGACTCATGCATGGCTTTCTTGTTTACAGTGTGCCAGATCATAATAAAAATGGAGTTTCTGGCCTTCAAAACTGGCATCACAGGGATTCACCCGGGAACTGCCATTCTAGAAGCCCCCC
The DNA here is from genome assembly GCF_000001405.40 of Homo sapiens. NCBI lineage: Eukaryota > Metazoa > Chordata > Mammalia > Primates > Hominidae > Homo > Homo sapiens. The sequence goes on from NC_000007.14 coordinate 36,641,329, forward strand.
CTCCTCAGCCCCCTTTGGATAATTTTCCAGTTGCAGCGCTGAAGTCTTGTTCCCCCAATGACTCTCAGAGCTCCTGGGCAGGGGCTTCGGGCTCTGGGCTGTAATTTTTGATTTCCCTTAACATCTTCAATAACATTGAGCCCAGGGCATGTAGGCAACAAGTGCCTGTTGACTTAAATTCACAAAATTATGAAAATGAGAAAGACTAAATAGAGACTAAGAAAGGGCTGTAATTTTCAGATATTTCCTTTGAAAGCTCGCTACAAGGGTTGCTTCCTCCTGAAGCCTTCTCAGCTTTCCTAGCTTTCGGGCCGAGCTTTCCTTTTCTGTTTCCTTTGCATTCTACATTATAACACACTCCCATGCATACATTTCGCATTCCCCCACTAAACCTCAAGCTCTAGGTAGGTGAGGACGGTAACAGTTGCCTTTATGCAACTCCCTGACCCCCTTCACTCCCTACGTTTGCACCTGCCATGCTACCTTAGAAGAAATAACATTGACTGAACAGAGGAATGAGAAAATGTCTGAAAAATACAGCCCTTTCCCAGTCTCTGTTTAGTCCTTGATCATCAGAGCACACAGTAGTATATAGCCACGGTGGCTCACTAAAACACTTCTGTCTAGAATGATTTAAGCGTCTACCCAAATCAAAGCCAGCCCAAAGTCTTCAGACAAGAGGAGAGGCTTGGGGACTACTGACTGCTATTATGGGTTGAATTTTGAATTGTCTCACCTAAATTCATATCTGAGATCATAACCCTGCAGAAGCTCAGAATGTGACCTTATTTGGAAAAAGAGTCATTGCAGGTGTAATTATTAGGTTGATGCAAAAGTAATTGCGGTTTTGCCATTAAAAGCAATAGCAAAAACCGCAATTACTTTTGCACCAACCTAATAGTTAAGCTGAGATAAGGTCATATTGGAGTAGGGTGGGCTGCTAATCCAGTATTATTAGTATCCTTATAAACAGAACACTGTGCAAAGGAAGAGAAAAAGACACATAGAGGGAAGATGATGTGAAGATACAGGGAGAATGCTATCTACGAGAAATGTCAAAAATTCCCAGCAAACCACCAGAGCTAAGAGAAAAAGGCATAGAACAGATTTTCTCTCACAGCCATCAGAAGCTAACCCTACTGATTTCTTGACCTTGAACTTCAGCCTCCATAACTGTCAGACAATTGCTTTCTGTTGCTTAAGCAACCCAGTTGGTGGTCACAGCCCCCACAGACTCATACAACTCTCGCTCTCCAGGGTGATTTTTGTTCTCGACCTTGAGCTAAGAGTAATTTGGATGATGAAAGAGCAAGGGCCAAGTGCTCATCACCATCAGTATTTTGGGCAAAGTGGTACTGTTAGTATCTGTACTCTGCCAGGCGTAAGCCACATGGGAGCCCAAGGAAAAGAAAGAAAGTACTGTGGTCAGATTAAACCATTTGGATGTGAGCAAAACATCCGTCTTCAATAGAAACTCTTTAAATATTGGTCTCTATTGCTATTTCCTATTTAAAATGATTTTGGACCATAGAGTGTTTGTGGTTTCAAACCCTGGCTTCATTAGTTACTAGTTGTAGGACCTTGGGCAAGTTACTTAAGCACTCTGAGCCTAGTTTCTTCATCTGTAAAGTGGAGATAATAGCGTTGTGAGGATTGACAAAGATTGTACTTAAAATAGTGTCTTGCATATTAGTAAGCATGACATTAGTATTAACAATAATTGGTGTTTTTATTTTGGTTTGTAATGTCACCAGTAAACAACTGGAAAGAGTATAATAATTGCAACATCAGCCTACAGAAATGTATGCTTTTTTTGAGGATCCTGAAAATCACCCTGAGAAGAAAGTATTACTGTTCCTGTTTTACAGATGAGAAAACTGAGGCTCAGAGAGATGACACAATTTAACCCAGGCCAGTCTGCAAGCACAGCTGAGATTAGCACTCTAGTTTCTAGACTCTAGTGCCTTTCCCACCACTGAAACACTGTTTTCCAAGAATGAAGTAAGCCTGAAATTTTAACATAAGCAAGAAAATATGATTGATGAGGTTTCACCAGGCCTTGGGGAATGGCAAGTGTGGCTCCCATGGAGCGAGGATGGTTTAATGCAAAAGGTCAGATACCAAGGGGAGAGGACTGGCTCTAGGTGTCAAAAAGCCACGCACCTGGGTGGAAATTCATGCAACCCAGGCACAAGCATGGTGGCAGCTATATGAGTGGTAAGAAAGGAGAAAGAAGTATTCTTCCATTCAATCATTTTTTTGTGCAGTTGTTCATTCTATTCATTTATTTTACAAATACTTACTTAGTGTTTATGTTTGATATGGTTTGGGTTTGTGTCTCTGCCCGAATCTCATGTCGAATTGTAACCCACAATATTGGAGGACTGGCCTGGTGGGAGGTGATTGGATCATGGGGGTGGATTTCCCCCTTGCCCTTCTCATGATAGTGGGTGAGTTCTCATGAGATCTGGTTGTTTAAAAGGGTGTAGGACTCCCTTTGCTCTCTCTTCCTCCTGCTCTTGCCATATAAGAGGTTCCTGCCTCCCCTTTGCCTTCTGCCATGATTGTAAGTTTCCTGAGGCCTCCCCAGCCATGCTTCCTGGTACCGGCCTGCAGAATTATGAGCCAATTAAACTTCTTTTCTCTATAAATTACCTATTTCAAGTATCTCTTTATAGCAGTGCAAGAATGGACTAATACAATGTTGTGCCATGAATTACATGCTGGGGAAATAGTAGGGAATGAGACATCAAGGCTGTTACAATGTAGGAGAGAAGATTGACAGTAAACACTGTAATTAGAAAACAGTTTAGAAAGTGTTAAGTAGTAGTTGCTATTCTCCCTCTTTTACAGATGTGGTAAACTGAGGCTTAGAGTAGGTAAATAACTCCCCCAAAGTCACAGAGCCAATGAGTGGCACAGTCCAGATCCAATTCAGACCCACTTGGCACAAAGTCCATGATTTTTCACTCTGCGCTGGGAGATAGATGTTAAACGGTGTGCTTTTTTTTTTTAAGTTTAAAAAAGTTTGGGAAAACTGAGAATGAATTCCTACCTTAAGAAAGCCACACCATGCATTCGTGTATTCAAGGCTTTGGGCCGCTTTGTGGGAATAAATATTATTTAGATTGTGCATTTCCTAAACATTCAATGGTTTCAGCCTAAGTCCATTCAGCTATATTGACTACAGTGGTAAACATACGAAGACCGTAGCGAACAGAGGATCCTCAGGGACACAACAGAATGTCCTGAGACATTTTTAAGGTATGGTGAATTGCACAGGACACATTCAGTAACTGGGCTTTCTAAGGTTCTGTGATGTTAAAGAATTGAATTCTGGTACACTTAGAAAGGAAAGAAAAATAGTGCTTTTAGGCATGAGTTTCTACAGTGAACAATTTTGAGTGATCAAGTTCTCTGTTATCAATTATAGCATCAGTAGATTTGAAAAGTACAAAATGTGCCTTTGTTCACTTCACACATTTGACAGCAGTGACAGATTCTCACAAAGGAGAAAGCCCCTGGGAAGTAAAATGATGATTCCAAATGGGCGTTTTTTATTGTCAAAGAGCATGCATGAATGAGGGGGGAGGTGGGGGTGGGGGAGACTGCTCATCTACCCCAGATCTTTTCTAAAAGTTTATTAGGACAGGTTGTTCCTCACACCCAAATTCACTGGTATAAACTGATTTTTAAAATGGAGCAAGATTTGAAAGATGAGATCCTCCAGGGATTTTATTGCCCACTGGAGGAGGGAAGTGCATAAATAACTACAGCATGAGGCAGTGTCTGTGCCCCCCACCCCAACCAAATTCTTGGATTGAAACCTGAATCTCCCTATGATGGTTTTCAGAGGTGGGGCCTTTGGGTAGTGATTAGGTCATGAGGCTGGAGCCCTCACAATGGGAGGAGTGCCCTTATGAGAAGAGGCTAGAGAGAGCCAGCTCTCTTTTCTCCACATGAGAACAAAGCGGTCTGCAGCCAAGAAGAGGTCCCTCGCCAGAACCTGACCCTGTTGGCACCGTGATATTGGACTTCCAACCTCCAGAACTGTGAAAATACATTTCTGTGGTTTGTAAGGCACACAGTCTAGGGTACTTTGTTAGAGCAGCCCTAACTAAGACAGGCAGATCAGAAAGAGCCAACAGAGAGGTACAGAAAAGGGCTTCAAGGCAATTTCTATTCAGTAGGAAGACAAAGGCAAGAAGTTTTACTGCTTACGGGTTTTTATCAAATAGTGGCATGTCTAGCCTTTGAGTGAAATTTGCAGGTCTGTTATTAAATCTGCATTCTGCTGTATCCTACAGTGGCAATTTTCCAATACTCAAGATGTAGCTCTATCAAAGCCTAATTTGGTTTTTAGGTTCTGACACTTTCCAGCTCCAATGGGCATTTATGACTTTAAATTATATGCAAAAAATGAAGTCTGTTCACTTCATTTTCTTCTTCCAGGGATGAAAAAAAAAAGGGTAAAAGTAAAAGAAAAAAGCCATTACTTTTAAATGCATCCCCTTTTATCACTGAATGCCTCTTCTTCATACATATTTTACCCTTAGCTAAATTTTCTTCTTTCCTGCTTCTAGGCTAATTTTGCATTGTATAGCTATTAGTATCATCAGAGTATTTAATCACACTCTTGCTATCGCTTCCTATTCTCCAGGCAATACCTTTCTTAAAAAAAGCGTTATTTTAAACAGCATTATTCCCACCAACTCCTTTTCCTGACATTATTATTCATTGATTTTACCACCACCATCACATACCACTCTGCTATAGAGTTCTTAAAGTTCACACCATAGAGGTTCTTCTATGCTTCAAGTTCTATACCAAACATCGTATAGAGTTTATCTCTAAATTTTGTACTAACTTTGCAAAATAGGAAATAACAGTTCTTAACTCTACTTTGTAAATGAGAAATCCAAGACCCGGTGCTGAGTGAATTTTTCTAGGCTTCACAACTAATACCATTGTTCCATTTTGACTGTTTCTTCCCTAGTATCTGGGCTCATAAACAAGCTCTCCAGTACTAGGCTCTGTGGTCTATTCTTATTTATAGTATGTTGTCTTATTCTTTACACAAATAATTTCTGGCAAATTTTGGGTTAATCAGATGGTGGGTATGGTTCAGTCATAAGGGTCTTTTGTTACATAGTCTTTTACTTTTTTTCTATTTGCTTTCAGGTTGTGTGATCAGTCTTACTCTATGTTACACAACAAATCAATTATTTGTATTAGTTTCCTATTGCTGCTGTAACTAATGACCGTAAACGTAGTGGCTGAAAACAACACGAATATTCTTTCACAGTTCTGGAAGTCAGAAATTCAGGGCTAAAATCAAGGTGTCTGCAGGGTTGGTTCCTTTTGTAGGTTCCCAGGGAGAACCCATTCCTTGCCTCTTCTAGTTTTTAGTGGTGATGGCCTCATGGCTCTGAACACTGCCTCTGTTGTCACATTTTTTTTCTCTCGCTCTGATCCTAATGCTTGCCTCTTGTAAGGATTCTTGTGATCACATCAGGCTTACCCAGATAATCCAGGACAATCTCCCCATCTAAAATCCTTAACTACATTACACCCTCAAAATTCCTTTTGCTGTCCAAGGTAACAGACACAGTTACGAGGGACTTGGATATGAACTTGGAGGGTGGAGGGAGATTATTCTGTCTATCATATTTCTCATTCAACAAATAGTTGTTGAGTAATTAATGCATGTAGTGAACTATGTTCAGCTCTGAGGAAATTTCAGGGACTAGCACTATGTTTGAGGAATAAAACAGCCAGACTGTCTCTGCTTTCATGGAGGTTACACCCTAACAGAAGATGCAGACATTAAATATTAATTTTACAATTATCGAATTACAATTGTAATAAGTGCTGGAAAAATGGAGTGTGAAGAACGGAGATGAATCATGGAAGAACTGGCTTAACTTGGGGCATCAGGGAAAACTTCTTAGAGGGAATGACTTTGAGCTGAGCTCTAATGGGGGTGATTAATTAAGTGAAGATGAGGGCCAAGAGTGGATGCTGGGAGAGCAGTGATTAAAGCCTTAAAACTCAAAGGATCTTTTAGAACCATTCCCAGTCATTAGCGTCATTAGCGATTCTTGAGCTGAGGGAATTAATAAGCATGTTCTCAAGAGAGATAGTTGTTGTTTTCTGAATTTCTCAAAAGCAGACAAGAAAAATGTTCATATCTCAAATATCATAGAAATACCTTCCTTGGAATAATTTGATTTCTTCCACTTATCGGAAGTCAATAGTAACTTAACATTTGCATTATTTTTGCTGTTCTTTGAAGAGTTTTAACACCTCTATGAGTTTAATAGCCCCCAAATCAGTCTTAATACAAGTTTAAGTAGACAAATTATACAAGATTCCAAATATGGGTGTTAACAAAAATACAGCTTTGAATCTCTGGCAAGATCATGTGAAATGCTTGGAGAAAAGATGGAACAATAGAGCATAAATCCAGACATAGCATTCCAATGCCATCTTCAGTTCCCTTAGAGTTCTTTTTTTTTTTTTGGTGGAGTATCGCTCTGTCACCCAGGCTGGAGTGCAGTGGCGTTATCTTGGCTCACAGCAACCTCCGCCTCCTGGGTTCAAACTATTCTCCTGTCTCAGCCTCCCGAGCAGCTGGGACTACAGGTTCACGCCATCATGCCGGGCTAATTTTTGTACTTTTAGTAGAGATGGGGGTTTCACCATGTTGGCCAGGCTGGTCTCGAACTCCTGACCTCAGGTGATCCTCCCGCCTCGACCTCCCAAAGTGCTGGGATTACAGGTGATCCTCCTGCCTCAACCTCCCAAGTGCTGGGATTACGCCCGGCCCTCTTAGAGTTTTAAGCCTTCAAATATGCAGAGAGCAACTTAATTTTGTAGTCTCTGATACTGAAAGCCTTTTCTGTTTCTGTGATAATTTCTTGCCTAATCACCATCAGAACTTTGTGAAGTCCAAATACATAGGAGGTGGATAAAATCTCATTTTAATTTTTCACTTTTTAAATTATAAGAAAGGATGAGCATTTTCTCCTAAATTTTCAGTCCTTTGATATTTTTCCCTAAACCATTTGTTTGTGGCCTTTGCTGACTTTTTTTTTCTTTTTGATTTTTTTAGGAGCTCTTTGATTCAAACAGAAAATAATTCATTGTGTGGCATATTACAAAACATTTACCCAGTATGCCATTTGTCTTTTGACTTTGTGAAGGGGGCAAGTTTTTACTAGTCAGATGTATTAGTATTTCCCTTTGTGACTTTTCAATCACAAATTACAAATACAATTGCTCAGGTTTTTTATGGTTCCTTTTTTTTTTTTTTAAGTGATTCAGTCTTTAATCATTTGGGATTTATTTTGCTATAAGGTATAGATAAACATCTAGCTTAAATTTTTTTCAAATGTCTAGTCTTTAGTCCACTGTATTTATTGAGTAATCCAGTGTTTTACCACTGATTTGAAATGCTATTTTAATCAAAAACAAGAATCTCAAATGCATTGGGATATATTTTGCTCCATTTTAAGCTGACTTTCTGTGTCTAGAAGGCCTTGTCATTTATCTCATTGTTCATAATTTCCTCAGATGTTTAAAGGGGAACTTTTAAAAACATTGTCAATTATACAACGTTACAACCAACAATTTGAATTTTGATTTTTTCTCTGTAAAGTTAAGATAATGGAATAACTTTATAATTGTGTGGGAGGATTTTAGATGCTGTGTATATGCTAAGCACTTAGTCCAATTTCAAATCAGTTGTCGTTGCCTTTTATTCTATAGCCCCTAATGTGTACGTATACAATAGAAGCTTAGTAAAGCTTTGAGCTTCAAGTTCAGGTGGGCTGGCACCAGGATCTGTGCTCTTCGACATCGTGTTGAATTGCCTCTCACAGGTAGGACAGAAATTTGATTGCTCTGGAAAGCTGGAGGGGAATGAGTGTTCTGTGAGGTTTGTTTCTATATTTATTTTATTAGAATGGGAGAGACTTGAGCGGGTTACTAGGCCTTCTCATTTTCTTCTTTGGGTGTAGATAACTTCATTGCACCTTTGTAATTAGTCAGCATGAGAGACAGGACTAGCTGGATTTCCTAGGCCAACTAAGAATCCCTAAGCCTAGCTGGGAAGGTGACTGCATCCGCTTTTAAACATGGCGCTTGCAACTTAGCTCACACCCGACCAATCAGGTAGGAAAGAGAGCTTACTAAAATGCTAACTAGGCAAAAACAGGAGGTAAAGAAATAGCCAATCATCTATCGCCTGAGAGCACAGCAGGAGGGATAATGATCGGGATGTAAACCCAGGCATTCTAGCCGGCAATGGATACCCTCTTTGGGTCCCCTCCCATTGTTTGGGAGCTCTGTTTTCACTCTATTAAATCTTGCAATTGCACTCTCTTCTGGTCTGTGTTTGTTACGACTTGAGCTGAGCTTTCACTTGCTGTCCACCACTGCTGTTTGCCGCCGTGGCAGACCTACCGCTAACTTCCATCTCTTCAGATCTGGCAGGGTGTCCGCTGTGCTCCTGATCCAGTGAGGCGCCCATTGCCGCTCTCCATTGGGCTAAAGACTCACCATTGTTCCTGCATGGCTAAATGCCTGGATTCATCCTAATCGAGCTGAACACTAGTCACTGGGTTCCACGGTTCTCTTCTGTGACCCATGGTTTCTAATAGAGCTATAACACTCACTGCATGGCCCAAGATTCCATTCCTTGGAATCCGTGAGGCCAAGAACCCCAGGTCAGAGAACATGAGGCTTGCCACCATCTTGGAAGTGGCTTCTGCCATCTTGGAAGCGGCCCACCACCGTCTTGGAAGCGGCCCACCACCGTCTTGGAAGTGGCCCACCACCGTCTTGGGAGCTCTGGGAGCAAGGACCCCTTGGTAACAAGAACACTGTTTTGAGAAAATCCGTAGAAAAAGAATGAATTCCAAATAGTTTGGGTCTAAAACTTCTAGTTCTCTCTGTCTTTCTAAGAGGCCTTATTCCTAGGGGGCTGGGGACTGGAAACCCAATAGCTGAGGTTAAGTTGATAAATCAATCAGAAAAGGGGTAGAAATCAAGGAATGGTTGGGGAAAAGGATGCAGTTAGAGGGCAAGTGGGGATGCATGGTTTTGGATGTGTGGGAGGTGAGAAGCAAGAGAAGGGACAGTGCTTTCAGACTTGTCAATGACAGCTTTCAGGCTTAGGCCAGCCTCCAGCACAACAGTTCTCACCCTTCAGTGCTCGTCAAAAGCGTTATGCAAATGCAGATGCTCAAACCCTACCCAGGAATACCAGAGCAGGCGCCCTGGGATGAACCCTATGTTTATTTCTGAAAACTGCTTCACATTCTCAAAGAAGCCGAATGCTTTGAACTCTCATATAGTCCACTGAGACCAGATACATCCTCACAAGGGAGAAGGTAAGGTATGTTCAGGACTGCCGTTCTCATCCTATTTTTTACTAAACAAATCTTACAGAGCACCTACTATGTGCCAGGTACTATGCCAGTCCAGGAATAAGATGGTGAGCAAGAAAGACACGGTCCTTGTGTTCAGACGGTATCAAAGAAATAAAGTGGTGTGAGAGAGCAGGAAAGGGGACCTTCTTCAGAGAGGTTGGTCAGGGAGGGTCTTCCTGGAGAGGGGGTACTTAAACCAGCAGGGGAACAAGGCGCTGGCCATGCAGGGAACTGGGAGTTCTAGGGAAAGGGCCCAGCACAAGGGGCTGACGCAGGCGAGGTGGAGTGTGCTGGGTGAACTCTACTCTACCCTGAAGGAGTCACCTCCACTCCTGTTCCCTCCAGGACCAGCTCAGCCCTCGTCTGCTGGGGTTTCTGTTCCTCCTTGCACCCTGTGTGACAGCACTTCTCTCTTCCTCACTGTTTGTCTATAGCCTCCTGCTAGAATATCCATTTACATTGCTATCGCATGCCATATGTGCTGGAATACTGTTCTACTTAATTTATTCTACATAAATATTTGTTGGCTGATAAAAAGAAAAACAATTATTCTGTAGAAAGTATGGGACTTCAGGAAAGTCTCTCAGTTCTCTAGGTATCAGTAGACTTATTTATAAAATGACAGAATCATATTTGTCCTACAGACTTGGGATAGTTAAAAAAAGATAACTTATTAGGGTACCCGGCTGTGGGGATGGTACATGGTAAGTGTTCAAGAAATGTTTGTTGAGGTATGACTAAGTAAGCGAACATGTCAGTGGTTTCATTGTTACTGAGAAAGTTGGGATATTGTGCAAGATTCTTGAAAATTAAGCTGTTTATGATATTTTATGAAAACTAAAACTAAAGCTGCCTTTAATTCCCTCTGGCTCTGAGAAGTGACTATTCTGAATGTGCTCCAGAATCTATGCTAAACACAGGCAGTGCTGATGTGAAGAGCTGGAGGTCTAAAGTCCAGGGCCCTGGGTTGAGTTCAGATTCCACTCACTACTTATGAGCTTTGAGTAAAGGCTTTAAGCCTCAACTGCAAAATATGTTTGATAATTTTACCTATAAAATAGAGTTTGACCTGTGATACTGGGTTAAAATTAGAGATATCAGTATGAGCTCACATCCACATACACACACACAGAGACACACATACAGACACAGTAACAATTGTAGGTATTTGTGTATACATGGGTTGTATACACATATACTTTACTTAGCACTCCACAAAGAAGACCAGGACCTAAGAAGGCCAATAAGCAATGACATCCCAGTAGCAATGGGCATACCTAGCACCCAGATCTTGGTTTCCAAATACCATTTTCCAGTAAAAGGAACCAGGTCTCCTTCGGGACATGCTGATTCAAGGACAGGGGCAGAAGAATATAAGATAACAAGATGAGCCTGGATCATCTGGTAGTACCAGAACATAAAGTAGTATGGAACAAAAAAAAAATAGGACAGAGGCATGTCAAAAGGACACAGGAGCCACCCTAAGCTTCCAATGGTAGCAAAACTGGAAAACTGGAAAAATTTGTGCAATAAAATAGTGTATATTTGAATTATAACTCAAAGTATAAAATACGTATACATGAATCTGTGCTAATATAAATAAATGATTGGCTAATTCAATAAATTAGGGAGGAGAGAGATGTTTTTTACATAGAAGAATTTCAAAAGATATGTGTAGATATTCCATGTTCTGGGAGCAGGGGCTTGGTCCTCCCTGGCCTCACTGAGTGCAGGCTGGACTTAAAGACTCACTTCTAAAGAACTGAGTAAAGGAAAAGGGGGAAAATAGTGACTTTGCAGTTGGGAAACCTGGCAAATGACCCTTTCACCGAGTGATGAAGGGTGATCTCACCAGCAATGCCATGTGGCATCATTTAACCCTGATAGGATGTGATGAAAAGGGTGCTTCACCTCTGTGGTGTTCTTTCCAAAAACCCCTAACACTGTCGAACCAAGATGAAGACATCAAACAAATCCCAATTCGAGGAACATTTTACCGACGTACTTAACCTGTATCCTTGAAAACTGCCAAGGTCATGAAAAACAAGGAAAGATGAAGACTCTGTCACAGACCAGAGGACACTAAAGAGACATGAAAAAGAAATGCAATGCGTGTCCTCGACTAGATCCTGGAACAGAAGAGGACATTAGAGGAGAAGCATGTGTAATCCAAATAAAGTCTGGACTTGATTTGCTACTAAGGTATATACAGTAGTAATACTGACTTCTTTAGTTTTGACTAAGTAATAGTAATGTGTTCACATTGTGGGGAATTAAACTTGGGTGAACAGTATACTCTCTTGCAGTATCCTCACAACTTTTTATAAATCTGAAATTATTACCAAAAAACGTTTATTTGAAATAACAGAGTTTGGGGGAGACTAGACAATAACACATGTGACAGTGTGCTGTGAGCTCATAGGGCTAAAAACAGCATTATGAGCATCAGGTTCTTTGGATTGTGCAGAATGAAATTTAGTGATTACAGAATCTCAGGAAGTGTCCAATTTCCTGTCTATCTGTGATTCTTTTTCTAAACACTACCACCTGAGACAGTCTACTAAAAGAGATGCCAGGTATTTTATTTGACACCTAGTGTTTAAAAAATAAAAGTGAATTCCTGAGGTCAGCTTGTTTATTGCTTAGGCGAAACATAATTTGTCATGCGTCACTTTCTCATATAAAGAGTGAAAATTTACTTCTTGCCAAACCCATTTATGTCACTTTCCTGGTAGTTTGGATTCCAGGGAAATATGATTCCCTGTGCATACACACCCTCCCCCACACTCAGCATCAGAGAGCTTTTGGTTCTTGTAGAAATGCAACTCACTGTGGGAAAAGCTGTTTCAAAGTCTGGGTTGCTTTCCTAAGGCAGCAGGTCTCCCTGCCACCCAGCAGTTCAGGAGGCCCCAGGGAAATAAGGAGAACCTCTCTCCACACAGGGCTTACATTCTGAATATGATTCTCTTTTAATGTAGATCAAAGTGGCTGAAGTAAGTCTTGAGTGTGCCTTGGAGATGTTGGTAAATGCAGCATGTTCCTCCAGCACTGCTGTGGTTAGGAAAGGAGTCAGTTCAAAGCTACGAGGTCTGCCTGGAGATCTCAAGTTCAGGGACCCAAACGGGAGTGGCTTAAAGCTAAGGAGGCTCCAGGATGCTTCTGGCTCAAGCAGGGGCTCATGCAATGTAACATTCTGATCCAAAAAATAGAGCTTTAAAGAACCACTGGATACACACGAATAAGTTGCATTCGGTTTTCAATTTGTGAGCTGTGGTGTTAGAATCATGGTTTTGGACATGGTGGGAGGGTTGGGGAGGGCTCAAGGGAGAGCCAGTCACGTGCATGCATCCCTGTGCGTGTGTGCGTACACACACACACACACAGCAGCAGCAATCAATGCGCTGTTTCATGTGCAAATGAGAGGAGCGGTAAAAATAAACTCCCAAGATACGTAACACAAAACCACCTGGGTGGTCTTTGCAGTGAGGCCTGCAGCTATTTTTCCTTCCCTTTCCTTCCTGTCCCTCTTCTCTTCCTCCTTTTCTCCTCTCTCCTTTTTCTTCTTCTTCTTGTACCAGTGGGACATCGTAGATTTTTCTTGCTTTAATTAGTTATGGATGAAGTTTGTCCTTTTTGAGCACACAGTAGATAGTGGTAGGGAGACACGTCCACAGGACCGGCAAGAAGTGGGCCTGGAATTTCAGGTGGGCTGTAGATGATGAATAGGGGTTCACTGTGAGCCCCAAATGCAGTTCCACCTTTAACTTTTGGCCTCACTGAAGCCAGATCTCTGTTGCTCTGCTCTGCTTGCTTCTGCGCTATGAGCTCCCTGCTACAGAGGGGCCCATCCATCCTCTCCATCCCTGCAGCATGTATATCACAGGGGAGACTGCTTGCGTCACATTATTTATATTGTACTAGAGTCTGAAATGTGTGAAAAGCCAGACATAGAGCGTGCAGAGTCCTGCTTATGAGGAATTAGCTGGCCCAGGAGCAGTGGTTCCATTCAATGTGACAACACCTACGGAGTCTCAGTGAGGCAGAGAGCACGGTGAATGAGAATTTGGACTTTTAAGAAAAACAGACCCTAGATAAATCCTCTTGTATTCCTCACTAGCTGTATAGCCTGGGAAAATCCCTTAACTTCTCCAAGTCTCAAAATTCCTCAACTGTAAAATAAATATGGACCTAACAGCACAGTTAAATGAGATCACGCACGTTAAGTGCAGCGGCTGGCAGGCCATCAATAAATACCAACTTCTGCTATTTTCATTTTTATCCATATACCAAGTAAGTATGTGCCTGGCATGGTGGAGAGAACAAAGACAGACAGGCAAGGTACAGGCCTGCCCACCCCCATGTGCTTGCATCTTAGTGAGGAAATCTACGAAACTAGAAACTAGTATCTTGATGTCTCTCTGCCACACCTTCGTCATCTATAAAGGGTGGACAACAATACCTATTCCATAAGATTAAATGCATGAATACACATAAAGCATTTAGAACAATGTTAGCACATTATAAGTGCTCAAACAGTTATTTTACAATGATTATTCAAAGGAGAGTTAACATTTTGTTGGGATAGTTAGGAATTACTTTACAGAGAAGGTGACCATTGACATGAGCTTGAGGGATGGCATGGAGTTGATAAAGGTGATCTGGGTAGAGGGAATGATGAAGATCCAAGGTGTAGGGTGGGAGGGTTGGGGATGGCTCAAGGCAGAGCCAGTCACTTGCTGCTCTCTGCAGCACAGGATTCACAAACCTAAGAGGGAAAGGCAAGTCTGGAAAGGCTTTTGGAAGGTCCTGAAAAGCTAAGTGAAAATTTGTACTTAGTTGTGTAGGCAACGTGGAGATCCCAAACTATGTTCAGGATCATAAGTATGCCCTGGGAAAATCAGTGAGGCCTTCACATGAGGAAAGTCAGAATTTCCATCAGGGATGCAAATGAGAAGCTAGTGGCACTTTACCCGTTCATTGCGTCAATACACATTTCCTTGGTATGTGTGAGGCACCGTCCTAGACACTGGGTATAGAGTGGTGAACAAGACAGAATTTGCCTTCCTGGAGTTCAGAGGATAGTGGTAGAGACAGGCAGGCAGTCACACAGGAATATATCTTGTAAAGTGGCAAGTTCAAGAAAGGAATATACAGGAGCTATGATAAGAGGGCTATCTAATAGGGCCCGCCTCCCTGAAGAAGTGACATGTAAGCTGAGCCATGAACGATGGGGAGGAATAATCCACCAAGTGGAAGGACAGAGTGAGAAATTGCTTTCCAGGCAAAGGGTTGGGCTGGGGTGGAAGGTCATATTTTTCCTACAGCAAGGCATCTGTGGCATCAATGTGGAAAAAAATGTATTAGAAAGAAGGAAAGAGCAGATTTGGTTGGACTCACTGGGACAGTAGTGCAGGAGCTACATCAAAAGATGATTGGGGGAATTCTACATGAAATGATGCTGTTCACCCAACACGGGATGAAACTCACAGGTGGAAGAAGCCAGACACAAAGGAGCATATACCGCGCGAGGCCTTTGATACGACATTCAAGGATAGAGTTTCCTAAAAATGAACTAGCCGGTGGCGATAGACTTCAGAATAGTGGCTACTCTGGGGACTATTGACTAGGAGAGTCATGAGAATTCCTTCTGGAGGGCTGAACATTATCTACGTCTGCATTTGTGTCTTCACCCGCCCTTAGTAGGTAATGTTAGGTCAGCTGAGAGAAAGGACGAGAGAGAGAGACCCAAGTTTAGGCAAGCCTTTATTTAACTTGCCGGCTGCTCTACTACAGACAGAGGAGGCAGTCTTGAGCTTACAAAATGAGGGGTTTATATGGGGGAGAGAGACCCTGGGGTTGTATGTTGGTTAACTCTGCCACATATCACCTTGTGACGTTTATGTACCGAAGGATGTAAGTAAAGTTTGTTTACGTTTTTTATGACTTTTTTTTGTGCGACCTTCCCCTGTGCCATCTGGATGGTTTGTAATTGGGGTTTGCTTTATTGCTGCAAGGCCTGATAGGTAAAGTCTGCTGACTTCACCACGGCACCTAGATAAGGGCTTCGAAATGTAAAAAGGCTTGGGGGAAGGGGAGGGGTGGCACAAAGAGGTTTGGTGGGGGGTGTTGGCAGTACCAAGAAGCTTTTTTGGGGCAGTTTGTCCCTAACAGGTAGGTAATTCCACCTGAGCATTCATACGTGCTACGTAGGAGTGATTTGCAGAATGATAAAAAGGTCTGCTATATACCACTGAAAACTAGATGCTCAAAATGTAATGTTAAGGGAACAAAGTAGGGTATAAAATTGTATATGCATTATCATAACTCTCAAATAAATTCTCAATACAATATAATTTATTTGAAAAGTTAAAAGGAAACACACATTTCGACATCAGTTGTTTCTGGTGGTAGGATTTCAGCTGACTGTTGTAAGAAGACACCCCAGGGGAGTTTCTGAAACATTGACACCACGTTAGAGCTCAACCAATCTCTGAGTAGAACAACCGGGGTGTGAACCCAGTTCTGTTCTTTCCTCGGGAAGTGACTTTCAGGAAGTCACATAACTTCTCTAACCCTCAGTTTCCTCCACTGTAAAAAGGAGTCGAAATGACACCTCCAACCTAGGCCTGCTTGGGAACAAAACAAGATCAAGTGTGAGCCTCTACACCAGCACTGGGCCCAAAGTGAGTGCCCAGTCAATGTCAGTTACTACTATTCAGGGGAAGCTCAGAGGCAGAGGAGGGTGAAGCTGTCCATGTGTATACCCATTGTCCCTCTTTTCTGGGTCATCTGCAGAGATAGAGGCTGGAGAGGGGGACCCGAGGCAGAGGGTGAAGGCCTAGAACAGCCGTCAGAGGAAAGTGAAGGGGGCTGTCCAGGGAATCGTCACAGGCTGCCCAGCAGCACTGAATGCTAGCTGGGGTAGAAGGTGGCGGTTCCCACATGAAATCCTCCAATTCCCTTGCAGCCAGAGGCAGTCGAAATTTTACAGAGTTAGGAATTGAGAAGGGGGTCAGGGTAGGAAGACAAGGACATGAAATTTCAGAAGTAAACTCTAGAGAGTATAAAAATAAAGAATGCCATTTTAAATGGGACAATTTAAAGTTGAACTTTTTGCGACTATGTGTAGCTGTGGGTGTAATGTATACATGACATTATTATTTAAGGAAATCACAAAACCTGTGTCACTTGCATTTCTACACAGAGACCCATTTCTTCCTTGCAATATCAAACAGAAAATATTATGATATTATGATACAATAGTCACACGCTATTTGAACACATGAAAAGTTTTTTTTTTAATTAAAGTTAACTAACTCTTCTAGGTACCAGTGGAGCCTGCAGCTTCTCAGGTGGAATTAGGGGAAATTTAATTCGCACTTAGTCAGTGACAGAGGAAGCTTGAAATATACACGTTCCTCAGGTAGTTGCATCTCTTACTTCCTGCTCAAGGAGACAGGCTGATGTATTTAATACTGTCCATCAGCAAAATCATGGTCATTGGTTAGGCCACAAAGCACTAAAATGAACTTCATTTTAACATGAATAAAAAGGAAATTACAATTAAAATAGAAACCTATTGTGTTATATCCAGAAAAACTACAATTCAAGAAAGAAGGCAAAGAATTTTTTTTCACGGGCAGCTCCTGAAAATTAATATTCTGTGGCCTAACTGGATTCAATATTATCCTCTCATCCAGAGTGTGCGGAGGGAATTGTGTCAACATTTGCAGCCTCCTCTCCGCAATCTAATTAAAAGCTACACAAAATGATATAATGCACACAGGGTCCTCTGAACAGCTATCACTGAATAATAATGTTATCAATAATGATCATTTAGCAGTCATTTCTCTTAACACTTTAAAAACTGTATCAGTTATTGTGCTAAGCATTTTTTACATATTAGCTCACCGACTTCCCACAATAAACCACTGTGGGAGGTAGTTTATCATAACCCATTTTATGAGTAAGAGCAATAAGGCTCAGCGTAGGGTGACCAACTGCCCAGGATTTCCCAAGATGTGGGGCTTTCAGTGCTCATGGCAGGAAAGTCCTGGGCAAACTGGCATGAGTTGCTCACTCTGTGAGAGTGACTTGCTTGATTTTTAAGTGATAGGGATTTAAACCTCTGCGTCTCTTTGATCAGATTTCCTACCTACTGGCAGGCCAGCTCAAAATTACAGTCCACAATGGCTGAACAGCAAAGACATTCTTTCTAGCATGGTAGTATGGATCTAGGCCAAAATGCAGGAATATTATTTCTTGCGGGGTAATTGAAAATGTCATCTTGCCTCTCCCTGTCCCCAAAACACTGAGCGAGTAAAAGCTAAGCCTCCCTTTCTAACATTTCCAAAAGCCTTGCATGTCCCTGGAAACAGATGTTCAGAGTGATTACACACTCACCTTGGGAAGAGGGTAGAGATGACACAATGGTTGGCCAGTGTTCTGTTTACAAAACTCCAGAGTGTGACATACCACATCAGCATTCATATCTGCGCTAAGCCTGGAGGGAAACGGTGCAAAACAAAGGCTATTCAGATCTCTTAGGCATTAGGAAACAGAAGCTACTGCAAAGAAAGGTAAATCCCCAGAATGGATTCTAATACCCTCAACTCCTTGCAGAGTGGCCTTTGACCCCAATCCCGGGGAGCTGCTGGATGGTAATGATTTCCTGCCACTGTTGCTCTCTCCTGCATTTAGAATGAGGTCCTAAAGGCGAGGATGGGGCATGCACAGCACTGAGCTGCCAGTCAGCCTCTCACGCGAGTGCTGGGATTCTTTTCAGGCAAAGCCACACATAAAATTGGGAAAGAAAAAGTGGGCAGGGACGTAACTTGATGGAAACAATATTTTGAAGTTTGGGCCTTTGAAACATGGTAACCTTATAGTGAAAAATCATTTACGATATAGCCTTAAACACCTAACCTTACTTTCTTAGGCACAATCCAAACAATCTATTCTATTCCCTTATAAACATATTTCTTTTTTCTTTCTTTTTTTTTTTTTTTTTTCCTGCGAGAGGTCAGAGTTTTGTCAGGCCTCTGAGCCGAAGCTCGGCCATTATAACCCCTGTGACCTGCACATATCCGTCTAGATGGCCTGCAGGAGCCAAGAAGTCTGGAGCAGCCAAAGAAAAACTACAAAGAAGTAAAACAGCCAGTCCCTGCCTTAACTGAGTAAAATTACAATATTTTACTATCGTGACTTGTCCCTGCCCTATCTTAGTTGATCATTTGACTTTGTGACATTCTTCTTCTGGACAATAAGTCTTATGATCTCTCCACCATGTACCTTGCAACCCTCTCCTCTGCTAACAGTAAATAACTACCTTTTATTGTAATTTTCCATTACCTACCCAACTCCTATAAAGCAACCGCTTCCCCATCTCCCTTCGCTGACTGTCTTTTCGGACTCAGCCCACTTGCACCCAAGTGAATAAACAGCTTTATTGCTCACGCAAAGCCTGTTTGGTGGTCTCTTCACACGGACGTGCTTGACATTATTATTACTCAAATCAGTCTCCCCAATTATTTGGGAACAGAGTCTTTTGTTTGTTTGTTTTTGTTTTTTTGACGCAGAGTCTTGCTCTGTCGCCCAGGCTGGAGTGCAGTGGAATAATCTCTGCTAACTGCAACCTCCGCCCCCTGGGTTCAAGTGATTCTTCTGCCTCAGCCTCCCCAGCAGCTGGGATTATAGGCACCCACCACCATGCTTGGCTAAGTTTTATATTGTTTAGTAGAGATAGGGTTTCACTGTGTCGGTCAGGCTGGTCTCGAACTCTTGACCTCAGATGATACACCCACCTCGGCCTCCCAAAGTGCTGGGATTATAGGCATGAGCCACTGCACCAGGCTGGGCATATTTCTTATTCTTATGGAAGAAAGTACAATGTAACTGACTTGTTTGTTTCCCTGGGGATGGTATAAGGACAGTTCTTTTAAAACATTTAGTTTACATCTAGATTCAACGTATCTGATTCCATGTTCATTTTTTCTTTCCCACTCCCAAAACTCTTCTTACCAAGAAAAGTGAGTATAATTTTTCGAATGACATGAACAAGTATAAACTCTTATTACATTTTGAAGCAAATGTATAAACTCTTCTATAAGTAAAAACTCTACTTATATACTTCTTTAAGTATAAACTCTACTTATATACTTCTATAAGTATAAACTCTTATTACATTTTGAAGCAAATTATTGATTCAAACCACAAGTCAAACCAAGACAACAAAAACAAACAAATCCAGCAACACAGGTTGGTAATACCCAGAGACCAACCTTTGTATTCTGCGGAGGGACAGTGATGGAGTCTAGAAGAGACTTTCTTTGGGTTTCTTCCCAGCTCACATGACCACTTCACTGTTTTCCTTTGCCCGTTGGCGCAGGCTTCTGGTAACTGTGTTTATATGCCGTAGCTCCCAGCCAGTTGATTAGATCTCATTAAACTACTGTTTCAAGAAGGACCAATCTGATTCTTTCAAACATTTGGAATTGGTGTTAAAAATGTTCGGCTTCACCCTGGGCTACTCTCAGAATAAGAGAAGCTCGAGTGAGCTGGGATAGTGCTGTCGTAATTTCCTGCCAG
Organism: Homo sapiens; assembly: GCF_000001405.40. NCBI lineage: Eukaryota > Metazoa > Chordata > Mammalia > Primates > Hominidae > Homo > Homo sapiens. The sequence goes on from NC_000007.14 coordinate 36,661,350, forward strand.
GTGGACTGAGTATCTGGAAAGCCAGTCTGCAGGATGGGTTCTGAGGGCAGAACCCAGAGGACGTGCAGTGAGGAAGCTGGAAGAGAGCACACTCCCTGGGTTCCTTTGGTTTACTGTCCTATTTTCAGTCTCTTTCAGAGGCCTGGGTATTTTCCTGACCTTTAGTCCCCTGATCTGTGTGCCCTAGGTTCTTATAATAAATCCACTCCAACCTCTCCCCACCCAACTATTATAACAACTACCTCTACAATCACTGCAATGACTAACACCTCTCTTCTCTCCCTGAGCCTCCTCCACCTCCTCCTCTTTCCTTTTATCTTGTGATTGAAAGCAGTTAACAGCTCACACATGGGCCAACCCTTGAGCACTCCTGGGTTAGAATTGGAGTGCATGGCCCCTTTTAATCCCTGGCCTGAATGTGAGTCACTGAATTGGCTTGCTCCCTTCACTCTCCTCTCTGCTTTCTTTCCCTGATGCCCATTTCACAGACTCAATTGGGTTTGGTCTGCTCCACCAAAGGAATTTTACACCTGGGCATGCAGAATAACAAATGGAATTTAGAATGATAAAAAGCAAAGAAAACAAAACAGAAAAACACTCTTGATTTTCACTTTGTGAGTAAGCAGCAGTTGTAACGGTTGCTAAACATCAAAATATCCTTAAAAATCTCTAAAAATATTATCTTGTGACCGCTACACCTCCAAACACTGGGAGGAGCCTTGAGCATTTATTTCTACTGCGCACCTTCCAGTAGAAAGAACTACCCTGTGTTAATGAAAATGTATCTTAATGAAGCCCATCACAGAAAGGGGGGCCACCTTGGAAATCTCCAAATATTTTGAGGATAACCAATATGTGAAAACAGGCTGGAACCATGGCCACCCAAATTTAATTCCAGCTGAATGCAGCTAAAGGTGTGGCTGGCAAGATGGTTTATCACCCTTTTGTGAGCACCTGAGTTAAGAGGGAAATGCAGCGTTCATCGTGAAAGTCACCTGCTTAGCCCCAGGTCCCTTCAAGGGAAGTCAGGGGGTAAGACTGCAACTAAAAGTATCAAAGACGCCATCCCTTTTAAGCAGTGAAGCAGGCTGCTTGTTGCAGATAAAGTCCATTACCAAACTAATGTCTACCAGGGGTCAGTAAATCGAGAGGGTGGCTGTTTTCACACATCTGTTCTCAACTTAATTGTTCATTTATTTAGCTGATGACTGCTGTCTTTATGGGGGTCTGGTAGTTAGTGGACTCGAGAGTGATAAATAGGGCTCTGGTTAATCTTTGTTTTTAACCTAAGGCTAGTATCCCATCTGTGGCAATCCAGGACAAGCAGAGCCAACTCATCATGTGATATACAAGACCCATTCTCTTTTTCCTCCCTAATAGGGCACAACTTCAAGTAAGGCAACTTGAATGTGAGAGTGGAGATGTGGACCACTCAGAGAGTGAGGCTGGCCATCTCTGAGCTGGAGAGTAGAAGAGGGGAACTGGACATGTGGTGTCCCTCTAGGTCCTCTAAGATGATTTATCATCAAAAAGACATAAAGTGACAAGTAGTCCTTTGGATAAAGAGAGAAAATGCTGAACCCCATAAATCCACACAAATTTAAAACCACTAGAATGTGCAAGATGCATAAGAAGTGGCAGTATGGCATGTGTACTCTTGCTCAGCCTTGGGACAGAAGGCCTAAACTACGCCTCATTTGCTGAATCTTTAAGCAGTCTGCAAACTCATAGGAACAATTCCCACCTTTTCTCTTTCCTAGAGCAGCAAATAAAGCCAAGAGAGTCACATTTTTCATTTTTAAAAAGACTTTTTCTTTTGAGCAGTTTTAGGTTTACAGTGAAATTGAGAGGAAAATACAGAGATGTCCCATTGACCTCCTGCCCCGACACATGCACAGGCTCCCCTATTATCATTATCTGCCACCAGTAATTTCTTAAAATTGATAAACCCGCATTGACACATTATCATCGTCCAAAGTGTTTAGTTCACCTTAAGGTTCACTCTTGGTGTTGTATACTCTATGGGTTTGGACAAATGCATAATGACTTGTATTCACCATTACAGTATCATACAGATTAGATTACCACTGCCCTAAAAATGCTCTGTGTTATGCCTATTTGTCTCTCTCTCCATCCTAACCCCTGGTAACCACGGATATCTTTGTAGTCTCCATAGTTTTGCCTTTTCCAGGATGTCATATAGTTGGAATCATACTGCATGTAGCCTTTTCAGATTGTTTTTTCTCACTTAGTAACACGCATTTAAGTTTACTCCATGTCTTTTTATGACTTGAGAGCTCATTTCCTTTTATTGCTGAACAATATTTCATTGCGTGGCTGTACCACAATTTGTTTATATGATTGGACATTGTGGCTGCTTCCAGTCTTTGATGATTATGAATAATGCTACTATCCTTGTGCAAGTTTTTGTGGGGACATAAGTTTTCAGTTCAATTGGGTAAATACCCAGCGGTATGAATCCTGGCTTGTATGGTGAGACTATATTTTGTTTCATAAGAAACTATACTTTTTTTTCAGTTTTTTTAAATTTTAGCCATTCTATGAACAGTGGTATCTCATTGTTTTAATTTGCAGTCCTCTAACAACATATAATGTTGAGCTTCTTTTCATAAGTTTATTTGTTATCTGTATGTCTTTTTAAGTGAGGTGTCATTTAAGATCGTTAATTTTAGGTTCATTTTTTTTTTAAACTGGGTTGTTTGTCGTTGAGTTTTAAGAGTTTTTTTATGTGTCTATTTTGGATAACAGATCTTTATTAAATATATACTTTGCAAATAGTTTCTCTGAGTCTATTTATTTGTACTATGTAAAAAGTTATCACAAAACCCAAGGTCAACTAGATTTTCTCCTACACTTTTAGGAGTTCTGTAGTTTTGTTTTTTAAATTTATGTCTGTGATCCATTTTGAGTTCATTTTTGTGAAGGATGTAAGGTCTGTGTCTGGATTCATTTTTTTGCATGTAGATGTCCATTTGTTCCAACACCATCTGTTGAAATGACCATCTTTTTTTAAATCATATTACCTTTGCTCCTTTGTCAAAGGTCAGTTTACTGTATTTATGTGGGTCTATTTCTGGGCTCTCTATTCCATTCCATTGATTATTTGTCTGTCCTTTCACCAATACCCTGCTGTCTTGATTACTGTAGCTTTGTAGTAAGCCTGATTTCAAGTAGTATCAGTCCTCCAGCTTTGTTCTTCTCCTTCAATATTGTGTCGACCATTCTTGATCTTTTGCCTCTCCATATAAACTTTAGAATCAATGTGTCAATATCTATAAAATAATTTGCTGGGATTCAGATTGATATTGCATTGAATCTACATGTGTTAGGCTGTTTTGCATTGCCATAAAAAAATACTTGAGGCTGGGCAATTTATAAAGAAAAGAGGTTTACTTGGCTCACTGTTCTGCAGGCTGTACAAGCATGGCTCCAGCATCTCCTTTGAGTGAGGCCTCAGGAAGCTTTCAATCATGGTGGAAGGAAAAGGGTGAGTGGGAAGTATCACATGAAGAATGAAGAGAGCAGGAGTGAGAGAGTGAGGGGGAAAGTACCACACTCTTTTCAACAAACAAATCTCATGTGAACTCAGAGCACGAAGTCGCTCATTACCAAGGGGATGACACTAAACCCTTCATGAGGAATCTGCCCCCATTATCTAATACCTCCTACTAGGCCCTACCTCCAGCATGAGAAGTCACATTTCAACATGAGATATGGAGGGGACAAACATCCAAACAATATCACTACAGATCCAATTGGGAAGAAGTGACATCTTGACAGTATTGATTCCCTCTATTCATGAACATGGAACACCTTTTCATTTATCTAGTTATTTAATTTATTTCAATAAAGTGTTGTAGTTTTCCTCATATAGATCTTGCACATATTTTGTTAGATTTACACATAAGTATTTTATTTCTAGAGGTGATAATGTAAATGGTATCCTGTGTTTGATTTCAAATTCCACTTGTTCATTGTTGATATATAGGAAAGTGGTTCACTTTGTATATTAACTTTGTGTCCTGCAACCTTGCTATAATTGCTTATTAGTTCTAGAATTTTTTTTTTTTTTTGCCGATTCTTTTGGATTTTCCACATAGACAATCATGTCACCTGAGAACAAAGTTAGTTTTATTTCTTTCTTCTCAACCAGTAGACTTTTTATTTCCTCTCCCTCTTATTGCATTAGCTAGGACTTTCAGTACAATGTTGAAAAGAGTGGTGAGAGAAGCATCCTTGCCTTGTTCCTCATACTAGTGGGAAAGCTTCTAGTTCTCAGCATGAAGTATGATGTTCATTGTAGTCTTTTTGTAGATATTCTTTATCCAGTTGAGAAAGTTTCTCTCTAGTTATTTCTAGTTTACTGAGAGTTTTTTTTAAATCACAAATGAATATTGGATTTTGTTAAATGCTTTTTCTGTGTCTATTAATATAATCATGAGATTTTTCTTTTTGAGCCTGTTGATACGATGGATTACAATATTTGATTTTTGAATGTTGAACCAGTCTTGTATATTTAGGATAAATCTCACTAGTTGTAGCGTATAATTCTTTTTAAACATTTTTTATTTGATTTGCTAATATTTTGCCGAGGATTTTCCAATCTATATTCATGAGAGATATTGGTCTGTAGTTTTCTTTTCTTGTAATGTCTTTGTCTGGTTTTGGTATTAGGATGATGCTGACCTCATAGAATGAGTTAGGAAGTATTCTCTTAGCTTCTATCTTCTGAAATAGATTATAGAGACTTGGTATACCTTCTTTCCCAAATATTTGGTAGAATCTACCAGTGAATCTATCAGGGCTTCGTGTTTTTTGTTTTGGTAGATTATTAAATATTGATCCAATTTCTTTAATAGATATAGGCCTATTCAGATTGTCTATTTCTTCTTGTGTGTTTTGGCAGTTTGCGTCTTTCAAGGAATTGGCCCATTTCCTCTAGACTATCAAATTTGTGGGCATAGAATTATTCATAATATTTCTTGATTATCTTTTTAATATCTGTGGGATTTGTAGTGATGTCTTCTCTTTCAGTTCTGATATCAGTAGTTTGTGTTATCCCTCTTTTCCTTAGTTAGGCTGGCTAGAGGCTTATCAATTTTACTGATATTTTCAAAAAATCTAGCTTTTGGTTTAATTTTCTATTAATTTTCTATTTCTATATTAAATTTCTATTGATTTCCTATGGTCAATTTCCTTGTTTTCTGCTCAGATTTTTATTATTTATCTTGTGTTTACTTTGGATTTACTTTGCTCTTCATTTTCTAGTTTCTTAAGGTAGAAGCTTAGATGACTCATTTTAGGTTTTTATGTTTTTCTAATATAGTCATTCAATGCTACAAATTTCTGTTTAAGCACTGCTTTCACTTCATCACACGAATTTTGATAAGTTTTATTTTCAATTTTATTTAGTTCAAAATACCTTAAAATTTCTTTTGAGATTTCTTCTTAGGTTCATATGTTATTTAGAAGTGTTTAATCTCCATGTATTTTGTGATTTCTAGTTCTCTTTCTTTTACTGATTTCTAGTTTAATACCAATGTTATCTGACAGCAGACATTATATAATTTCTATTCTTTTAAATTAAAATGTGTTTTATGTCTCAGAATGTAATGTATCTTGGTGAATGTTTCATGTGAACTTGAGAAGAATGTGTATTCTGCTGTTGTTGGATAAAACAGTCCTTAAATGTCAATTATATCTGGTTGATTGATAGTGTTGTTGAGTTCAACTACAGTAGTCCCCCCTTATCTGAAGTTTTAATCTCCATGGTTTCAGTTATTTGTGGTCAACTGTAGTCCAAAAGTATTAAATAAAAAACTCCAGAAAGAAACAACTCATAAATTTTAAATTGCATGCTGTTTTCAGTAGTGTGATGAAATCTTGCACCATCCCACTCCATCTCACCTGGGATGTGAATTGTTCCTTTGTTCAGCATACCCATGCTGTATACACTATCTACTTGTCAGTCACTCAGTAGCCTTCTCAGTTACCGGATTGATTGTCACCATCTCACAGTGCTTATGTTCAAGTAACCCTTATTTTACTTGATAACAGCCCCAAGGCACAAGGGTACTGTGCCTAATTTATAAATTAAACTTTGTCATAGATATGGGTGTATAGGAAAAAACATAGTATATATAGGATTTGGTAACTTTTATCCATGGTTTCAGGCATCCACTGGTGGTCTTGGAACATATTTCTCACAGATAAGGGAAGATTACCATATGTCTTTACTGATTTTCTGTTGGCTGGATCTGTCCGTTTCTGATAGAGGGATGTTGAAGTCTCCAACTACAATAATAGATTCATCTATTTATCCTTGCAGTTCCATCAGTTTTTGCCTCCCATATTTTGATGCTCTGTTTTTGGTGCATACATATTAAGAATTTTTGTCTTATTGGAGAACTGACCACTTTATCATTATGTAACTCTTATCCCTTTATCCCTGATAACTTTCCTCACTTTGAAGTATGTTCTGTTTCAAATTAACATGGCTGCTCTTTCTTTTGATTAATGCTAGCATGGTATAGCTTTCTCTATCTCCTTTTAATCTATATTTATCTTTATATTTAAAGTGAGTTTCTTGCTAGACAGCATATAATTGAGTCTAATTTTTTGATCCACTCTGACAATTTCTGTTTCTTAGTTGGTGCATTTAAACCATTGACAGTCAAAATGATTATTGATATAGTTAATACCTACCATATTTGTTACTGTTTTTTATTTGTTACCGTTGTTCTTTGTTTTTATTTTTGTTTTCTACTCTTTTTCATTTCTCCCCTGCTCCCTCACTCCTACCATCAGAAACATGAGAGGTTTTTGTGTGTGTGTGTGTGTCTCTAATAACTACTATGAGAAATCAGTTGAACTCTTGGAGGTAAAACTCACAAAAGAGTGGGTGGGCACACCCCTATGACTTGGTTCCCCTGGAATTTTTAACACAGTCTTGTCTACGTCTAGCTCCAGCAATTTGTCTATTACAGTACAGATTATCTTTCTTTAATGCTGGCTCCTGTGGCAATTTTTGCCCTGGAAAGTTGTGATTCTCTGTATCCACCTGTTTCTCCCCACTTTCGGAGGCAGCTGCTTGCCCAATAATCTTACTTCTTTTGTTGTTTGTTTGATTTCTTGGAGGCAGAGTCTCCCCCTGTCACCCAGGCTGTAGTGCAATGGCGCTATCTCAGCTCACTGCAACCTTCGCCTCCTGGGTTCAAGTGATTCTAATGCCTCAGGTTCTAGAGTAGCTGGGATTAGAGAGGTGCACCGCCACCCCCGGCTAATTTTTGTATTTCTAGTAGAGACGGGGTTTCACTATGTTGGCCAAAGTGGTCTTAAACTCCTGGACTCAAGTGATCCACCTGCCTTGGCCTCCCAAAGTGTTGGGATTACAGGCGTGAGCCATCACACCCAGCCCTGATCTTACTTCTCTTAAAGATCTATGAAGTATTGTTGGTTTTTCAGTTTGTTCAGCTTTTTAACCTGCTGTTAGAACAGAGTGGTGACTTTCAAACTTCATAATGTTGAACCTATCACATTTTCATTTACTTCCTTTTACTACCTTTACAGCTATAGAAGTGTACAGAGTGCAGCATGCAGGAAGGGCAGGGCTTCAACACTTTGGCATAGCCAGCTAATTGATTGCTTGAATTAGAATCATGGTAGAATTACAGTCGATGATGATGACCATCGTTATCATCATAAATCTAAAGAGGAGCAAGGATGACCACATGGCAGAGTAACAGAGCCTGTGGCAGGGTTAGGGGAATAGAGCCTTTTTCACTTGAAAGTGCTCATATTTAGACCTGTGACATTACTTTCAAAGGAGGTTTTATATACAAATTGTAGTCACAGAGATCCCCCAGCAGAACTGGAAGATCTTCTTCATATAACTTAATACTTTTATCTTGTTTCTAGGTCACATCCTTTATAGTGTACTAGAATTTAATTATTTCTATAAATCTTGTAATTATCTTGGGAATAACAGAATTATATTCCCCCCCCACCTTTTTTTTTTTTTTTTTTTAATTTAAATGGAGTCTTTCTCTGTTGCCCAGGCTGGAGTGCAGTGGCATGATTTTGGCTCATTGCAACCTCCACCTCCTGGGTTCAAGTGATTCTTCTGCCTCAGCCTCCTGAGTAGCTGAGATTACAGGCACTCACCACCATGCCTGGCTAATTTTTATAGTTTTAGTAAAGATGGGGTTTCACCATGTTGGTTAGGTTGATCTCAAACTCCTGACCTCAAGTGATCCACCCGCCTCAGCCTCCCAAAGTGCTGGGATTACAGGCATGAGTCACAGAGTGCAGTGGCTCTGCCCTGTATTTTTAATGCCTCTCCCAAAGCCATTAATTACATCTAAGGTATACCATAATTGTTATCAATTCTGTTTTGCATTTTTTTCTTAAAACTGTTAGTAGTTTATGCCTGTCCTGATCTCAGAGAGCTCCTGGGCTTAGGACATAAGAATTTGTGATTTAGAGAGAAGCATAAATAGATACCAGAAAGCAACACAGCCAGACAGAGACCAGAGTCAGGCTTGCTACAGGAATGGAGAGAGCAATGGCGGTCTGAGACACACAGAGGGGACCCAGCTGTGTCACTGGCTGGGATTGAGCTGCCCCCTGAAGTAGCTCCTCCCTGCATGACTCAGGTTCTTAGGGGAACCCCTGAGTTCTCAGGTATCCTTTTTTTGTTTTTTTTTTTTAACATCTTGTGGCTCTGCCTGTAGGAAGGAAATGTAATTGCTGCACAATTAGTCCATGAATTATTGAGAACTGAGTGGTGTGAAATAATAAGGAAGGATGCCCTTTGGGTTAGAAAATACATTTAATATTGGAAGACTGATATTCAAGTAAAACTAAATCATGAGGTTGTCATTTTCAGGCTCTCCATCAATCTCGAGCTGTGTCTGATGGCTTAAAACAAGCTGTATGAAGAACATGCCCAATGAGGAAACATTTCTATCAGCTCACAACTAATACACATAGGAAATTATGGACAAACAAAACACATGGTGGACAGAACCACGAAGGTGGGATCAGACATCTGTTATTTATTCATTTATTACATCTGTGGTTCTTCAAAAGTGGCCCACCTCATGCTAGCGAGAATTAGTCTCTTTATTAGAAAGAAAAATGTGATTCGGGCTGGAGTGCAGTGGCGTCATCTCAGCTCACTGCAACCTCGGTCTCCAGGGCTCAAGCGATTCCCCTGCCTCAAGCTCCCGAGTAGCTGGGACTACAGGCGCGCGCCACCACACCCGGCTAATTTTTTTTGTATTTTAGTAGAGACAGGGTTTCACCATGTTGGCCAGGATGCTCTCGATCTCCTGACCTCGTGATCCGCCCGCCTTGGCCTCCCAAAGTGCTGAGATTACAGGCGTGAGCCACCGCGCCCGGCCCGCTGGTCCCATTCTTTCTCCATACCTATGCCCGCTTGTCTCTTGTACAGTTCACATGCTGTACAGTTTGCATCTGCAGTGATGAGTATTGTGTCTGTCCTTTCTCTGATCCTTGTGCTTCACTGGTTCTCACACTCACCACTCTATAGCCAGGTACAGAAGAGCAAGTTGTGTCTGAATTACCCAGGCCACTTCTCGGTAACTCCCAGCACACTGCTGTTGGGAGCTGCTCTCTGGCACCCCCTTTTGGACATTTGCATGTATTGCCCCCTTTGAGTTCTGGGACTTTTCAGCTTGCTGATCTGGTTCCCTGATCTAGGCTCCTACTAGGTGTATAAATAGATTCATCAAATAGACGAAAAGGGTTTCTTTTTTTTACTGTTTTCATACTTTTAAAAGGCTTTCTTCACAGCAATCTAGTCATGGCTCATCTGTAATCATACTTTTTTTAAAAAAATTTATTAATTCAACAAACACTTATTGAAGACTTTCCATGCTTAAGTATTACACCTGGGCCTGGAGATACAAAGCTCTCTCCTTTTCCCCCCAACTCTTCCTACCTCTTTTTCTTACTTTCTTTTTTACTTTCATAAACATATAGTCAGTATTTTGCTAAGTACCTGCAGATAGATGCAAAGATGAATAAAATGTAGTCCTAGCCCTCAAACTGTTTTCCATCTAGATAGCAGCTTAGAAAAGTAAATGGATAATTCAGTTACAAACAGCTGTGGTAAATGCCATGCTACGGGCTTGCACAGGGTATTAGGAAAATGCGTGCATGCTCATGAATGTACATGTCTGTATGAGTGTGCATGTGCTCATGCGTGTGTGTGTATGTGTGTGTGCGTGTGTGCATCTGTGTGTGTGCACGTGTTTGTGTGTGTGTGTGTGTGTGCCTGTTTGCCTGTGTGTATAGGAGTGGGTTCATAAGATTTGTTTGGGGTAGAGGTAGGGGGTAGAGGTTTTGGATGTGCCAAGCTGAGTGAACATCTCGTACAAAGATCCTGAGGCAGAAACCTCCTGGTGTGTGGGGAGACTACAAGTGGTTTGAAGTGTAGTGTGCTATGGAGTGGCAAGGGGTGAGTCTGGAAATGCCCTCAGAAACCAGTTCCTGATGAGCCTTGTGTATGGGGCTAGGAGTCCTCCAGAGGATGTGAAGACTTCGAATAATTTTACGTTAAGGGAGTACCATAGTTAGGTTTGCATTAAAACATACTAGTCTAGCTATAATGTAGATTATGAAATTGCAGGGCAATGGGCAAGTTTGTAGGCCTGGAGTCCTGTTAGGAGGCAGTGGCAATAATAGTGGCACTAGCTAAGAATAAAGGGTCCCTGCCTTCCAAACACAGCCCAGGGGTTATGAAAAATTGTTTGCCACAACAGAGCGAGATCGCTATTAAGAGAGGCAGATGCACAGTATGACAGATTACTGATGACCTCCCTGCCTGTATGATTTTAAGTTCCTTCTGTCTTTAAAATGTTGTAGACTCTAGGCTACCCTGTTGTAGAGGGGGGATGCTGTCTTGTGAACATCTCTGCTGTAAGGCTAATGGCCCCTTGAAGAGGAATCATGTAAGGATGTTCCTAGGAACCAACCCAAATGCCCATCAATGATAGACTGCATAAAGAAAATGTGGCACATATACACCATGGAATACTATGAAGCCATAAAAAGGATGAGTGCTCGTCCTTTGCAGGACACGGATGAAGCTGGAAACCATCATTCTCAGTAAACTATCACAAGATCAGAAAACCAAACACCACATGTTCTCACTCATAAGTGGGAGTTGAACAATGCGAACACATGGACACAGGGAGGGGAACATCACACACCAGAGCCTGTCAGAAGGTGGGGGAAAGGGGAGGGAGAGCATTAGGACAAATACCTAATGAATGTGGGGCTTAAAACCCAGATGACGGGTTGATAGGTGCAGCAAACCACCATGGCACATGTAAACCTATGTAACAAACCTGCATGTTCAGCACATGTATCCCAGAACTTAAAGTTAAAAAAAAATAGAATGTTCCTAGGAGTACTGTTCACAAGAGTTAAAACCAGAAAGCAATTAAACATATAATTTATGTGTAATAAATTATAAAATGTTTATAATAACATGTATTATATGATAATGAATGATTTATATTTGTATATTTTATACATAATAAAACTATAGAAAAACCTCCATAATTTTTTTTATAGAAAGCAGAAGAAGGATGAACACGGAATTTAGGATGATGCTCACTTGGGTGGGAAAAGCCTGAGAATAAAGGGGAGGGACCATAGGAGCAGAGAAAGTTATGGTCAAGGTCCTAGACTGTTTTGGGTGGTGGGTTCAGGAGCTTATTTCAGTATTCAAAGTAACTAAATAAGAATATAAAAAGTGTAAGACAGCCATGTATGGATCATTGATGAGAGACTGCCATGAACTGAGAAACAGGGCTTATTTGATTCAGTGCCCTGAGCTCAAAAAAAGAAAAATAGTAGCTGGGCCTGGTGGCTCATATCTGTAATTCCAGCACTTTGAGAGGCCAAGGTGGGTGGATCATGAGGTCAAGAGTTTGAGACTATCCTGGCCAACATGGTGAAACCCCATCTCTACTAAGAATACAAAAATTAGCCGGTGTGGTGGCACATGCCCGCCGTAATCCCAGCCTCTTAGGCTAAGGCAGGAGAATTGCTTGAACCTGGGAGGTGGAGGTTGCAGTGAGCCGAGATCACACCACTGCCCTCCAGCCTGGGCTACAGAGCAAGACTCTGTCTCAGGAAAAGAAAAAAGGAAAAAAAGAAAAACAGTAAAAGAAAAAGCAGACTGTGATAATGCGAGGAGCAAGGGCTGGGAGTAGGGAGGCGGAGAGAAGCCAGGAAACCAGCTAAGTGGGGAGAGAAGATGTGGCCTGGGAATCCAGGGAGGCGGAGAGGGCTCAGGAGAAAGGTTCAATCACCCAAGTACAGGTTACCACACTGTAATTCAAGGGGAGCCTTTGCGTAGAGTGACGAAGGATCCAAATTAGGTTCCAATTTTCCACTATTACTAAGAGCTGGAATAACACCTCGAGCCCTGTCCAGAAAGCGCATCATGCTGAACACAGAGCCTCCCACCTCCCAGTTTTCTTGTTCCTCCCATGTCCCAGCAATGGAATCAGAGTTATGTGTCATGGCATACTCACAGTTTTATGATGTCTGATCCAAACTTGTCAATGACTAAATAGCAGGTGGTTTTCAAGAACAGTTTTTCTAAAAAATATAAAGAGGGAAATTGAATATATTTTTATTGCGACGAATTTAACACACCTTAATAATGATTATCTTTGCTAGGAACTGAAGCTGAGTGATTAATTTATGATTAATTTAATTTTAAGGATTTGAAGGAAATGTTTCAGCTAATGTATGCATTAAATATCACTTCTATCTCAGGTTTATGTGAATGCCACCTAACCGTCCAGGTTAAAGATAACCAATTTATTCTAAAAACACAGTTTAATGCTGGGTTTTCCTTTTCGTTCATTCTTTCTTTCTTTTTTTTCTACAGGGAATACCTGAATGTTGGCTATGACCTCATTTGTTGAAGTTGAAAGAAATGAGACTTGCATTAGTCAATCATCTGAAATGTAGCTCTGTTAGAAATGGTCTTTTCTGGTGTTTATTCAAAGGAAAATACTTCACTTGGGGTCCTTAGTTTTTGCTGTTGTTATCCCAGAGGTAAAAGGAGATGACAGTTACAGGTGATCCTGCACTGCCACCTTCATCACAGGACATAGATACACTCCACACAAATACTCCTACTAACAACATAATCTCCCCTGACCTATGAGAGCACATGAATGTTTTGTGAGTTCCTCTATCCACCCAATGAAACTTGTTAGCTCTTTGGTCCTGTTTCTCCAGTTTGTGAGTCTATTGTGGAGCCCTGGTAATTCAACTCAGGATCTTAGCAGAGTTAGGGACAGATCAGCTGTCCTGGAAAGAGCTAGAAAACCCTGATTAAGGAGAATCTATCTTGTCATGATGTGTCTCACATAGGGGGGCCCGGGCCTTGCTGGATGATGGAGTGGTGAAACAAGATAAATATGGGAATGCTCCCTGGTACTTCAATTTTGCTTAATGTTAAATAATGTGAAATATTATTTTTGTATTAAAATAGATCTATTCTATGACTTTTTAGACAAAAAAGTACGAGACTTTAAATACACTGTGCTCGGCTGGGTGCAGCGGCTCACGCCTGTAATCCCAGCACTTTGGGAGGGCAAGGCGGGTAGATCGCCTGCGGTCAGGAGTTTGAGACCAGCCTGGCCAACATAGTGAAACCCCGTCTCTCCTAAAAACACAAAAAATTAGCTGGGTGTAGTGGCAGGTGCTTGTAATCCCAGTTACTAGGGAGGCTGGGGCAGGAGAATCGCTTGAACCCGGGAGGTGGAGGTTGCAGTGAGCCGAGATCGTGCCATTGCACTCCAGCCTGGGCAACAAGAGTGAAACTCCGTCTCAAATAAATAAATAAATAAATTGTGCCTTTGAAGTAGGCAATTAAAACTGTGTCCTCACATTATGAGTGACCTTAAAGAAATAAAAAGGATTATAATGGAATGTTATGAACAGGTGCATGGCAATAAATTAGGTAACTTAGATAAAATAAAAAATTCTTAGAAAGACACATAATGCCCAAATGGACTCAAGAATAGACAATTTTAAGAAACATATAACAAGTAAAGAGATTGAATTAGTAATTAAAAACTTCCCACAAAGGAAAGCCTAAGACCAGCTAGCTGCACCAGATAGGATTCATTGGCAAATCTACAAAAAAGTTAAAGAATTACTAACAATTTATCAAGAATTCTTCCAAAAAATGGAAGCAGAGTGACCATTTCTTAACTTATTTATGAGGTTAATATTACCCTGATACTAAAACCAGAAACCTTCCTCCGAAAGAATGTAGACCCAAATCTCTCATGAATATAACCACAAAGATCCTCAACAAAATACTAGCAAATAAGATCCAGCAATACAGAAATTATACACCATGATCAGGTGGGATTTATCCCAGGAATGCAAAATTGGGTTAACATCTGAAAATCAGTTAATGTATTACTCCCATATCAACAACATAAAAAAAACCATATGATTATCCAATATAGGCAGAAGATATTTGACAAAATATAACACTGCTTCATGATTTTATTAGGAATAAAAGGGAATGTCCTCAACCTAATAAAGGTTATCTACAAAAAACCTGACAACTTACATGATATTTAGTGGTGAAAAATTAAATACTGTCCCCTCACTATCAGGAAAATATAAGAATATCTGCAGTCACTACTTTTATTCAACGTTATAAGTTCTAGCCAGGAGAATGAGGCAAGAAAAAGAAATAAAAAGCATTCAGATTGGAAAGTAAAGATGTAAGACTATCTTGTGGCTGATATGATCTTCCATGTAGAAAATCCTAAGGAATCTATTAAAAACTATAAGAACAAATAAATAAGTTCAGTAAAGCTGCAGGATACAAGATCAATATGCAAAACCAATTGTATTTCTATGTAGCAGAAGTGAGCAAATAAAAACTGAAATTAAGGAAAACAATTCCATTTACAGTAGCATCAAAAAGAACTAAATTCTTAGGAACAAACTTAACCAAAAAAAGTGCAAAATATATACTCTGAAAACTACATTGTTAAAAGAAGTTAAAGTAGACCTAAATAAATGGAAAGACATTCCATATTCATGAATTGGCAGACTTAATATTGTTAAGAGGGCAATTCTTCCCAAACTGATCCACAGATTCAATGCCATCTCTACCAAAAACCTAGCTAACTTCTTTGCAGAAACTGAGCAGCAGATCCTAACATTCATACGAAAAGTCAAGCGACTCAGAACACCAAAACAATATTGAAAGAGAAGAACAAGTTGGAGGACTGACATTGGGAAACAATTTCAAAGCTAGACAGCTACTGTAATCAAGATAGCATGGTATTAACATAAAGACAGACATATGGATCAATGAAATAGAATCAATAGTTCAGAAACAAACCCTAACATTTAGTCAAAAGTGCAAAGACCATTTCATTGGAGGAATTTAACAAATGGTGCTGGGACAACTGGACAGCCACAGGCAAAAGAATGAATTTGGACACTTACTTCACACTATATACAAAAATTAACCCAAAACGGGTCAAAGACCTAAATGTAAGAGTGAAAACCGTAAAATTCATACAAGGAAACACTGGCATAAATCTTACTGACTTTGGGTTAGGCAACGTTTTCTTAGATATGACACCAAAAGCACAAGCAAAAGAAGAAAAAAAAAACAGAGAAACTTGACTTCATTAAAATAACAATAAGTTTTGCACTTCATAGAACACCAACAGAAAGTAAAAAGACAGCCCACAGAATGGGAGAAAATTTTTGCCAATCATATATCAAATGACCTATCACAGTGCTAGAATATATAAAGGACTATTACAACTCAATAATAAAAAGACAAATAGTCCAATTAAAATATGTACAAAGAATCTGAATAGACAGTTTTCCAAAGAAGATATACCAATGTCCAAAAGCCACATGAAAAGATACTCAACATCATTAGCTACCAAGGAAATGCAATTCAAAGCCAAAATGAGATACAACTTCATGTCCACTATAATGTGCTATAATAAAAGAGAGAATAATATGTGTTGGTGAGGATGTGGAGAAATCAAAAGCTTGTACAATGCTGATGGCAATGTAAACTCGTGCAGCCAGTTTGTAACCAGCCTACCAGCTCCTCAGACTGTTTAACATAGAGTTACTATGTGATCCAGCAATATGATCCAGTTTATATATGATCCAGCAATGTGATCCAGTTTATATATATATATAAACATATGTCCACACAGAAATGTGTACACAAATATTTATAGCAGCATTTTGCATAATAGCCAAGAAATGTAAACTCCTCAAATACCTATCAGCTAATAGATCAACAAACGTGGTATACCTATACGATGCAATATTATTCAGCCGTAAAAAGTAATAAAGTTATAATACATGCTACAACATAGTGAATCTCTAAAACACTATGCTAAGGGAAAGAAATCAGTCACACAAGACCAGATATTGTATGATTCCATTTATATGAAATGCCCAAAACAGGCAAAGTCATAGACACAGAAAGTAGATTAGTGGTTTCTTAGGGCTGGAAAGAGTGGGTGTTTGGGGGCGGATGCTAAAAGGCATGTAGTTTCTTTCTGGTGTAATGAAAATGTTCTAAAATTGATTGTGGTGACTGATGAACACGCAACTCTATGACTGTACTGAAAGTCACTAAATTGTACACTTTAAATGAGTGAACTGTACAGTATGTGAATTGTAGCTTAATAAAAGTGTTTAAATACAGATTCCCTCTCCCTTGGGATCCTTTTTAGGGGTGCTACTGTGGAGAGGGTCAAGAAGCTCTGATGTCACAGTATACTCAGAGACCTGCATTTCATTCAGTACCAGCCCACTGGCTTCTGGCCTTGGAGAAATTGCCTCCCCTTTCTGGACTTCCATTTCCTCATCTGAAAAATGTGGGTGTAGGATTTGGTCTCTATCACTATAATGTCTGCTAAGTTTGGGGACTTTTGTAAGAGATATTCCAAATTAAATGAAGGAGCTTTGGAAAAAAGTTAAAAGTACTGCTAATGCAGAACTGGCTTAGCCTAGAGCAGAGCAATTTAAAAATGGACATTAGGGTGTTCTTTGATAAAGTTCTAATACTGGCTGAAAGGCAGAGAAAATTCATCTTCTTTCTGGTAAGATAAGCAGTGTGTGTGTGTGTGTGTGTGTGTGTGTGTGTGTGTGTGTGTGTGTGTGTGCGCGCGCGCGCGCGTTAGAATTCTGTTTAGCTCAAGTCAAAGAGGATGGCTGCAGGTTCCTTCCTCCCTGAGCAGAACCATTTGAATAGTTTCCGGTAGTCTTCTGTGATTGTTAGCTTGAGAGGCCCCTGGAGCAATGGCTGATATGGGACAGGAAATGCTCTCTGAGAGCTAAATTCTGAGAGCAATCCGTAAGGGTACAAAGCAGAAATATGCAAAATCTCCAGAAAGAGCCAGCTATCCCCAGTCAGCCATGATCAGATGGTAACCTGATTGTTACTGATACACCTGAAGAAAAATTTGGCATTTACATATTGACAGTAGCTTAGCTAAAGTAAAAATTATACTGTTAAACTCTGCCTGTGACAAGGATCATACAAGAGTATTTAATTTCTACAGATTAAAAGAGACTTGGAACAGCATAGGAAAAAAGAAAATGTGGCTATTCCAAAGGACAAAATAAAGTTAAAATAAGACCAATTAAGTAGTTATCATACATTGGGTGTATACAGATGTATGTGTAAATAAAACATAGGACATTCCAATTTGTAAGTTACCTTCATGTTTACCATCACTTCCTTTCTCATAAGAATCTTTTCTAGTTCTAGATCCCTGAGGAATCACCACACTGTCTTCCACAATGGTTGAACTAGTTTACATGTACCTTAGAACTTAAAGTACAATAAATATATATATAAAAAATAAAAATAAAAAAAAGTATTGAGGCCTCAAAAAAAAAAGAATCTTTTGAGGGGGTAATTATTTTTATCCTCATTCTATAGACAAGAACATTAAGACTTAGAGAGCTTAAGATCACAACATAGCAAGTGGTTCAGCTGAGATTAAAATACTCCAAAAGGTCTTGTTATTTGTAGTATACATTTCAATGTGCTTAGGACATTTTATTTGATGCCTTATCTACCTCAAGTATAGCAGATATTGTTATACATTATTATATGTATAATATGTATACATTATTATATGTATAATATGTATACATTATTACATATGTATAATTATTATATACAAACTTGAAGCACAGTGCCACCAAGGGACCACATAATTATTTTTTTTTGAGACGGAGTCTTGCTCTGTCCCTAGGCTGGAGTGCAGTGGTGCAATCTCAGCTCACTGCAACCTCCACCTCCAGTGTTCAAGCAATTCTTCTGCGTCAGCCTCCTGAGTAGCTAGGACTACAGGCACATGTTACCACGCCCAGTTAATTTTTGTATTTTTAGTAGAGATGGGGTTTCACCACGTTGGCCAGGATGGTCGTGATCTCTTGATCTTGTGATCCGCCCGCCTTGGCCTCCTAAAAGTGCTGGGATTACAGGCATGAGCCACCACAACCGGCCAACCACACAATTTTATAAGTACATATTCTGGGATGCATTCAGACTTTCAGAACCTCCAGAGTAGGCATGAAGTGCCTTCTTTCTTTTAAGACTACATGAGTTTTTAACAATTATATTCCACAGAGATAAAATTTCTGCATAGGTGACCCAGGAAAGTGAACTTGTAGCAAGACTCTCAGGGCATATGATTCTGTTGACCCCTGACTAGTGAGAATGATTCCATTAATCATTTTCCATTAACAATTCCGAGATTCTTCCAAGGTGCTTCCTAATGAGAGCCAGAGGCAAAAGCAGTGGATGAAACTGAGGGTCAGAAATGCTTTGCACGATTAGAAAAAAACTGTCTTATAGGGCACAGGGAAAGGCAACATGATTTACTAAGAGATTATTCTCAAGAATGGTGCTTACGCGATTTCCCTGCTAAAACTTTGTTTTTTGTACTTTTTTAGCTTTGGAGGTGAAAGTAATACTTCACTGAAAAATAATTTAAAAATAATTGTGTGTTTATGTGCTTAATTTCATATCCTTCTGTCCCCCATTCACCTGGCCTACCAGACAGAAGGCAATGCAATATTGGATCCCAGTAGGCACTGTGGGTCAGGCCTATTATGTCTTCCAGGAGAAATCCTTAGCTAGGAGAACGTCTATCTTTGCCACCCCATACAACTGACATAACCATTCTGTTTCTGTGTCTTGTTTTTCTCATCCATAAAATGGAAGCAATACTGCCCATGGTGTCCTTTAACCTGAACTGAGTGTTCTATTTTCAGCTGGAGGTAAAACAAGAATTGATAAAATGAAAATAACTCCCAATAACCTTCTTAATCCTTTAAAATTGCTCCAGTTGAAAAGGCAACCCATCACTGAAAACCAAAATATTTATCCTGTTTCCCTTGGTGAGATACCGGTTTCCACTTCACCAGAATCTGACTTTCAGCCTCTCACTTGATCTTACCAGGCTCTGACATTTCCTGTTCGAAGTCAGAAGAAGCTAAGATGGTACCTTGAACCAGCAATCTTGTTTTGGGTTGTTTTATATTTTGCTAGTATATTAAGAAGAGGGAATAATCTAGGAAATAGGATTTTTAGTCGGTCGTTCACCTTCGGACGACGCAACTTTGCCAAAAAAGAGAACATCTAACTTGAGGTTATACCTGCCAATGCTGTCTATCACACAGAAAGGCAACCAGTTAAAACAAAGCTTAATGATAACTGTGACTGTTCTTCACTGTTTTCCTTCTGTAAAATAGTAATAATATTTTTCTTCTTCTTCTGTAACTCGGAGATGTGAAAATACAAAGTAAAGCTTATAACAAATTGTGAATGTTCAATAGAGGAATAAACAAATAAAATATAGAACTTATATGGTAAAGAAGTATAGAGTAATTAAGAGACTTGACCTAGGCCTATATGCCTTAACATGTATAGATCTTAAAATCATGTTGCGTGAAAAAAAAACTTGCTGAGCAACGCATACAGTAGACCATTGATGTCAAATTAAAGCCTTCGCAAGGGAGGAGTATGGAAAGATGGTGGTGGAGGCAGCAGAATTTTGAAATCTCTTTGAATCTCTACAAAAGAAAAAGGAGTGTAATCCCAGCACTTTGGGAGGCCGAGGCGGGCAGATCACCTGAGGTCAGGAGTTAAAGACCAGCCTGACCAACATGGTGAAACCCCGTGTCTACTAAAAATGCAAAAATTAGCCAGGCATCCTGATGGGTATAATCCCAGCTACTCGGGAGGCTGAGGCAGGAGAATCGCTTGAACCCAGGAGGCAGAGGTTGCAGTGAGCCGAGATTGCGCCACTGCACCTCAGCCTGGGTGACAGAGCAAGACTCTGTCTCCAGAAATAAATAAATAAATAAATAAGAGTACCTGAATAGCAAGACCGAAAACCCTCAGAAAGCAGTTACCACAAAGCTAGGTATATCCATGAACCCCAATGTGCAATTAGGTGAGAATAAACCACTTCGCAACTGCAAGACCTATGGGCCATCAACTTCTGTGAGGGAGAAAGTAGAGGGAAGCAATGGATGACAGATAAAACTGAGAACAGGAGAATCCCCAGATAGCTGACAGGTGTTGAGCAGAAAGCATGGCAGGCCAATTAGAGAACAGCCACTGGACGGGGAGGGGTTTTGCCCAATCAATAGCTGGTGAATGCAAAGAGTTCAAGACTAGAAGGAATTAGTGGCTAGAGTCATCTGGCACCCACAAGGGACCCACTGGAGCTCCCTTCCAGGGCAAGGCCCACACTGAGGAGTAACTTTTGGGGATAGAGAAAGTCCAGATGAAAGTAAATAGGGAAACAGTCAGAAAAATCTCAGAAAGCAAGCTGCCACAATTTTTTTTTAACACTACCCCAAAACAACAGAAGAAGGAGCTCTGTGCATTTAGAAAAACTACCCCGAACCGCCTCTCTTTCTAAGAGTTTTTGAAAACTAATTTCACATAAAAATGAGCAACAGAAATGTATCTAGGTCAACTCCCATACAAAGTTATTATAAGAAGAAAAAGATTAAGGAACAGAATAACATCCCTACAGATAGTAAAAGCATGCCAGAAAGTCATGCCAAAAAAGGATTAAAACATAAGATATTATTTCTAAACATATTATTTTAAAATGAGCTAAGAGGCATTAATAAAATGATATAAGACATGAAAAAATAGCAAGAATAAGAATTAGAAAAACTCAGATATGGAATAAAAGAACTCAGGAAAAAATAAAACATGAAATAAAGAATAAAGAAGTGAAGTCTAAACTAGAATGAATACAAGAACAAGTGAAAACAGTAGATGAGGTCTTAAGTGAAATAGAAGGTAGAGAGGAGGAAAAATTTTAAGATAAAAATAAATAAAGAGATTAAAATAAATTCAAGAGATAGGCAAAATAGCAAAGACAGGCAATGAAGATTCAAAATGTGGATAATAGAAATCCCAGAAGAAAAAAACAAAATCAAGGAAACCGAACAAACACTAAAACATTCCTAAAATTAGAAAATATATATTTGAAATCACATTGAGAGAGCACACTGCATGCCTGAGAACATCAATACACAACAGCTGGCACCAAATTATCTTCTAGTTAGATGACTAAGTTTTATAGAAAAAAAATCTTCTGAACTTCAAAGTATAAACAGCAAATAACTTGTAAGGACAAGGTAAATTAGATTATCAATAGGCTTTTGAATACTATATTTAAGATGCTCAGGGAAAGACATCATGTGCCAAGGAGTTTTATATACAGAAAAGCATTGACTTTCAAGTATAAAGGGCGCAGACAGCCTGTTATCAACATGCAAGAATTCAAGGAATATTTGTAGCTATGAGCCCTTCTGGAGGAATGAACTTTAGACAACAATTCAACTAGAGAGAGAATTCATAGAAGGGCTGGTGGTGAACATTAATCATACAGTTGCTGATGCAGCTAAGACTAAATGAGGGTGAAAAGGGAATAGGTGTTATATGTAGTGGCTATATGCTCAGATA
This sequence comes from Homo sapiens, assembly GCF_000001405.40. NCBI lineage: Eukaryota > Metazoa > Chordata > Mammalia > Primates > Hominidae > Homo > Homo sapiens. Next base: position 36,683,446 of record NC_000007.14, read on the forward strand.
AGGTAGGACAATGATTCAAAAGGGTGGAGAAATGGGAAAGGCATATGCAAAAAAACAATTTTAACTGCTCATAAGAATTAGAAAATATATTAATGATGGTATCATTAGAATTGATATTCTGAGACTGTTTTATGTGCAAGGAAGGATAGGTAAATGAGTAATGATTGGAGATTTTAATTCTATCAATCCCTTTGTGCTTGACAATTGGGAGTTTGTGTGGAAAGGAGATACAGATATAATACAGAAGACATTAAGAAAAAAATATTGTGGTTCTGAACTTGAATTTGAAGTGTCAGTATGAACTCAGATATTTTATCTTAAAGCTGACATGTGTAAATGTATATACATGTTTCCTATTTCTGTCCACTGAAAAGGCCTAGAAAGAATGGGCAACTCAAATTAGCCGGGTGCGGTGGTGGGCTCCAGTAATCCCAGCTACTCAGGAGGCTGAGGCAGGAGAATCACTTGAACAAGGGTGGGAGAGGTTGCAGTGAGCCAAGATGGAGCCACTGCACTCCAGCCTGAGCAACAGAGCAAGACTCTGTCTCAAAAAGAAAAAAAAAAAGAGTGGCCAACTCAGTAACAATGAACATTCCTAAGCATCTGGTTTGTGGTGTTGAAACATTATTTCTCACTAAAAGAAACCAGGGCTTTTAAGAGAAATGACTGATTTCAAGCCTCAGGCTTGATATGTACCAGATAGGGCTGGAACACTTTGTCATACCAGTTAGTGAGGAAACTATCGAAGGTTACTGAGGCTCATGTGCAAAGGACTTGAGTCAGCTTGAAGGAGGTGCCACTGGTCAAAGCTCGATGGGATCATCTGAGCTTCAAAAGGATAATAATTGCACTTGACTGAAACCCATCAGGTGTGTTTAAGTTCATAAGTTTATCATGATATTTTAAGGAAAAACTAACTGCTTGCTGTGAGATGATAACAGAAAACCAATGCACTACCTTGAAAACTGATACAAGAAAAGAATCAAGCATTTATCCTGCCTTTCCTAGATGCCTTTCCACTAAGTACTGTGGGAAAAATGTTTCTAAAATATGATGTGAGAAGTGTCCATTATATGTCAATTAATAAATAAGAAATAATAGATAAGAATATCACAGTTTTAAAACCCAAATAAATTAATAGATCTCATCATTGAACATCGACAGCTGCGACCATCACCAAAAGAAAGTCCTGGCACAGTGGCTCACAACACACCTGTCATCTCAGCGCTTTGGGAGGCCAAGATGGACAGATTACTTGAGGCTAGGAGTTAGAGACCAGCCTTGGCAACACAGAGAGACCCTGTCTCAGCAAAAAAATTTAAAATTAGCTGGTGCTGGTGTGATGCTGTGAGCCTGTAGTCTTAGATCCTTGGGAGGCTGAAGCAGGAGGATCTCATGAGCCCGGGAGGTCAAGGCTGCAGTGAGCAGTTCACCCTGGGCGACAGACTGAGACCTTGTCTCAAAAAAAAAAAAAAAAAAAAAAAAAAAAAAAAAGAAGAAGAAGAAGAAGAAGAAGAAGAGAGAAAAGAAAACATGAAAGATAAAAGCACCTATGGCGGCCTCCTGATGAAGGAAAACAATATCATTTATAGGCTTGTCAAAGAAATCAGATTGGAATAGGATCAAACCTCTGATCAAGCTGCCAATTTTCAGGAAATACAGAGCACAGAGAAACATACTCAATTATACTAAAGGAATGCAATCAACACCATCCAGACTGTGGGAAACTCTACAGGTCAAATTCCACAACTAAGTGATAAGAAAAAGGAAGGGGTGGAAAGGAAACTTATAGATTAAAATAGACTCAAAAGACACATCAAACATTTAAATACCGGGCAAGGTTACGATATCTAGGGATGCTCACTGAGTGATAAAGCTATAAATAAAATAATTTTACCATAAAAATCAGCACATTGAGCTTTTTGCAGGGGGAGGATGGGATGGAGCATGTGGATGGGACTTCAGGGGAGGCCACTGATCTGTTCTTTCTTGACCCAGGCTATGTTTCCTAGGGCATTCATCTTTCAGTAACGGATGAAGCTATACATTTGCTTTGCGTGGTTTTCTACAGTTGTCTTGTTTTTACAAAGAAAAACCAAAAACATTACTGGCAAAACAATATTACACATTATTCATGAATCCATACAAGTGAATGTGTAAATATAAAATCTGATGAGAATGATACCCATTAAGTTCATGTGAAGGGTTCCTTCTAGGGAGGTGGGGCAGGGGAGAATGGAACTGGAAGAAGGGAAAGCTGAAGTTTAGCTGCCATGTTTTAACTTCACAAAAGAAAGATGTAATTATGATGTGAATATTTTAAAATCTTAATGGTCCATTTGGGACATTCTAAACACTTGTGTTTGTGTATTATCCTCTCCCAGTCTTTGTTTTTGAATTCTAAACATTTTAGCCTGTGAATGCATATTATGACTAAACGGAACAACTTCTCTGAAAAGACTTTGATGCTATTGGCACAGCATACTGTGTCAATCAAAGATACAATTGCCATTATTCCAACTACCTTACTTAACAGAAAAAATAATGTAGGCACCCTAGATGAATTAGTTCCCATTAAGTGAATAAAAATTTGACTGTCAAAGAAGTTTATTCATTACGACTGTTCAAGTAACAGTATTCTATAATGGAAATATGATTAATATTTTATTTCTACTAATATTGAAAAAGAAATATGCAACTTGCTTGAACCACCAATCAGTTTCTACCTTTGGTGGATGTATAAGGTATTTTATTGAGATCTAGTTTAAATTAATGAAATGTTCTAGATTATTTTCCCATTTGAAATTTTGAGATCAGTTGTCCTCTCAACCCAAAGTTCTGTGTTGGTAGGGCTAGGTGTACATCTTGGTATGTGAATGTTGGTCAAGTTAACACAAAATTATTGGAAGTTATTCATTATTTTGACTTCTTAGTACTTAAGGCAATGATCAGTAAGTAGGCAAATTATTATTAATGTAACACATCAAACAACAATTGGCCATTCAACATTTTATTCCCTAAGGGTCCACAGCAATTTCATTGTGCCATGATGGAAAATGAATGTCAGGGAGAAGTTGCCCAGAGCATTTTTTTTTGGTTTTAATTTCTATAAGCCCCACAAGAATATCAACCCACAGAAATAGCATAATCAGATTCTTCTCTGTAAGTGTGGGCAGGAAGTAAAGGCAGTCATCATGACTCATGAGTGAGAGGACAAGCAGACCCTCAGCAGTATGACTCGTCCCATATTTACCAGGCAGGTAGCTGCACAGTCTCTCCATCGAGGCCTGGACCGTCGAGTTGTGAACTTGAGCAAGCTGTTCTATTACAGACACCACCAGCACACACCCTGCCAGGGAGGAGAAGAACATGTAATCTGTGTCACACAGAAAACTGAACTGGAGGGACAGGAGAAAGAAAGGATGCGTGTGTGTGTGTGTGTGTGTGTGTGTCCTTAAGAAGGCCAACCTTTCCAAAACAGAGAAAGTGATGATGTTTAAATGAGATAGTGCAAGGAAAACAGCCCACATGGAGCAGAAGCTCAATAGATATTAGCTTCTCTCCTCCCCCACTTTCTCTCCTTTCTGCAGTAGATGGCTGCAGAATAGGATTGTTCCCATCCTACACATTCGCTTGGTAGAAGGAGAATCCAGGATAAAATTTTTAATTTTGGAAAAGCGGTGGAAATTGCCTGGCATTTGAAGTCGAAAGATCTAGGATTAACTCCTGACTTAGTAATCTTGAACTCACCATGTGGCCTTTCTGAACCTGGTTTCCTCCTTGAGAGGCAGGTAATATGTTTCCCATAGGGCTGCTGTGATGGTTAAATGAGATAAAAGTGAGACTGAGTGTGTCTTTGAAATCATAACACACTGTAAAATATTATTTTGCCTCACAGCTATAAAGCATACTACTTGAAAGCATGCAGGAACATGATAAGTGTCTAGGTGGACACTTGTATTAAGTTAGGAATATATTCCTTCTGTTACTTTGATATGTGGTAAGTGTGAATGCCTAGAGCTCCTAGGCTGACATTCCTAGAAGATTCTATCGCTTGCCTTAACTCACTGAGCAGCAGGGGAAAACCAAACCTTTTTTTTTTTTTCCAAAGAAAAGGGACTCTTTTTTTCGTATAAACAAGTGGTTGGTCAAAGATCAGTAAGTATGTGAGAAGAAATTTTTAGATCTCATTGCAGTAAGAAGAGTGGACACTTGCTGGCAGAGGTTCATTTCTAAGGGGGCAAAGGAAGGTTTATGTCCTACAAAATGTTCCAAGGAGCCTGGGCCAGCAGTAGGCTCTTGATTGTCCATCAATGCAAGGAGCTAGAGACCCACATTTACATACGTGGTGTCATTTAAACCAAATTCCCAGCAGGATTCCTTGAGGGAAGGTGGCTGATAACGGATATGAACAATAAAATTGGACATTCCTATACATAAAGATGTAAAATCTTCTATAAAATGAGAGATTGCCAGTGAAGAAACGAGAGTCTTCTACTTTCTAGATGCTGCAATATCTGATGGTGTTTTGGCCTCGATGTTCTGTCCCCTCTCTCTGGACAAAGAGAAAGGTTCACCACATCTCTGACAGTGAAATCTGGATTACCACGGTCTTCCTGGGCTCTGAGAGTACCTACTTAAGGATGCATTGATCACCATTAATTATCAAGGTTGATTGGCTGTGTTTCTAACCTAATGCATGGCACTCGAGGATTTCATTACATTGCAATTAATTTAGTAGCTGACGCTTATCAGCACTTTATGGTCTTGCATTTTCATATATATTTGTTTTATTTAAAAAATAACTTTTCAAAAAATATAAACACAATGCAACCTTATTTTTTAAATTTTACAAAATACAGAACAGTATAAGAAAAGATAATAAACATCACTCAACCCACCCAGACAGAGATAACCAATTTCACTTTTATTATGAATATATCCAATACATTTAATACAAGTAAATATTTTTGGCATTAATAATGTACTTTTACACCCTAGTTTATGTCTCTGATAATAAATAAATTATTAGAGAGCTAAATAAATTTTAATAACTACAACTAAAAAATAATGATAAGTAATTATATTGCTGTGATAAGAGGGTGCAGTATGGTGTAGTTGAAGAGAGAGAGGCTTTGACATAAACTTGAGTTCAAGTACTGGACCAGCCACTTACAAATGGTGTGACTTTGAACAAGGTACCTACCTTTCTGAAAATTTATTTCTAAGAGTTTAGAGTTAGACCATATGTTCCTTAAGGGCAGGAATGGGGTCTTACCATCTCTAACTCTGAATTCCTGGCACAGTGCCTGGGTTGGAGAATAAAGGCAAGAGACTTTGAGTATATATATATACACACACACACACATATATTTATGTGTATATATACATATATATATGTGTATATGTATATGTGTATCTATACACATGTATATGGGTATACTTGTGTGTATATACACATGTATATGTGTATGTACATATAGATGTATATATACATACACACACATATGTATGTGTATATAGATATATATGAGATGAGGTCTTGCTATGTTGGCCAGGTTGGTCTCGAACTCCTGGCCTCAAGTGAAGAGCCACATAAGTTGCACTGCAGTGGTTGGTTGCTGGGGGCTCCCTAGCAAAGGGCTAATGGATGCACCTTTAGTTGCTTCCCAGCTCAGTCATCTCACCCAAGTTGCTTCCTCTCTGTTCCAGTCTCCACTTGTGGACATGGCTCCACTCCTTATTCTGGCATGAAACAACCAGTGTCCTCTCTAGAGCCAAACAGCAGCTTCTATAGCAAGTGGTCATGATGTGCTGCTGCTCACAATCAAGGAAGAATATGGTGGAGACTGGGTTGTATGTTAGTCTGTTCATGCAGCTATAACAAAATACCTGAGACTGTGTAATTTCTAATAATAGAAATTCATTTCTCATAGTTTTGGAGGCTGGGAAATTTAAAATCAAGGCGCCAGCTGATTTGGTGTCTGGTGAGGGCTTGCTCTCTCCTTCATAGATGGCACCTTCTGCTGCATCCTCAAGTGGCTGAAGGGGCAGAAGTGCTGGAGCATTGTGTCCTCCCACGGCTTTGATGGGCCCCTGGTGAATAGAATATGATCTTTGTTCACAGGAAGCTCACAATGAACTTCCAAAAATCACATGAACTGGATGGTAAATACCAGTCAAAAGCTAGGGAAGATGTGATTTTGGAGAGACCATAACAGGCAGGAGAAGAGCTGGTGAGAGAAGAGGCACTCCCAAGAGAGAAAAAAGACTCGGTGGCCTGAAACAGCCTGGTATATTTCTCCATATGTTTCTCACTTTAATTAGCAGCAACTTTTCTCACTAATACCTAAAATAATATTCTTGCAATCAATGGCATAATAGACTTGATGAGATGCAAGAATTGAAAACCAACAATAGTTTGGTGCAGCAGGAATAGTGGGTGATCGTAGGGCATAAGGTGACCTTTCCTTGGAATTCGTCCTTGAGGAGTCTCCATTCCTATGACCCCAGTGATCATAAACCTTGGATGCTGTTTCCTTTCCCTGAAAATTCAACTCCATCATTAGCATTTGTTTTAATCCGTGGCTTAGAAGGATAAATGCAAAGCGAATGGGGCAGCTTGAAACCAGCCTGCTTCTTTGTACTTACACATATGGGCTTTTCTTCTGAATTTCACTCAGAGAAATCCCATCAAGGACTCTTATGACAGTTGTGGCTTCTCAGCACTGCTGGCTAAAATTGGAAAATCATTAGCTAGATAAAAAGAAGCAAAAAAAATTATCTGTCTCTGAACACTGGGTGAGTCTTACCGCTATCGTCACTTTGCCCAGTGAAGAGTTATGATGATCAAAAGGACCCTGCAGGAAAGGCCATAATGGGGTTTGAAATCATGAACACCCAGGTTGGGCTCAGCTCTGATCTGGAGTCCTGCTCATTCAGCCATCTCCGCCTGTCTCCAGTGGGCTCACCTCCCCTTCCAGTTGAATTGTTAATTTCAGGTGTGCAGTGAGATGTGTTCTGAATCCTTTAGCAGCAAAAATGGAGAAACTGACTTTTCTACAGTTTCTAATAAGAGGTTTCGCTTCCTTGACAGGCTAACGAATGTTTTTCCTGGGAGAGATGCACGGGCAGAGTAATTCCTCCCATTACAGACTATTCTCTGGCTGCTAATAAAAGACCTGGCTCTGTTAAAGTGAATTTGTCAGAGTTGCTGTTCATTTAGGAAGTGAGAAGAGGGGGCGAGAGCTATGCATTTTGCTCAGTGGTCACCATCTGAAATCTCACATATGGAAAATCTCTTCTCACCTGGTATCTGAAAATAATGAGTACAATAGAAACAGACACTCCTGGTAGCACAGGAAAAGAAGCAAATGGGCCCGAATAAAAACAGCTGCCAGAGGGATCACATCTGGCCACATACCTCAGGTAGACTGCAGACTGGGCCAAGGAATCCTTTTGATGTGAAACAGGCTCTTGAAACTCTAATTATAATCATATCTGTGCTGGCTGGAAATACAGCCAACTGCAGAGAGTGGTCTATTAGATTTCCCATTTGTCTGAAACCCACACTTTGCTGAAAAGCCTTGAAAGCACCTGGCAGTTGTCAGAGCCACAGTCAGCATGACTATACTTCCTTTTTGACCCTGAGTAGAAGCATGAATAATTCATCACATTGCTAGAGTGTACCTTACGGTTTTCAAAATGTTTTTTGCATATATTATTATCTCATTCAAACTTCACAACAACTCATAGATCTACGAATTATTACTCTCATTTTACAGATGAGCACATGGAGGCTGAGTGGATAAGTACCTTGCCAAGTATACAGCTAGTAACAGGGGAAATTGAGACTTGAACACAATATTTGGTGAAAAGAAAAGAAGAAAGAAAGGTGTAAAAATAATCACCTAAAATGTATCTTACTGCTGGCCTTGTTTCCCTAAGATGCTAGTTACTCAGAGAGCATGGCACACAACGCCGGTGTGAATCTCATTGCACCTTACCCTTTCTTTCTTCTGCTTCCTCATCTTAGAGTCTGGACATGGATAGAGAGAGACAAAGGAGGAGAAAGAGAATGGAAAGGAGGAAAAGGAAGGCTACCTAAGGTGCTCTGGTATAGTAGAGAGTAGAAGAATTGGGAGGTCAGAGAGACCTGGACTCAAATACCCCTTCTATTACTTATGAATTGGTGCATTTGGTAGGATTTTGGCACCCATGGAATGGAATAACAATGCCCCTTGTTTGGTATATTGGAAACAGCCACATAGTTTTTGCACTTCCTCCCATGAAGTGATGGTGTCTATATCCCAGCCCTTTGAATCTGGCCTTGTGACTTGCTTTGACCAGTATGTGAAGGAAGGGACAGTGTGTCAGATTGTAACTGAGTCCTCCAACAGCTTTTCAGCTTCCACTTTTGCCCTCTTTGACACTGCAGCTGTGAGCCTGAGCCAACCTGCTGGAAAGGCCCCATGACGGAAAACCGAGGTGCTTCAGCCAGCAGATCACCTAGATCATTCCAGATCACCCTGTCCCTGCCATTTCATCATCTACCAGCTGAGCGCAGCTGCAGGAGTGAGCCCCAGGAGACCAACTGAAGAATTATCCAACTGTGCCCAGCTCACAGAATATCTTGGGCTCATAAATGATGGTTGTGTAAGTGTGGGGTGGTTTGTAATACAGCAAAGGCTATCTGTACATCTGGCAAAAGTGTCATGAGGCTTACGTGATACCACACATAAAATGCACATGGTGCCTGGCATGGAGCAGGCATTTAGCAAACATTAGTTCCTCTCCCGTCTACTAAGGCCACCACAGGGAAGACACATCTTCTCCACGAACTCTTTGAAAAATAAAGGCACAGAAGCTCATCTTTGAAAAATATGTTGCATTATCAACAACATTTTTACTTTCATAGGGCTGAATCTTCTTTTATTGCAGACAACTAGTGTTTTCATTACATTTGAGTAGATTAGACTCTGTGGCCTAACCTAACTACTACTTGAAACATTTTTTTTTTATGAGAAAATGCTCAGTGGGTTCAAAATTGCCAACGTTGCCAAGAACATTGTCAACCAGAGAGGCACTGTTTTGGGCAATTAGTGGTGAAAACAAAGGCTTAGGGCATTGATAAGTGAGCAAAGCCCAAGCAAGGCGTGAGAAGAAATGAGCAGGCTGTGTTAAGAGACATAAGGTGACTGGTTTAGCTGATTTAGAAATATACTAAAAATGAAAGTGAAGATGTCAGGACACATTCATCCTGTCATTTATTCAACGTGTACTTTTCAGCACGTACTATGTGCCCAGAAGCTTGAAGAGACACATATGAATAAAAGAAGTCACAGACAGGTGGGGCAAACTGATATCTAAATAAACAATCCCAGAAACCCGTAAGTATTGTGATAGAGGAACCTGGTAGTGCTTTGGGGACACACTGGTGTAATCTCTCAGTGATAGCCTCTCAGAGGAGCTGAGTCTTAAGGGATAGGAGGAACTCATTCATCAGAAAAAGGAGAAAAAGCTTTCCTACTCTTAAAAAAGTGTAGGATTTTTTAAGAATTGGAGGTAAGAAATAGAAGAGTTGGCCAAGGCTAAAATTCAGAGTCAGTGGGAATGGAAGAGTGAGAGAGGTAGGAAGGGGCTAGATTGTGAAGCACCTTGAAGGCCATACTACAGACTATAGGCTTCAAGAAGTAGTCTAGAGTGCAGACTGTGAACTAATGGTTTTCAATGTTTTGCTCTGTATCTTCTAAAATAAATTTGAAAAACTACAAACTTACACATTTTAATGGATATCAAGAAATTATTAATGGATATCTATCTAGTTACAAAAGATATAAATTTGGACAGACTGTAAATATTACAGTGGAACTGTTACAGTAACCTTCTATGTGTATCCAAAGGTATCTAAATACTATAGTGACTTCTACCTAGTCTCATCCACTTAAAAATGAGACTTTAATCTTATTTCACACTGATTAATTTTGCATTGATAATTCCTCTTCTTGAATTGAAAAGCCCACCTCCTTGAATTCTTCTTCAACCACAGAATTTTATCCAAATTTAATGTATTTTTATAGTTGAAATTATTTTTTTGATCACACTATTGATCAATAAAGTATTAGTATTGATCTCAATACTAAAAACGTGTATAAAACTTAAAAATTTTAATTTCCTGTGATACTTCAAGTTTGGAGTCTGGATTGAGCTTTCTTTGTTAGTAAAATTAGCTTATCTAAGCAACAGATTGCCAATTTGATAAACTATTATTAGGCGATAAAGGTAAAATGTTATTGGAATTGCACCTCTTAATGACATTTTTGAGACTTTTTAATTGGTACCTATGTCTGTTGAGAAATACCACTTATTCATGTAAAGTGACAAAGTTCAGCATCACTTTTGTTCCTCTTTTTCATTGTTAAACACGTAAGTACTGAGAAACATGTTTACTTGAATAAATAGATCAGAATTGAAGGACCTTTGATATAGCAATGTCACAGAATTCTTTGAACTTCTTCTGAGGTAAATGCCAAACATGTTGGAGTGAACTATCATTGAACATTATTTTAAATGGTCTATAAACTGACAATTTCATTAAGTTCCCCTTCCATTTTACTGGAAGCAAAGAACTAGATACTACCTGACTTATAAAAATACGTTAAATCAATCATCTTTTACTTTCTCATTTTTTTGTGGGGGGAGTATGCAAAAAAATTTATCGCAGTTACTATTTTACTTAGCAAGACCCTGTGAAAGCCTAATGCACTCAGGGCCAGGTGTGGTGGCTCACGACTGTAATCCCAGTGCTTTGGGAGGCTGAGGCGGGCGGATCACCTGAGGTCAGGAGTCTGAGACCAGCCTGCCCAACATGGCAAAATCCTGTCCCTGTTAAAAATACAAAAAATTAGCCAGGTGTGGTGGCATGCACCTGTAATCCCAGCTACTTGGGAGGCTGAGGCAGAAGAATAGCTTGAACCTGGGAGGTGGAGGTTGCAGTGAGCCGAGATTGCACTCCAGTCTGGGTGACAAGAGCAAAACTCCATCTCAAAACAGAACAAAAAACCACTCAGAAATAACTGGATAATGAAAATATTGTCCTTTTCAATACACTTTTGTCTATACTATATTTTAAAAAAAATCCTTTATCTTAAGGTGTGCTTTATATACATTTTTGTCTAATGTTGGAGCTGAGATTTACTTCATTCAAGTTATAAAAAATGTCCTCTGTATAAACCAAAATGACAAATCCATATTTTATTATTAAAGAAATTAATCAATCGATTTTTTCTTTCAGAAGAATGTAACTTCATTTTTCAACTCACTTCAATATTTGCATTCTAAGGCCAATAGTTAGACATAAAAAGATATAGAGAATGGGATAGATGATAGAAAAATGAATGGATGAGTGGATGGATAGATTGATGGATGAATGGTTTCAAAGAGGATAGACAGATGATGGATGGAATGGATATATAGGTAAATAGATAGGGAGAGAGGGAGAGAAAGAGAGAGAGAAATAATTTTACACTCTGCCCAATATTATTCTGTCTTTATACACAAACCTACTTGCTAAGGTGGAAAGTTTTCAACTGACAACAAATGCTTACTACTGCCAAAATTTTCGCAATTGTTTCATTGACTGTCTATTTAACTGTTCAAATTTAGAAATATAACAAAAGAATAGAAGAAGATCCAAAGCCCACAAATGTATACCTAGACAATTTTGAAAGAAAATATACCAAAATACCAAAATATCAATAGTGATCATCAGGATTTGGGAATTGCAATTGATTATATTTTTTAAAAGTACTCTTCTATATCCAAATCTCTGTGAAAACCATGCATTCTTTTATAATTAGAAAAAAGCAAATTCTACTTTATCAAACATAACTTATTAAATATGTTTCTTAATAGCTGCCTTCTACCTTAATACTTTTTGGAACAACATGAAATATGAAAATTTCTAGAATACCATTTTGTGTTTCAGGATGTCTGCTAGGCGTTTTTTACAAATTCTATCTCATTTAATCTTCACAATGTTCTCATAAGATTGCTTCTTTCCACATTTCCTTAGAAATCTGAGGCCCAGAAAGGTTAAACAATGTACTTTAATCCTTTCAGATCAGCAGTGGCTAACCAGTGATTCAAATTCTGAACTATTTTACTTTAAAATTTATATTCTCCTAAGTGCCACACTACATATATTAAAACAGCATCCTTCCAAATTGAAAATTATCAATCATGTTAATTAAAACAATCATTGCTATACTAACATCTATGGGATTTGCAAGTATTGCTTCCAAATCTGTGGCTAATCTTTTGGTTTTGTAATGATGCTTTCCGGAGAGCAAAGTGGTTAAATTGGATAAAGTACAACTTATCAACATTTCCTTTTGGACAGTGCTAAGAATCTTTGCCTCATTCAATGTCACGGAGATTTCCTTTTAGAAGTTTTATAGTTTTAGCTCTTACCTTTAGGTCTATATTCTATTTTGAGTTCACAATTGTGTGAGGTTTGAAATAAGTATCTAAGTTCTCCCTCATCCTTTTTTTACATATAGAATCCCATTATTCCATAACCATTTGTTAAAAGACTACCCTCTTGCCATTGAATTATCTGGGAAACTTGGTTGAAAATCAGTTGCCTATAAATGTACCAGTTTATTTCTGGGCTTCCTATTTTGTATCACTTGTCTGTGTCTGTCCCCACACCAATACCACACTGTATCAGTTACTGTAGTACTTACAGTAAGTTTTGAAACCAGGTAGTGTAAATTCTCCAATACCGTTCTTCAAAATTGTGGCTGTTCTGGCTTCTTTTAATTTCTACATAAATTTTAGAATCAGTTTTCCAATTTCTACAAAAACTCCTATTAGGATTTTGATTAGAATTGTGTTTAATCTATAGATCAATTTGGAGAGTGCAGCCATCTTAACACTATTGAATCATGACACATTTCTTCATTTCCATAAAGCCTTCTTTAATTTCTCTTCGCAATATTTTGTAATTTTCAGTGTAGAGTAATAGCGTTTCTGCTGTTAAACTTATTCCTAAGTATTTTTATTAATTATGAGTAAGATTGTTTTCTTAATTTTAATTCTTAAACGTTTGGTGCTAATATAAATAAAAAATCAAGCCAGGCGCATTGGCTCACGCCTGCAATCCCAGCACTTTGGGAGGCTGAGGCGGGTGGATCATGAGGTCAGGAGTTCAAGACCAGCCTGGCTAACATGGTGAAACCCCGTCTCTACTAAAAAAACAAAAATTAACTGGGCATGGTGGTGCATGCCTGTAATCCCAGCTACTCGGGAGGCTGAGGCAGGAGAATTGCTTGAGCCGAGACCGGGAGGCGGAGGTTGCAGTGAGCCGAGATCATGCCACTGTACTCCAGCCTGGACTACAGAGCGAGGCTACGTCTCCAGAAACAAAAAAATCAATTTTTGTATATCAATTTTGAATCCTGCTAAACTCGCTTATCAGTTCTAGTAGTTTTTTTTGTAGATACCTTAGGATTTTTCTATATTTAGGATTATGTTGTCTGACAATACAGTTTTACTTACTCCTTTCCAATCTGCATGCCTTTATTATTTTTCTTTTTTTATTAAACTGAATAGAATCTTGAGTACAATGTTGACTAGAAGTGGTGAGAATGGACATTTCTACCTTCCTCCTGATCTTAGGAGGTAAGCATTCAGTCTGCTATCATTAAATACAAAAAGTCACAAGTAGGGTTTTCATAGATGTCCTTTATCAGGTTGAGGAAGTCACCTTTTCTTTCATAATTTGTTGAGAGACTTTAACATAAATGGGTGACAAATTTTTTCAAATAATTTTCCTACTTCTATTGGGCTGACAATGTAATTGTGGCCTCTATTATACTAATTTGGTGCATTCCATTAATTGCTTTTCAGATGTTAAATAAGCATGCATTTTTAGGATAGACTCTACTTGGTCATGGTATATTATTCATGTTACATGTTGCTGGATTCAGTTTGTCAATATTTTGTTAAGGGTTTTTGCATCTGTTTATAAAAGTCTGTTATTTTCTTTCCTTGTGATGTCTCTGTCTGGATTTACATGACAGAAAAACATAAAATAAAGTGAAATGTGTTTCTTCCTCCTCTATTTTATGAAAGAAATTGTGTTGGATTGGCATTATTTCTACTTTAAGTACCTTACAGAGTTTACTAGTGAAGCCATCTAGGCTTGGGATTTTCTGTACCTGGTTGAACAGTGCCCTAAAATTCATGCCCTTCCTGGGACTTCAGAATGTGCTTTATATAAAATAGGGTTCTTGTAGATGTATTAGTTAAGGTGAAGTAATACTAGGATAGAGTGGTCCTTAATCCAAAATGACCAGTGTTCTTCTAAGAAGAGAGAACCACACTCAGAGAAGAGAATGCCACGTGAAGACAAACACACAGAGGGAAAATGGCCAGGGGATGATGTGGGTAGGACTGGAGTTACACAGCTGTAAGACAAGGAATGTGAAGGATTGCTGGCAACCACCAGAGGCTAGGAGAAAGAGGTGGACACCTAAGTGCAGACTTCCAGCTTTCAGAATTGTAAGAGGATAAGGTCTTGTAATTTTCAGCCACCTAATTTATGGTAATGTTTTTATAGCATCCCTAGGAAACGAATACAATTTCTAATTATGAATTCCATTTCTTTACTTGGTATAGGTCTATTCACATTTTCTATTTTTTCTTAAATCATGTCTCCTTTCAGAATTTGTGTATTTTATCTAAACTCTCCCTCTACCTTCTTGGCACAAAATTGTTTACGATCTTTCCTTATGATCCTTTTAATTTCCTTTGGGTCTACAGTGATGTCCCGTCTTGTTTTATTCTTGATTTTGATGGTAGCTTTATGTCTTCTTTTTAAATGATCTAGCTAAAGGTTTATCAATTTTATTGATCATTTCAAAAGGACTATATTTTGGTTTCATCGATTCTCTCTATTGCATTCCTGTTTTTTATTTTACCATTTTCTGCTCTGATCTTTATTATTTCCTTTCTTCTACTCATTTTGGCTTTGGATTCTTCATTTTCTGGCTTCTTGAGGTGGAAACATATTATTAATTTTAGATTTTTCTTTTTAATATGTGTTTAAAGTTATAAATTTTTCCATAAGCACTGCTTTAGCTGCATTCAATAGATTTTAATATATTATGTTTTCATTTTCACTTAGACCAAACTATTTTCTAATTTTCAAATAATTTTACTATTTTTTATTGATACATAATAGATATACATATTTTCAGGGCACCTGTGATTATTAATACAATCATATAATGTTTAAAGATAAATCAGTGTAATTGGGATATCTATCATCTTAAAAATTTGTCATTTATTTGTGCTAGAAACATTTGAATCATTCTCTTCTAACTATTTTGAAATGCACAATAGGTTATTGTAAACTCTAGTCACTCTACTAATCTATTGAACAGTGGGTATTATTTCTTCTATCTAGGTATGCATTTGTACCCATTAATCAACCTCTCCTCATTCTCCCCTCCCCCTATTCTTCCTGGCCTCTGCTAACCACTACTACTCTATCTTTATGAGATCCATTTTTTTTTATCCCACATGTATGAGTGAGAATATGCAATAATTGTCTTTTTGTGCTTGGCTTATTTTACTTAATATAGGAACCTCCAGTTACATCCTTGTTGCTGCAAATGACAGGCTTTCATTCTTTATTGCGGTGGAATAATATTCCATTGTGTATCGTACCATATTTTCTTTATGTGTTCATCCATTGATGGGCACTGAGGTTGAGTTCATATTTTGGCTATTGTAAATGGTGCTGCAGTAAACATGGGAGTTCAGATACTGCTTCAATATATTGATTTTCTTTCTTTCCAATATAAATACAGCAGTGGAATTGATGGATCGTATGGTAGTTCTATTTTCAGTTTTTTGAGGAACTTCCCTACTGTTTTCCACAGTGGCTGAACTAATTTACATTCCCACCAACAAGGATTCCCCTTTCTCCACATCCTTGCTAGCATGCATTCCTCCCTGTCTTTTTAACTGGGGGTGAGATCATGTCTCATTGTAGTTTTGATTTGCATTTCTCTAATGATTAGTGATGTTGAGAATGTTTTTCATCTACTTGTTGTCCATGTATATGTCTTTTTTGAGAAATATCTAGTCAAACCATTTGCCCATTTTTAAATTGGATTATTTGTTTTTTTTTTTTTTTTGCTATTGAGCTATTTGAGCTTCTTATATATTCTTGTTATTAATCTCTTGTTAGATGGATAATTTGCAAATATTTTCTCCCATTCTGTGGGTTATGGCCTCACTTTGTTTATTGTTTCTTTGCTGTGCAGAAAGCTTTTAGCTTGATGTAATCTCATTTGTCTAATTTTCTTTTTGTTGCCTGTGCTTTTGAAGTCTTACACACAAAAATTCTTTGCTCAGACTAATGTCCTGGAGTTCTCCCCCAATGTTTTCTTCTAGTAGTTTTGTAGTTTCATGTCTTAGATTTAAGTTTTTAATCCATTTTGATTTGATTTTTGTGTATGGTAAGAGACAAGGGTCTAGTCTCATTCTTATGCACGTGGCTATCCAGTTTTCTCGTAACACATATTGAAGAGACTGTTCTTTCCCGGTTGTATGTTCCCGGTGTCTTTGTCAAAAAATGGAATTGGCTGTAAATGCATGGATTTATATTTATTTTGTAATTTTCCTTTGATTTCTTCTTTTTCTCATTTTTATCTTTCTTTTAAAAAACATTTGTATACATATAAGGGGTATAAGTGCAGTTTTATTACATGGATATATTGTGTAGTGGTAAAGTCTGGGCTTTTCGTGTAACCATCACCCAAATATTGTACATTGTACCCATTAAGTAATTTCTCTTTCCTCACTCCTTTCCCTTCCTTCACTTCATCAGTCATAATTATTCCACACTCTATGTTCATGTGTATACAGTATTTAGCTCCTGCTTATATGTGAGAATGTCTAATATCTGACTTTGTGTTTCTGAGTTGTTTCACTTAAGATAATGGCCTCCAGTTCCATCCATGTTGTTGCAAAAGACATGATTTCATTCTTTTTTATGGCTGAATAGTATTTTGTTGTATATTTATACACATATATACACACCATACTTTATCCAATGATCCATTGATGGACACTTAATTAATTCCATATATTTGCTATTGTGAATAGTGCTGCAATAAACAGAAACATATGAGCAGGTGTATTCTGATACAATGATTTCTTTTCCTTTGGGTAGATGCCCAGTAGTGGGATTGATGGTTTGAAAAGTAGTTCTATTTTTAGTTTTTTGAGAAATCTTCACTGTGTTTTCCACAGAGGTTGTACTAATTTGCATTCCCACCAACAGTGTATAAGCCTTCCCTTTTTTCTACATCCTTTCAACATCTGTTATGTTTTGACTTTTTAACAATAGCCATTCTAACTAGCATAAGATGATATCTCATTGTGGTTTTAATTTGCATTTCTCTGAAGATTAGTGATGTTGAACATTGTTTAATATGCTTGTTGGCCATTTGTATGTCTTATTTTGAAAAATGTCTATTCATGTCCTTTGCCCACTTTTTAATGGAGTTATTTAGGGCTATTTTGTTGAATTGTCAGAGTCTTTTTAAAAATTTTTTTAAGGAGGTGTGTTGTATTACTTCCACCTATTGTGGTATTTCCAAACTTTTTTCTATTGTTGATTTCTAATTTAATTTGAGAAATATTTATGTGATTTCAATTTTTAAAAATGAATTGATAATTACTTTATTGCATAACACATGGTCAATCCTGGAGAATGGTCCATGAATACTTTGTTGTCATTGAATGGAGTGTTCTGTAGATGTTAGGTGGTCAAGTTAGTTGGGTTATTCAGGTCTTCTGTATCTTTACATACTTTTTGTTTAATTCTATCGATTAAGAAGAGAGGAGTGTTGAAATTTTCAACTCTACTGTTGCATTGCCTGGTTTTCTTTTCAACTCTTTCAGTATTTGGGGGCTTTTAAATTAAGTTCATATACATAATTAATATTGACAATTATATTATATATAAATATAATAATTATTATTTCTTACCTGATATAATAGCCCCTTTTTCATTATGAAATATACCTTTTTGTTTTGGGGATTATTCTACATCTTAAAGTGTATTTTTCTGGTACTAATATATTTATCCCTATTCTCTTACAGTTACTATTTTTATGATATATGTTTTTCCATCCTTTTATTTTCAACCTATTGTGTGTTTGAGTCTAAAAGTTATCTCTAGCAGACAGAGTATACTTAGATGTTGCCTTTTAAAATCTAGTATAATCATGTTGTCGTTGATTGAAGTGTGCAGTTCATTCACATATAATGTCATTTTCATATGGCAGCTATTTTTGGACATCTTGGGTTGCTTTTTTGCTCTTCTTGTTTACTATCTGTTTTGTGGGAAACAAGTATTTTTTGCACTATTTTACTTCCTCTCATAACATTTTTTAGTAATTTCTTATTTAGATGTTCATATTTCCAGTGGTTACTGAGATTACAATGTGCATCTTTACCTTATCATAATGTATTTTAAGTTAGTACTGATTTAATTGTGGTAAGACTTCACAACTTTGCTCTAATATTGCTCCATCCTCACCTTGTATTTGGGCTATTTTTGTCATACATTTTATATCTATAAGTGTTATAAATACAACAATACAGTTTTATAATTATTGCTTTAAACAAATTTTTATTTTGAAGTAAAGTAAGAGAAGTGTTTGTGTGTATGTGCATATACATATATACTGTTATTTTATATTTATCTACATATTTACATTCCTAGTGCTTTTCATTCCTTCCTATGGATGCAAGTTACCATGTGGTGTTATTTTCCTTCTGTCTGAAGGACTTCTTTTTTACCATTTCTTGTGTGGCATGTCTGCCAGCACTGAGTCTTCTCAGTTTGGTTTATCTGGGAATGTGTTTATTTCACTTTCATTTCTGAATAATGTTTTAACTGATTCAGAACTCTTGGTTGATAACTTCTTCTTCCTCTGAGCATTTTAAGTATGGGTATATCTTGGAGATATTCAGTTCCAGACCACCACAATAAAGCAAATAACTCAATAGTCACATGAAATTTTGGTTTCCTAGTGCATATAAGAGTTTTATTTATACCATACTGGAGTCTTTTAAATGTGCACTGGCATTATGTTTAAAAACAATGTACATATCTTAATTTTAAAAAGACTTTACAAGTAAAACTTGCTAGAGATCATCTGAGCCTTCAGCAAGTCATAATCTTTTTGCAGATGGAGGGTCTTGCCTCGATGTTGTTGGTTGTTGACTGATCAGGGTGGTGGTTGCTGAAGGTAGGGGTGGCTGTGGCAATTTCTTAAAATAAGACAACGAAGTTTGCCACATTGACTCTCCCTTTCATGGAAGATTTCTCTGTAGGAGGCAATACTGTTTGATAGCATTTACCCACAGTAGAACTTTTCAAAATTGGAGTCAGTCCTCTAAAACCCTGCTGCTGCTTTATCAACTAAGTTTATGAAACATTCTAAATCCTTTGTCATCATTTCAGCAATGTTCACAGCTTCTTCAGAGTAGATTTCACTTCAAAAAACATCTTTATTTGCTTAGCCATAAGAAGCAATTCCTCATCCATTTAGATTTTATCATGAGATTGCAGCAATTCAGTCACATTTTCAGATTTCACTTCTAATTCAAGTTCTCTTGCCATTTATATCACATCTGCAGTTTCACCACTGAAGTCTTAAACCCCTCAAAATCATTCTTGAGGGCTGGAATCAACGTTTGCCAAACTCCTCTTAATGCTGATATTTTGACCTCCTCCCAGGAATGTTCTTCATGGCATCTAAAATGGTAAATCCTTTCCAGAAGGTTTTCAATTTACTTTTCCGAGATTCATCAGAGGAATAAGTGCCTATGGCAGCTATAACTTTATGTAATGTATTTTATTTCTCTTTTTAAATTATACTTTAAGTTCTGGGATACATGTGCAGAACGCTCAGGTTTGTTACATGGGTATACACGTGCCATGGTGATTTGCTGCACCCATCAACCCGTCATCTACATTCGGTATTTCTCCTAATGCTATCCCTCCCCTTGCCTCCCACCCACCTACAGGCCCTGGTGTGTGATGTTCCCCTCCCTGTGCCCATGTGTTCTCATTGTTCAACTCTCACTTATGAGTGAGAACATGTGGTGTTTGGTTTTCTGTTCCTGTGTTAGTTTGCTGAGAATGAGGGTTTCCAGCTTCATCCATGTCCCTGCAAAGGACACGAAGTCATTGGTTCCAAGTCTGCTATTGTGAACAGTGCTGCAATAAACGTATGTGTGCATGTATCTTTATAGTAGAATGACTTATAATCTTTTGGGTATATACCCACTAATGGGATTGCTGGGTTGAATGTTATTTATAGTTTTAGATCCTTGAGGAATCGCCACACTGTCTCCCACAATGGTTGTACTAATTTACACTCCCACCAACAGTGTAAAAGCGTTCCTATTTCTCCACATCTTCTCCAGCATCGGTTGTTTCCTGACTTTTTAATGATCACCATTCTAACTGGATGCAAGTTACCATGTGGTGTTATTTTCTTTCTGTCTGAAGGTGTGAGATGGTATCTCATTGTGGTTTTGATTTGCATTTCTCTAATGACCAGTGATGATGAGGTTTTTTTTTCATGTTTGTTGGCCGCATAAATGTCTTCTTTTGAAAAGTGTCTGTTCACATCCTTCGCCCACTTTTTGATGGGGTTGTTTGTTTTTTTCTTGTACATTTGTTTAAGTTCCTTGTAGATTCTGGATGTTAGCCTTTTGTCAGATGGATAGATTGCAAAAATTTTCTCCCATTCTGTAGGTTGCCTGTTCACTCTGATGACAGTTTCTCTTGCTGTGCAGAAGCTCTTTAGTTTATAAACACCTCTATGCAAATAAACTAGAAAATCTAGAAGAAATGGATAAATTCCTTGACACATACACCCTCCCAAAACTAAACCAGGAAGAAGTCAAATCCTTGAATAGACCAATAACAAGTTCTGAAACTGAGGCAGTAATTAATAGCCTAGCAACCCAAAAAAGCCCAGGACCAGATGGATTCATAGCAAATTCTACCAGAGGTACAAAGAGGAGGAGCTGGTACCATTCCTTCTGAAACTATTCCAAACAATAGAAAAAGAGGGACTCCTCCCTAACTCATTTTATGAGGCCAGCATCATCCTGATACCAAAACCTGGCAGTGACACAACAAAAAAAGAAAATTTCAGGCCAATATCCTTGATGAACATCAATGCAAAAATCCTCAATAAAATACTGGCACACTGAATCCAGTAGCACATTAAAAAGCTTATCCACTATGAGCAAGTCAGCTTCATCCCTGGGATGCAAGGCTGGTTCAACATATGCAAATCACTAAATGTAATCCATCACATAAACAGAACCAATGACAAAAACCACGTGATTATCTCAAAAGATACAGAAAAGGCCTTCAATAAAATTCAACACCCCTTCATGCTAAAAACACTCAATAAACTAGGTATTGATGGAGCATATATCAAAATAATAAGAGCTATTTATGACAAACCCACAGCCAATATCATACTGAATGGGCAAAAGCTAGAAGCATTCCCTTTGAAAACTGGCACAAGACAAGGATGTGCTCTCTCACCACTCCTATTCAACATAGTATTGGAAGTTCTGGCCAATGCAATCAGGCAAGAGAAATAGATACTCAAACAGAAAGAGAGAAAGTCAAATTATCTCTGTTTGCAGATGACATGATTGTATATTTAGAAAACCCCATCGTCTCAGCCCAAAAACTCCTTAAGCTGATAAGCAACTTCAGCAAAGTCTCAGGATACAAAATCAATGTGCAAAAATCACAAGCATTCCAATACATCAATAATAGACAAACAGCCAAATCATGAGCAAACTTCCATTCACAATTGCTACAAAGAGAATAAAATACCTAGGAATACAACTTACAAGGGATGTGAAGAGCCTCTTCAAGGAGAAATACAAACCATTGCTCAAGGAAATAAGAGAGGACACAAACAAATGGAAAAACATTCCATGCTCATGGATAGGAAGAGTCAATATCGTGAAAATGGCCATACTGCCCAAAGCAATTTACAGATTCAATGCTATTCCCCTCAAGCTACCATTGACTTTCTTCACAGAATTAGAAAAAAACTACTTTAAATTTCATACGGAACCAAAAAAGAGCCCGTATATCCAAGACAATCCTAAGCAAAAAGAACAAAGCTTGAGGCATCACGTTACCTGACTTCAAACTATACTACAAGGCTATAGGGCTACAGTAACCAAAAGGCTGCAGTAACCAAAACAGCATGGTACTGGTACCAAAACAGATATATAGACCAATGAACAGAACAGAGGCCTCAGAAATAACACCACACATCTACAACCATCTGATCTTCAACAAGCCTGACAAGAACAAGCAATGAGGAAAGGATTCCCTATTTAATAAATAGTGTTGGGAAAACTGGCTAGCCATATGTAGAAAACTGAAAATGAACCCCTTCCTTACACCTTATACAAAAATTAACTCAAGATGGATTAAACATAAGACCTAAAACCATAAAAACCCTAGAAGAAAACCTAGGCAAGACCATTCAAGACATAGGCATGTGCAAAGACTTCATTACTAAAACACCAAAAGCAATGGCAACAAAAGCCAAAACTGACACTTGGGAGCTAATTAAATAATGTATTTCTTACATAATAAGACTTTAAAGTCAAAATGACTTCTTGATTCATGAGCTACAGAATAGATGTTGTGTTAGAGACATGAAAATAAAATTAATCTCCCTGTACCTCTTCATCAGCGCTCTTGGATGACCAGGTGCATTGTCAATGAGCAGTAATATTTTGAAATAAATCTTTTTTCTGAGCAGTAGGTCTCCACAGTGAGCTCAAAATATACAGTAAACCATACACAAACAAATTTGCCGTTATCCAAGTTT
This sequence comes from Homo sapiens, assembly GCF_000001405.40. Lineage (NCBI taxonomy): Eukaryota > Metazoa > Chordata > Mammalia > Primates > Hominidae > Homo > Homo sapiens. The sequence continues at coordinate 36,706,425 of NC_000007.14, forward strand.
TATTGTTCCATTTCTAGAGTACAAGCAGAGTAGATTTAGAAAAATTCCTAAGGGCCCTAGGATTTTCATTATGGTAAACAAGCATTTGCTTTGACTTAAAGTCACCAGCTGCATTAGTCCCTAACAAGAGTCAGCTTGTCCTTTGGAGTTTTGCAGCTGGGTATTGACTTCTCCTCTCTAGCTATGAAAGTCATATAGATGACATCTTCTAATAGAAGGCTATTTTGTCTACATCAACAATCATTTGCTTAGAACAGCCACCTTCATCAATGATCTTAGCTAGATTTTCTGGATAACTTGCTGTAGCTTCTACATCAGCATGTGTTCCTTCACCTTGCACTTTTATGTTATGGAGATAGCTTCTTTCCTTAAACCTCATAAACCAACCTCTGATAGTTTTATACTTTTTTTCCAGCTTCCTCACCTCTCCTAGCCTTCATAGAATTGAAGAGAGCTAGGATTAGGCTTTGGCTTAGGGGAATAGCATGGGTGGTTTGATATTCTATCTAGACCATGAAAAGTTTTCTCCACATCAATGATAAGGCTGTTTCACTTTCTTATTATTGGTGTGTTTAGTGGAATAGTGCTTTAATTTTTTTTCAATAACTTTCTCTTTTCTTTTTTTTTTTTGGCATTCACCACTTGGCTAACTGTTTGGCATATCTTGGCTTTAGACATGCCTCCTCACTAAGCATAATAATTTCTGGCTTTTGATTTAAAGTGAGTTTTGTGTGACTCTTTCTTTCACTTGGGCAGTTAGAGGCCATTGTAGGGTTGCTAATTGGCCTAATGTTAATATTGTTTTGTCTCAGGGAATAGGGAGGGCAATGGAGAGGGGGAGAGATGGGGAAATAGCTAGTTGGTGGAACAGTCAGAACACACACATTTATCAATTAAGGTTGCTGTCTTATATGGGTGTGGTTCATGGCACCCCGAAACAATTACAATAGTAACATCAAAGATCACTGAACACAGAGCCACACTACAGATATAATAATGAAAAAGTTTGAAATATCCTGAGAATTACCAAAATGTGACACAGAGACATGAAGTGAGCACATGCTGTTGGAAAAACGGTGCCAATAGACTTGTTTGGCATAGGGTTGCCATAAACCTCCAATTTGTAAAAAATGCAATATCTGCAAAGTGCAATAAAATGAAGCACAATAAAAAGAAGTGCTGCGTGTCATTTTACTACCTTCTGGCCTAAAAAGTTCTGATGAAAGTTCAGCGATTAGTCATATTACTGTTTTCCAGTAAGTGATAAGTCATTTTTCTGTTTGTGCTTTCAAGATTTTTATGTTGTATTTGGTTTTCAGAAGTTTGAGTTTGACTATAAGGTATCAAGATTTACTTCTCTTTGTTTATTTGGAGTTTCTTGAGATTCTTGGATCTGTAGGCTAATGTTTTTCTTTTCTTTTCTTTTCTTTTCTTTTTCTTTTAAACAGACAGGGTCTTTTTCTGTTTCCCAGGCTCAAGAGATCCTCCCACCTCAGCCTCTGGAGTAGCTGGTTACATATCACCACGCTGGGCTAATTTTTTATTTTTTGTAAAGATGGAGTCTTGTTACGTTGCCCAGGCTTGTCTTGAACTCTGGGACTCAAGTGATCCTTCCACCTTGGCCTCTCAAAATGTTGGGATTACAGGTGTGAGCCACTGCACCTGGCCTTTTCTTCATTTTTAAAAAGCTGTTAATCATTACATTTTCAAAGACTTTTTGCTCCTCCTCTCCCGGAACTCCCGTTTTATAAATGTTGAGATACTGGATAGTATACTACATGTTTCTGAGGCTCTGCTCATTTTTCTTCAAGCTTTATTTTCTCTATTCTTTGGTTGGGATAATATGTATTGATGTGTTTTTAGGTTCACTGATTCTTTCTTCTTTGAACTGAAATCTTCTGTTGAGCTCATCTATTACAATTTAAATTTCAATTATTGATTTTTAAGTCTAGTATTTCCATTTGGATCTTTATTATAATTTTATATCTCTATTGAAATTTTTTCTATTTGCTGAACATTGAACACTGTCACAATATTTTCCTTTAATTCTTTCGCTATGGTGGTCTTTAATTCTGTGGATATCCCCATAACAGCACTTTGAAGTCTTTAATTCACTCAGAGTCCCTTTCTATTGACTGCTTTTTTCATAAGTATGGATCTCGATTTTCTGTTTCTTTACATGTCTACTAATTTTTTTTGTTGTTGAAAACTGGAAGTTATAAATAATGCATTTAGCAACTTTGGATTTTGTCTTATTTTTCTAAGAGTTGTTGTCTCTTCTTTTCTAGTAACTTTCTGGGCTTCAACTGTGGATCTGTTTACCCCGGAATGTAGAGTTTTTTACATCTCTGCTCATTTATTAGCCTGGCTTTCTAAGGATCACTCCTGTGTCTACATAGCTTAGAGTCATCGAGCAACTTTTGCTGAAACACTTCAAGCTTGTAAGGTGTGGTAACCCTACAATGGCCTCTAACTGTTCAAGTGAAAGAGTCACCATCTGTTGATCGATCCACGTGTGAGCTAGGGAATATATTCTAAGTGGCAGCCAGTTCTCAAGTTCCCCTGGGCTTTCTTTCACTTTCTGCTGAGCTCTTTTAGGTCTCCCCCGACACATGCATGGTTTCCCAATCAACTAGGGATATGTAGAGAGCTTATCTCAGCCCTTCCATGATGCTCTTCTCCAGATTATTTCCAGGATCTCCCTGCTAAACTTATGGCTGATCACCGTTGCTTCATCAGGGATCAAACCTTGAGCTAGCAAAGCTGTAGGTTCTGCTTGTTAATTCCCAACGGCCTCCATCACTTTTGGCCAGGAGAGCCATGGATCTTTACACCTCGGTGAAATCATCTGTCCCAATAGCAGTAAACCAGCTGGTTTTTGCAGCCAGTTCCACAGTGATAAAACTACTGTTCTCACTAACCAAGCTGAGGGCAGTGTAGACAGAGCAGCCTCAGGCAAGGAGGCCACAGTATAGTTGCTTTTACTGAAGTTCATGCAGTTTTTCAAAAATAAATATTTCTCAATTCATTGTATGCCACTGATGATTTCCTGCGCCCTGAAATGCTTGTGATAATTTTTCCAGTTTTATACTTAGTCTTTTGCACAGAGGAATTTCTAACACCTTCATGCGATCATCATCAGAATTCTCTTTTGTACTTATTTTTATCTGAAGGAGCCTAGGGGTTTTAGGTTCCAAAGGGCAAGTTAGCCTTCTCTAATTACATCTGCATTTTGTTAAATTGCAAGGGTCATTTTAAAAGACAGATTTTTTTTTTCCAAAGCAACATTCAGGCAAGGATTTTCCTAACATTGAAAAACAACTGTTTTATATGCAAAAAGGTATGACATTGGAGTGATTATGTTTTCTTTCCAAATTTCCAGAGTGTGAAATCCATGAGAAAAAGCTTGCATATAAAAAACGAAAAACCATAAACAAACCCAAACCACCAAAAACCCCCAAAGCCCAAAAAACTTGTTCAGTCTGCAACTTAATCTTCATCTATTGATTTCTATTATGTATTCATGTCTATTTGGTGAATCACTTTGGAACTAAGTCACATAAATTCTCTCTTGTGATATTATCTGGGTGTTAAGTTTGAAGGCTCTTTTTGGTCTTTTAAAAGCATTTCTATGTGTGGTAGGTAGAATTATAATATTTCTGCCTCCTGATGAACACATCTTACTTAATTCCCTATTCTGAATAAGGGCAGAACCTGTGAAAATGACTGGATATCACTTCCACGGTTATATTCTGTTACATGGCAATGACAAAAGGATTCTGCATATGTAATTAAGGACTCCAATCAGTTTATTTTGGGGTAATCAAGATTTTCCTAGATGGGCCAGGCATATTCAGGGAACCCTTTAAATGTAGAGTTTTCTCTAGCTTGTTTTGAAAGAAAGAAATAGCTATGCTACTCACTCCCTAGGAAGAGGGGCAGACTCTAGTAATTGAGAGTGATCCCTAACTGATGGCTGGGAAGCAAATGGGAGTTCAGTCCGGCAACTGCAAGGAACCGTATTCTGCCAACAACCAGTGAACTTGCAAGAGGACCACAGTCTCAAATCAGACTGAAGCCCTGGCCAACATTTTGACTTCAGCCTTGTAAAACTCTGAGCAGGGAACTCAATTATGTTATGTCCAGGCTTCTGATGTGCAGAAACTGTGAGGTAATAAATTTGTGTTGATTTAAGCTGATAAGTGTGTGGCAATTTATCACGGAGCAATAGAAAGCTAATACACTGTGCAATCTTCCTTTATAAATTAATCTTCCTTTGAAACACCCAAGATTTGAGAATTTCTATTTACTTAAGATACAGGTTGCCATGAAATTATTCAGTTACTCAGGACTTTTTGCCTTACAATAGGTTTAATTTCACAACTTCTGGAGCACAGTTTCTATGCATTTCTTTCTTGATTTCCAAAAGAATAGATAATCACAACCCTTTTGTGTCCTTGCTATGTACCAAGCACAGTTCTAAGTGACAGGCTGTTCGCATCACCCTGTGTAATTCTCATTTTGCAGATGAGGGGAGTGAAGTGGTGCCGAGGGTGAAGCTATGCCCCCAAAGTCACATTTGTACAGAGTGGCAGAACCAGGATTCAAATCTGAGAGCCCCACACTCTGCAGGTCTTAACCCCATGCCTTACTATTGCTTCCACAAGCACATTATAGAAAGTGTGGAAAATTCAGAAAATTACTGAGAAGGAAATATAAATCACTAGTAATGTCTTCATTTAGAGACAGCCATGTAATCACTATGACTATTTTGGCATTCATTCTGTCTAGGAAAATAGCTCTGTCAATAGAGAGGTGGGCACATTATAACTTAATGGGGATTTTACTCTGCTTAATGCTTTACAACTTCTTCTTTTTTCCCTTTTCCATAACAAATTTTAAAATATTCTGTATTCTTACCTCCAGTATTAATATATTTACAAAAAAAAATTACTTCCTTTGTTCCTGAAGCACAGCATGCTGTCATCATGGATTCTTTCGGTATTGCTCACTGTGTGACCTTTCCCCAAAGTCACAGGCCCTTCTCAGAGTGTCCCTGTGGTCTTTCTCTTCAGGTTTCCACCTCAGAGCAATCCAGGAAAGAGAGAGGCAGACAGGTGGTGAAAAATTCAGATGATCAGAAACCTACCATTTGTGCTAAAGTTGGGGTTAAATGCAATGATAATTTAAAAATAAAGGTAGGAGATTATGGAGAAGAGAGAGTGTATGGGAACTGCCACGGTAAAGGGCACGTGCAGAGGGCAGTAGCTGTGTCCAGAGAATGAGGGTGGTCCAGCTAGACCGCGAAGATCTGCCTGGCCCATGAGGGTGGAATGTGTGGTGGGTCAGATGCAGGGCCAATGTCCAGACTGCATGGCTAAGCCAAGACCATGAACCCCACCAACCCTGAAACTTCACTTGCTGGCGCTCTTAGGGCTGAGGACAGAGACCACCTCCAAAGGCTGAGAACCATGAACATCAGAGTGACGGGTAAGTCCTCCTGGAGAACTAAGATCAACCCTCACAGAGGAGGGAAGGAAGAGGAAAAGCTAGTTACCAAAGGAGACTCAATTTAACCACATAAATGGCAAGATGAAATGTTTTCTGCTATCAGCAGAAACAGTGTCTTATGAACAAGCGTTTAGTTATAGAGAAATAGAAAGAGTGAAATTTCTGTGTGTCTAAGTCGTGATAATAAATTTTCAACCTTCTGTTGGCTCTGTCTAAATCCTTCCTATTCTTGTCAGTGACACTGTTATTTTATTGCTCACATTGGCTTGAAATTATGTGGCCACCTCTGTGTTCATCAATCAAACTATGAAGTCATCGTGAACCACTCTGTGTGTGGTATGCGGGTGTGGAGAGGGGATTATAACCTGACACTGAAGGCATTTTATATTTAACCAAATGTGAGTAAGGGAAAAATTCAGGTTTTTTCTTAACCTTTTAAAAAGCTTCCTGAGTACCAAATAGTGCTTTTAAAAAAACGAACATTCAGTGAATTAATTTAAATGTCAATGACTTAGAAACACAAGGATTATTTTCCCCCTAAATCACCCATGTAAAGAAATGTTTTGCAAAAATTAACATGTCTTATCATTTATTCTGCAACATTTGAAAAGTGGCAGAAAGAGGCACAGCCTGTTCAAGCATAGTCGACCCCTGGGTTACCCAAAAAGGGAAGCCCATCAGACTAACAGCGGATCTCTCAGCAGAAACTCTACAAGCCAGAAGAGAGTGGGGGCCAATATTCAACATTCTCAAAGAAAAGAATTTTCAGCCCAGAATTTCATATCCAGACAAACTAAGCTTCAGAAGTGAAGGAGAAATAAAATACTGTACAGATAAGCAAATGCTGACAGATTTCGTCACCACCAGGCCTGCCCTAAAAGAGCTCCTGAAGGAAGCACTAAACATGGAAAGGAACAACCGGTACCAGCCACTGCAAAAACATGACAAATTTTAAAGAGCATCGAGGCTAGGAAGAAACTGCATCAACTAATGAGCAAAATAACCAGCTAATATCATAATGACAGGATCAAATTCACACATAACAATATTAACCTTAAATGTAAATGGGCTAAATGATCCAATTAAAAGACACAGACTGGCAAATTGGATAAACAGTCAAGACCCATCAGTGTGCTGTATTCAGGAAACCCATCTCACATGCAGAAACACATAGGCTCAAAATAAAGGGATGGAGGAAGATCTACCAAGCAAATGGAAAACAAAAAAAGGCAGGGGTTGCAATCCTAGTCGCTGATAAAACAGACTTTAAACCAACATAGATTAAGAGACAAAGAAGGCCATTACTTAATGGTAAAGGGATCAATTCAACAAGAAGAGCTAACTATCCTAAATATATATGCACCCAATACAGGAGCACCCAGATTCATAAAGCAAGTCCTTAGAGACCTACAAAGAGACTTAGACTCCCACACAATAATAATGGGAGACTTTAACACCCCACTGTCAACATTAGACAGATCAACGAGACAGAAAGTTAACAAGGATATCCAGGAATTGAACTCAGCTCTGCACCAAGCAGACCTAATTGACATCTACAGAACTCTCCACCCCAAATCAACAGAATATACTTTCTTTTCAGCACCACACCACACCTATTCCAAAATTGACCACATAGTTGGAAGTAAAGCTCTCCTCAGCAAATGGAAAAGAACAGAAATTATAACAAACTGTCTCTCAGACCACAGTGCAATCAAACTAGAACTCAGGATTAAGAAACTCACTCAAAACTGCTCAAACATGGAAACTGAACAACCTGCTCCTGAATGACTACTGGGTACATAACATAATGAAGGCAGAAATAAAGATGTTCTTTGAAACCAATGAGAACAAAGACACAACATACCAGAATCTCTGGGACACATTCAAAGCAGCGTGTAGAGGGAAATTTATAGCACTAAATGCCCACAAGAGAAAGCAGGAAAGATCTAAAATTGACACCCTAACATCACAATTAAAAGAACTAGAGAAGCAAGAGCAAACACATTCAAAAGCTAGCAGAAGGCAAGAACTAACTAAGATCGGAGCAGAACTGAAGGAAATAGAGACACAAAAAACCCTTCAAAAAATCAATGAATCCTGGAGCTGGTTTTTTGAAAAGATCAACAAAATTGATAGACCGCTAGCAAGACTAATAAAGAGGAAAAGAGAGAAGAATCTAATAGATGCAATAAAAAATGATAAAGGGGATATCACCACCGATCCCACAGAAATACAAACTACCATCAGAGAATGCTATAAACACCTCTACGCAAATAAACTAGAAAAGCTAGAAGAAATGGATAAATTCCTCAACACATACACTCTCCCAAGACTAAACCAGGAAGAAGTTGAATCTCTTAATAGACCAATAACAGGAGCTGAAATTGAGGCAATAATTAATAGCTTACCAACCAAAAAAAGTCCAGGACCAGATGGATTCACAGCCGAATTCTACCAGAGGTACGAGGAGGAACTAGTACCATTCCTTCTGAAACTATTCCAATCAATAGAAAAAGAGGGAATCCTCCCTAACTCATTTTATGAGGCCAGCATCATCCTGATACCAAAGCCTGGCAGAGACACAACCAAAAAAGAGAATTTTAGACCAATATCCCTGATGAACATCGATGCAAAAATCCTCAATAAAATACTGGCAAACCAAATCCAGCCTCACATCAAAAAGCTTATCCACCATGATCAAGTGGGCTTCATCCCTGGGATGCAAGGCTGGTTCAACATATGTAAATCAATAAATGTAATCCAGCATATAAACAGAACTAATGACAAAAACCACATGATTATCTCAATAGATGCAGAAAAGGCCTTTGACAAAATTCAACAACGCTTCATGCTAAAATCTCTCAATAAATTAGGTATTGATGGGACGTATCTCAAAATAATAAGAGCTATCTATGACAAACCCACAGCCAATATCATACTGAATGGGCAAAAACTGGAAGCATTCCCTTTGAAAACGGGCATAAGACAGGGATGCCCTCTCTCACCACACCTATTCAACATAGTGTTGGAAGTTCTGGCCAGCGCAATCAGGCAGGAGAAGGAAATAAAGGGCATTCAATTAGGAAAAGAGGAAGTCAAATTGTCCCTGTTTGCAGATGACATGATTGTATATCTAGAAAACCCCATCATCTCTGCCCAAAATCTCCTTAAGCTGATAGGCAACTTCAGCAAAGTCTCAGGATACAAAATCAATGTGCAAAAATCACAAGCATTCTTATACACCAATAACAGACAGAGAGCCAAATCATGAGTGAACTCCCATTCACAATTGCTTCAAAGAGCATAAAATACCTAGGAATACAACTTACAAGGGACATGAAGGACCTCTTCAGGGAGAACTACAAACCACTGCTCAATGAAATAAAAGAGGATACAAACAAATGGAAGAACATTCCATGCTCATGGGTAGGAAGAATCAGTATCATGAAAATGACCATACTGCCCAAGGTAATTTATAGATTCAATGTCATCCCCATCAAGCTACCAATGACTTTCTTCACAGAATTGGAAAAAACTACTTTAAAGTTCATATGGAACCAAAAAAGAGCCTGCATTGCCAAGTCAATCCTAAGCCAAAAGAACAAAGCTGGAGGCATCACGCTGCCTGACTTCAAACTATACTACAAGGCTACAGTAACCAAAACAGCATGGTACTGGTACCAAAACAGAGATATAGACCAACGGAACGGAACAGAGCCCTCAGAAATAATGCCACATATCTACAACTATCTGATCTTTGACAAACCTGAGAAAAACAGGCAATGGGGAAAGGATTCCCTATTTAATAAATGGTGCTGGGAAAACTGGCTAGCCATATGTAGAAAGCTGAAACTAGATCCCTTCCTTACACCTTATACAAAAATTAATTCAAGATGGATTAAAGACTTAAATGTTAGACCTAAAACCATAAAAACCCTAGAAGAAAACCTAGGCAATACCATTCAGGACATAGGTGTGGGCAAGGACTTCATGTCTAAAACACCAAAAGCAATGGCAACAAAAGCCAGAATTGACAAATGGGATCTAATTAAACTAAAGAGCTTCTGCACAGCAAAAGAAACTACCATCAGAGTGAACAGGCAACCTACAGAATGGGAGAAAATTTTTGCAACCTACTCATCTGACAAAGGGCTAATATCCAGAATCTACAATGCACTCAAAACAAATTTACAAGAAAAAACAAACAACCCCATCAAAAAGTGGGCAAAGGATATGAACAGACACTTCTCAAAAGAAGACATTTATGCAGCCAAAAGACAGATGAAAAAATGCTCATCACTGACCATCAGAGAAATGCAAATCAAAACCACAATGAGATACCATCTCACACCAGTTAGAATGGCGATCATTAAAAAGTCAGGAAACAACAGGTGCTGGAGAGGATGTGGAGAAATAGGAACACTTTTACACTGTTGGTGGGACTGTAAACTAGTTTAACCATTGTGGAAATCAGCGTGGCGATTCCTCAGGGATCTAGAACTAGAAATACCATTTGACCCAGCCATCCCATTACTGGGTATACATCCAAAGGATTATATATCATGCTGCTATAAAGACACATGCACACGTATGTTTATTGCGGCACTATTCACAATAGCAAAGACTTGGAACCAACCCAAATGTCCAACAATGATAGACTGGATTAAGAAAATGTGGCACATACACACCATGGAATACTATGCAGCCATAAACAATGATGAGTTCATGTGCTTTGCAGGGACATGGATGAAGCTGGAAACCATCATCCTCAGCAAACTATCAGAAGGACAACAAACAAAACACGGCATGTTCTCAATCATAGGTGGGAATTGAACAATGAGAACACATGGACACAGGAAGGGGAACATCACACACCGGGGCCTGTTGTGGGGTGGAGGGAGCGGGGAGGGATAGCATTAGGAGATATACCTAATGTTAAATGATGAGTTAATGGGTGCGGCACACCAACATGGCACATGTATACATATGTAACAAACCTGCACGTTGTGCACATGTACCCTAAAACTTAAAGTATAATAAATAAATAAATAAATAAATAAATAAATAAATAAATAAATAAATAAAAAAGCATAGTCGACCCTGCATTTGCTTAGTGTTCAAATGGGACATACTGTTCAGTGCTAACAAATATGGTAAACTGGGGAAGGGGATCTTGGGGCTTTCCACAGCTTCAATCTGCTTTGGGAATACATTTATGGCCACGTCCTCAGGTCTTCTGGTTAGTTCCCCACTGCGGGGTTACGCTTTGGGATTGGAGCTGGGGTTGTTTGTGATGGGTCTGTAGGCTCAATAGCTCAGTAACTTCAGTGAGGGCTCCTTTTAGAGTATCCCTCCAGTCACAACAATACCCTGCTTCAGTGAGAGCTATCCCCTCACGCCATGAGCCTGGCAGCCATCTCTGTATTTTGAGCTCTCCCCACTCCCACCCACCCCTTAGTCAGTGAACTAAAGACTTAGCCCAAATTCTCTCTGCTGGGAAGCTGGAATTGGTAACCAGAAGGTGAACACACTTCTGCGGGCTGAACTACCACATATGAACTCAGAGCTTTTGGGAGCCAGTAGTCAACCAAAGGGTGGAGGGCATTAAACCAGCTGGTCTGTAGGGATAGAGATGGAGGCAGTGGCGAGGCACCGGGAGAGAGAACTCTCTGGGTTCCTGGCGGCCAACATTTTTTGTTTCCTAGCTTGATTTGTAGGCCTGTTTTCTCCTTTTGATTCTAAAATTCACTCTTGTAATTCTCACAAGCAAATTTCCTCTTTTTCTCTTCTTATTTTTTTTTTTTTTTGCTTAGCCTAGTTTAAGTTAATTCCTGTTACTTGCAACCCCAGGAGTTTCGCTCCTGGTTGCTATATTTGTGGTGAGGAACTTGGTGTCTGGGAAATAAGACAAAGGAACAGGCACATGACAAAAGAAAACTAATAACTACAACAACAATTTTAAAATATAGGTCTTAGATATGACACCAAAAATACAAGAGACAAAAGAAAAAAATAGATACACTGGACTCCATCAAAATTACTAAATTTTGTTCGTGAAAGGACACCATTATGAAAGTGGGGGAAGGAAACACAGAATGGGAGAAAATATTTGTGAATCATATATTTGAAAAAAGACGTCTATCTAGAATATATGGAGAATTTTTGCAATTCAACAATAAAAAGACAAACCCAATTTAAAGAGGGGCAAAATATTTGAATAGAAATTTTTTTTCAAAGAAGATATACAAATGGCCAATAAGCACATGAAAAGATGCTAACATCATTATCATTTGGGAAATACAAATTAAAACCAAAAATGAGATCTCACTCCACAGCTACTATGATGGCGATAGCAAAATGATGAATAACTAAGTGTTGGCAAGAAGGTGGAGAAGTTACAACTTTCATACACCGCTGGTAGAAATGTAAAATGGTGCAGCTGCTTGGAAAATAGTTTGGCAGTTCCTCAAAATGTTAAAGATGGTATTACCGCATGCCCTAGAAATTCCACTCCTAGGTATATACCCAAAAGAAATAAAAACACATGTCTACACAAAATCTTGTACATGAATATTCATAGCAGAATTATTCATAATTACCAAGAAGTGAAAACAACTCAAATGTTCATCAACAATGAATAAATAACAAAACCAAGTATGTCCATACAATGGAATATTATTCAGCTGTAAGAAGAAACAGGGTTGATACATGCCACAACATGAATGAACCTTGAAAACATTATGCTAAGTCAAAGAGGCCTGTAGCAAAAGGCCATGTTTTATATTATCGTATTTATGTGAAATGCCCATAGAGACAGGAAGTAGAGTGGTGATTTCCAAGGGCTATAGAGAGAAGGAAATGGGGAGTAAATGCTAAGAGAATTGGATTTTTGGGGGGAGCAGTGAAATGTTCTGGAATTAGATATTGGTGATCAATGCACAACTCATGAATATACTAAATGCCACTTTTACACTTTAAAAGAGTGAAGTTTATGATACATGAATTATATTTCTCAATAAAGCTGTTATTTAAAACAATATGGGAAAAATATTTTACCCTGATTTAATCACATCAACAATAACATAATCATAATTAAAGCGAGGAATAAGCCAAGTTTTAACTAACTATGTAACCTTGAACAAGTTACTTATTTCTGTCTTTATTTTTTCGCCTACCAAACAAGGATAATGATAATACAGACTTCATAAGGTCATTGTAATGATTAAATGGGTTAGTACACATAAATCTTTTGGAAGATGGCTTATCATACAGTCAGTGTCCAATAAATGTTGGCAATTATTATAATTATTAACTCGCAAATGTAATTTGTGTGGCTGAAGAGCACTTGGCTGTAGTGACTTTCTCCAGGCATCACTCCAATTAGTCCACATTCAAGTCAGAGAAAAGATGGAAGGTACAACCCCCACGGAGAAGTGTTGGGGAGACCAGTAGCAAAACAAACTTTATGAGTAAGAAGCAAATTTGATTACTCAACAATAATCTTCATAAAAATGGATGAAACCCAACTAGTTCAGTTGATCTTGAAGAAAAATAGGAAGGAAGAACTTCTTCCATGTGTTGGGAAGGTGATATAAATATTTTAGGTTATTATGATCTTACAAATCAAGGCAAGGATATCCTTTTATGATCAAGGTAAGAATTTATGTTGGAATGGCAATTAAAAGACAGCTGACAACTAACAAAAATGAAGAGGGCTGGACACGGTGGCTCATGCTTATAATCCCAGCACTTTGGGAGGCTGAGGCAGACAGATTGCTTGGGCCCAGAAGTTTGAGACCAGCCTGGACAACATAATGAGACCCTGTCTCCACGAAAATAAAAATAAAACAATTAGGCAGGCATGGTGGTGTGCACCTGTAGTCCCAGTTACACAGGAGGCTGAGGTGGGAGGATCACTAGAGCCTGGGCTGTTGAGGCTTCAGTGTGCTATAATTGTACCACTGCACTGTAGCCTGGGTGATAGAGTAGGACTTTGTCTTTATTAAAAAAAAAAAAAAGATGAATCATTCTTGCTCAGATGGGATGATCAGAAATCCAGCTGCCTAATCACCTTTTGCTCAGAAAAGTTTCTGTGGCCTGGGTTCTTTCAGCAAGCAGGTGAATGCAACAGAATCTTTGAGATAACTGAAGCTTCCTTCTTTGACTAGCAATATTCAGGTAGAAATGTTTCTAGAATTCTAAAGTTTTTTTTTTTGTTTTGTTTTGTTTTTTGAGATGGAGTCTCGCTCTGTCGCCCAGGCTGGAGCGTGGTGATGTGATCTCGGCTCACTGCAACCTCTGCCTCCTGGGTTCAAGCGATTCTTCTGCCTCAGCTCCCTGAGTAGCTGGGACTACAGGCATGCCCCACCGTGTCCTGCTAATTTTTGTATATCTATATTTACATTTTTTTTTTTTTTAGTAGAGACAGGGTTTCACCATATTGACCAGGCAGGTCTCAATCTGCTGACCTCGTGATCTGCCCACCTCAGCATCCCAAAGTGCTGGGATTACAGGCGTAAGCCACCACACACGACCTAAAATCTTAAAGTTTTAAACACTCTTTTTGAGGCTATTACTTCACCTTCCCCAGGTGGCTTTATGAGCGGAGTCTGCAGTGCCTGCTTCCAAGCTATGAGCCTCTGCCCTGCACTTCATGGTGCTCTGCTGGCTCTGGCATTGGCAGTTTAAAGAGTTTTAGAGAAAGGGTATTATCAAGGGCACTAAGGGCCCAGTTCAACATTCATTTTAAAGGACTGTAATCTTTACAAGGCTCCAGGTTTTCGTTTTCCTCTAAACTGGACAGTGAATTTCCTGAAGACAGACATTCTAAAAATCCTTCCTCTCCTTCATCTGTGTATCCCTGCTCTCGCATATTCAGTGGCCATGTGAGAACTGAGTGCGCGGAAATGTTTGGGGACCACCTTTCTGCTGGAGGGTTTGAAGTCATGTAACCCTGCTTTTTGTCAGAAAGTTGTTAGGGTGTTGGCAACAAATGTAGAGTTAGAAGAACTCCAATCAACAATTCCTTCTCTTTTCTCCTCTCTTCCACACACTTCTTCCTCTTCCCACCAGCTGCGAGAGAGCGGACCTCACTGCTTCCTGAGATGCTTCCCACATACAACCCTTCCAGCAGGTACACCCCAGGATCCCGTATCAGGAGACACTCGCTCCCCAGCTTCTGGAGCCATTGGTCTGAAGGATTATGCCAGCATCAGAGTCCCTTGCCAGAACTGTCTCCACCAACGGGAGATGTCTCAAAATTACAGCCCTCCCCTGTGGTCAGGTCACATCGAGGGACTGTTTGATGTGGGAATTCCAAGACCTGCACCTACTTCAGGACAACTCTGAAGAGCTATTTTAGTCCCAGAGCTCTCAGTGGGACTTCTTTTATGGCTGCAGCACAGCCCGGCTTCTCTCTGCCAACCCCACTGCCTTCCTCTCTTGCTCGTCTTTTTGCCAAGAGCACTTCTCAATAAACTCCCCTGCACACACATTTCTAATCCTGTCTCCCCCAAAAGCCAACTTCAATCAGTGAAGCACCAAGTTGGACCACCTTCAGCCCCTGTCTCAGCACATAGGCAGTGCTCAGTAAGTGTTCATCACAAGACTGGACTCCTCTTGCACCCACCTTTCTTGCTATTATGACAACAGGTGAATAAGTCACCCAGGCAGAGTTAACCAGAAGAAGTTGGGAGTTGCTGGGAAAATGGATGCTAAATCATCCTCAAACCTAATCAGCAACAGAGTCTCCAAGCCCTTGGGGCCATGAGAATTTGTATGGGCAACCAAAGTGAACCTCTGTGAATGATAGAGATGACCACACATTTCTTGACCCTCTCCATCAAAATGAAGGGTCTCTGCCCCCTCCCTTTGAGTCTGGGTGGAGGAACTTGTGAATGCTTTGAGCAATGGAAGATGGCAAGTAATGCTGTGCCTGTTTCCAGACCCAAAACTTGAAAGATTGGCAGCTTCTAATTCCTGTCTTTTGGAATTCTCTCTGGGATTCCTAAGCTGCCAGGTAAGAAAGCCTACTACCCAAGATAGCCATGTGTGGGCACTCTGATGGCACTCCCAGATGAGCCAACCCTCTAGCCATTCCCTCACCCCTAAGGTGCCAAATATGTGAGTGAAGCTGTTTTTGTCAGTCCCAGATCCATCAATCCACCATCCGAATACCACCTCCTAACCTCGGTCACTCCTACATGGAGAAGAAGAATCACCAGCCAGTGTTCGAACAAATTTTTCACCCATAAAATCATAATACAACAAATGGTTATTATTGTAATTTTTGATGCAGCAATAATAGAAAAACCAGAGCAACCCCATCCTGAAATCTCCCCAACACCTCCTTCTTACCCTCTATGACCTCACTGGGAACAGGGCAGAGAAAGGAATGTGTACCTCCTGTCCATTTTACTGAAGTGAAGGTCCAAGGATCTCAGCCCTGACAACTTGCCCAAACTCAAACATTTAGTTTGCAATGAGCCCAGAAGTAAAACTGATTTCATCTGAGCTTTTCTCAAGTGTATTTCCATTTGATGGGCAGTAGGGTTTTGTTTTGAGAAAAATGAAAAGGTGGCAAATAGTTATTTAAGGAAACCAAATACTGGGGGAGGATGATCTCCCAGGCATGGTTCAAAGGACCACACACCTCTGCCTTCAGGTCTCTGGAAAATAGTCTTGGGGAATCTGGGTCTTAATTAAAACAAGACTTTGGAGGCTGGGCGCGGTGGCTCATGCCTGTAATCCCAGCACTTTGGGAGCCAAGGGGGGCGGATCACGAGGTCAGGAGTTCGAGACCAGTGTGGCCAACATAGGGAAACCCCATCTCTACTAAAAATACAAAAAATTAGCTGGGTGTGGTGGTGTGCATCTGTAATCCCAGCTACTCCGAAGGCTGAGGCAGGAGAATTGTGTGAACCAGGGAGGCAGAGGTTGCAGTGAGCTGAGACTGCACCATTGTACTCCAGCCCAGGTGACAGTGCGATAATCCATCTCAGAAAAAAAAAAAAAAAAAAAAAAAAAAGGACTTTGGAAGTAGAGATGCATCTCCTAACATGTACAATGACCTGAGGCCATGATTTTGAGGAAGTAGGACAAATTCAGATATATTTCCATATTGTCTCCAGAAACAATTCCTAAGTGTCAGAATCTGTGTCCAGATTTTCCATTTGCAGCATGTAGCCATCAGACTTATCCTAGAGTTATTTTCCTGGCTTCTCAAGCTAGGATTGTATTTTGAGGTCTGCTCATTGAACAATTACTTACTACTCAGAGTTCTGAGTCTATGTGGCTCCATGGACTGTACCATCTAAATGCCACCACTATTATGAGAATTCCCATGTTATGAGAGCTACAATGTGAATATCAAAGATCTTACCTTACTTCCTGCTCTCATCCAAAAAAAACAAACAAAAAAAACCTCTTGGAAATAAAACACTTCATTAACAGATGAGCCAAGAAGCCATATCAACGCTCAGCGTCTCCAGGTGATCGCCAAATCTGGATTCTCTGAGAGACGGAAGGAAGCTAAGATGGTTGAGTCCTTACTGTGTGCACATGCCACAGATTTACATGCATGGTCACAATTTCCATGGTATCCCTATGAGATGGGTCTCACTCACTTCAGTTCACCAATAAGGACACAGAAGCATGGAGAGGGTTAAGTACATTGCTCCAGGTTTCCACAGCCAGTAGGAAATGGGAGAGAAGGGTAGGAGGAGGGCAGTGATTCAAACTCAGATGTGTTTATATGAGGTCAAAGCCCATGAAAAGCAGTAAAAATTTCAGACTAAAATAGCCTGAAATAATAGTTACCTATACAAGAAGAAAAAATTCCAATCGCCAATGAGGTGGAAGAGTTTTATGCCCAATTTAAACTAGTATGCTTTTTATTCACATAGATGTATGTAGTGTCAATGTCTACTCTTAGACTCCACATTTCTCTGTGTCAGTGAGGTTACTGGTGCCTTACCTGGAATCTTACAATTCTTGATTTAATAAAATATGTGATTTATTACGCAAGCAAAGTACTGGATCCCATTGTTATGTCTACATAGAAAATACAAAAATATTTATTTGCATACCTACACAGGTGTGCCCATTCGAGAGGCTGGGCCTGGACTGGTCATCGTTGGCTGGAGAGGCCGAGGACTGAAGAGACAGGAGCAAGAATAGAGGCGCCACCGTAAGGATTTTCCAGGGGGACTGCATCTCCGAGCTATGCACCCCAAGTGATCACCCGGCTTTGGAAGCTCCCAACTGAGGGATGCTGGAGCTGAGGCTGCAGAATCAATTGATCTCTCTCTCCTTCTCTTCCTCACTCTCTTTGACACACACACCCCACCCTCTCACATACACACTTTTCAATAAGTGTGAAGTGAATAAAAGCACACATAAACACTCACAGACCCACAGCTTGCTCTTGTTGGACCCTGAGAGAGCCACACACAAAGAGCTGGAGGGAGTCTGTGGTGTGCGGTTCTGCTGAGGTAAAGACTGCAGGATAAAGAAAACCCAAGTTGCACAGTGGCACAACTTCCGTGCTCCCTGGCTCAGTGAAGTTAGTGTGCATAAACCCCGTGAGCCTCGAGGCTTGCCGGAACTGATCTGTTGGGTTGGTTAGGAGGCCCTTCCCCTTTCATTCTTGCAAAACAAAACAAAACGATACTAAAGCCAAAACTGAGAAGAAAAAAGAAAAAAAAAACTAATCCACAAGCACACAACCCTTTAACAATTTGATCAGCAGCACCCACATATTGTAGAAATTCTAATTGGTTACATTCAGAACTTACTTAGTCTTGTTTTCAACAGCTTTATATGGTAAGGTTGTGATCCTTATTTTGTTGTAAAAGGATATTCTGGTCAAATAATATCTTTCCTCTGGAGAAATTGGGTTATTCCTTGAAGGGTCAAGGCCTTTTATTTGGTGTGCAGAAAATAAACAGTACAGAAAATAATGGGCAGTTAGCATGGTGGGATTTTAGACCTAATGAGAAAAAACATGGGTTAGAATTAATCAATTCACAGTTGCTAGGCTGTGCACAATGCATCTTTTTTTTCTCCAGAATTTCGAAGTGCATTTTGTGGATGATTTGTTAAGAGACTGATTTTCTGCTCTGAAGAATAGAACTGAACACTGTCTTTCTGAGGGAAAAAAAAAATCGGAACCAGATCATAGATAAAAGACATATAATCTAAATGTTTCTCTCTAAAATAAGATAAAACAAAATCATATGCCATTCTCAGTCAAGATAAGAGGACAGGGCCAAAGTACCACAGTCTAGGTAAGTGTAGGAGGTCATGAGATTCTGTTTCTCTCTGCTTAGGCTCTGAGGGAGCTTATTACAAATTTTGAAATATTATAGAAGCTATCTAAATTGTTAGCAATTAAAAAAAATAGCATTTGGAGTAGCAGGCAAAGTTTTAGAGTAGCATCCTTTCCAGGATGTAGGAAATACCAGTTTTTATGGTTGGAAGATTTCTTGTGCAGTCATTAGTCTTACAAGCACCGATGGGGCTACAATTCCCAAACCTGCTGCAGAGATAGCACAAGTCAGAGTGTTTCCCTAATTACACTTCCAGCCCAATACTGAGGATATCGTTAGGCGTCCATGGGCCTGTGACTTCCTCTGACTCTAAGGTGCTGCTGCTTCAGTTCTTCACTCTGTGACTAAGGGGAGCTCTGGGGTCACTAGGACCACCACAGGGGTGAGGCCTAGAGAAGTTCCAGAGACTTCCAAGGGAGGCTAAATAAAGGACTGATTGATTAGGAACTCAGATTGTGAAGACAGAAAGGCTCATGCTTACGTCTCATGTCTACTGTTTATTCTGAGTAATATATTAGACCAGTGATGTAACTTTCCCCCCTTCAGTGTCTTGTTTTTGTTGTTGTTGTTGTTGTTTGTTTGTTTTTTGAGACAGGGCCTTGCTTTTTCATCCAGGCTGGAGTGCAGTGGTGTGATCACAGCTCACTGCAGTGTTGACCTCCTGGGTTCAAGTGATCTTCCCACCTCAGCCTCCCAAGTAGCTCATTTCTATTGGGATAATGGTAATATCCGCTCCAATGCGCTGCTGGAAGCACTCGAATACATGATGTATCCAAACAACAAAGCAGCATGGCTGGCAAGAAGTAAGTGCTTAGTGCATCTGTCTATGACTCTAGCAGGAGTGTGATGAAACCTGCACCCCAGACCAGCTTCAAGAGAATTCCAAGACGCCCATGGTAGTTGTAGGCCATCATGTCATACATGGGAAATGGTGAGGACAGGAAAAGGGAGGATTTATTGAATACCTTCCAGCTGTGCTACAGCACTCCAGGAGTGTGTGGTCTAGTTTGTCTAATCCATAAATGGGTGAGGACTCTCCTGAGGGCTTCTGGAAGAGCATTTGACACAGGCTTTGGGCCTCTTGAGGCTCTCCTGGTCTCAATGTATAGCTGCGAGCAGGTCTGGAAACTCTTAGAGTGAGAGGGATTTCTTGGTATGCCGGAAATGCAAGTTTTGTGCCCTTCATCGCATGTATGTGGGCCAGGCAGTGCCATTCACAACCATCCCAGGGATGGTCGGCTCTGAAACTCTCTAGTGTGCTCAGGCTTCGGGGCTGGTCACAGTGGGAGTCGCTGACTTAGCTGTGCAGTATTGAGCAAGCCCCTTCCTGTTTCCAGAGGTGACAGTCCTCAGCTAGAAAAGGGAGGTGAGACTATCTACTTCGTAGGAATATATCATGGTAAAACCTGACACATAGGTTTTCAGTAATGGAAGGATTTTTCATGCTTGGAGGGTGAGTTCTTACTGGGCATGATCAAAGGAAGAATGCAGAAATCAGAAAGTGATTTCGCCAGCAGAAGCTGGAACAAAGTGCACGTGTGCACAGACCACTGAACAAAACATCCCTCTCCGTCACCAGGATGGAGTGGACCCTCCCATTTGCACAGTTGTCCTTCACACTGGCTGGTATCATTGCCCCTGACAGGGCTGCCTTTGCTCATCAAGTACTGAGTGCAAATGACTTGGGATCTTTGCACAGCTTGCCAAAAGGCCCTGGACCTACCTGTGGTTTAGAACAACTAGTCAGGCCCTGGAGAATGTTCCTGCAGGACCCCACTGTCAGATGTTCCAATTTTGAATCATCTCGAAATCTGCTCTTGAAAATGAGATTTCTTCCCTGAAGCACTTTGTTACTGATTTCACTCAAACAGCTCTGATTCAAACCACTGCTTTCCCCTGTGCCATGGAAGGCTAAGGCTTTGTGATCCCCAAGTGTTGCACCTGTGGTCTGCTTGTTCAGTATGAATATGCTTCCTGAATATTTTTTGACCACATTGGCCTCAACCACCTCATCCACAGCAAGTTCCTTAATCAGAAAAAAAAAAAAAAAAAAAAGAGGTGGGTGATGGGAGATCCTGTAAAAGCTGGCACTGTCACCAACACGTGTCTCGTCTTAGACTTTCTCCTCTCTCTAAGGCCCAGGTCCATGCTGCCCTGTTACTCCTGGCTGCCCAGGACTGTGTACAGCAGTCCTCAGTTCCCATCTACCAAAACCAGGCCCTCTGCTGCTCCCCTCCTCCTCAGTCAGAGCTTATTAACGCTAGCCTCATTCTATTCTGTTCTGCTGTCTGCTAAGGACAGGGTAAATTAACCCATGCTGAGGATGCATGGGGGCTCATTAAAAGAGCTCTGGGCTAGGATGGGGGGCCTGTGTCATGGGCTCCCCTCCTAGTAGCTGTGTGCCCTGGGTAAGCTGCTCCACCTTTCAGAATACCAGTTTATTTTACTATAGAATAGGGCATATAATGTCAATATTTAAGAAAATTGTGAGAATTAGAGAGACAACATGAATTTAAAAACATAATATTAACTGTTAGATGAATGTGAAGCTGACAATGAATTCACATTATTCTTCTCAAGTAGCATTGAAATTTTGGGGGAAGTTTTTTAAATCAAGATTTTAAAAATTGCTACATAATAACTGTACATATTTCTGGTGTACATGTGACATTTCAATACGTGCATGCAATGTGTAATGATCAAATTAGGGTAATTAGGATATCCGTCATCTCAAATATGTATCATTTCTTTGTCTTGGAAACATTTAAAATTCTCTTTTCCAGCTATTTTGAAATATACAATGAATTGTTGTTAACCAAAGTCACCCTACTGTGCTATTCAACACCAGGACTTATTCCATCTAACTGTATTTCTGTAGCCATTAATCAATCTCTCTTTATTCACCCTTTCCCACCCTTCCAAGTCTCTGGTATCTATCGTTCTATTCTCTACCTCCTTGAGATCACCTTCTTTAGTTTCCACAAGTGAGTGAGAACATGCAGTATTTGTCTTGCTGTGCCTGGCTTATTTCACTTAACATAATAACCTCCAGTTTCATCCATGTCGATGCAAATGACAGGATTTCATTCTTCTTAATGGCCAGATGGTATTCCATTGTGTACATGTACCACATTTTCTTTATCCATTTATCTGTTGATGGACACTTAAGTTGATTTCATACCTTGACTGCTGTGGCTAGTGCTGCAATAAACATGGGTTTATACTACAAAGTATGTCAGTATACCTTTCCAACATACTGATTTTCTTTTGAATACATAACCAGCAGTGGGATTGATAGATTATATATTAGATCTATTTTTAGTTGTTTGAGGAAGCTCCATACTGTTTTCTATAGTGGGCTGTACCATTTATAATCCCACCAACAGTGTGCTAGTAGTGCCCTTTCAAAGCATCCTTACCAGCATCAGTTATTTTTGTCTTTTTGATGATAGCCATTTTAATTGGGGTGAGATGATATTTCAGGGTGACTTTGATTTGCATTTCCCTCATGATTCATGATGCTGAGCATTTTTAAATATACCTGTTGGCCATTTGAATGTCTTCTTTTGAGAAATATCTATTCAGATCCTTTGCCCATTTTCTAATCAGGTTTTTTGCTGTTGTTTGAGCTCCTTGTATATTCTGGCTATTAATTCCTTGTCAGGTAGGTAGTTTACAAATATTTTCTCCCATTCTGCAGATTGTCTCTTCACTCTGTTGATTGTTTCCTTTGCTATGCAAAAAGTTTTTAGCTTGATGTAGTCTCATTTGTCTATTTTTGCTTTTATTGCCTATGCTTTTGAGTTCTTACCCAAAGAGTCTTTGCCCAAACCAATGTCCTGAAGCATTTTCCCACCTTTTCCTTCTACTAGTTTTATAGTTTTTCAGGTCTTGCACTTAAGTCTTTCATCTGTTTTGAGTTGATTTTTGTATATGGTGAGACATTGGGGTCTAGTTCTACTTTTGAGCATATGGATATCCAGTTTTCCCAGCACTGTTTATAGATGACATTATCCTTTAGCCAATGCATGTTCTCTGAGCCTTTGTCAAAAATGAGTTGGTTGCAAATATGTATATTTATTTCTGGGTTCTCTATTCTGTTCCACTGGTCTATTTGTCTGTTTTTATACCAGTACCATGCTGCTTTGGTTACTATAGCTTTGTAGTATATTTTGAAGTCAGGTAGTGTGATGCCTCCAGCTTTGTTCTTCTTCTTTTTTTTTTTTTTTTTTTTTGAGATGGAATTTGACTCTTGTTGCCCAGGCTGGAGTGCAATGGCATGATCTCAGCTCACTGCAGCCTCCACCTCCTGGTTGAATGTCTCCTGCCTCAGCCTCCCAAGTAGCTTGGATTAGAGGTGTGCACCATCATGACCAGCAAATTTTGTATTTTTAGTAGAGATGGGGTTTCACCATGTTGGCCGTGCTGGTCTCAAACTCCTGACCTCAAGTGATCCACCTGCCCTGGCCTCCCAAAGTGCTGGGATTACAGGCATGAGCCACCATGCCCAGCTGCTCTGTTGCTTTTTCTTTGGTTATTTAGGCTATTTTTAGGTTCCACACAAATTTTACAGTTGTTTTTTCTATTTCTGTGAAGAATGCCATTGGTACTTTGATAGAGATTGCATTGAATCTGTAGATCACATTGGGTGATGAACATCTTAACAATATGAATTCTTTTAATCCATGAACATGAGATATCTTTTCATTTTTGTTGTTTCCTCTTCAATGTCTTTCACCAGTGTTTTATAGTTTTTATTGCAGAGATCTTTTTAAATCTTTAGTTAAATTTATTCCTAGGTATTTTATTTCTTTGTAGTTATTATACATGGGATTGTTTTGCTGATTTCTTTTCAAGACTGTTCAGTTTCGGTGTATAGAAGTGCTACTGATTTTTATGTATTGATTTTGTATCCTGCAACTTTTACTGAATTCATTTATTGGTTCTAATAGTTTTTTGATGGGGTCTTTGGATTTTTCTAAATATGAGATTACGTCATCTGTGAACAAAGCTAATTTGACTTTTTCCTTTCCAGTCTGGATGCCTTTTATTTCTTTCTCCTACCTAATTGTTCTATGTAATTTCTTCATTGACCCATTTGTTGTTCAGGACTTCCAGTACTATGTTGAATAAAAGTGGTAAAAGTTGCAACTTTGTCTTGTTCCAAATTTTAGAGGAAAGGCTTTCAGTCTTTGCCCATTCAGTGTGACATTAGCTGTGGGTCTGTCATATATGCCCTTTACTATTTTGAGGTATGTCCTCAAAGCACTTTGTTGAGAGTTTTTAATCATGAAGGGATGTTAAATTTTATCACATGCTTTTTTTTTTAGCATCAGTTGAAATGGTCAAATAATTTTTGTTCTTGATTTTGTTAATGTGATAGAGATCATGTTTGTTGTTTTGCATATGTTAACCATCCTTGCATCCATGTGATGAATCCCACTTGATTATGGTGAATGATCTTTTTAATGTGTTGTTGAATTTGGTTTGCTTGTATTTTGTTGAGGATTGTTGCATTTATTCTCATATGAGATATTGGCCTATAGTTTTCTTTTTTTGGTTATGTCCTTGGCTGATTTTAGAATTAGTATAATGCTGGTCTCACAGAATGAGTTTGGAAGTGTGTCTTCCTCTTCAACTTTTTGTAATAGTTTGAGTGGGGTTGGTATTATTTCTTTTTTAAATGATTGGTAGAATTCAGCATAAAAGCCAGGTTCTGGGCTGCTCTTTGATGGGAGACTTTTCATTACTGCTTTAATCTTGTTACCCATTATAGGTCTGTTCAGATTTTCTATTTTTTTCATGATTCAATTTGGGAGGTTGTAAGTGCCCAAGAATATATCCATTTCTTCTAGGTTTTCCAATTGATTTGCATATAGTTGTTCAAAATAGTCTGTAATAATCCTTTGTATTTCTGTGATATCAGTTGTAGTGTCTCATTTTTCATCTTTAATTTTATTTATCTGGGTCTTTTTTTTTCTTAGTCTAGCTAAAGGTTTGTCAATTCTGCTTATTTTTTTAAAAAACTAACTTTCTGTTTTATTGATCTTTTGTATTTTTTCGTTTCAGTTTTGTTTATTTCTGCTCTAATCTTTATTATTATTTTTTCTAAAAATTCGGGGTTTGGTTTGCTCTTGCTTTTCTAGTTCCTTGAGATCTATTGTTAGGTTTTTAATTCGAAATCTTTATGCTTTTTTGATGTAGGCATTGCTGTAACTTCTGTCTTAGAACTGATTTTGCTGTGTCCCATAGGTTTTGGTATGGTGTGTTTTTATTTTGTCTCAAGGAATTTTTTAATGTTTATTTTAATTTCTTCATTGACCCAATTGTTGTTTAGGAACATGTTGGTTACTTTCCATGGATTTGTACACTTTCCAATGCTCTTTGGTTATTGATTTTTAGAAAACTAAAAATTCCATTGTGGTCAGAAAAGATACGGTGTTCTTTGTTGGCAGGTGGTTTCTTTCAGCACTTTGAATATAGCATCCCATTTTCTCCTGGCCTGCATGGTTTCTGCTGAGAAATCTGCTGAAAGCCATATTGGAGCTCTGTTGAATGTGATATGTTTCTTTTATCTTGCTACTTTGAGTATTCTTTCTATGTCTTTGATTTTTGTTAATTTGATTATAATGTGCCTTTGTGAATTCCTCTTTGGAATGAATTTAATTGGTGACCTCTGAGCTTCCTGAAATGCTGTCATTTCTCTCCACATTTGGGAAAATTTCAGCCTTATTTCTTTAAATATGCATTCCATGCCTTTCTGTCTCTCATCTGCCTCAGGAATAACTTAAATCTACTTAAAGAAATTACTTCACATGATTACTTCACATGATGGTGACACATAATTATCGTCGGCTTCTTCACTCTTCTTTCTTTTTTCCTTCTCTGATTGGGTTATTTCGTAGGTTGTCTTCAAGCTTTCTAATTTCTTTCCTCTGTTTGATCAAGCCTACTGTTGAAGCTTTCTAATGAGTTTTTTTGGTTCAGTTTTTTTTAATTAGAATTTCTATTTAGTTTTTTAAACTTGTTTCTATTTCTTTGTCAAATGTCTCACTTTGTTCCTGAATTGTTTTCCAAATTTTATTTAGTTTCTACCTGTTTCTTTTTATGATTGTCTGAACTTCTTTAAGAGCATTATTCTGACCTATCTGTCAGACTTTTTCTAGGTCTTCAATGCTTCTCGGTTCATTGCTGGAGTTTTCTTGGTTACTTTTATCGGTGTCCTATTTCCCTGAGTTTTCACAATCCGTGCATCTTTGCATTGACGCCAGCACATTTGAGGATACAGTCATATCTTTCCATTTTTGCAGGTATTCTTTGGTGGGGTTGACCTTCACTTCTTAGTATTGGTACTTAAACACAGGTCTGTTGTTGCTTCCTGCTCTGGGGAGGACTTATAATGAGCTCTGAAACTAAAACACTGCACTAGAACTAACTAATTGCTTCGTCATTGTTTTTTGGTTTGGGGAAGACTTACAACAAATGCAAAAACTTAAATGCTGCTCCAGAAGTAAACTGTTGCCGTGTTGTTGTTTCCAAGTCTGGTGAAAACTTCTAGTGGGTACTGGATATTAAATGCTGCCCTGGAACTATATTACTGTTTTGCTGTTGTTTCCTAGTCTGGGGAAGACTTAAGTGAGCACCAGAACTTAATCCTGACCTTTCAGTTGTTCCTAGGCCAGGGAGGCTCCAGTAAGCACTGGAACTTTGTGGAAAATCCTGCCAGGGATTCAGGCCTTCCTGTGAATCATGCCCCCTGTGGTGCCATGGTGTTGGCCAGTCTCTTCAACATGGTGTCACTGATCAGGGTGCTGATTAGCTGCCATGATTCCTGTGCCAGTCGCTGTGATCAGCCCTTCACTCTTTGTCCTCAATTCACCCCAGGTGGCTCAGCTCTCCTGGACTCCTAGTGTTTCCCATAGGAGAGGACCAGAATGGGCTTCCCGTGAAGATTCCCACACTGCTGGGGAGCTCATACATTCATCTTCAATTCCCTCCTCTCGTCTTCGAAACTGTGAGTCTAGGGAACTTCTCCGTGAGTGCATTGTGCCAGCTTGGGGAAGGGGTTTGCAGTTTGAAATGACAATTTATTTCACCAGTTTCAGCTACTCATGATTCTGTGGGTCCAAAAGATTTCTCTGCTTCTCCCGCTGAATCCTTGTATATTCAGAATGATGTTCTTGTCTTCAAATCATTTCTGGTAATATTTTTGTAGGAGGAGTGATGCTGGGGGATCTTCTGTTATGTCATCTTCCTGATGTCACAACCTGGGGATCTTCTGTTATGTCATCTTCCTGATGTCACAACCTAAATCGGTATTGGAATTTTAATATGGTTTCCTTTGTATGTTATCTCAGAAGACTTAAATGAATTTGTTTTAGCAACACATGCACAAAGGTACAAAGTAGGACTTCAGAAAAGCCCGGAGGATTGACCAACCATGGATACTCTCACTGGTGGGAGGAACATCTGATGTAATCACATAGTGGGAGAGAACCTATCTCCTAAGAGGTACATTGATAGCAACCAGCAGGAAGAGCTGCAGGAAATACATCAGTAATCTTTGAGGCATTCATAATGTAGTGATGGTTGTCCCAGTACTGCAAACTGGCCCAGCCAACAATAGGATCTGTTCTTCAACACTCCTTTCCTACCCTCTCCTCATTCATTCCCCATCCATTCATTCA
The DNA here is from genome assembly GCF_000001405.40 of Homo sapiens. Taxonomy (NCBI): domain Eukaryota; kingdom Metazoa; phylum Chordata; class Mammalia; order Primates; family Hominidae; genus Homo; species Homo sapiens. The sequence continues at coordinate 36,733,951 of NC_000007.14, forward strand.
TATGCTTTGAGATTCTTGAGATTTTTAGAGATATATACATACCCACTAAGAATGGGGGTTTTGAGATACTTTTATTCAATTTCCAGAAATATTACATACATTGGAAAAAGTATGCCATTTATAATCACAATTTTCTTCTAAAGATGATGAATTACATTAAATAGTTCTTTTGTCTGCTGGGCACGTGGTAGAAAGTTTGGGGCTTGGGGAAAGGAATCATGGCAAGTGAATTGCTTTTTATATGTAAGGTGGAAGAATTTGGACGCATGGAAGGGGATAAGAATGGAGAACAGATAGAGAGAAGGGAGAAGCAGGGACAGATGAGACACCAGATTCTTCTTGGCTAAAGAGAATGAGAAATGTTGAGAGAAGTGTTGGGAGGTGGGGTGGCAACAAGACCAGAGCTAATAGGAAGATCTTATATGAATTTGTAAGTTTGTTGTGCTATGCATGGGAGAAATGATACTTTGCCCAGATTGTGAATGGCATTTTTGTGGAAACCAATGAGGAAACTTGAGATGTTTGGATTGGAGAATGACAGGGCTAAGGAGACACAAGTAAAACAAGTGCATAAGTGCAGTGGCCATGCAAATATGTACCTCAGGGATTAGCAAGTATAATATCTTGGGGAGGGCTTTAGACATACATATGCTATAAATTGGGGGCAGGGTGGGATTAAACTACTTTTACCTAGACCTCCAAAATGTAGAGTTAATTTTGAATGCACATAACAGAATAAAACAAAATAAATATAGCATAAACAAGCTTGAAGTTTATTTATTCATTCATTTTTAGATTTAAAAAGTCCAGAGCTGGACACTTCAGAGCTGGTATGGCAGTCCCATGATGTCTTCAGGGACCTAAACTCCTAATTTCTTGTCCCACTCTTAGAGCTGACTTGCATCCTTAAGATGAGCTAAAGGTCTAAAATGACTGCTAGAGCTTGAGTCATCATGTCTATGTTCCAGGAACTCACACCTTCACATATAGGATCTTCCCCCAAAAGTCTCCCCTGACACTTTGCTTACATTTCATTGGCCATGCCTAGTTGCAAGGGACGCTGACAAATAGCACCATATGACCACTCTTAATTACAAGGGAAGATGTCGGCAAAGTGTTTAGCAAAAAATCAGGGTTATAAAAAAGGGAAACGGGATACTGGGAATTAATTGTTCACCATATATATCATGTATAAAGTATGTAAATGTTTTGTCTAAATTAAATATATTTGATCACTGTGTATTATAAGTTTTTGGAAGGTGAAAAGAAGCACACAGTTCTGCCTGTTTTCCCCAGTGGGGTTTTCTTTGAGTGCTGAGCAGATAGATGTTCCCACTTTTGCCTCCAATCTGTCCTTGGGAGCTCATGAAAATAAGAGCTGACAAAAATCCTCATGAAAATAGCTGAGACTCAGATGAGTCATGCTAACCTGTGGTTGGAGGGCTATCGTGAATAATAGACAGGCTCCTGCCTTACCAGGGGTTTGCCACTACATTAAAAAAAAATTAGTTAAATCTCCTCTGGGGATACGTTCATAGATGAAGCCCAAGTAAAATCCAGTAAGCTTCAAATTAAACATGAACAAAGTGCCAAAAACAGCTTTATGTTTCAGTTGTAGGATGTAGAACACTGCAATTGTATGGGATTCTTAAATGATATGGCCAAACTAGGGTGGTCGTGGTTGAATGATCTGAGAGATGAAGTGGCTAAACACATGGCAACGCTGAGAACTGACCTGTACTGCAGAGGACAGTGACTATTTTCCTGCATGGGCAGGAGGGATCAAGCCCTCAGCTGCCCCAAATGCACAATGTAAGCTCAGATCAGTTTATTACTGGATTCTTTGAAGTTCCTGCATGAGGGCTAAAGGTCTCTCTTTCTGATATTCCATGTTATTGTACCAGGAGTTAGGGAACAAACAGAATAGGGGGACAAGGGAGAAGATCATAAAATTGCTTTACGTGGTGCTCAGCCCAGAGCAAGAGCTCAAAATGTTGAATCCAAATCCACATCCAAACAGCTGCCAAATGCTTTCCATGGAAGGGTTGGGTGATGGGAGGAAGTTGGAGTGGGGATGAATATCCTTTTATAGATTTGGGAAAATAGCCACCATAAATATATGCCTAAATGACCTTTTGTTAAGATAATATAGACTTTTAGAGAAAAAGAAAGGTCCAGGAGCACAATTAAAAAATAAAATTAAAGAAAAATACTAATCCGAATCTAAAACATGATAGGTCATATCATCCTATTGCTTATGACCTGTCAAAGCTCCCCCTTGCCCTCCAGATACAGAGCAAATTACTCAGAAGGATTCACAGAGCTGTTCAACATCTGGAACCTGCTCTTCTCTCTGGGCATGTTTCTAGTCATTCACATGTGCCCTATGTACGGTCACACTGAGTTACCTGGGATGCTCCCAGACAGGCCCAAATGTTCATGCCTCAGTGCCTTTGCATGAGTTTTCACCTGGATGGGACTTCCTTCTCCTTATCTTCCAGGACAATGCCTCCTTTTCCTTAAGGCTTCCTCTTCTTAGAAGCCTTCCCTGTCCCTTGCCAAGCACAAGTGTTTGCTCTGTCTGTACCACTCCCCAGGCACTTCATCATTAGGGTGGTCATCTGATTACTCTATTGGCTGTGGGTTCCTGGAAAGCAGGTTATCGAGCACCATCACTGTAGAATATGTAGCTGATTCATGGCAGATACTCAAATGTTCATGGGGGGATAAGTGAGCAAAACAGAGAAAAATGAGGCAATGTTAGATATTATGCCAGTACAGTTAAATAGATGGGGATTTTTTTAATGTTCTCAGGAGGATTATGTAAAGGAAGTGCATTAAAGACAGCAAATTTGGGTCTCAGAACTAAAACCTGATGCAAATGCCGAGGAATCAGGTCAGCAAAGGATGCACTGAGGGCAGAGCATCAAGTTAGGATTTGAGATGCAGTCCCGAAACTGGGCAGAGAGAAAACAGGAAATGAGAGTGTTATGTTGTCAGGCTGTAAAGTCTGAAGTCTTGCAATTTCCTCCTCTTCTGCTACAATTTTTATAATAAGATGACAAAGTTCATTTCCCTAAAGACTGCAGGCCTGACCCAGGCCAGAGGAGTGGAGAAGCGCAGCACTGCTGTCACCTAACTGAGCTCAGACCCTCAAGCCAGAGCTGCTCTGAAGAGCAGCGGGGAAGGGGGCAGCCAGACGGATGTTCGCCTGCCAGAGAGAGAAGACACAGAGGGTCCTTGGTCTCTGCGCCTGCAGCAGCAGGTCCTCCTTCAACAGCTCAGAGATGCCCAAACTGCTCTTAGCTGGAACGAATTACTTCTTGCCAGGCTTGAAATTCGTTTCAGGTGGGAGGAGAACATTGCCGTAAGTGGAGATTGCAGAGTTGGCAAAATGAAGTGAGGCTGTAGGACTGGGACCTGGTACCTGGTACGTTAAGGGACTGAAGCCTAGAGGGTCAGTCTGAATTGGCCTTCATTTTTATTTTCCACCCATGCCCCAAAGAGTGCTTTTAAAAGTGACTCTACCATGGCACACGTTTACCTATGTAACAAACCTTCATGTCCTGCACGTGTATCCCGGAACTTAAAATAAAATAAAATAAAATTTTAATTAAAAAATTAGGAAATATCATTATTTTAAAGAGATGTTACCGGTCCAAATAAATAGAAATGTAAATATGAAGTCAATTGCTAATTGTGCAGATACAATGTTGTTTTCTTTTCCTTTTTTTTTTTTTCTTTGAGACGGAGTTCTGCTTTTGTCGCCCAGGCTAGAGTGCAATGGCGCAATCTTGGCTCACTGCAACCTCTGCCTCTCGGGTTCAAGCAATTCTCCTGCCTCAGCCTCCCGAGTAGCTGGGATTACAGGCACCCGCCCCCATGCCTGGCTAATTTTTGTATTTTTAGTAGAGACGGGGTTTCACCACATTGGCCAAGGCTGGTCTCGAACTCCTGACCTCAGGTGATCCACCCACTTCGGCCTCCCAAAGTGCTGGGATTACAGATGTGAGCCACTGTGCCTGGCCCCAAACTTGTTTTCATTATTTGTCTGTAGTCTCTGGGAAAGGATTGAAGTAAGGCAGTTTTCCATGGAAGGTGTGTAAGTTGGTCACCAGTCAATATTTCTAAAATGTATAGTTTTTAAAAGTAACTACATTTGTGAATTTCATGGGACCAAAAGTTCTGTCTTGTTTGTAACATTCAAGACAAGAAATGAACTCAATATCTTTAATGGAAGCAAAAATAAATAAATCTCTGTTCCCTTAAAAAAAGAAAATAAAAGTGACTCTACCATTTTGCATTCCCTTTTATTATATAAAGTTTCGAGTACTTTTTTGTGTCCAGGTCTCCCAGTTGACACTACTTGAAGCAGAAGAATTGCTCAGTTGAGACAATCAACAAAAAAGAGAATAAAATGGTCATTGTTCTAAGCCTGTAACTGTTGGGGTCATTTGTATGTAACAGTAGATAATCAGAACAGGGTGTGAGATTGGAGGTTGGTGTATTGTCAGCCAGTTGAGTTGGCCTCATGCAGATTGTTAAGGGCTTTGGCAGACCTGCGTTATTTCTTCGGTGCTTGTGCTTTGGGGAGTACTAGGGTTCTTCAATTTGGATCACATCAGTCCAAAAGCAGTAGACTTTTCTAGTGATCAGAATAATTGCTGCATGTCACAAAAGAACATGAACCCAGACTCAGAAAAGAAACACAGGAAACCTTCAACAACAAGGATCTTCACATTGGGGCAAAGGTTACATTTTTTGGCTCGCACTTTCTAAGTCTCCTAATAATACTGATATCACTTGTTTTGGGGTGTGTGTTGTTACTGTGATGGGGCAGGGAAAGGAAAGTGAGGGCAGGTAGGTGAAGTTATCTATCTGGGGCTTCTTGAACATATCACAACTGGGGTGGGGACTGAGGTTGTAGAATCTTGTCAACATTTACTCTTTGGATCGGGGTTTGGGATAACCTATTAACTACCCTCAACCATGAGGCTGATAGAATCTTCCCAGAGCTGGCAAGTGAGACATCTATGTTGATTCCACCCGTACCGCCAGGAGTCAAGGAAGGGGCCAGGACTCCTGAATCAGGTTAGAAGCAGGTAACACAGTCAGAACAGTACAGAAAATGAGGACAAGGGGCTTGAAATGACTTGGCCAGGGTCAAAGCCCAGAATGAAAGCCCGGTTACTAATTTCAAAGCCAGAATCCTTTCTGTTGTTTCTTTCCACATTCCTTCAAATGCCCTGATTTCCCATATCCTGCTTTCAAGAGACCATTATGATGTTAGTCATTCACATTTTAATTGAATAAATGTTTTGCAGGAGGATGTAAATTTTTTTAAAAAGATTGTTGTTGAATAGGACACATAGGCCAAAATACAATCCAGATAAAATAACTTTGCTCTAATATATCTACATAATTATTTAATTCCATAATAAAAATCATTTATGTTATCTGTTTGGCTAAAACATGTCTCCTCTCTTCAACTTCCATATATGTAGGCAGCAATTCACAGGGCAAGGATGTTGCCACGGGGCAAAGATCCAGGTGAAGGTGGTTTCAGCTTCCACATTCCTTAGACAGGTCCGAATTTGGCTGAGACTTTGAGGCCAACTCAGACATTCCCAGGTGAGTTGCTCCAGGTTGATGGGAATGTGAGCTCCCTTTAAGTATATCAAATCTTGTATTCCAGGGCTTCTCCCAGAAAATGCGGTCCTCCCAGGTCCTCATCTAATTTATCCCAGAGAAAGAAAATATGTCAGCTATCCACAGCTAGAGAGGTCTGAAATTAGGGACTAATCCATCTCAGGCCTTTGTGCTTGGGGTAAGCCCTGGTGCCATGAGCCCTCTGCACTGCCTGCTGGCTCAGTGTCTAGGCCTGACCCTTCAGCCCCCTGCCAATCTCTCCTGGTCCTTGCCTGATCTGATTCCCACCCAGTACTCTTACACACCAGGTCCCTGCCTCCAATGACCTCTTGCCCCTTCCTAAGGAGCTAGAATGGCCTCAGTCCCCCATCCCACAGATGGCTGTGGAAATCTCACTGGGGAGGGGCACTAATCTCTCAAACCACATCCCACTGTGCACCTGACTTTGCATGTTACCCGTTGCCTGCATCTCAGGTATGCCCTACCAGCTGGACTGGGCCTTCGGGGTTATTGATATCTGCCTGAAATAAATTCTCACTCTGTGCCTTTAGACTCTGAACGCTAGACCAAATATCCTCCCCTGTAAGGGCCAATCTCAATAGCAGGGTTGAGTCCATCTCAACATCGTCCATCTTGGTTTTGCAATCATTTCCATCCTCACTGGTCTGCAAGGCTGGAGTCCAGTTGGCTTTGCAGCTGAGGCCATCTAAGTTAGAATGTACCCAGCTCGAAGTCACTCTAGGATAGAACCAGAGTTTTGAATCATTCCAATGCCTTTTCCTGTCTCCTGGAAAAAAATGCAAATGCTTGTGATGCCTGTATTAATACCTAAAAAATTAGCTGGTGCCTTGGGTATGACCTAGAGTCACTAGTACCTGTTCCACCTGCCCAGTTTGCTCTGACCCAGAGCGACTCTGCCTTCAGACCTCATCCCTGGGTCTTCTCCTGGAACCAGACTCTTGCAGGCCATTTGCTAGACCATCCGCTCCCCTGGCATTCACTGCTTTGCTGGAATACACTCAGAAGTGGTTTAGCTCCTCCAGAACGACCACCTTCTCACTGCCCTGTCCAGTGCCTCTGCTCTCGCAGAGTTCAAGCCAAAAGACAATGGGATCATCTAGCCAGGTGTTTCCTGTAACATGGCTCATATGAAGTTGTCTCTCCGCAAACCTAGCAGGTAAAGCAACCAGCCAGCACCTTGCTTCAAAAACCCTGATGAGCGTTCCCCCTTGGAGGGGTCAGAAAACCTCATGGCTACAGGTCATGATATAAAAAGTCTTAATTTCAGATTCAGAAGCTTTCCTTCCACTCTTTGATTGAGAAATTGCTCAGACTCTAAAACAGACCTATTTAAAGGCTATTGTTTGGTGGGCTGCCTCAAGGTGCGCATGTAGAACTGATTCAGGGGCTTACACAGGCCACACCAAGAACAAGACAGTAAGTGCATGGCACCCACGAATAATGTGCTTGAATTCCACCATGCAGGAAAATAGTTCATTCTCAATCAACAGAAACAGAAACCTTTCATCCTGTCACTGTCAGCTCTGAAACTTAGGTCTTTTATGTCCATGGAGTCATAGGTCTTAAATTATATGATATGGATGGAAATAATCTGGTAGTGGCCTTTCCTCTCCATTTTCTCTCATACGTGAATTTTTAACATAAATATAAGGAAATAGTGCATTGATAAAAGTAAAAATGTTTCAGTGACCTGTTACAACAATTATAAATGAAATTGTTAGAATTTTCTGTTCAATGCCAATATGTGGCTTTTACACAAAATCATACATATTTCTTTTTTTCTTTTTTCTTTTCTTTTTTTTTTTTTTTTTGAGACAGAGTCTTGCCCTGTCACCCAGGCTGGAGTACAGTGGCACGATCTTGGCTCACTGCAACCTCTGCCTCTTGGTTCAAGCAATTCTCCTGCCTCAGCCTCCCTAGTAGCTGGGATTACAGGCATGAGCCACCATGCCTGGCGAATTTTTATATTTTTAGTAGACATGAGGTTTCGCCATATTGGCCAGACTGGTCTCGAACTCCTGACCTCAGATGATCCACCAGCCTTAGCCTCCCAAAGTGCTGGAATTACAGGCATGGGCCACTGCGCTCAGCCATATTTCTTATTAATGGTAAAAGAAATTATAAAGTCAGCCTATATTAAGCGGATCCACAGTCTTCATAGGGTTCTAGAAAACTCTTCATTAATTAATTCATTCAATACTTGTCTATTAATCAGCTACTATTGATCACCTACAGTCAAGCACTGTTGTAGACATGGAGATTAAGAAAATTTGTAAAGATTTCTGCCCTCACTGTTGACTTGTGCCATATGGCAAATTAGTTTATTTCAATATGGTTAAATTGCTTTGCTTTTTGTTATTATTCACCCACACGATCAGAGCTGGCACCGATATGCAAAGCCCTTTGTTGGGAAACTCACAAACCTACTATTCCTGTAAAGTAGGAAGCTGCTTTTCTTTGTGTTACAGTGCCCTTTGAGGAGTAGCTGAGGCTGGGCTCTCACGCTTGTACATGTGCTGGTCCCTATACTGACTTTAAGCATATTCCATAGATAAAAGGAAACAACTTCTTGCATCAGGAAATTAATGACATGAGGCTTTTTTTATCTGTTCCTAATTGACCACCTTATGTAAAGAATCTTAGGCTGGTTGTAGTGGTTCACACCCGTAATCCCAGCACTTTGGGAGGCAGAGGTGGGAGGATCGCTTGAGCCCAGGAGTTTGAAACCAGTCTGAGCAGCACAGGGAGACCCTGTCTCTACAACAAATTTAAAAATTAGCCAGGTGTGGTGGCATGTGCCTGTAAGTCCCAGTTACTCAGGAGGCTGAGGTGGAAGGATGGCTTGAGCCTGGGAGGTCAAGGCTGCAAGGAGCCGTAATCACACCATTGCACTCCAGCGTGGGTGACAGTGGGACCCTGTCTCAAAATAATCCAAAAAAGAATCTTATATTTTATGGTGTCACAGACCCCTTTGAGAATCTGATGAAAGCTATGGATCCTCTTTCCAGAAAAAAAAGCAGCTAATGCAAGCACACTAACATTTACACATGAATTTACAAAAATCACAGACCCCTGAAACTAACTTGTTTATTTTCATGGATCCCAGGCCCAAGGACCCCTGGTCTGGAAGCTCTTACTTTTCTCAACTTCTTACTCTGAATTCCACATATGTGAAATTTCTGTGAAATGAAGTTTTCCTCTTTAATTTTAGCCCCTTAGATTGAGATATTGCGTGAAAACCTTGGGGACACCTGTTTTTTTATTATCATCATGATACAAGCTCTTCCCCTTGAGCAAGGTCATTGGAGTGAACATCAGTCCTTGCGCTGGGCTGCTGGCACAAGATGATGTGTGGGAAACCCCAGCCCAGGCCTGGTTTCCTCTCTTCAAGCCAGATACCATGTACTGGCTTTCATTTCTTCTTTCCAGTTGTGGGAATAAAGCCAAAGTTCCCTTGTACATTCACTTTACATGTTTGAATATGCCCTTTTGTATAAGTTTGTGTTCCTCTTTTTGCCTTTTGCAAAATCTGCTGACTACCACATCTTGGCCATTCAGAGAAGAACAGGTGGATGCTCACCAGTGTGGGCTGCCTCCATTTCCCCTGCTGAGGAGCAGTGATTCTAGACAGTAAAGTGGTGACATTAGTTATGAAATTCTTTGTTTGTGAAATTCACTTGCTAATGTGGTAGCCTGTATAATCACCCCCAAGAGAAGTTTATGTCCTAATCCTGGAATCTGTGAATATATTACTTTACATAACAAGAGATTGTGCAGCTGTTTAGAATAGTACGGATATTGAAATAAGGAGATTATCCTGTACTGTCTGGATAGGCCCTATATAATCATAAGGATCTACATAATCATAAGGCAGAAAGTTCAAAGTAAGAGTAGGCGACCTGATCATGAAAACAGGGGTTGGAGCAATAAGGGGAAGTGAGTATGTGCCGGGAACAAAGGCAGCCTCTGAAAGCTGGAAAGGCAAGGAGACGGATTCTCTCCCAGAGCCTGCAAAAGGAGTACAGCTCTGCCCACGCTTTGATTTTAGCCTGCAAGTCCCATTTTGTGTTTCTAACCTCCAGAACTATAAGATAGTAAGTTTGTATTTCTTGAAGTTACTAAGTTTGTTGTGATTTGTTACAGCAGCAATTGGAAACTGATACACTTATTAACCATTCCATTCAAAAAGAACAAAGGGTTAAAGTAGAAGCAAGATCAAATTTCCCAATCTACTTTTGCTCTGTCCTCTGCAATATCTGCAAGGAAGGATAGGCTGGAGATCATTTAGATGTAAGTGGTTGTTTCTCTTCACTCACTGGCTCTAGATTGTTATGCTTTCATAGTTCTTGTGTGTGCTTTTTATATTCTGCCTGTCTCCTCCCTCACTGTCCTCTTGTAGACAACATGCATGCCTCCCTGCTCCCATTTGCTATCTTTAATCTGCTAAAGGCTAAAAACCAAAGAAATTATAATTGACTTTTTAAAAAAGAGAAAATGGGCTTTGAATGAAAGCTCAAGGGACTCTCCTATTAAGGAACCCCATAACCTCTCGGGGTTTTACTGTGGCATCTATTTTGACCCTAAAGACGCTTTATTTATTTATTTCACCTACATTTCCTTTTTCATCTGTGTTCAGCATTGTTGGGCATTCTGGGTAAGCATTCCCCACATAAATGGGATTGTCACTGTGTTATTAGATCTAAATCTTACAAGTTTTTTTGTATCAATCAATAATTCAATAATGAGTAAAGTGCCATGTCATACGTAGGTGGAGAGAGAAGTAATTAGAAGATTGCTCCCCAGTCGTATTGCTGTGTGCATCTTGATGCATTCTGAACCTCAGTTTCTCCCATTGTAAAATGGGCTTTATAACATCTGCCCTCTCCTCTGCCTCACTTGATCCTTACAATGGCCAGATGAGATATTACACAAAAGTGCTTTGTTAGCGGCAAAGCATAATAGAATAACACTTATTGTAAAAAAAAAAACACAGTGAAATTTTTATTTATCTCTACCGTCCTTTGGATATACCAAGAAGTCTTTGGGTTTTTTGGTGGAAATTCCTTCACTCATTCTTTCCTCATCTGATTGTTCAGTTAACACCAGGAGAGCATGTTCCATATGGCAACTAGGGCTGGATGAGGGTACCAGATGCCCAGAAGATGGTGTGCTGTGATGAACAAAACTTGGGAATTATGCATATCTAGGTCTGAATCCTGCCTCCATGCACTTGCAGTTTAACCTGTCTGGTCTTAGTTTCCTTATCTACAAATGATGCTAATGATACCTGCTAGGTGGGCCAGCTATAAAATATAACATATAAAATATATAATATGATATAAAATATAATATTCATTAACTATAAAATATATAGAGCTCCAGAGACATACTAGGCATTCAATATATGTTTAATAGGTATAATATTCGGGGGCTGTTAAATCAATATATTTTCACTTTTGGTGGTCCCTACTCTTTTGTTTGTTTGTTTTTGTTTTTTTCGAGATGGAGTTTCGCTCTTGTTGCCCAGGCTGGAGTGCAATGGCACAATCTTGGCTCACTGCAACCTCTGCCTCCTGGGTTCAAGCAATTCTCCTGCCTCAGCCTCCTGAGTAGCTGGGATTACACACGCGCGCCACCATGCCTGGCTAATTTTTGTATTTTCAACAGAGACGGGGTTTCATCATATTGGCCAGGCTGGTCTCTAACTCCTGACCTCAGGTGATCCACCTGCCTTGGTCTCCCAAAGTGCTGGGATTACAGACATGAGCCATGGCACCTGGCCGGTCCCTACTCTTAATTGTTCTGCAGCTTTCACGTTGATTGAAACTGGATTCAGCACATAATTCCTTCCATAGAGGCTTTGCCTTGGGCACCTAGGCCTGAAGATGCACTGGCCTAGGTAAGGGGAAGGGAATGACCTAAGAGGGTTTCAGGTCAAACAAAATGGGAGAGGGAAGCTTGTCCATTTAGAGGCAGCAAAGTGGGGGAAGAGAAGAGGATCAGAGACAGGTGAACACACAGTCAGAAATATATGACTCCACCTTTCAGCCCCAAACCAAAGCTCCCAGGTGTTAGAAGGATTGAGAGGGTAGCCAGGAGCAGAGGGATTTCCTGTTTGGGATCCTGAGAGTGGTGCCTGCAGCAGAGTGAAAAGTGTGGTGTTTGGGACCCAGGGTGGGGTGCCCTAGGTGACAGAGCGAGACTCCATCTCAAAAAAAAAAAAAAAACTGTGGAGTTTGGGACCCTGGGAGGGGTGTCTGCAGCAGAGTAGACAGTGTGGTACAGCAGATGTAGCAGGGAGCCTGGGTTAGCATTCCCAAGCCTTATACGCAGCCTGTAGAAGAAGCAGAAGTTATTGAGGATGTGGCTGATGAGGTCTGCTATTCCAGGGGCAAAGAGATCCCATACCTATGGGGGGAGGGCACAGTACCCTGGTCAGGGCTGCAGCAAGGACCTGGTTGGGGCCAAAACTTTGGGGAGGGTTACGGGGCTGAGATGGAGCCCAGAGATCAACTGCAAATGCGCCAGCTACAGATTTCAGCTCCAGAGGTCAGCATGGTATAGGGGCCATCCACATGTAGTCCTTTCCAGGACACCAAAGGACTACGGAATCAAATACGTAGAGTTAGAGTCCATTCCTCCTCACTTCCCTGGACTCCCCGATTTCCCCACACCCAGAGGTCATCTTGAAAAGGAAGGGGTAGGGAGATCTGGAAGATCAAGCATTGATGCACAAGCAGCCTGGCCACCCCCAAAAGCAGACTCCAACCCACAGAAACAGAGGTATTACTAACTGGTGAGTTTGAAGTGTAACTGCCCTGCACATCATGCACAGGAAGAACAGAAAATTCCTAATAAGGAAGCAACCTCTTATGAAACTGAGCAAGCAAGCTGGCAGCGTGTGCAGCCCAGTACACGTGGCAACAATGATAAGGATGGAGCGGTCCGGAGTGGGGGTGACCCAGCCCTTGCCTGCCAGTGGGATCTCTTAGTCAGGCTTGTGAGTGACCTCAGGCTGAAGGGCTAAGGGCCATGGCAGAAGCCTGACAGGAGAGGCAGGGAGCACAGAGCCAAGAGAGGCTAGTTTAGGGAGTAGGGACGGCTTCCCAAGGGGGTTGGTGCAGTTAGTGGGACCAGGGAACACGCTCACCTTTTATAGGGAGTGAGGCTCTCCTGGGTCATGAAACTGAGCTACAGAAGCCTGGCGCCTTTCTCAGGCTCTTCTGGTTGTAAGTTACAGAAAGCCATGGGAGCCAACTTGAGCAAATGCAATGGATGGGGCACTGCAGAGGCTCATGGAATCAGAGAACAGAGACTGCAGGACCTAGGGAAGGCACAGGACTGGACCGGGGGACACAGTAAAGAGCCCAGGAAGGGTGTCATTTCTACTTTCCTCTGAGCCTCTACTTCATCCTCCCTTTGGCTTTGGACTGTCTTGCCTCGTTTTTTGTTGGGAAGGCCAACAGCTCCTGAGCTTACGTGTTGCAGGGCCAAGTTTCTCTCTGTCTCAGTTGAAATTTGCCATGAAGGGACTGGTTTGCCTCCTGTACACCCATCAATTCCACCAGGAGCAAGGGAGGACAAGGGAACAAAACAGCTTTCAAAACAACATTGTGGATGGGAGAGAAGCGGGGAGGTACGAATAAGGGGTCTAGGCTTCACCCTAGGCTGCCAGGAAGGATCAGTCACTCTCCCCAGTAAATTAAGGAAAGTCCAGAAAGAAGAGAGAGTGATTTCGGGAAGCAGTAGGGGTGGACAGAAGAGGTACCCTCCTCCCCCTTGGACTTGGAAAAACAGAGCCAGCACTCTCCTGGCCATGAGTCAGAAAGTGGAGCTGTAGGGGGTGGCTGCAGAACCACAGGGTACATTTTTTCACTCTTTCATTATGTCACCTTAAAGAAATTAAGTAAAACTGCCAGTAAGGAAAAAAGAAAGCTAATAGTGGGGATATTGCTCAAAGGCAGAAAATTAGTTAAACATTACATTGGGGTTTCACAACAGGTTGGTGTACTGATTTTCTCACAGCTCCTTAATGAGTCTTGGAAAAAAAGATATAATTTTAATGTGGTCTTGATTGCTTTATTCTCAGGTCAGCCTGAGAATTTTCTCATGACGTTAATTATTCATTTTTGTAAGAAGCCTGCATAAATAAAAGTACAAGTACCGGGTGTCCAGTGTGGCATTTCAGGAGCTTGGAGAAAGAGGATAGAGAAGGTGAGAGCTGGGGGAAAATTGAGAGGTGGCCAGAAAGAGAGGCTTTGGTCATTTCCAGAGTCATGGAGTTGCAGAGAACTAGCTTTAGGCATTGCATGTAATTTAATGTTCTTCAATGTCCTGTAGCCTAAGACCACCTGGAACACACCTGTAGTCAACAAAGTTAGGCTGATTAACGCCACAGCAAGGGAAACTGCACGCTGTGGGGAAGCTTGAGGCATCTCAAAAGGGTGGATTAAGACAAGGGCACCCAATAAAGCTTTGGGGGCTGGAGTTAGTCACAGGATGGTGTTGGCAGGATTTCATCAGATTCTGTAAACTGGGGAGTTTCTGGAAAAGTAAGTGGTCTTATCTTTGGGATTCACAAGTCTGTGTGGAGTTACTGACAGGTCAATTTCTCTATGGTCTTATCTGGGAACAAATGGGCCTGAAAGAGCTGGTGTTTCAAGGTTTGAACTTAGATCGTCTGTGATGCCCACCACGGTGTGGTCGGGAGAAATTGGCCTGCTTCGAAACTGAGGCTTATGTTTTGAAAATTGTGGTTTCTGTTTTCATTCTCGGTCCCTGTCATCTCTCTGCCAACATGAACCCCAGTCTGCCAGTCTACCTTTTTCATTTACTCACTATTTTTCTATCCCATCGTTATGGTTATTCTACTGACATGCTACATGTAACATAAAGAGCCCTACAGCTGCATAACCTCCTGAGAGAGGGCTTCTTTAGTTTGCAATGGAGAACTGGAGATGGTGCTCATTCACAGATATCTAACACTCGGTAAGTCATCTTGTTTGACCACTCCCTCCTCACAGGTCTGTGCCTTAACTGTGCATGTGAAATATTATATATCTTAGATTTAAGAAACAATTTGGCTCAACAAATGACAGTATCAGGGAGCTATTATGAGTTCTAAGAACTACTGTCCTCCTGCTATAGGTCCAGACAAGACTTTAGCATGGCAGGCTGCCTCCTAGGGCTGGGTAGTCAAGAAGGGCTGATAGTGGGTGAGCTAGTCAAGAAGCGCAGCAAAATGATGGTGAAATACCACTTCATACTTACTAGGATGGCTACTATTAAAAAAGAACACACACACAGAAAATAACAGATGTGGGCAAGCATGTGGAGAGATTGGAACCCTTGGACACTGTTGGTGGGAATGTAAAATGGTGCAGCTATAATGGAAAACAATACGGTGGAACTTCTAAAAAATAAAAATAGAATTACCATATGATCCAGTAATTCCACTCTGGGATATACCAGAATTGAAAGAATTGAAAGGAAGATCTTGAAGAGATATTTATATAACGATGTTCATTGCAGCATTATTTACCTTAGCCAAAAGGTACAAGCAAATCAAGTGTTCATTGATGCACGAATAAAAAAGCAAAATGTGGCATATCCATACAATGGAATATAATTCAGCTATAAGAAGGAATAAAATGCTGACATCTGTTATAACATGGCTGGACCTTGATGACATTATGCCAAGTGAAAGTAGCCAGACATAAAAGACTACATCGTGTATGATTCCACTAACATGAAGTACTTACAGCATTCAAATTCATAAGGACACAAAGTAGAATGGTGGTTTCCAGGGGCTTGGGGGCAAAGGGGAACAGAGAGTTATTGCTTAATGGTTATACAGAGTTTGGGGAAGATGAAAATGTTTTAGAGATATGTTGGTTATGGTTGCACAACAATGTGAGTGTACTTAATGCCACTAAACTCTACATTTAAAATGGCTGAAATGTTACATTTTCTGTTACATATATTTCATCATAATTGGAACAATGTTTTTAAAGCTAAAAAAAAAAAAAGTCTAGCAGGAGAAGAACCCACAGGTAGCACAAACCCAAGTCCTTGGAGGAGGCTAGACACTGTGACTAAGCAAATCACATTCATATACCAGATCAAGGGGCAGGGAATGGGGCCCAACACTGAGGTCAGGAGCTGGTTGGTGTTAGAACAGATGATTCAAGGGATTCGCTAAAGGATTCTCTTTGTTGCCTGACTTTAGTGCATTGCAGGGGTGAGTCAGACTCCAGGATGCAAAATCAGAGCAGATAAGGGTTTTCCTTCTTCTTTTTCTCCCTCTCTTCAAGAATATTCAGTGGAGATTTTAAACAGCCTAGAATTCTCTAGTAAAGTGGTTTGGGGAATAGAATTATAGACTTCATCCTCTAAGCCCATTGAATTCTTCCCCATCATAAGCAGAGCCAGATACAAGTGAGCACATAACTTCTCATGTTAGTGAGAAGCTATTGATTATGGCTGGGACATACGGCAAAACCAACATTTCTCTCTCTAATGCTAGTGTTGGGAGCTTTCAAATCTAGAAGGACCAGCTGTGGTATATAGACATCAGAAGAGGGGTGGTTAAGGTAGGGAGCCCCTAGAGCAAGTAAAAGTTATAAATCTAGGCAGGCAGTCAGAGTCAGGGGTGTTCCCAGGAGAGTTATTAGATCTCCAGCAAGGAAACACAGATCATGGGTCCAAGGAAGAGCCAGAGGGAGTGGAGTTTTAAAGAAGCCAGACTTTCGGTGCTGGTGTGTTTCATGCTCTGTATCTTTTCTCTCCTGTACCTCATCTTGGTTCTTTGAAGGCTTTCTGGGTTTAAGGGAATGTCTCCAGTTTGGGGAAATGCTGGGTCCACTTTCTGCACTCTTTCTTGGGAGAGAAGAAAGAAAAACAACCCAATAAAGAGAGAATGACCTAAGAGATATCTCAAAAGACCAGGGACCAAAAGCGGAGATTCCCAAAAAAACATTCTGAGAAAGCAGAAATAGTCAACGCTTTGCCCTTCCATGGGAAGTTCCACTCTCTGAACGTGTTGGTCACTGGTTTGCTTTCTTCTCAGGGGTGACACAAGGCATGCAGAAACCCTCGAGGTCCCCTGGAGGGCAGAGTAAACCATCAACAACAGGTAGTCAGAGCCCAGCCTTATGGTCTGGAATTAAGCATCTAGAAGGATAGGGATGACAGGGGGAGGGCAAGAACAGTTAGGACCTCGCTTCTGGAGTAGCTAGAAAAACATGGAGAGATGGAAACAAACCAAGGACTGGGACATGAGGGAAGACAAGCTAGAAGCCCACTTGCCGGGACCAATTTATCACATTAATATGGACTAGCCAAGAGGCTGACAATGCTGTGTCCTTTTGGAGCAATTAAAGAAATTCCTGACTGACTCTAACTCAGGAGCATCTGAAAATGACCTGGTAAGGACATTATTAACAACTGAAAAATATCTACTGTAGATTGAATGCCATTCATGAGTTAGGCAGTTTTCATTTACTCTCCCATTTACTCTGGATGGTAAGGAAGGTGTGACTAGTCCATCTTACAGATGAGGAGAGTGAGGCTCAGAGAAATAAAATTGCTCATTAGCAAACAGTGGAAGCAGAGTGTAAGGGAATTGCATCATGATTGTACATGCTTTCCCTTATGCTTGTGAATGTTTATGATCTGAACTTCATTGTCTCAAGTAAGGTTTCTTCTCTTCGTCAACACCAGCTATCCACGGGAAAAGTTAAAATCCTACATTGCACCTCTGCCTTGGGAGCCAAATAAATGGGTCCATGTTCTTATTGACAGCTGCCTTTCCCTCCTCTTCTCTGTGAGACTGTGGAGGTGTTTATGAATGATAGATCCCATGCTCTGCACTGTCAAGTTGACTCTGGATATCTTTTAATTCTCCTCTCTGGAAGAAAAAAAAGTTTTTTTCCTAATAGAGCAACCACTTAACACTTGGAGTCTTTGAGAAGCAAAATGGTGGTCTTCAGATGGATCCACAAATTCCATTCACCCCCAAAAGGACCTATAAACGTGGCCGTCCACAAGAGATTAGTCAAAAATGCATTTTTTTTTCCTGACAAAATGAGTGGCAACAGTCTTTTGTTAGAATGATATCATAAAAAATTGAGTTTAAAAGTCTGATTCTTGTGTCTTAATACTGGGTGTGAGAGGCATATACATTCCTAAATTTGTTGAGACAATATTTGACAAAGGTTTACAATAATATTCAAGGAGTGACCTCCATGGGCAGGGAAAGGGGCCTAGAAGTCCCCTCTCTGGAAACAGTCATGAGTGGGCTGGACAATCATTGGATGGAGACTGGGAGAGGTGGGCTGGACCTGGAGTCAACACCTACCTGCACACAACAATCACCTGTGGTAATTTACAAACTGAGACACTCAGAGTGAAGCTCAAGAACCTCTATTTTTTAACAAGCACCTCAAGTTATATTCATGTTGCTATGCAAGCTCCAGTTCTCTGAGAATCATTGCCCTAGATCACTGTACTCCAAACTTCCCTGAAAGTAAGAATCATCTGGCAGCACTTGTTAAATGTTCACTACACCAGGCCTCTCTCATGGACTTGGTGATGACTTGTGTAGAGTCCATGAATCAGTGGGGTTTGGGAATAACTGAACTAAAAGATTAACAGAATCCTTTATACCACTAAGATTTTGTAGCTTAGATGAAAGTTTCCATTTAATTTTAGTTCTGCTCACATACAGTGAGAGTAAAGACAGATAACTTTGAAACAACATGGGTGTCATAGTCTGTTTTCTGTTGCTATAGCAGAATACCTCAGACTGGGTAATGTATAAAGAAAAGAGATCTATTTGTCTCACTGTTCTGGAGGCTAGGAAGTCCAAAAGCACAGTGCTGGCAACCAGCGAGGATCTCTGTGTGTTATCCCATGGTGGAAGGGTGAAAGGGCAAGCAAGCACATGATACAGAGAAGAAAAAGGGGCCGAACTCCTGATAACTCACCCACTTCTACAATAATGACATTAGGCATTAATCCATTCACAAGGGAGGAGCCTCATGACCTAATCACCTCTTTTTTTTTTTTTTTTTTTTTTGAGACAGTCTTGTTCTGTCTCCCAGGCTGGAGTGCAGTGGCAAGATGACAGCTCACTGCAACCTCCGCCTCCCAGGTTCAAGCGATTCTCCTGCCTCAGCCTCCCGAGTAGCTGGGATTACACGCACACACCACCACACCTGGCTAATTTTTGTATTTTTAGTAGAGATGGGGTTTCATCATATTGGCCAGGCTGGTCTCTAACTCCTGACCTCAGGTGATCCGCCCGCCTCGGTCTCCCAAAGTGCTGGGATTACAGGCGTGAGCCACCACGCCCGGGCCCCTAATCACCTCTTAAAGGTCCCACCTCTTACTACTGTCACAATGGCAATTAAATTTCAACATGAGTTTTGGAGGGAACATTCAAACCATAACAATGAGGGATTCTATGAAGCAGGGTAATAATGCTATGCTTCTCCTTTGCATGTCCTCAACTCATTTATTTTTCTCTGTAGCACTTCACAAAATCAGAATTTCTACTTAGATTCTACCTTCTCAGCAGCTGCTTTCTTCTTTCTCTCTCATTATGTAGTCCCATGCCAGCACAACTTAGGGGCAGAAAATGCATTGAGAGACATTTGAACACAGAATGCCTGGCTCACCTTGATGTGTTTTTCTTTTTTACAGGATCTTCACTTTGTCTTTTGAAACTCCAGGCTCTTGGGGAAACTTAGCTTCCTTGGTATCTTGCTGATGCCTTCAAATGGTTGTACTTATTCTTGTTGTGTTTTTATACCCATCTTTTATAGTTATTTTCAGTGGAAGGTCTGTCTGAAACCAACGACTCCATCATGGTCAGAAGTGGAAGTCTGCCTGTTTTGGTTTTTAGTTGATTTAATATAGCAGCCTTAGAGATTCATTAAAAATTTAAGATTAAAAGTAAGATTTTTTAATGTTTTTGTCTGCCTTCACATTTTTGAGATATGATTACATACAGCAAAATGCACAGATCTTAAATGTGCAGTTAGATGAGTTTTGACAGATGGGTATACTCCTGTAAATGTGTCATTTTATTCTTAATTATATTTTATTTATATTACCTAACAACCAACACCAAAATAGCTTCGGCATAATAGTCAAAATTCATAGATCAAGCCACATTTTCATAAATTGAAATTTCACAAGATTTACTTAAGCAACCGTGTGAATTACCATTGAAGTACAGCTCACCTCAGCACACAACCATGCCTGGCTCTTAGAGAATGAATGAATATCTTCTGGACTAAATTGTTGACTTTATTTTAAAAATTAAATTGCTCAAGTCTTTGCATTGAATAATAGCTCTAAGTTTGGCAATCTTGTTTGAGTCATTTTTTAAACCAATTTTCATCAAAAACAGAAATCGTTTTATTGTTCAAAGGTAGAAAAATGTAGATAGGATTCCCCAAAATTTCCTCACCTGTAAGTTTATTCTAGATATAACCATTATATACAGTTTGACATTTTATGCACAAAAAAATTATTTAAATAAAATATTGTACATAAATTTGTATAAAGTGTTTTCTCTTAAAACTTACCAATAATCACTTGTCTCATGTCAACAATTATGCTTTCACACTTCCCTTTTAAATAGCTGCAGAGTTTATTGTATAGAATTTACTTAACAAACACTCTGTTGGAACTCTGGATTATTTCCATTAATTTACCATTAAAAACTACATTGTGTTATACATCTCCAAGTTGAAAATTTTTCCCAATTCACCCCTTATTTTCTTAGGATAAGTTTATATCAGTGGAACTACTTAGTCAATGATATGCAGATTTTCTAAAGACTTTTTTTTCATACAGCAGTTTCTCATGAGAAATTCTTTGCCAATTTGTACTTCATAGCTCATAGGAGAGATCTTAATTTCCCCCTTATTTCACTAACACCAGCAGAAAATGTCATGCCCTTGTTTTGATTTGTATTTCTTTTGTTACTATTGAGGTTGAGCCCTTTTTCTTCTATTTATTTCCCTCCCATGTCTTATATTTTTCTTTTTTAAATGCCTATTTATAGCTTTCATCCTTTTTGGACTGCTTATGTTTTTCTTATTGATCTGTAGTAGCTTGTTATATGTTAACTGTTGGAATTTCATATGTGTTAGAGATATTGTCCCCAGCTTGTCATTTGCCTCCTGGTTATGTTTGCTGATCCAGTGCAGAACCCCATGGGGTGCAGAGTAGGAGGACATGAGAGAGCCAAGGCTGGAGAGTTAGGCACAGGCTAGGTCACCTAAGGGCTAGCTGCTCATGCAAAGGAGCAAGGAGGTGCTATTGACGAGGGTAGGACTTTAAAATATCTAGGGAGTGAAGTCTTCAGGTTTTGCTGACTGGATAAGGGATGTGGGATCCAAGAAGGTGATGCAGGCAACACCAACTCTGGCGTTGGCCTTGAGGTGGACAGTAGTGTACTGAATTATTAATAAATGGTCATCAGGTAGAAGCATGTTTTGGAAGGAAAATGATAAGCATTAGAGTTACGGTCTTTGCTCCTGCAACAACCAGTATTTAGCTGTCAGAGCCTCATAGCTTAGTACAGCTCCTGGCACAGTGGATTGCTTAGTAAAATTGAAATGAATCCATTGTCGGCTTCCATCGAGAAAGATGATGATCTTCTCTTTGGTGCCTTTTTGATCTCTGTGCCTAGTACTGGCAGCCTCACAATTAATTTAATTTAATTTAATTTAATTTAATTTAATTTAATTTTTTGAGATGGAGTCTCACTCTGTCACCCAGGCCAGAGTGCAGTGGCGCGATCTCGGCTCACTGCAACCTCCGCCTCCCGAATTCAAGCGATTCTCCTGCCTCAGCCTCCCTGAGTAGATGGGACAACAGGCACCCACCACCATGCCCAGCTCATTTCTGTATTTTTAGTAGAGACGGGGTTTCGCCACATTGGCCTGGCTGGTCTTGAACTCCTGACCTCAGGTGATCCATCTGCCTTGGCCTCCCAAAGTGCCGGGATTATAGACGTGAGCCACCACACCCGGCCCACAATTAATTTTAATAATCTCACTTCTGCTTCCTAGGAACCGGAAGACAGTAAAGGTCATAAATGATGTACCTTTTACATCTGGCAGAGGGCCAGGACAGTTCTGGGGTTCATATTTCTCTCCTTCTCTACTCTGAGGTTTATACGGCCCCCCCACCGCCCCCAAGGTAAGTGTTTCTAAAGTTCTCATGGATTTCCTGTTAGAATCCAACAAGTTGCATTTACTGCTTTTCAATCTTCAGCATCTTCTTTGTGGCTGGGGTAAAGAAGCTCACTGTGGACTCTCATTCAGTCTTGGGTGCATTGGGCAACCTCTGGGAAAAGCACTGCTCTGATGAACAGGGGAATGAATGACCACTGCCACACAGGCAGGTTTGGGGAGCTGCAGGCCATCCTGTTCGGTGCTGGTGTGCTAGCTATGGGGGTAAACAAAGGCAAAGAGGTTCTCAGGTCGGGGTGGTGGGTGGATAGAGAGAGGAATGTGAAAGAGAGAGATCTAAACAGAAAAGCTTGCCAGAAATTCAGAAAAAAAAAACCCACCTTTTAATTCTGTAGTTCCCAATATTCACAGCTGTTATAAAGCTCACATTTGGGCTAATTCCACAAGTTATTAATCATCCACTGCTCGCTATATTGGACTTGTGGATCACATCAGAGCTCCACAAGCAATTAAAAGTCCTCCTTTGCTTGTGAAATGGCCTAACTATAAATCTCAGGAGGGTCAGCCCTGTTCTTCACCTGAGATACCTGGAAGTCATGCTGACCTCCACTCATCCATCCCATGAACAGGTCGAAGGATTTGGCAACATGCTGAACAAGCTTTGTCCTGGGTCCTTGGGAGGGGTTGGAGGTGGGGCGAGGCAGTACTATGGTCTCTTTCATAAGTAAACCTTTGCAGTCTCTAATATTTTATACTATCTCTTTCATTCACACTTAAAATAGTATGAGGAACCTACTTCGTGTCCTGCCATGCCAGGCATGGATGATTCTGAGATGAATAAAACACAGTCCTTGCCCTGGGGAAGCTAATGGTCGGGGTAAGAAACAGGCACGTCAAAGCTTACAATTTAGTGTCATCGTTGCTGTACAGATGGAGGCACTAAGTCCTGTGCGGTCATGACAAAGGATGCAAGTAACTCTACGTGTTGGGCCATAAGAAAAGGCTTTGTAGAGAGAAGGTCTATGCAACTCAGGCTTTTACCAGTACAAGGGATTTCAGCAGGAGAAAAGTCTGGAGGGAGAAGCTATGAAGCAGAGGGAACCACAGTGCACACAGAGGCATGGAAGATTCCCGAAGACAGTGGCTGCAGCAGAGGGTGTCTGGCAAGAGAGGATGGAGTTGAGGCTGGAAAGCTGCAGTGTAGGAAGAGGTTGTTGCCATGTGTGTATATTTTCTGCAGAAGAAAAGAAAAGCACTACTTCTAGGGTGATATTATGTTGTATGTAGAGAAAACTCTGGGACACCATGCAGAAGTGGGATGTGGGATAGAAAACTTAGGCTGGAGAACTGATGCTATTAACTGTAAATTCCATTTCATTATCAGCAACAAATATTTATGCAGCCTCTGGAGGGAAGGAAGTCCCACAGTCAGTGATGAGTGGAAGATACAGAGGCCAAACAAAAGGCACAGTCCTTGAGTCATTGTGTTTGCAATTTAAGATGCACACACTGGGATGAAACACAAGAGAATGAATAGTGAGACAGATGTAACGCTTTTGCTAAACAACTCTTATCTACAAAGCTTTGCTATGCTTTTGTATTTTGTTGGCATCTTAGCACATTGGCTTTCAAATGTTTTTGACCATAACCAAAAGTTAGAAATATATTTTCATGCCATGATCCAGAATCCATAAAAAAATTTCACCGAGTACTATTGAGATACACTCTGATATTTTACAGGCTATTACGTTTTAATTTTTTTTTAATGCTGGTTTCTGACCCTCTAAATTGATTCTGTGACCCACTGTTGGGTTATAACTGTTGGCTTGAAAATTCCGGCTTTCCCATGTCTTGGAGGGGGAAATGTTGGAGGAAATGGAACAGATGGGGGAGTGAAAGAGTGAGCGTGACTGCAGTGAGGGAAGGGACCGCATGAGCAATTGCCACATCAAATTCCCATGACCAAAGAGGGCACTAAATGAACAGGGCCCAGCCTGGGCCACATAGTGAGACTCTGCCTCTACAAAAAAAAAATATCTATCTATCTATCTATCTATCTATATATATATAGATAGATAGATATATAGATATCTATATATATATAGATATATAGATATATAGATATCTATATATATAGATATATAGATATCTATATATATAGATATATAGATATATATAGATATATAGATATCTATATATCTATCTATATATATATATATATATATATATATAGATATATAGATATCTATATATATATAGATATATAGATATCTATATATAGAGAGAGAGAGAGAGAGAGAGCTGGGTATGGTGGCACACACCTGTAGTCCCAGCTACTCGGGAGGCTGAGTCAGGAGGATCCCTCAACTCCAGGCTTTTGAGGCTGCAGTAAGCCATGATGGTGCCAATGCACTCCAACTTGGGCAATGGACTGAGCCAAGGGTGCTTCACTAAGAAGGAGGATTTATTTTTCCCCACATTAGGAGACAATTTCCTGATATCTGGTAAAACTCTAGAGTAGCATTTATAAAGCTCTGTTGCGGCCAGGTGTGGTCACTCACATCTGTAATCCTAGCACTTTGGGGGGTGCCAAAGTGGGTAGATCACGAGGTCAGGAGTTTGAGACCAGACTGGCCAACATGGTGAAACCCTGTCTCTTACTAAAAAAAATAATAATAATACAAAATTAGCCGGGCTGGTGGTGCGCACCTGTAATCCCAGCTACTTAGGAAGTTGAGGCAGGAGAATCACTTGAAATCAGGAGGTGGAGGTTGCAGTGAGCCGAGACTGCGCCATTCCACTCCAGCCTGGGCAAAAAGAGCAAAACTCCGTCAAAAAAACAAAAACAAAACAAAACAAAACAAAACAGTGTTGCATGGCAGATTTTGAGATAATAATAAATATTTCTTTAAAAATTTGTTGAGTGGTCAAATAAGTTTGGCAGATGCCAAAATATATATCCCCAATGTGGATGGTCACATTGCATAAAGAGCTGAAAATATCTGCAGTAATAAAATCATTTTATCCTTTAAAAAAAAACAACAGGACTTAATTTATTTACTATAGAGACTTTTCTGTTCTCTTTTCTAATCCCATGTGTTGGAGCACAGGTTGGGAAATGCAGGTGTAGATGGCACCATTGCAGAAGATAGGCTGAGGGTGAGGCTTACTGGCAGAGGGTTAGCATCCCTGGGGACCTCCCCGCTGTGCAGGGTTTAACCAGGCCAACTTTTTTCCACAAGGGGCCAGATAGTAAGTATTTTAGGCTTTTCTGTTGCAACTGCTCAACTCTGCCATTGTAGTGTGTAAGCAGCCACAGACAATACATAAAGGAGTGAGCAGGCTGTGTTCCAATTCAAGTTTACATAGGGACACTGGAATTTGAATTTCATATGATTTTCCTGTGACAAAAAATCTATTCTTCTTTTGATTTTTTTCAACCATATAAAAATGTAAAAACCATTCTTAGCTCCTAGGCTGTACAAAAACAGGCAGTGGGCTGGATTTGGCCCGTGGGCCATAGTTTGCCAACTGCTGGTCTAAATATTGAGATACTTGCCTCTTTGAAACGCAAAGGAGAGTGCAAGATAGGTAGAATGTCCCTTTTCCCTCCACAGCTACAAGACACTTTGGAAATAGCCCTGATCCTGGGGGAAAAATTTCACACAGGCCTGCTTTGTGCCCTAAGATTTCTGCTGTCCTTTTTTTTTTTTTTTTTTTGTTTTGTTGAGACGGAGTCTTGCTCTGTCGCCCAGGCTGGAGTGGAGTGCAGTGGTGCCATCTTGGCTCACTGCAAGCTCCGCCTCCTGGTTCATGCCGTTCTCCTGCCTCAGCCTCCCAAGTAGCTGGGACCACAGGTGCCTGCCACCAGGCCCGGCTAATTTTTTGTATTTTTAGTAGAGACAGCGTTTCACTGTGTTAGCCAGGATGGTCTCAATCTCTTGACCTCATGATCCGCATGCCTCGGCCTCCCAAAGTGCTGGGATTACAGGCGTGAGCCACCACGCCCGGTCTCTGCTGTCCATTTTAAACTTGCCACTCCTCATACTGGTAAGGGACCACTTGGCTTAGCCCAGGAACCCTTTGGAAGCCTTCCTTGACCCCACAGGTGGCTGAGAGCTCATGTGTCCCCCTTCCGTCCTATGTCTCTGGCTGCCCTTGCCCTGCACCCCATATATGACAGCTGTTCTGGCCAGCAGCTGCTCAGGGGTCTTCCTGCTCAAAAATTTCCACCACAGCCAGAGAGAAAATCATTTGAAGTCTCAAATTTTATCTTAGGAGAAATAAATTTTAATTCTGCATTCTACTCTATGATACTTACTCTAATATAAAAAATTAATATGTTTTCCTCAGAAAAGTATTCTAGTAAAATCCATGCTCCGTGAAGAGCTGTTCTTACTTGGTTCAAATATCAACCACTGGCACAATGCCACTTAGCCTATTTCTGGAAGCACAGGCCTATGTGATAAATTTGAAAATCCTGGCACTTAGCGCCCAGCAAATCCAGTCCCAGCCTCTCTTTCCAGACTCTCTTCCAACAATTTTTCTTCTGCCTATAGATACCAGGCCAGGTGGCCACCACTCCTGAAAGCCTCCATGATCTTTTAAGCTGATGTGATTTTTGTTGCCCATGGGATAATAATGTTTCTTTTCTTTCTTTTCTCTTTCTTTCTTTCTTTCTTTCTTTCTTTTTTTTTTTTTTTTTTTTTTTTTGGACAGGTTGTTACTCTGTAGCCCAGGCTGGAGTGCAGTGGCAGCAGCCTCAACCTCCTGGGCTTAGGTGATTCTCCCACCTCTGCTTCCTGAGTAGCTGGGACTACAGGTGCATGCCACCACACCCAGCTAATTTTTGTATTTTTTTTTTTTTTTGTAGCGATTGGGTTTTGCCATGTTGCCCAGTATTCTCCATGATATTTGACTCCTGTTGTATACTCCTTGGTGTAATCCCTTCACCTCAAGGGTGGACAGGACTTGGCACTTCCTTCTATCCCACAGAATATGGCAAAGGTGGCAGACGTCACTTTTAAGTTTAAGACTCCTTCACACTGTTAAACCCATCCTAGAGGTGCTTCTGGCTGGCTCAATGAAGTAAGCAGCCACACTGGGGGGTCCATGTGGGAAAGACTGTGAGTGGCCCCTAGTTGCTAAGGGCAGCCTGTGGCTGACAGCACAAAGCCCAGAACTCAGTCCCGCATCTCCTTGGCTATGAACTCTGTGGATAACCTGAGTGAACTTAGAAGGGGATCTCCCCCAGAGCCTCCAGGAAGAAACGTAGCCCAGCTGACACCTCCATCCCAGCCTTGTGAGACCTGAGGCAGGAAATCCTGCTAAGAGGTGCTTGGATTCCAGACTTGTGGAAACTGTGAGACAATAAATGTATGTTGTAAACTGCTACATTTCTGGTAATTTGTTATGCTGTAGTAGAAAACTAAGGCCCTCCCTTCCCCCAGTGGACTGTGCCCTGACAACTGTGCTCTGTGTGAAGGGCATGCTCGTTAAATACTCATCCCAGGAATTCTTAATGAATGAATGAAGCTTATAACACTCCACACCACATCACATACAATTCATGAAAACGTTGGAGGCAGAACTTCAGCATGAGCGAAGTATCTGTTTTTTAGTTTGTTTCTTTTCCCACTTCTCCATCCTCATCCCCATGTTAATATAAACAACAAGGTTACAGAAATAAAAATAGAAAACCAAAACAGTAGAAAAAAAATGGAACACCTATTTGCTAACCCCCATAGCTAGCCTAGTTGTTAATGATTAACCAAGTCACTTAAACCTGAGCTTCCTGGCAGCCTGGTGAGGAAGGAGAAAGTTTATGAATTCCATGGTTCTCGACTGTGGGATTAGGAAGTCCAGATCAGGTCTTTAGGGGGGCACAATATTTTGCACTGGATCCGTTTTTTTCTTCTTTTTTTTTTACTACTGCCCTTTGGAGCTTAGAACATGGTCTGTAAAAGTGAGCTTTCTCTAGGCAGGGCTGGCTTATGCTGTGGTATGAGAATCTCTGGAAGTTGATTGAAAAAGATTATGTATATGTTGAGAACTGCAGAACTCTGGGCACCTAATGACTCAGTACAAACCTCTGTACTAAGAGATGACCCAACTCTAGCCTGGCTTCTAGCGTCCCTGTCCATAGGATGCCCCAGCCCCTACTTAAATGCCTGCCTGAGGAAGCTAAAACCTGCCAGGAGAATTTACTATTTGTTCAAGCCAACACCTTATGTTAGGTTCCTGACTCTTTCCTTAGAGCATTTACAAGGAAGGGCTTAGACTTGCTCATTCTACATGTGCAATATGAAAAATATAGTTAATAACTGTGTATTGTATTCAGAATTTTTGCTGAATGAGTAGATTATAACTGCTCTGGGGTGGGGACTGATGAGCAACTGCGTGAGATGATCAAACGTTATTTTGTTTCACTGTAGTAACCATGTTACTATATAGTATCTCATAACATCATGTTGTGTACCTTAAATATACACAATAACATTTATTTAAAAATAAAAACAAAAAGGGCTTACATTTGTGAATATGCATCTCCTGTAACTCTGAAGTATCCTTCTCAAGGACCCGAAAGCCATTACTGTGAAAAGTCATCATCAGGAAGGCTAGGGCCCCTGTCCCCCATCTCAGTAGGTGGGTAGAATCCTAACTTGTCAACTCACAAACACAGCTGGCCCAAAGGCATTAATGCTGGCCAACCCTTCGCAGTTCTTTGCCTCTCTGAATCTGCTGAGCCCCTGCTTACCCCCTCCCTACTCCCTCACTCCCTTTGCAATCCCAGTCACCTCTATGCAAATCACAATGGAGTTCAGTTCTTTCTCCTCCCATCAGTAATTACTGAATAAAATCTGTTTTCACTGCTTTAACTAACATCTAGCTGGGTCTGTCTTTGACAATGTGTATATGTCTATGCATTTGTATGTGAGATACACATGTGATTTTAAAGGAGACCCAAGGAAGAGCTCCCAAACCCACCTGGGAGCCTGGAAAGGCTTTCTGAGGGTCCTAAGCCATGTCATGGAGGTTTGCTACCAGAGAATCCAGGAGAAAAAAACACATAAATGCTGGTAGTCAAATTCCGTAAGGAAATAAACCCAGCTTTTTGTTTGTGTATTTGTTTTGTTTTTGTTTTGTTAAGCAGATCACCTTGATGGGACAATTTGGCCTATCCAGGCAGGATCAACAAGAGGAATTCAAGGAGAAAGCAAATTGTTTTGCAAATAGAGTAAGATATGTTTTGCATTTCCAAAGGCAATGCAAGAAGGAAGGACAAACGGAGGTGGGAACAGGCTCAATCCAAGACGAGGTGAGAAGAGCTAGGGAAGACAGAGAATCCAAAGAGGGCAAGAGGCAGTGTGTATCCTGTACGCCAGTGCCCCAGCTTCTAGCTATATTTTTGTCCCCACCAGGCCTGAAGCATGACTCAGCACTTAATTACATTCCCAGAGGAAAATCCACCTCACAAGCATGACTGGTGATTTCAGTGGAAGAGTCAGAAGAAGCTTTTACATCTCGCACAGTCCTCATCAATTCCTTCCTGATCTGTCCTTTCATCTCAGTCCCCACTCAGAGGCTCTGCCTGCTGGAGAGAGGAGTGGGAGAAATGTCCTTCTTCAAAGCCAGCTTCACAGGCCCATAGCCGTTGAGGTTGCATAGGGCCCCAAGCTGAAAGAGCCCCATTTAAGATTTAATGCTGTGCTCATGCCCTCTTAAAATTATTGCTGAACTCTGCTCTGTAAGTGAAGTCCATGGGGCAGCAGCACATGCGCAGGAGCATGGAGGAGGCGTAATATGCATGTCAGCTGCTCTTTGCTGCCCATTCCCATAGAACATTTGCAATGCCCCAGCAGCAGAGGATGGATGCTGGCGGTGAGAGGTGAAGCCGGCTGGGCTTCTGGGTGGGGTGGGGACTTGGAGAACTTTTCTGTCTAGCTAAACGATTGTAAACGCACCAATCAGCACTCTGTGTCTAGCTAAAGGTTTGTTACAGACCAATCGGTCTGTAAAACAGACCAATCAGCTCTCTGTAAAATGGACCAATCAGCAGGATGTGGGTGGGTCCAGATAAGGGAATAAAAGCAGGCCACCCAAGCCAGCAGCGGCAACCCGCTTGGGTCCCCTTCCACGCCGTGGAAGCTTTGTTCTTTTGCTCTTTGCAATAAATCATGCTGCTGCTCACTCTTTGGGTCCACAACACCTTTATGAGCTGTAACACTCACCACAAAGGTCTGCA
This sequence comes from Homo sapiens, assembly GCF_000001405.40. NCBI lineage: Eukaryota > Metazoa > Chordata > Mammalia > Primates > Hominidae > Homo > Homo sapiens. The sequence goes on from NC_000007.14 coordinate 36,764,077, forward strand.
GCTTCACTCCTGAAGCCATAGAGACCATGAACCCACCGGGGAGGACCAGACAACTCCAGACGCACTGCCTTTAAGAGCTGTAACACTCACGGCGAAGGTCTGCAGCTTCACTCCTGAAGTCAGTGAGACCAGGAACCCACCCAGAGGAACGAACAACTCCAGACGCGCCGCCTTTATGAACTGTAACACTCACTGCGAAGGTCTGCAGCTTCACTCCTGAAGTCCGCAAGACCACGAACCCACCAAAAGGAAAAAACTCTGGACATGTTCGAACATCAGAAGGAACAAACTCCGGACACACCATCTTTAAGAACTGTAACACTCACCACCAGGGTCCGCGGCTTCATTCTTGAAGTCAGCAAGACCAAGAACCCACCAATTCCGGACCCAGTGGTTCCATGGAGTGTGGAGGTTCAGCAAGACTCAAAGTGAGAACGTCACCAACAAACTGAGTATGTCACCAACAAACTAAATTCTTTCCCAAGTTGATGTCGGTCTCAAAGAAAGAATATCCAATTGGAAAAGGCCGTCAGGTTTCATTCACTGGCCAGAGAATGAAGAACGTGATCTCTTGCTCTAAATGCACCTTCTCCCTAAACAATAGAAGGCGTGGGGTTGTGAAGGACTGGGTACAGGGAGGGAGAGGCATTGTTAGCATGTGGAGGGTGGGACTCCAGACACCCAAGCTCAAATTTATAAAAATTTCTTCATATATCACATGTACACAAAATGGTAGAGATTTTCTTTTAGGGGAGGGAATTTTAACATTATTATGATATGTTGATGACCCAAAGGCAACTAGGGGTCGTCTATTCCTGTTTGTGCCAGTTTGGGAGTGTTAGCTCCCTCTGGTATCTAGTCAGGGGTCAAGAAGCTCTGGCGCCATCTCAGGCCATTCGGTTTCTTTAAGCAGCTGCGCTTGTAAATTAAGGGACTAAGGAAAAACAGTAAGAAAAAAAAAAAAACTTTCCCAGTTATTTCATCAGAGCTGCCCTGGTAACAAGTACAAAGAGAATGCATTGGGTCTGCCAGTGAAGAAGCAAGCCACTGACAGCCCCAAGAAACCACACTTTCCCTTCAAACCAGTACTTGCTTGCAACACAGAAAAAAGGCAATGTTACTCTAAGAAACAACCAAGAACCCTATCATATCCTTTCTAACTCGTGTGATATCAGAGCAAGATAAGACTAGGAGAAATGTCTTTCAGAAACCCCAGGGGATATTAGTGGGGACGGAGGTGGGAGAGGGAGAGCTCTGAAACGTCCCCTGAGTATAAGGGAATTTCAGCCTTTAAAATTAAATATCAAGGAACAGGGAGCCTCCAGCTGGCTAGAGGACTCTCAGCAGTAAACACCTGGGTTACAATTGTGTCATGATCCCTAGAAAGAGGGGCAATATTATCAAAAGTCAGTTCTGCTAGTTATAGGAACACTGGCTGCTGAAACAGATAACTCCTACACATAATAAAAGTTTATTTTTCACTGGGGTAGAGTCCCAAATAGATGGTCCTGGTCATCAGCAGGTGTTGCTCTCCCAAGTGGTGATTAAAGAACCTGGACCGCTGCCTTCCTATGGCCCCACCACCCTTATTCCGTGGCTCTCCAAGTTGCTGTGGTCCTCTGCTGTAGTCTGTAGAAGGTGAAGAGCTTGGAAGATCTTGTGTAGGAGGTTCTTATAGGTCAGGCCTGGGAGTGGCCCGCATCACTTCTGCTCACATGCTATGGGCTAGAACTCAGTCACATGACTACACCAATAGCAAAGAAGGCTGGGAAATGTAGTCTTTCTGGTGTAGCCCAGAGGAAGAGGAAATGGGATCAATGAATACTAGCCAGTGAAGAAGTAGGGAAGGCATCCCAACAGAGGGAACGGCATCAATAAAGGCATGAAGGGAAGAATGCTATGGTGTCAGCAGGGAATTAAAAGCTACTTTAGGGTTGTCAGAGTGTTCCGAAAACAGAGAAGTTACCAATGGAATGCCTTTCGTCTAGCACTCGGGCCATCTCTCTTGTATACGACTAGCCATGGTTGGAGCATTTTAATGTGAAGAGTGTAATGAATATTTGTATACTGGCCAGGGGAGTGGTGTGGGGCAACTGCCTTTCCTCTTCTCTTCCCTGCCTTCAAAGTATTAAGATAAGCCATAGAGTGGGTGCAGGGAAGAAGAGGCGTGGAGTAGGGTGATCAGGCTGTAGCCTGGTTAAGTTCTTAAGCTACAATGCTTAAGAACATCATCTTGTGCTTCTGGATAGCTTGCCATCACTGTCAATCAGACAGAAACTTGGAGCTGACACTTCAGGTATCAAGAATTAGCATTTGGTTGGCAAGTTCTTTGTCTTCCTTTCCCCCAGGAGCTTCATGTGCACTATTGGTGACTGGACACAGAAAATGGAGGCAGGACTGGTTTTAACATGACTACCAGCAGCCATGTTACTAATCTAACTGTTCTCTCAGGTACACCCACCTCCTGCTAATGGCTTCCTCAGGCTCTTGCTGTGCTGTTTTATTTCTTCTTTCAAAATGCCTAGAGAAAGAGCCTAGAGCTTTCCAGGGAAATAGTGACATCCTCTGGGAACACGATCCATGGCCAGTGTGAGGTGTATTATAAGGTAAAGGAAGCAGCCATCTGCATTAACTAAGTCTAGCCAAGGAAATTGTTTCTGTCTGCCTGTGCTTGACAAATCAATTGATCTGTTACACTGTTCCCTGGATTTTCTGAGAGCAAGCTCTCAGCTTTTCTGCACAAATATATCCCAGTATTGAACTCAAGTAATAGACAGAAGGTTATCAGTGATTATAAGAGAAAAGAGCCTTTCTATGACATCACTTCTCAGCTCGAAATTGCTCTTATCTGAGCAGTTTCCTGCGTCTTTACACAAAGCATCCCTTGTTTAGGGATGCTGTCTCTCTTGTTCCTTACAGGTTGCACAAAGTGAGCTGCTAAAGAACACTAGCTACAGCCACCACCTTCCTTCCAGACTGTTTTTTATTGCCCTGTGGCTCACTTCATGATGTTCATACAAATCCTTCTCAATGTCCACTTCTGCCCCCGTCATACTGCAACCAAAATGTCCCAAAGCGACATGAACTGATGCTTCATGCACTTGTGGGAAGGGCTGGCTTCATAATTTGCAGGGCTCAGTGCCAGATGAAAATGTGGGAGCCCTTGTTCAAATAACAGGAAAAAGTCCCATCCAGGGTACTAACTAAAATACAGATCTCATTTCTCTTTCTTCTGCAGTTTCTCTCTGGCCTTGCCGTGATGTTTGTTATCTCTTTGTTTAATATTATTCTAAGGAAAGAAAAATTAAACCCTTAAATTATTAGCTTGAATTTTCTCATTCATATTAGTATTGTGCAATATAATTTAAAATGCAATTATGAGGTTTAAATGCAAATATAAGGGCACTTAACTCTTATATGGAATCACCAAAGCCACACAATTCCTATTTCCTATTTCATACATTCATATATGTTTATTCTCTCCAAAAGAGTGAAAACGCTGCACAAAAACAAAACCCTCATTCTTTTTGTTTCACTTCTTCATGTGCACACCTGCTACCAATACACTCTGCCTTTGGCTTACTGATGAGGAAGGAAGGACAGAAAGGAAAGATAGGAAATGGCCTGTCTTTCCCTTTCCTTCTATGCCATCATTTTCAGTACATGGTTGGCGACTACAGGGAGCTAACAAAAATAAGAGAGGCCATGGCAGGATTCCTTGGTCATTCATGTTTTTCAGGATACCACTGCCTCCTTTCTGCATGTGAAGAAAGCTCTGGCTGGAACAGAAAGCACAGCCTTCAGGACTCCTCAGGCCCCCCACTCACTCAATTGTACACATAACACACTGACCTTGAACTCCCTTTGAGTCCTGCTGAACTCCAATGCATATGGGCCAACCAGGATTCTATACTCATGGTGCATCTCAAAGGCACATGGGGTGGTGAGGACCAGGACCATGCACATGATAAAAAGTCTGTTCTGCTCATTGCCCATGCTCTATTGCCCCATTGGACTTCATTTACAAAACGCAAGCTCAAAGAAAAAAAAAAATTAGAAATTTCAGGATGGCTATGGCACAGCACTAGACAAAGTGTGGGGCCCTTCTGAGGCTGGCCCTGGGTGACTGCATAGGTCACTTGCCTGTGAAGCCAGTCCCGATGGTGGACCACTCCGAGACAGAAATAAACTACATTTGGATAGCTAATCCTGCGGGCCTGATTTTCTCCACCAGAATTTTGACAACGGTAGTCAGATAGGACACATATAGATCTTACATTATCTGGGAGGATTTTGAATTATTGGATCATAACCGGGAATGAAAATCATAACCAGTTATGATACTGCTAACTTAGGTGCCATTGTATTCAAAATTCCCTAAAGACCATCCATGGGGTGTTGATACTAAGTCTATCAAAGAACTGGTGAAAGCCTTAGTCTGTATTACGTGGAATATGGTCTGGTCTGTCCCAAACTATATTTTGGTCTCTAAAGCCCTACTCCTGTCTTGTTCCACAGCAGTTACTGGCAGCTTAACCAGAAGGTTAATTCAGATCGATGTGTTTCCCTTCTGTATTCCTTTTTGCATACTGGCTCATCTTCCAAGATCCATCACTCAAACTATGCTCTATCTATGGAAACTGAGTTTGAATGAAAGTATAAAATGGAATTAATTCCTAGAGAGAAGTTAGATTCTGGCAGGAATGCTTTTCCATTTTTAGGCTGCTTGAGAATCACGTGTAAATTATTATTGGTATTCTAAATGACTCTGAATCACTTAAACAAAAGAAAAAAGGAAGAAAGACAACATTACCACAGGAGTCAGGTAGCTCACTGAGTTGGAGAAAAAGCTACCAACCAGAATTTTTAAAGTGCAGGAGCAGAACAGCTCCTGTGGATTTAAGAGGAAGAACTTGAGGATGGTCAGTTTTGACAGTGCCATTGCAATACCTGCTACACCATCTCTCCTTCTGGAATTAAAATTCCCTGGACAGAGAGAGAAAGAGAATTGATCTAGCTGGGTAGAGTGGTGGGCTTGGCTTGCAGATGTCTCAGCTGGAGAGTGGCATATTTGATTTTCTCATGCTATGATTAATGGCGAAAGTTTAATCTCCCTGTTTTAGTCTGCTAGGACTGCTATCACAAAATGCACTGATAGCACATAGTCTACGTGGCCTAAACAACAGACATTTGTTTTATTAATGGGTATTTATTTTCTCAATAGGCATGTGTTTTCTCAACAGACATTTACTTTCTCACAGTTCTAGAGGCTGAAAGTCCAAGATCAAAGTGTTGGGAGGTTGGTTTTCTCGAGGTCTCTCTTTTTGATTTGCAGACAGCCACCTTCTTGCTGGCCTCACATGGTCTTTCCTTGCTCTGTGCACATCCTTAGGGTCTCTTCTTATTCGTACATGGACACTCATCATGTTGGATTAGGGGTCCAGCCTTATGACCTCATTTTACCCTAATTACTTCTTTAAAGGCTCTATCTCCAAATACAGCCCCGTTGAGGATTAGGGCTTCAGTATACACATTGTATGTACAATTCAGTGCAAAACACCTCCCAGATAAAATGTAATGTTGTCACCGAATGAAGGAGAAAGGCCTGCCAGGCAGGCAAGAGCAGCAGGTGCCCTCAACCTTGCTCCAAGATGCTTGCCCCACCTGGGCTATTTTTTTTTAACTGATGTTATTTTTCTTAATGGCATAAATGTATTAGGGAAGGGGGAGGAGATCTAGGAAACTAAAGGAGTGAAGGTTCTTTCCAGTTAACCTCAGATCCATTCATTTCCCCAAGCTTCTGCTGCAATACTATGAGCTAAATGAAGGGGAAGGAGGTACTGAGCAAAGTGGGTAGGGAAAGGATGTGGGGGTGAGAGTATTCAGGATAACTTGGCTAGACTGTGAGCCACTTCAAGTGTTGGTCAGATTTCCGTAGAGAATCCTCAGGTTAAATAATACAGCAATACTTTTTTGAGATTCACTAGACATAAAAACCAAACAAAGTCTTCACTGTCTCTCTCTCCTTTGCTGACATAAATGAAACCTCTCCTGATGCCTCCCTCTTCCTCTCCTCATTCTATACCTGGGCTTTTTCTAACTCTTAAGGCATCTAGAAAATTAGAGACTCATCACTAGCATATCAGCAATTAGGTTTTCATTATTCTGTATGTCTCTCCTATTATCCACAATTCATTATTTTCATCTATAAATGTATATTTATTGAACACCTCCTTTGTACCAGGCACTGTTCTAGGTAATTTGGATATGTCTGAGAATAAAACAAACAGGTGAAGATGCCTGTGCCAGGAGGGTTTACTCTCTAGCAGAAAGACATAGAATATATCACAACATAAATATAGGTAAATTACATATGGCCGGTGATGAGTGCCATGGTGGAAAAGTAGAACAGGATAAGGGGGATGGGGAGTGCTGGGGCCTGGCAATGTGTTGATTATATTAGAATGCTCAGGGTGGGTGGACCTCTTGGTGGGGATGATGTACTGGAGCACCTCCACTAGCCCTTCCAGGTCCATTCTCCTGGGATGATGGTCTATACCGGCTGCACCATGAGCCCTCTTGTTCTGGGCCTCTGGCTTCCCATTCGGTTGAGCCAATGGATGACACTGGTAGAACTCTGAGTAGCACACTGAGGTCAGAGTATTAATTCTAGCAAAAGAGAGCTTCTGCCCTCAAGCTCCTTTCTTCCTAGGCCACAGGTTAGCAGTGGTTATAATCCTCACTGAAGGTTACAGCTCTTTCTGGGTTACAATAGCTGTTCCCTCCCCCTGGGTTCAAATTAATGCTCCCCACTATTGCTAATACCATGTGATTCCCTACCTCTTCTTGGTTTCCATTAAGTCTTCCCATACCTTTGTAAAAAGTCCCTTTATTGCACTCTCCAATTACCTCATTTGAATGTACTATCTGTTTTCTGCTGGAATCTTGACTTACATAGTAATTAATATGGAGAGGAGTGGCCCCAGGGTACAGCCTCTCAAAATGAGATTCTGTGATTGGGTTGCCCATATTTGAGGAATGCACAGATAACCTTGGGAGGAGAGGGAAAGGGATAAGACACTGGTAATCCATTGCATGCAAAAGCATATCTTTTTACCTAGTTCTTATTCTTTTTTTTCTCCCCCAAACTATAGTGAGAATCAATATGCTCAAGTGGCAGACTCACATTAGCTCCCTACCCTGCAGAATGAGGATTATATCCATAAGAGGAACCAAGTGGAAACCCCAAAGTAATAAACCCAAAGCAAGATGGCATCTCTAGAGGAACTGCAAATATAAAGGTCACCATCAGAGTCTTGGGAGACGCGGATTATTCCTATCACACCTCCATTTAACTAGTCTCTTTGGCCAGTACAAAAGCCAGATGGGTCTTAGAGAATAATTACAGATTGTCCCAGACTTAATCAGGTGGGCATGGCAATCACAGCTGAGGTTTGGGATGTGGTTTCTTTATGGGAGCAAATTAATAACCGTTCTTGGCACCTGGTTCTCAGCTATTGATTGGCAAAAGTTCTCAATAAACAGGTGGGAAAGGTGGCTGTCAGCCAGCCTCCTTCCTTGGCCACACTGGTGCTTGTTCAATAAGCCAACATACAGAGTGGCCACAGGGACAAATCAGTGGACTGATTTGGCTACAGCCACTACTGACTGCCCAGGGTTCCAACAGCAGAGGCCAACTTTGAGTCCCTAACAAAGCCCCATTCCATGAAATGGGCAGCGATTCATCCTCACAGGAATAGATGCATATCCTAGATACACATTTGCCTTTCTTTCTCAGAATTCTTCTGCCAGCATTCTCATCTGTGGACCTACAAATACTTTGTCCATTTGATATTGTATCTCACAAAATGTTACCACCATCTAAGGTTCTTATTTGCTGGCAAAGATGTGGTAATGGGCTCTTGCCTTTGACATTTGCTACTCTCTCCAGTCACCCAGAAGCAGATGGCTTGGCAGATCAATGGAATGGCCTGATGACAATCCCTTACAAGAAAGTGTCTTAAACCAGCAGCCAATATCTGGTGCCATCTTCTCTGTAACCAGAATGCATGGGCCTAGGAGCCAAGGAAAATGAGAGTGGCTTCGGTAATGTTTGATCTTATCCCAAGAATCTCAAGATTTCTGCCATAGGAAGGAATGTTCTACCAGTAGACAAAGTCAGTGTTCAATTAAACTGGGAGCTGAGCCTACTTCCCTGCCACTATGGGGCTCTTCTTGGCATCAAACTAACAAAGAAGGGAGTGGTGGTTACTCTACTGGCTGGGGTAATTGATGCAGTGAACTTGTCAAACCAACTTTATAATAAGTTCATAACCAACTAAATAAATGTTTAAGCAAACTGAAGCCATCAATGTAACATAAAGGAGATGATTAAATGTAAATTTATCAACAAGAATTTCTTCAGGAAGCAGAGGACAAAAGTCTCAATAGTTAGCAGGTAATTACCCTATTCCTACTCTTCCAAGAGAAGAGTCAGCCAAGATGTTCTCCCATCATGGCACACTTCTTTTGGAATCACGGCTTTTATAGCCATATCTGTAATTTGTTCTTTATTTCTATATAATTTTTATTCACAGCCACATCAGGGTTTGATGATTGGCCCATAAAATAAACACCATGCCAAGAACCTACAGGCTTTAGCCAAGACAAAACAGTTGCCAAATTTCTTGTTTGGGAAGAAGGCAATTTTTTCCCCTCTATTTGTAACAATATTTTACTGCTCTCTATTGCAGGATGTTTTAAGCACCATGATTCTGCAATAACACTGCACTGACTTGACATTAGCAGAAACGATCACCAAATCCCCTGGCCTATTGGATGTGTCAGATATGGTGCCTACCAGACATAGAGTGATTGAGCTTCAATAGTGTCAAGGTCATGGGGTCAGGAGCGGTGAAACAGTGTCAGCAAAGCAACAGTATGATTTGGTAGCAGGGCTGTTGCTCATCATTGGAGGCAATCAGCTTAGCAAGGCAAAGACTGGCTGTCCTTTGTCTGAGGGTACAGAAAGGTATCCAGAAACTCTGCAAAGTTTCATTAGGAACCAAGGGCAAGGGAAACTTGTGATCATACCAGCTAGGATAGACCTATGGCTGCAGTGGTTTCAATAGTCACCTGAAGGCTACTGTTAACTTTTAAGCTGCAGCTACCTGTTCAGCTCTGCCTTGCTTGGTTAGATCCTGTGAATTTAAATGGTCTTCACTGATTGTGTTCTTACTGCTCATGTCTTTTGGCAAAAGCAGTATAGCCAGTTGGGTGGAGCTTGGGTTAAGCGTATACATCCTAACTTTGGCATCTACTACATGTGGGACCTAAGGCAAGTTAGATAGTCGTTCCACAATTCTCAGTTTTCTCATAAGAAAAACGGGAATCATACTGTCTACCTCATAAGGATGTTGTAAGGTTTAAAGGAGACAATGTTCATAAAACACCTTAAATAGTATGTAGTGCCTATCAAGGCTCAATTAATGGTGATGATGATGATAATGAAGGCAGTTTCGCCAGGGTACAGAGGAACATAAGATTCAAGCAGCCTTGGGCCTTGTATCCATTTTGAGGCATTTTTAATTAACTGGGCTGGGAAAAAACTACACTAAGAGACTCTAAGATGGTAAAAATGAGAAGTATGCACTAGGAGGATAACAAAGCATTCGTATGAGAGGAGAAAGACATATAATACATGGCAAGAATCCTCTTGGGGAAATAACCAAAATTAAAGAAACAGGCCGGGCGCGGTGGCTCATGCCTGTAATCCCAGCACTTCGGGAGCCTGAGGTGGGCAGATCATGAGGTCAGGAGATCGAGACCATCCTGGCCAACATGGTGAAACCCCTTCTCTACTAAAAATACAAAAATTAGCAGGGCGTGGTGGCACGCACCTGTAGCCCCAGCTACTCAGGAGGCTGAGGCAGGAGAATTGCTTGAACAAAAGAGATGGAGGCTGCAGTGAGCCAAGATCGTGCCACTGCACTCCAGCTTGGGCGACACAGTGAGACTCTGTCTCAAAAAAAAAAAAAAAATTAAAGAAATAGAAGAGGAAGCATAAAAGGAGAGAGAGACAGAGAGGGAGGGAGGAGTGGCTAGGAAGATAGTCTGAAGGGTACTTCCAGTTCCAAGGGAAAAGTGATTTAAAGAGAAGATGTTAATAGAGAGGTCATGCAGAATAAAGACTGAGAATATTGTTGGATTGGCAGGAAGGTCTCAGTCTCATCAAATGCACAGTTTCCATTAAGTCTCAGCATGAATTGGTCAGGATTCAGTCAGAGAAGCAAATCCAATAGGGTATGTATTTTGATTATACATGTTCATTATAAACATTAAATTGGCTTGCATGTTGTAGGAATGGGTTTGGCAAGCCCAGAGTCCATAGGGCAGGTAGACGGGAAGGATGAACCACCAGCAGGCTGGAATCCCATACGCACAGGGTGGAACTGCTATCCCCAGGCAGTCAGTCAAAAAGGAAGATCCAAGGGGAATGGAGGGCACCTGCAGGGTCAGCAACTGGGTGCAGCCTCTAGCCCAGGAAAGCCCTAAGCCCTTTTTTAAAGGGCTTCCAACTCACTGAGACAGGTCTGCTTTGAATAATCTCCCTTCTGATGAACTTAAAGTCAACTGATTAGGTACTTTCTATCCGTAAAATCCCTTCACAGTAGCATCTAGATTAGTGTTAGATTGCAGAACTGGGACAACATGGAAAAGCAACTGCTTCCTCCCTTCTGTCCTCCTACTCCATGAAAGAATATGCCCTGTAGCCTGCCCTGACTGCAAACATACTAGAAAGGGAATTCTGGGGCTGTAGTCCAGCCCAGCCAAGTTAATACATCACAAAGGTATCACGCTGGTGCTGAGGGGGAGGCATGAAGAAAGCGTTTCTAAGAACTTTGGGAATAAAGTGAGAGATATCTGAAAATATAAAGAGAAACAGCTATAAGAAATCTGTGCAAGGATGGTTCCAGTAGAGAGCGAAGGAATGAAATTGTAGTTGAAGAGGACAAGAAGGCATCAGGAGCTCAGTGTTGCCAAAGGAAGGACTCGGTGCTGGGAGAGGCAATCCACCATGGCCCCAAGCCTCCCTATGCACTCCTACTGGGCATGCCAACAATGCAAGGGCCTGACCACTCATTATCTGGGCCATTTCTCAGAGCTGTGTTTACAACAGGAAATCTTGAGAAATGAGACAGCATCTGCTATAGTTTGGATGTTTACCCCTTCAAACTTCATGTTGAAATTTGATCCCCAATACTGGAGGTGGGTCCTAGTGGGAGGTATTTGGGTCATGAGGGCAGATCTCTCATAAATGGCTTGGGGGCATTCTCATAGTAATGAGTGAGTTCTTGCTCTTGTTCCTGTGGAACTTCCCCCAAGAGCTGGTTGTTAAAAAGAGCACAGCACCCACCTCCCTACTTGCTTCCTCTCTGGCCATGTGATCTCTGTACATGCTGGCTCCCCTTCACCTTCCACCATGAATGGAAGCTTCCTGAGGCCTCCCCAAAAGCAGATGCTGGTGCCAGCCTTCTTGTACAGCCTGAAGAACTGTGAGCCAGATAAACCTATTTTTTTAAAATAAATTACCTAGCCTCAGGTATTTCTTTATAGTAACACAAATGGACTAAGACAACATCTTACCCCAGACAAAGAACAGGCTTGCTTCCACTCACAGTAAAAGCAATGAATCCTCTAATTTCAGTGTTTCCCTACTGTAATGCAACCCATGGCATATTCAGGCACCCCAAGGGGTTTCTCTGTCACTCTCACGGGACTTTGGAGAGTGGGTATGGGGAAGCAACAGATACAAACCAACATGAAATTGTGGTTCCCTTTTTGCCATGAGTAATAAGTCCTTTGTCTCTGGCTGAGGAGTCTTATGTCTTCTACTAACATTGATAAAATAGTAACAGGCTAGCTTATTAGCTTCTAAGTAGGGTAAATTCCCAGACCCTTCACAATTCTTGACACTGAGGTAAAGATAAACACATTTTTAGGGGCTAATAAAAGCACTAGACTTTCAATCCAGCAGAAAACCATTCACAACTAAATGTTTTTATTTAAGTAAACTCTAGCCTTCTTTAAAATATTGATTGATTGGTTCTTATAATCTGGAAAGCAAACTAAGCATATCTCCATCTAACCCCCAAACTCTAGTTTCAAATGTATTATCTGGGTATTGGTGTAGTCTAGTGATTCGGTTATAGAATCATAAGACCTGAGCTTGAATGTAAGCTCTGAGACTTATTTTCCTCAAATATATGATAAGGACAGTAATACCTGATTCTTGTAGTGTTGCTTCATGGATGAAGTGAGATAGTATATATGATACCTAGGGTTTCAGATATAGCAGACACCTTGCAAATGCTGGTTTCCCTCTCTTTTTCTCTCTTCCCATTCCTATCACATACACAGCCTTAGAATTGTTTTCTAGTTTTTCCATGTTTTATTTTGCATGTATTTTTACTCAAGCCACTGACATTCAGCAGAAAGTCTGCCCTTTAGATACTTTAAAGGAGATCTAATCATTAACTGATTTCCATATTCCTCTCTTAAGATTTCAGCTACTTAAATCCTACCTTTTCATTTCTAGTCTGTTTCCATCATAGTCTTTTAAAATGTGCTGCTTTCCGTGTAATAAGTGCCATCTGTAAGCATTTAACATTTTTAATGCAAAGAGTGCTCACATTTACTATCCCAGGTGAGCCTCCCACAGCTCTCCATGTTCTGTATGGCGGCAGAAGCCCAGTCTTCCCCTCTGAAGACCATCAAACTAAAATGCTGCAGCATCACTAATGGTCCTGCTGTTGGTAAGGGCAGAGCTGGAACATTAACCCTGGGGTCCTGACTCTGAGCCTCATTCTCCTCCCACTTTATCTTACTGCCTGCTCTGTCCACTCTTCCCTCTTCCTGTGCCTGTTTTCCTCACCTCTGGGCTTGTTTCTTCCAAGGTCTCCTTTTGACAATATTTTTGCAATGACTCTGTATTTGCCAGGGCTCTTTCCATTTTTCCATTTCAAGTGACAGAAATCCTACTCAAAAAAGATTTATCAGCTCGTGTGCGGAGCAGTATGAGGCAGTGAGTGACGCCAGGTGAAGCTGGGGTTGAGGGCTCAAAGGTGTCATTAGGGTTTTTTTTTCTCCTGTACATTTCTCAGCCCTACTTCCTTCTGGTTTTTGGCTTCCTTCACTTCCTGCAGATGCATTTCCTTTTTGTGGTAGCAAGCGTGGCAGGCAACAGGTTCTATGTACATCTGCACTACTTGCTATTCAAGAGGAGAGAAAGTCATGTTCTTCATCTGTCTGTAGGGAATTCGCGCCATTTGGATTGTGTGCCATTCATGGGACCAATCACTGGCCGAGCTCAGCATCACATACCTGTTTCTTTAATGGGAAGGTGGGGTTCTGATTTGAATGGAAAAAGCATGCCTCAGAGAAAAAGAGTTGAAGAAGGGGCCACCTGACCAGAGAAACGCAAAGCAAAGCAAAAACCCAGCATTGTGTCAATCAAACCTTGCATTCTAGACAGTAGCAAGTAATTCAAATTTAAATACTATAAAAACTGATATATATTTTTTTCTGAATTTTTGCATGAATTTTGTCTTCACATTAAAGCTTATTCACTGAATTTCATGTGATTTAATTTAATGTCTGTGACAGCCTTTTCAGACAAACAAATTAAAATGCAGGAGAAAAAATGTTTGTCAGACCACACATCCTCATTTGGAGCTCAGAAAATGTAATCCTCGTAGGTAAGGACAGCAGAGCCTACGGGCAGGTGTGCTGTCTGTCGTGTCTCACCTGCCCACCTCCAGTGCTCCATTTCTTGGCGAGGAAGCCAGCCTGCTTGAGCACTCATTGAATATATATTTAATGGTGCGACATTTATGCGATGCCAAGGAGACTTTGAAATGACTAAATTTAAAATAGATCTTTCTACCTCAACCAAGAGAGAGAAAGCAAAAGGAAATGAAAGACACTCTGTGAGTTGAGAAGACACATTGCAAAAGAGCTAAAACCAAATATGCCTGCAGGTTTCCAAAGCAGGCTTTTGTTATTTTACTTTCTATCTCTTTTTCTCTGTCTCTTTCTTCCTTTCTACCCCAGATGTACCAGGCAAATTAGTAAACAATAATAGTAATGATGATTCTAATGATGATATTACTAAGGATAACAACCCTTTATGGAACACTCATTACATGTCAAACACTTTGCCAACCTTTTTATATCAATGATCTAATTCAATACTCACCACCAGGGAGTGAATTTTATTTGTATATTATAGGAGGAGGCTGAGGTTTAGGGACGTTCACTAACTTATCCAAGTTTATTCAGTTGATAATACTTCTAGTGGCTTCCTATTGCTCCTGCACCACATTATCATGAATCTCATGGCTTAGAAAACACACATTTATTATCTTATGTTCAGAGGCCAGAAGTCCAAAATGGGTTTCACTGGGCTAACATTAAGAGGTTAGCTATGTCCGTTTCTGGAGGTGCTGGGAAGAATCCATTTCCTTACCTTTTCTAGCTTCAAGAAGATGCCCACATTCTTTGGCTTGTGACCTTGTCAGAGATAAAAGATAGCTCTTGCCATCAAGATGCTCACAAAGGGAAGACACATAGGTAAACCAGTGATCACAGGACTTTGTGAGGATGCTGTGGGAGCAAAGAGGAGTGTATGTGTACAGTGTTGGTGTAGGGGTATGTTAGAAAAGGATTCAAATGGAAGTTGATGCCTCAGCAGAGTCCTAAGGCATGAATAGGAGTTATTCAGGCAGAGAAAAATGGGAACACACTCTAGGCAGAGGGAACAGCATGTGCATAAACATGAAGGGCAAGAGGGTACACAGCATTTGGAGAATGCAACTTGTCTGGTATGGATGGGACATAGAATCCAACTGGAGAAGAGAAAAACAAAGACATAATGAAAAAGCAGGTTTACTATTTAGGGCAAAGACTGGAGCAGAGTATTAAAAGACCCCAAAATACAGTGGCCCAAATGAGATAGCTTTTTATTTCCCTCTCATGCAACCATCCAGCAGGCCAAGGTTGGCAGGTAGCTTTGCTGTATGATGATGTTTGGGAGCCATGTTGTTCCTCTACCTTTGCAGGTAGGGATGGGCCATGGCCATTTGTGTTCCAGCTTAAGGACATAGAAAGTGAAGAAGTCTGGGGCAAGCAATTTTCTTTTAAGCAAGTAAGGTGCAAACTTCATCACATAAGGCCACACTTTACCTTATGGGAAATGCAGCTGTTAGCTGGACAATGCCAAGAGAGAATCAAGAGTGGACTAGATATGGGGCCAACAAAGAGTCTGCCCCAGCATGAAAGGAAGGCAGGGCTGGATTAGGAGGACAATTAGTGGCCATGTAACAGAATCTAACTTTTTCCTGAATCTGTCTCTTAATGGGACAGCATCATTAATTGGTGACAGACTTAATTTCAAACATGCATATTCTAGCAAACAAGCAGGGACAGTATACGGGACAAAGGGCAAGACTAAGAAGCAGGCAATCCACCTAAGAAACATTTTGCAGTCATTCAGCCTCTGGAAAAAAAATGATAGAAAGGAGTAATAAGATTGAGAACTCTTTTGGGAATCTACAGGACTTGATGATTGGCTTACTGTGGGGATTAGGGCAGACAGAAGAAATGTGGGTGATTCTAAAATGTCTGAGGAAAAGAGTGAATGGAGGTGGCATTCACCAAGATATCAAATATAAGTGGAGAAATAAGTTTGGGCAGAGGAGAAACATAATGAGGCAATTAGATTTACTCTTCGGAGCTCAAGAGAATCTTCTGCCCTGAGGATACAGATGTGACAGTGCCCGGCATGTGAGTTATCATTGGAAAGCTAAGAGCGAATGAGATTTCCTAAAGAGAGAGGACCAAGTGATCAAAGGCCCAGAGACGGAACTCTGTGGAACAGACATATGGAAGGCAGCGATATGGAGGAAAAGCACTCCATGCAAAAAACTAAGAATGTGCCTTACAGCAATAGGAGGAAAACCAGGAGATGGCATTTTGTGGAAGCAAATGTAAGACAGAGTTTTAAAAATGAAGATGTGCTCAATTGTTAAATGCCAAATAAGTCAAGCAAAATAAGAACTGAAAACCCATCCACGATTTGGCAATAGGAGCTCATTGGTCAGCTTGGTGTGAGGAGTGTTGGGCAGAATGGGGAGAATTGAATATTAGAATGGGAGAAATGTGGAGGGAAGGGTTGGAGAAAAATGAGAGCAGGGAGTAATTACTGAAGTAAAGTACTTTGGAAGAGGGAGAGAATGAAAGTCTAAGCCCAAGGGAGGAAATCAATTCAATGACAGGACACAGATCCAGAGCCATAAACAGAGCAGCACTTCTGCCTTCAGTTGAGAGACTTAGAGAAAATGCCAAGAAGGGGTCAAACACCAGCATAAAGGTGGAAGACACTAAACCAAGGGCAGTGATGCCCATCAATTATCTAAGGGTTTACTTTGGTTGGAGAAGTCAGGACTAGATGCAGGACGTAAACCAACCTAAAGGGTTAGCACATTTCCTGGGATTAACAAATGTAAGCACAAGCAAAGATTACAATATGAGTTGAGTCGGAGTATTAATTAATGTAATGAATTCCCTGCAGGTACAACCAGAATTATCTTAATAGCCATAAAAAGATACATTGGAATGATGTCAGTTGGCTTCCTTTCATTCCTCCTTTTATCCCCCAAGTGTTTTCCCCAAAAGTGGATTCTGCACTAAATCATTTTAATGATGAGCCCTCTCTGACTTGCATTTGTTCCTCTACTGGTGGCCCTCTTATCTGATTTTTTAACTCACGGAGTTCCATGTAGTTGTTTACAGCATTTCCCTGGAGAGCTTGTAGGCATCTACATTCTAATTTCACCTTAGCAACTTCACTGTGTCTTTTTATTACATCAATAGTCTGTTCATTTCAGACTTTGTCTTTTGGTATCAAGTTGGTTAATATATGATTTTGAAAATGTAAATATGCATACCTGCAACAAAGTGCATCAGAGTTGAAAGAAGAAAGAAGCAGGTTGTGTTTGCCTAAAAGCTGCAAAACCAGGCAATATACCAAGCATTGAATCTCACTTGGTTCCTGCGCAAATCAGACTCATTTCCTGCACACCCAAATGACGTACAGTATGAGAATTTGCTGGTGCAGTGCTTGCTTCCTCACAGATACTCAAATGCTGGTTTTCTTTCTTCCTTCACACTCCCTCACAGAGTTCACTGTCAAGTAAGGGAGACAGGCATAATTAAATATGTATGCAAGAAAAGGAAGGGGACTTTAGAGATAATGGGACTTCATTTGTGGAGGAAGAGAGACACGAGAAAGCAAATAGCCTTGAGGAAGAATGGATAGAAACAAGTTCACACTACAATATTTGCCAGGATCTTAGTAATAACTACATTTAGATTTTGGTAAATCACTTTTACAAAAGTTGCTTTGTCTTGAGAGAGAACTGAGGCTGACAGATTTCACAACATGGGCTACATTCTTTTCTGCACACTTGCTCTAACCTTTGTACTCTTCATTTTGCTGTTAATTCATCCAGTGACGTTTTTATTTCAGACATCATATTTTTCAGTTCTAGAATTTTTATTTGATTCTTTTGACCGTTTCTATTCCTCTGCCTAGATTTTCTATCTTGTTATTCATTGTTAACATATTTTTTTCACTACTGAGCATAATTATAAATAGCTGCTTCATAACATTTGTCTGCTAATTACAATATATAAATAATTTCAGGGTTGGTCTCAGTTGATATTCCTTCTCTCCTGAAAATGTGTTCCATCTTTTTGTTTGCTTGTAACTTGGGTAATTTTGCATTGTATCCTGGACATTATGAATATAAAGTTATGAAGATTCTATGTTCCATTATTTAGCCTCAATGAGGAAAAAAATTAACTGCAAACTGTTTATTTTGGGTGGTTGCTTTTGACTCGACTAAAATATTTTGTTATCATTTCAGCTTTTAGTCTACACTCTGCATGTGTGGCTTAGGGGTCAGCCAGAGCTGAGAGCAGACAGAAGTTGGAAATCCTCCCTCGGACTCTTTCCCTTCCTGCATTCCCTTTCTCTTCCCAGCAGCCATGGTGGCCCTGGATTCAGCTTTCCCTTCCACAGGCCAGAGAGATTGTGATTTTTTTTCCACCAATGCCCTGCCACCCTGCAGGCTGCTCTCACTACACTTGGGTGTAAGTGAAAAGCTGTCCCTATAACTTCCCTCCTCTGAGCACGGACCACCCCACTCCTGGGTCTGCCTGCTCTTCTCACTCTCATATGTCTTCAAGAAGCTGCTTGTATTACGTCCAAAGCTTACAATTGGTATGTCCAGGAGGCTCAGTCTGGTAGGATCTTACTCTGTCCTTACCAGCAGCAGAAGTAATCTGTCTTTGCGGATCAAAGATGGATTTGAGCTCTGGATCTGAACCAACGAACACACAATGACCTATGAATTTTTTGGACAGGAACATTGAAGATGGCATGAGCTATCCAGTGGAGACACACATCCATATGCATGTGCATTTTTATATATTTTTATGAAATGCATGACATGTCTTAAAAAGCCATTTATGTAGTGTGTAGGTGTGAGTCTATGAAAGAATTGGAAATGAATGTATGCCTCCTTTCACTTTGTTGTTTAGTATTCCTTAGGAAGAAGCAATATTGAATAAAATTTTAACTAATTATCCAAGATTATGAGTCTGATATTGCAGTATGTGGGGAAAGGGTTTGGGTAGAAGGAGAACTTGGGCTCCAGCAGGGGCTCTGGATTGAATATGCAGGTCCTATCCCTTAAGACTCAGTAGATACTATGACCATTGTATTTTTCTATAATCACAGCCATACCCTCAGATGTAAGCAGAATGAGCAAAGCTCTTTGCCATTGCACTAAAAATATCTAGGTAATTACAATAACCCTGCCATTGAAAAAGCAAGCAATTATGAAGATATCTTTTACTGCAACATTTACATTGCAGAATATTGGACAGAATCTAAATTTCCAACAACACAACAATAGGGAATTGGGTAAATGAATGATAACAAAGTCATACAATAAAATATTTTTCAGTTATAAAAATGATGCTGTAGAAGGGCAGGCAATAACCCGGAGAGGGATTAAAGCATATTAAGTGAAACAGCAAGTTATAAAACATGTACACTTGATTAAGTTCTTGCTGGGAAATATCCACTTATCATCTCTTCCCCTAGTCTGCCATTAATCATTTGCCTGTTCAAGGAGAGACACCAAACTGCTAGAACTGGTTATCTCAATATAGAAAGATGATGGGTCGTTTTAAGTTTTATTTTTCTTTTGCTTATTTTTAACTCTGTAGTATTTTTCTATGTTGGATATCTCTTACTTTTAAAATAAGAAAGATGTTATGTACTATCATGAGAGAAAGCGAGGGTAAAAACTAGCATGTGCTGGCATGCTAGGGAGAGGGTGTCTGTGAGATGGCAGAGAGAGCATTCATTCAGCACCAGGCTAGTGGCTTAGGCCTCTGTCACCCAAACTCTGGTGAGAACTCTAGCTTTTTTTCTTTTTTTTTTTTTTAATGGAGTCTTGCACTGTCACCTGGGCTGGAGCGCAATGGCACTATCATGGCTCACTGCAACCTCCGACTCCCGGGTTCAAGTGATCCTCCTGCCTCGGCCTCTTGAGTAGCTGGGATTACAGGTGCCTGCCACCACGCCTGGGTAATTTTTTGTATTTTTAGTAGAGACAAGGTTTCACTATGTTGGCTAGGCTGGTCTCAAACTCCTGACCTCGTGATCCACCCACCTTGGCCTCCCAAAGTGCTGGGATTACAAGCGTGAGCCACCGTGCCCGGCTCGAACTCTAGTTTTCAACACTTCTAAACTCCAGTAATTCAAGTCTTGGTTCTGGATTGAGGACCGGTTCTTTTGATTATGAGGTGTCTGCAAATGGCTTCTACCTGTAACTTGAAAGCAGAACATACCTATGTTGACCCCCCACCTTGGGGCCCACCTTCCTAAAACCACGTAGTTATGGTGTAAAAAGGTTTTTGCTTTTTGTGAGAAGTTGGACCCCAGATGATATACCAGGCAACATCTATCACTTTTATGACTGATGAAGACTATTTTGCAAAATATATACATGTATGCGTGTAGCAAACTTCTACTCTAGAATGCATATACGAGCTAATTGCCAGACATCATTTATTAGTGTGCTTAGTAGTGGTTTTTTTCTTGACACTTAGTAGTGGCTTTTTTCTTAACACTTGGAAAAGTTTTCCCAATTACATTACCTGCCCCTGGCCCCTGGCATATGTAATATAAAAATAAATGTATACTTGAGCATACTATAACTTACATTTAGGTAAAACTAATAATTGAGATTTTATTATTTTGAGAAATAATTTTTTATGTTTATGGCTTTATTCCTTCATGTTAAAAACAATATATTCAAAATTACTTTAAAGTCGGTTTTCAAGTCTTTTCATTTATATATCTATTTCATTTATTCACTGTATCGGTCAGGATACTGGAAAAAACCAAAACTTAACTAATCTAGTTCAGTGAAAGAGTTTAATGAATGGATGATTTATTGAGATGCAGGTGGGGTTGAAGGAACCAAAAGGATGTGAAGACATCCAGGAACTAGCAATGTAGGAAGCTGTTAACAGGCTTAGACCCCGTAGGGGAGCCATATATGGCTTTCCTCTACCTTCCTAGGTTCTTTGGCTAGGCTATGAATTAAATTGATATAAGGCCAATTAACAGGAGAAAAAAACATTTTAATTATGTACATATGCCTGGAGTTTCACAAAATATGAGACTGAAAGATGGGTCAGATGATTGAAGCTTCTGTAGCATCCTAAGCTACAGAAGGAATAGGGACATGGGGCTTCTGGGGCTTGGCAGCACACAGGGCAGGGGAGGGTGGAGAAGGAAATGTGTGGTGCGTAGAGGGTGTCTTGTTCTGCAGACGAAACCTCTCTCGGGTAATAACAGCCGTCTCTGAGCAGCCCTCAGAGGAAGCGATGACAGTCTGTCTGGGCATGGTGTCAACCTCAAGTCTCTCCTGTGTTCCCCAGGGAGGGAGGTCATGACAACTGAACTCCTTCTGAAGGAAGTTCAGAGAAAGCCCTTCCCTGTACTTGCTGTTCCTCAAGTGCCCCCAGTGGGAACTAACCAGCATACCAAGCAGCACATTTCAGGGTGATATTTCCTGAACTCCTTCAACCTAAAGGGAAAAAAGGAGGAAATAATATTCCTGGAACTCAGTGAGAGGTGGGGCCATGGAGGCGGGGCCACCATAGAAGCTGTAGCTGTGGAGGGCACAGCCATGTCAGAGCAACATGGAGGAGAGGAAATGGGAAGAGAAACCTCATGTGTCTCTCCTTCCACCTTCCAACCTCCAATGGCCTGTAGACAGTGGAAAGCCACTCAGCAGTAGAGCTAAATAAGGAGCCCCGGGGGTCAGGACAGAGGTGGGCAAAGGAAGGTGGAGAGCAGAGAATGAATGGTGAGGGGAAAAATGAAAATAATCAGTTAATTCATTCAACAAATATTTTAAAAAGGATTGCTATGTTCCAGACACTGGGCTAAGTATACTTGACTCGACAGGCTTTGTTTGGGGTTTGTAAGTAGATCTATTGGGCACAGCCCTAGAGGCAAATTCTTTCTTCTTGAATATTATTTCTATTTACAGCATTTCAATAGCAATAGCTCTGTGCGGATTAGACTGCCAATGAAGTTCACTACCTTTTGCTTCTGCTTGCTGTTCTACATAATGGCACATTGTGAAAAGCCGCAAGTATAGAGCGGGCACGACTTCTTATAATTAAGTATACGGGTAAAAGCACAGCTGAATTTGGAATTTTGCATAAGGGAGTTTTCTAGGCTTTTTTTTGGCTTTAAAGAAAAAGCACAAATAAGGAGGCAGAATACAGGAGAGGAGACAGGAGTCCGGAACAAAAGCAAATAACCTAATGAGCTATTCAAAGGCAAATTCACAAACTGCGCTTCTCGAAGCCTTAATAAGAAGGATGGAGGCCATCAAATCAGGTGAGGAGTTCATATTATTACTGAGAATGTGCTGTCTGGAGAAAGGCAATGGAGTATCACCAAAGAAGCAGCATTCTGGTAAAAAAAAAAAAAAAATTCTAGATCAGAAATCATAGAACATGTTTCTTTGTTCAGAGCTTCATAACTCAGTCTGCGGAGTGGATAATGAGTGTGTAGTTCCCTATTCTACCCTCTGGCAACTTTGAAGGCTGTTCCTTTTCTTTTTAAGTACTGCCCCATCCTCTCCCATCATAGAAGGCAAGCAGAAGAACTTCAAACAGTACAAGTGTATCTTATAGCACACGCTAGATTAGTTCCTTTACTACTTTATATAAACTGATATTTCTTAATGAATGGATAAGGCTTGAGAATTGGAATATCCGCCTCTGCTTGAGGTCCTGCTGCTGTGTAAACTGTGGACAAGTCACTTAACTCCTCATTTCCCTTGATTCATTCAGTCATTCAATTACCTCATCTGTGAAGTGAGGGTAGTGTGTAGGGATCAACTGGAACACAGAGGGGGCTTTAGGAAGCCAAGAATCACATCAACTTGTATAGAAAATAGTCTGTGTAGTCCAGACGCAGTAGCTCAAGCCTGTAATCCTAGCACTCTGGGAGGCTGAGGTGGGTGGATCACCTGACGTCAGGAATTTGAGACCAGGCTGGCCAACATGGTGAAATCGCATCTCTACTAAAAATACAAAAATTAGCCAGGCGTGGTGGCAGGTGCCTATAATCCCAGCTACTGGGGAGGCTGAGGCAGGAGAATCGCTTGAACCCAGGAGGCGGTGGTTGCAGTGAGCTGAGATTGTGCCACTTTACTCCAGCCTGGGTGACAGAGTGAAATTCCGTCTCCTCTCAACAACAACAACAACAATAAAAAAAAAAAAAAAAAAAAAAAAAAGAAAAGAAAAGAAAATGGTCTCTGTGTGTATCTGCTTGTTGATGTGGATCAGCACATTTTACCAGATTCTCCAAGACTTTTGTGGCCCCTAAAAAGAATTATACAACTCAGAACCAAAATAGATTACTCAAATCCTATTTTAAACTAAAAAATTCTACAACTTTTGGTTTAGATTACAATTTTAGAACTGCCTCCCTCAAGTCCTTTTCTTGAACATCGATTGATAGTGCCTTTGCCAACTCTGGGTTTAGGTTCCTATCCTCTTCCCAGTTTTAATGATCTATAAACAAATAAAGCAGTGTCTTAACGAGGAGATGTCATCAACTATATTCAAAGCATTCTAATTTAGAAGGCCATTTTTTATGGTTTCATGAATATGCCCTATTTTATCTGTTTTAAAAATCATGGTTTAATATTTGTTTTTTTATAACGTGCAAGGAACTACATACAGCTTGAGATAGTTAATACGGTTTCAGACCAGGAGAAGATCTTGCAGTAGTATTGGCCAAAAGACCTTTCTGAGATGGTGGAAATGTTCCATGACTCTCTGCTGTCCAATATGGTGGCCATTAGCCACAGCTGGCCATTGTGCACTTAAAATGTGGCTAGTGCAACTAAGGAATTAAATTTCTAATTTTATTTACTATTAATTTATTTAAAATTAAATAGTCGCAGGTGGCAAATGACTATCACATTGGACAACACAGCCTTAGAGAATGTCCCACATGATCCATATTAGGCACAGGAAATCCCATAACACCTTCTAAAGCAGGCTTTCTCAACAATGATGCTATTGACATTTTAGGCCAGATAATTCTTTGTTGAGCGGGGAGGATAGTCCTGTGTATTGTAAGCTATTTAGGGGCATTCAAACCTTTACCTACTAGATTTCAGTAGCACCTTGGCCCCCTATGCCCGCCCCACCAGTTGTGACAATGTTTGCAGACATTTCCAAATGTCTCCTGCAGGGCATAGATGCCCCAAGTTGAGAGTAAGTTGTCCTTGAAATTACTCAGGGATTAGGCACCCTGCCAGATAGACCACTTTTATGCTAGGTTCTTGAAATTATTAGGAGGTTATTTCATACATCTTGCTGCTCATAATTTCTTCTCCTTGCTAGTCTTTATACTTGGTAATTGTGGTAAGCTGCTGAGGAGGAAGGTGAAAATAAACAAGCTAGTTGAAATGTGTCAGTGTCAACAGGAAACACATCAATAGTGGTTAAGAGTGTGAGCACTGAAACTACAGAGAATGGGTTCAGTTTCTGGCTCTGTCAAGAACTAGCTGTGTGATCATTTGCAAGTTAATTCAGTTCTCTGTTTCTCAGTTTTCCTGTTTGTAAAATAGAAATGGTATAACCAGAGTTGTTTTAGGATTAAATGCAATAATGCCTATAAAATGCTTGGCTATTATTATTAGCAAAAATAATAACAGCAGCACCCTACTTTCTTGTTGTCCTAATTGTTGTTAAATATAGTATCTCATGTGACCTTCCCAGTTATTTTTTTGTTTTTATTTTTTTGAGACAAGGTCTCACTCTGTTCCCAGGGCTGGAGTGCAGTGGCTTGATCACAACTCACAGTAGCCTTGACCTGCCGGGCTCAGGCGATTTTCCCACTTCAGCCTCCCGAGTAGTTGAGACTACCAGTGCATGTCTTCGTGCCCAGCTAATTTTTTGTATTCTTTTTTGTAGAGATGGGATTTCACCATGTTGCCCAGGCCGATCTCAAGCTCCTGGGCTTGAGCGATCTGCCTGCCTTGTTGTTCCAAAGTGCTGGGATTTACAGGAGTGAGCCACTGTGCCCGGCCCTCATAATTT
Source organism: Homo sapiens (assembly GCF_000001405.40). Taxonomy (NCBI): domain Eukaryota; kingdom Metazoa; phylum Chordata; class Mammalia; order Primates; family Hominidae; genus Homo; species Homo sapiens. The sequence goes on from NC_000007.14 coordinate 36,788,854, forward strand.
TGTAGATATTGTTATTCGCATTTGATGAGTGAAAAATGTTGATGCTCATACCGCTTAAGTGATGTGGTCAAGGGCCAGCTTGGTTGGTAAGAATGTCAGTTCACCCAGTTCCAATTTGAATGTTCTTTCTGCCAGAGAGAAAGACCTCCGCACTATCACGTGATCTTACCTTCTGTGTCTGTGATGTTCAGTCTGAGTGGTCCAGGTAGGGGGAGCCTACGTATTATAGGAAGATCCGAGGGTGCAAAGGGCTGAGAAGCCACCTACCAAGATTTCAGCCTGAAACACTAAAGCCAGGGGTTCTCAGAAGCCTGTGGAAAGCTGCTGTGAAGCTCCCTCTGCACTGGGGGCTGGATAAAGCCACCAATGCAGGATAAAGGCCTCTGCTAGGTTCCTCACTGGGGTTGGCATGTGGGTCCTCCTGGGAATGGCATTCTGGGAAATGTAGTTCCTGCTTTGCTTCTGAGGTGCAGAGGAGACCTAGACAGGGCTGGTGGTGATGCTGAGTTGGCACCTGAAAACCCAGCACACGTCCAAGAGAGTCATTCCATCACCAGGAGATTAGAGGAGGCAGGGTGGTGTGTGGGAAAGGCCTTGGGTCCAAGTGCCTCCTGTGGCACCTACGCGCCAATTGGGCAAGTCACTCCACCCCTCAGGCACTTTGCCTATCAGGATCAAATAATATAAGACACTGGCTGATTCTCACATCGTCTGTAACACAGTGGGCACTCAGTTAAGGTTGTTCTTGCACCTCCAGCTACAAACAGACAAGTGTATTCTGAGGGCTATTTGTCCGGAGAGCTCTTGAATATTTTGACACCAATGCTCTTAGAGCAGAGATTGCCAGTTGCCCCCATCCCACTCTTCTTTCCGCCATAGCAATAGAGGCCCCATGGCAGTTCTGAGGAAGTCACATTCTGGCCTCTTTTGAAGCTTGGTGCAGCCACATCCTCACCTGTGTCTGTAGCCAGAAGTGATGCATGCAATGTCCAGGCTTGCCTTTGAAAGGAAATGGATTTGTGCTGCCTCCCTGCTCCCTCTTTCTGCTTGTTGTGATGGGCCGTACTGATGCGAGCAGGGCAGCCAAGCATCAAGCCAGGAGGAATTGGGCTCCTTGTCCCTCTGGGATTGCCGCACCAGCCAGGACAGCTTGAGCTCAGACTATCAGGTAAGTGAAAAACAAACTTATCTTGTCGCAGCCCCTGAGGTCTCTTTGTGATAACAGCTTGGCCTGTATTCTAACCATATATCATCAGATTCAAAAACTCCTACATAATTGCTCAATTATGATATTAAGGCAGCTTTCTGTAGGGGTGTGAAAGCTTGCTTGAGACAGATTTCAAGCCAGAATGGCCAATATCTCACTTAGCCAGCTAACTTTATTTTGAGAGACAGAGCCTGAAAATATTGGGTGAGCAAAACCAGTGTCGAAGTTAGGGAGAAGCATAAACGTCAGGCATGGACTCTGAAGGGAGCTGAGATGCCCCCCCAGGGGAAGCAGGCAGCCCTCTAACGCTGCAAGGTACACTGCTCACGGTGACAGGAAGGGTGATGAGAAATGCTTCAGATGTTTAAGTGACATCTGAATCCAGTGACATTTCCTGGCTTCCATGAGCACTGCTACTATTAAAAACAAACATATTTGACGGATGGAGCAATGCTTCCCGCAGCTGATGCCTGGGCGATCTGTGTTTATCAGAGCTGCATGCATGCTTCTACCAATAATCATAATTTAAAGATTCAAAGTGATAAAAGCATCACAATGAAATATCTGCCTGCCTTCACTGCAGGGCTGGCTTCACAGACACAAAGAAATGGAAGGTATCGCCACAGTTGTGGGGATCTCGGCATACATGTTTATGGTGCCATTTACTACGTCGTAACCTCCTCAGTAGTATTGATGTCCTTTCTCTAGACCGTGAGTCCTCTGTGAATTACTTGCCTTTGCACCTTCTGCTCCTAGAATGATCAATAAATATCTAAATGAATGAGTCTAGTTCAGCCTTCTCACTTGGCAGTGATTTGTTCAAAGTCAAAATTAATTAACTGCAGAAAAAAATCTGACTCCTTTTTCTCTGGTAAGCTGAGAATGACGGTTTTCTCCAGGCCTAGATGACTTGGGCAAATCTCTTATTAGGATTCCTATAACCCAGATCCACATAAGCACACAAACACAGAAAACCACACACCTATATACACAAACATGCACGTAGATACACACAAACACCCAAGCACATGAGCAAAAACAAAACCACACAGGCTTTTACACAAAACACGCACGCATAATCACATGGGTTATACATGTGAATTTCAGATACAAAATGAGCAATTTTTTAGTACAGATAAGCCCTAAATAGGCATGCGTAAATACACACGGACATACTTATACTAAAAGAATGATTTGCTGAAATAATTTACCTGCAATTCGAATTAAATTGTGCACCCTGTATTTTTATTTGCCAAATCTGGCAACTGTAACACAAACACACATTTAGATTCACATGCACAGACCCATGCAGAAACACACAAGCACAGACACCCAACGATACACACAAACACATACACACCCAAGACCTAGTTTCTTTTAACAGATCCTGCCAAGACCAAACTGGCCATTAGAATCGTAGTTCTAGCTTTCCCCTGGAGAGCTGGGGAGATGCCAAGGTGAGAGGGAGTGATGAAAGGACTGGTGTGGCTTGGGAAGGAGGCAGGAGGATGAATCTCTGCTCACAGTGGTCCTGTGTGGTGGGGCAAAGGGGAGCCCCCTTCTGCAGGCAGGGATGTGAGGAGTTGCTTTAGAGAAAGGATACCTCCCCCAAGACACACACAGACACATATACACACACATGCACAATCTTACTTCAGCATTTGGAATCACATCAGTCACCGTGAGCAATTTCTTCTGCATGATTTTGTAAACAGGTTCAAGCTCCAGAGAGAAGCTTTTCCCTCTAGAAATCTGTGATGCTGAGTTTACAAGTATCCTTGGCAATGAATGATGGGGTGGGCTTGGATGAAATTCTACCTCAGTTTAGGGAGCTACCGTGTAGCCCCGAGTTACAGAGCTGGTGGGGAATTCCTGACTCTACTTTCCTTGCTGCCCCTCACCCCATGACCCTTTTCCAAGACACAGCCACAAATATTGACTAAGTTCACCTCAGAACAGTCTCAATCTGCCTTTTGCTCTTCATTCCCATGGTCATGGCGCTCCTTAGACCCCTGTGATCTTTCACCTGGATGTTGACCTCAGCCTCTTCCCCCTCACTTCCAACCTGCCAACAAATTTATCTTCTGAGATGTTACCAGAATGAGGCGTCCAGTGTACAGGTTTGATCATGGTTCTCTCTCTCTTAAAATCCTTTGATGGAGGTCAGTTTTCTCCACAATGAACATGAGCATGGCCTCTAAGACCCTTCAATATCAGAACCCATTCCAACCTCAGTTCCCATCTTTTCACCTCAGACATTCTGTCTGGCCACAACAAAATGAATTCATTTTCCCACAAACATCCAGCCAATTACATGGCTTAGCCTCTCTCAGCATTCTCTAGGCATGGAGCATCCTTCACCGCCTCCCTTGCCTAGTGAATTAATTATCCTTCAGATCTACTTCAAATATCCTCTCCAACCCCATCCCACACTGCCTCCCAGTCCTGTGGAATTAGACACTCACTCCTCTGTGCACCCACAGCGTTTGCATACACTTCTTTCTCACTTACCATTATAGTTATTTATTGACATTTGCAAGTGCCTCTCCCCCACAAGCTTGTGAGCTCGTCTGGGGCTGTGGTTAATTCTTATTCATATATGAACCACCAGTGTCCAAGATCGTGCCTGCCACAGAAGACGGTCTTAGGAAGGGATGTTGTTGGTAGAATTTTACTGGTAGCAATGTGCATTGGAGTTCATGGAAGAGGATTTGGAATCAAAGAGACCAAGATTCAAATCCAGCAAACTCCATTTATTAGCTCCAAATTGCATAATATCTCTATAGCAAGGCAGAATAATGCCCCGTCCCATCAAAGATGTCCATGTTCTAATTCTTGGAACCTGTGAATATGTTGCATACATATCAGAGAGAAATTTTGATTGCAGATCAAATTAAGGTTGCTAATCGGCTGACCTTAAGGTAGGGGGCATATCCCAGGTTATCTAGGTGGGCCCAAAGTCATCTCAAATTTCCTTATAAGTGAGAGATGGAGACAGAATTGAGGATTAGAGTGATGCGATGTGAGGACTCAACCCACCATTTCTGGTTTGAAGATGGAACGGGTCACAGGCCAAGCAATGTGGGCCGCCTCTAGAAAGCTGGAAATGATACAGACACAGAGTCTCCCCAGAGAGCCTCCAGAAAGGGATGCAGCCCTGTCAACATCTTGATTTTAGTCTGGTAAATTCCATTGCAGACTTTTGACCTCCAGAATTATAAATGAATGAATTTGTGTCTTAAGACATTATGTCAGAGGTAATTTGTTACAACAGTGATAGGAAATGTATACCAGCACTAAACCTGTCCCTTCTTTGGCAAGGAAGCCAGTAATGGTCCCAGTTACCCAGGATGGTGGTGAGAACCATGTAAACTAAGCATGTGGTGCCTTGGCACAGTGCTTTGCACAGGATAAAGGCAGTGGTCAAAGCAGCAGCTACAGTAGTAGTAGTTCTAGGAATAATAATATTATTGCCATTTAAGGTAGTTGGGGAGGTCAGTTGGGAGTTCAAAGAAATACCCTATAAGAAGCAATCTGAGTCTCGCAGGAGAGGGCAGTGGGTCCCAGGGAAGACATGAAGGTGGCCATACTGACTAGGGGGATTCAGGAAAAGGAGGTGGGTGTCAACTGTTGAAGATACCCCCGCTCTGTCACAGAGAAGCTGCACAAGCCTAGGTGAGTTAGGGAGCTTGGTCCCATCCCTTCCCTCCCCTTTGAAACATCCTGGCCAATCCTATACTGTTTTTTGTGTGTTTGTTTTGTTTTATTTTTATTTTTTATTTTTATTTGAGATGGAATCTTGCTCTGTTGCCCTGGCTGGAGTACAATGGCATGATCTCAGCTCACTGCAACCTCTGCTTCCCGGATTCAAGTGATTCTCCTGCCTCAGCCTCCCAAGTGGCTGGTATTACAGATGCCCACCACCATGCCCAGCTAATTTTTGTATTTTTAGTAGAGACAGGGTTTCACCATGTTGGCCAGGCTGGTCTCGAACTCCCGACCTCAGGTGATCCACCAGCCTGGTCTCCCAATGTGCTGGGATTACAGACGTCAGCCACCAAGCCCGGCCTCCTGTACCCTGTACCACTTTATAATGTTGGCTGGGACAAGTGGCCAGGGACAGAGTGGGGACAGGTCAGCATTCTGAGAGTCCTGAGGACAAGGCCTCTAGGCCCTTTTCCTTCCATTCTGGATGTCTCCTGGAGACTCCAGAGAAGCCCATCTTCACCAGTGTAGCTGAGACCTTTGGCTAAGCAAGAACTGCTTTTGAGGCTGGGAACCTGGGTTTAGATCAGGTGAATCTGTTTACTAGCAGATGCCCCTGGACAAGGCAGCTTCTCAGAGCCTGGAAGACGATGGGACCAGATCTATGGTTTTCAGTCTATGTTTCTCAGGGGATTCCTCAGGGGCTGTCATTGTGGGGCCAGGTCCAAAGAGAGTCCTTGGGCTCCTGCTTGCCAATGTCACCCCAGCACCTCTGCGTTTGCCTTTTATGGAGATCAGAATTTCACACAGGCTTTGGTTTGGGCATTGGGGGAGTTGTGGGAAAACAAAAAACAAACAAACAAACAAACAAACAAACAGCTTTGAAAACCACCAGAGAGATCATCATTTCCAGCTTAAAGTTGAATGATATTTGGCCCAAGCACACAATGAACATAGGTTTTATGATGGGAGAGGCAGGAAGAATCTTTTGAGGGGTTGATTAACACTGCCTCATGTCAGAGAACAGAAGGTCTATTATTAGGAGAAAACAGACTTTCTTTTCAACTGGCTTCTGTCTGGAGGTCCCGCCATCTGGTGGAGAATCCTCCCTAGAATGTGGACAGCTGTGTGTAGACCCACCTGCCGTGGGAGTAACAATGGCTCAGGCCAGTCCTCCTTCCCCACCATGTGGGAGAGCTGGCAGGTTACCAATGCCTGGCCTCCCACATCCGGCAGCTCCAGGCCTGTGTCCTGCCCAGGTGTGTTTCCCATTTAGAAAGTGAGATCTGGAGCTCTGATTCTCAGCCCTGACTGTACATCTGATCACCCAGAGAGTTTAAAAAGTTTGATGCTCAGGTCTTCAAGTTTCAGACTTATAAAATCATTATCTCTGGGTATGGGACAGGAGGGTGGGCTATCCAGCAAGAGACTGCTGACTCCCCGAGGGGCCAAGCCTGCAGCCCCGGAGATGCCCTGGAACCCTCTCTGCAATGGCAAAACATGAACTATATCACCACTCCCCTTCTCACTCCAAATTCTAAAATGACTATGGCTGTGATTTTGCAGGGTGTCATCGGCTACGCAACTCATCATAGCAGCCTGTAGCTCAACAGGTGAAAAGTCTCCCTTCATTTCTCAATGATTTTTCTCCTATGATCATTTTACTGGAGAAGTTGTTCAGCTTGGTCTTTTGAGACAGCTCAGGATCTTACATATGATATGTTTCATGGTTGTCATAAAGATGAATGCCCTTGAAGCCTGCCTTTATTTGAGTGAGAGGTGCTGAGTACGTTGAATAACAATAAACCACATTACATATTGTTATTATTGCTCAGCAGGAAAAGAACTATCTGTACAGGGAAATAAGCCAAGTTTCATTAGTCAGCTCACCTATCATGCATTTGAAATAAACCTGGTGTGTATTCTTCTTAATATGACATCTGAGATTAGAAGTCGGTGTCAAAGTCAAACACCAGGAGAAAACAAAGACAAACACAGCTCTCTGGAAGGCTCCATTCTCATTAGAGTTTGCCCAAACATTTGGATGACTTGGTTATTTTTTAGCTCGTGGCTTTACAGATAAGCTAACTTTTAACCAGACAAAAACACATCATGTGTCAACCTTTGGACGTGACTTTACAGATGGGCAGGGGTGTTTAAGTCCAGGTAGACTCTGCAGATACTCCTTAGCTGAGTTTTTAGTAGACTGTTCAGCTCCCAGTGTCACAGTACTTTTGTCTTCTTAGCCATAGAAAGCTTTGTTAATTTGGTCTTGCTGTCTTTTCCCATCTTCTGTCTTGGCTCATTTGGAGGAGTTACTGAGCAATAGAGTGGATGAAAAGAGCAAGGAAAGGAGGCAATGAGGGAGGTGGAGGTGGAGGTTGAAGAGAAAGAACAATTGACAAGCCCCTGCTGTAGTTCACATTCATGCTTTGCAGAAGTTAATCCCATTTGAAATCTCATAATAGCCCTGCAAGGTATCCCCATTCTCACAAGCGGGATCTTGCTGAACCCTAAGCTCCAGGAGCAAATCTGGTTTTGCTCCTCAGTGTACAAGAGGTCCTCAAATAAAATTGTTTTGTTCAATGTTATTTTGTTATAACATTGATGAGAACAAAATCTGATTCTTGGCCAGGGCCACTGTATATGTGGAGTTGGCACATTCTCCCCATGCCTGCGTGGATTTTCTCCAGGGCCTCAGGTTTCCTCCCGCATCCCAAAGATGTGCACGTCAAGTACTTTGACGTGTCTCTTTTGTCCCAGTCTGATGGAGTGTGGATGCGTGTGAGTGCACCCTGCAATGGGGATGGCGCCCTGTCCGGGGCGGGTTCCTGTCTGGTGCCCTGAGCTGCCAGGAGAGGCTCCAGCCACCTGAGACCCGGAACTGGAATATGTGGGTAAATAATTATCTACTTGTTTTTATGAACCTTTCTTAGATGTACATTTCACTCACATTCATTTCAGTGTTTAATATTAGAAGTGTTATTAATATCCCTTAATAAGAAGTTTGGGGATATTTTTGTGACCAGAAATATGCCATAGGAACTTCACTCCTGTTTATCTAACTTAGGCTGTGCTAAAATTGATTTTGTTGTATGTTGTTTCACTTAAAATCACAGTTTCCAAGAACCTATTGATGACATTAAGTGAGGACCTAGCCCATCAGGGGAGGTTGAATGACTTGCTGAGGGCAGTAGAGCCAGCGATAGAGCCAGGCTTTGACCCCTGGCCTGTCTGATGCTCAAAGCACTTTGCACATTGGTCCACAGTGACTGTGATCCAAACATCTGTGCTTCCCAGCCAGGACTTTGCACTGGACAGTCATGGGCATCTGTTTTGAGCTGTGGAGAATTAGGCCACAGGTGCTCCTTCTGAGCTGCAAGGCTTTACTCAGCCGAGTGTGTCTGTGTGCATTTTCAAGAGCCTGTCTTACTGTGGATGAGAATGGAAACTATGGCAGTGGAATGCCCTCCTTCTGCTTGCCTGCCCCCTTCACCAAGCACACATCTGTACTATAGTGGTATTTCCGCCTCTGTAAGAGCATGTGACATCTCAGTACAAGTTGAACTGAGTCTTGACTCCCAGTGTTTTGAGGCATTCCCAGCTGCTACCAAGTGGTGCAAGATGAAGGTGGGGCAGGCTCAGCAGATGGGAAGATACTGCCAGAGAGGCTACCCTATTGCTTCGCATATGTTTGTGTGTTTTATTACCTTTATTATCTCACAAGTAACCAGTGCAGATTGAGAGAAAGTTAGGCAATATAACTGAATTCAGAAATCATGAACAAATAGACAATTATGCAATATGTAGCCAAAGAAAGATTAAAAATATAGAAAGGAAGTCAATGCCGGCTCTTTGCATGGAGCTCTAGGCTACATTGAGTTAATTTTTAATGAAAAGAGAAAATCTAGAATAACTCAATAATTCTCAGCTTTTTCCTCCATGATGTATGTATCTTTTTTTCATTAGTAAACTATGGTCCTGTCCTGAAACCCTAAAATAAAAATATAGTGAGTAATTTTTTAAATAAATAGATACATTGCCAACAATGCCACAATTTAGAGTAATCACACTAGAGATTTGGAGGAATATAATTTCAGGTGTGTGTGTGTATGTGTGTGTGCAGGTGCATGTGTGTGCATCTACTCTTACAAGTATGGCATAAAAGTATATACTGCATATTTTTAACTGAAATATTACTTTGTTGTAGAAATACAATTATGCAATCTTTACAAGTTTTTCTCTTTAAGAACATGACATGGGCAGCCTTGCCATTTATTTTTCTTCTTTTATGCCTCTCAGGAAAAAAATTTAGTTTCTTTAGAAAAGTCTAACACATTTCTGATTAAATTTAATCTTCAGAATTCTGTTTGTGTGGTTATTGTGTAGCTTTTCTGTTTTATTGTCTAACAGGTTAATGATGGTGTAGTTGATTTGTAGGGAGGCTATGTAACTTTTTTATTATTTATAACTATCTTACTGAACTCTCCTATGAATTCTAATATTTTTTTCAGGCAATTCTCATATGTTTATATTTTCTGAAAATAGTGGTAAATTGTCTCTAATAGTTATAGTTCTTATTAAATTTTCTATTCAATTGCATATCTTAGCACTCTCAGAACAAGATTGCCCGATAGATGCAGGTGATGGTGGGCACGTGTATTTCATGCTTGATTACGTGTCTCTACTGTTTTAGTGTTAAGCATAATGCCAAGTATTTGATCTAGAAATAAATCTTCATGATCTTTGACAAGATTTTTTTATTTTAAAACTCAAGAATGAAAACTGAATTTTATCAAATGTCTTTGGGCATCTAATAGGGTGATTTTATGTTTTTGCCCCCTCCTTTATTCTGTTAATGTGATAGTTACATTAATGATTTCTGACGAGAACATATTTTTCAGATAAATTCCAGAGTGGTATGGGGGATGAGTAGGTGAGAAGGAATCAGAGGGGAAGTGGGAGCTGGAATAAGGACTACATTTTTCCAGACGAAGGAAGGGTCATCTCCGGAGAGTACTGGCCTTAGAAGGTAATGAAGTTGGAGGAAGAATATCACCATGGTGTCAGAAACCCCTCAACGGGATTCCTCATGTGTGATATGTTTATATTTTTAGTAAAGTAACCAGGTAAAACAAATTTCAGAACATTCTAAAAATAAATAAGGAAAATGATTTTTTTGTGGAAAAACGAGAAGAGGAAAAGGCTTACAGTTTGTTGTGACCGGCCCTAGATGGCTGGTGAGAGGCAGTGAGGAGGCAGAAGCCCAAATAAATAAGGCCTGGGATTTACAAGAACTGCTTCGTGTTGCTCCATATTCAGGACTGGAGTCCAGATTCCTGAGAAACAGGGAAGCCCTAACTGATGTGTGGGTTACAGAGAGATTTTCTAATGTTAAGCCATCCTTGCATTTCACAGCTAATTTTGCTTGCTCATGGTATATTATTCTATTGTGACCCTGCTAGGTTCAGTTTGCTAATATTGTATTAACAGTATTTATGCCTATAATCCTAAGATTGATCTTAAGTTTTTATTTTTTGGTATTATTTTTTCCTCAGGTTTTGGTATAGAGATTATATTTTCCTTATAAAAAGAATTTAGAGCGTTTAATTCTTTCTACTTTTTGAAATGATTTAAATAAAACTAGACTATTTGTATTTGAAGATTTGATAGAAATTTCCTATAAAATTGCCGGGCACGGTGGCTCACGCCTGTAATCCCAGCACTTTGGGAGGCCGAGGCGGACAGATCACCTGAGGTCAAGACCAGCCTGGCCAACATAATGAAACCCCGTTTCTACTAAAAATACAAAAAAATTAGCTGGGCGTGGTGGCTCATGCCTGTAATTCCAGCTATTTGAGAGGCTGAGGCAGGAGAATTGCTTGAACCCAGGAGGCGGAAGTTGCAGTGAGCAGAGATCACACCACTGCACTCCAGTGTGGGCAACAAGAGCAAGACTCGGTCTCAAAAAAAAAAGAAAAAAAAATTCCTATAAAATAAAATTATCTGGACTTTGGGATAGACGTAGTTCAATTACCTTTTTGTTTGTTTTTTCAGTTTCTCTACTGGTTACTGTTCTATGCAAGTTTTCTGCCTTTTCTTGGAATCTATATTTTTCTAGAAAACAATTTAATTCATATTTTGAAATTCACTGGCATATCACTTTATCTAAATTCTTTTGCCGTGTTTTCAATCACATGCCGTGTCTGCAGTTAATGGTTTGTTTCTCATTCCTAATGTATTTGTTTATTTCTTTCTTTGAGGGAATGGAGATAGGAGGTAAAATTTCCAGATTTGTCCCCTTTAGAATCAGGGTATGGGAGTGGGAGGGATTAAGAGAAATGAGTAGTGGTTTTATCAATACAGTAGAAGCTCTCTTAATCCAATATCCACTGACTCACTGCATTTATCAAATTTTTTCACTCACTGTAAAATGTACCAACTGACCTGATGTATCTAAAATGTTCACAATCATGACGTAAGTTTTTCATAGGTACCTCTCCCTCTCTCCCCAGCTGAGTGGTAGGATTATAAAACGGTTTATGCCAGTTGTGGAGGTTATTGCAACTATATAATCTACTTACATATTATATTAACCAATGAATATGAATTTAGAAAAAGTTGTTTCCTAGAAAACTAGGTTGAATATTTTGGAAAGTCTTCATATTTTTTTAAATTGCTTAAATATTGCTGTTAAGTTAGATGTGGAAGAGACAACTGTCAAAATCAGGAAAGCAGCCAGATGCATACCTGTAATCCCAGCTACTCAGGATGCTAAGGATGGAAGATCACTTGAACTCAGGAGCTTGAGACCATACTGGGCAATACAGTGAGACCCCATCTCAAAATAAATGAGTGAATGAATGAATAAAATCTGGGGAAAAGCTTCAAGACACTAGGATTTAGTTTTCATATTACTTCTCAAGGGGTTGTTTATTTCTCTTCTCATTTTAAAGAAATTGAAAATAACAGTTATAGAAGATGCACTATGGGAATGGTTTATGTGAAAAAGATGATGGCACATTCCAATCGGTGGGCCCCATGCAAAGAAGAGACTGCCACAAAAAGTGAAGAATGACTGCACGTTTATGTTTTTGGTTTAAATAAAGTACATGTTAATTTGTATGATTCCTGGCTTTCTTTGAATTTTTCAGTTAACTTCTCCTAACTGTGGTAGAAAGAGTTTCTACTGGACATTAACTACTTTTGTTTGTTAATTCTTTGTGTTTACCGTCCTATGGTTTAATTTGTCCTGTTTTTCTAGCGTCTGGAATTGAATGATTAGTGCCATGGACATTTCTCATTTTTTTTCTGTCCAGTGTCCTCTTCTTTAGAAAACTGTTCTTTCGGGGCATAGTGGCTCACAGCTATAATCCCAGCACTTTGGGAGGCCGAGGCGGGTAGATCACGAGGTCAGGAGATCGAGACCATCCTGGCTAACACGGTGAAAACACGTCTCTACTAAAAAATACAAAAAATTAGCCGGGCGTGTTGGTGGGTGCCTGTAGTCCCAGCTGCTCGGGAGGCTGAGGCAGGAGAGTGGTGTGAACCCGGGAGGCTGAGGTTGCAGTGAGCCAAGATCGTGCCACTGCACTCCAGCCTGGGCGACAGAGCGAGACTCCGTCTCAAAAAAAAAAAGGAAAACTGTTCTTTCCTCTTCCACCTGTGATTCCACTGGGCCCCCAGTAATGGGATCCTGGCTCACCTTGGATAGATCACCTAAGATAACTCATTCAGACATTCTCTCCTGGGAAGCTGAATCTGGTGTGGAGACATTCAGGGATGGATGGCAGTTGTAACTGCGTCATCCTAATTTCAGCATCTTAAAGGGAAGGTCCATGAGTTCCTAATATTTAGTTCTGACTTCCCTTTCTTTCCTCCTTTGATTCTGTGGCATATTCCAATGGAAAAATTGGAGTCTCCCAATGGACAGCTCATGGAGGGCTGGAGAATCCTTTGAATACATTCCAGGATCAGCTTTTTAGTTTTTGGGGTTTTTTTTTTTTTTTTTTTTGGCAGCTAAAGAAACTTAACAGAAGCACTACATTTATTTATTCTAAATCTTGCTTCTTTAATAATGTAAGTATTAAATGCTATGAATTTCCCCCAAGTACAATTTTCACTAGAATGTGGCATAATTATCATTAATATTGTCTAAGTAGCTTATAATTGCACTTTTGATTTATTCTTTGATTCCAGAGTTATTTAGGGAGAAATAGTTTTTGAGTTCCTTCCAAACTCAAAAACATGAGGGTTTTTTTCTGTTTACTATATTTTTTTTATTTTCCTATATTCTGACTCTATCACCAGCACCTAGCGTATTGCTTGGCAAATAATAGGTTCTCATTAAATATTGAATGAATGAATGAATGAATGAAGGAATGAAGGAATCAGAGAATGAGACTATAGAATTTCTACCCTTGAATTTGTTTATGTCTTTTTAGTCAATTTTGACAAAGTTTTGTAAATATCTCGGGGAAATTTTTAAAAATGTATTTTTTGTGGGGTAAACAGCTGTATATCTATTTGTTAAAACAAACATATGTTTCAGAGCCTCTAAATCTTTCTGTATTTTTGTTTCAATTCCTGGTTCATAAGAAAACTGCATAAGACCTTCCATCAGGTTTTAAACATTGCCAAAAGTAGAGATGATTATTTCTCTGAGCTAGACTTTGAATCTTCTAAAAGCCATGAGATGGAGGCTTGATGGCTTGAAAGACATAGCCCAACCAACACAAAACAAGGATAAACAACCTTTAGATGTTACCCAGATTGGTTTTGTTCCTCTGCTAAAGAAGAACAATAACATTTTTGTTTCTGTTCCTCCAATCTCAAACTCCCATGTCAGTCTAATTTCCTCCAATAAAAAGGGAAGCACAAGAAGTTTGCCTTGTCACAAAGGGTCAAGGTTGATGGGTTTTACTAGGTGGCTGGTCCCCAGTGGGTGGTGGTACCTCCTCTCTTATTACTTCTGCTGGAGTGTAATTAGGGTGCCCAAGGATTACATCAAGTCACAATGCTATTAGATTTGAAATGCTAAGGGACCATCTTTATTTGTTTGTTTTTCTTTTTCCCTAATAGAAACATTAAACAGCAAGCAAGCATCATTTCCAGACAGAGAGAGTGCTCAGAGAAATCTTGCAAACATTACATGGTCTCCCTGGGAAGGAATATGGAGCTTGGGAAAACTGCCAGTTTATTATATTAATTCCATTTGTTTCCAATAAGAATGATGGTGTTTCACATGGCAATACTAAAGAGCCCCAGCCCATTAAAAGAGGTTTTCCAGGGGTTTTTCTACCGCATATCACAGCTGTGGTCTTTGCTTTTCTTGTCTTTCTGTTTTTGTTTATTTCTGGGCTAAGGCTGGAAGATCACTTGAGCCCAGGGCTATGTTATTTGACATGTAAAGGTGTATGACTGCTATATTTTCACTGTGAATTATATTCCTATCCACTAAAAATAAGCCTCTTTGTTCTTTTTAATGCTCTTGCCTTAAATTCTACCTTGTCAGACAATTTTGCCACCCTAAACTTTTTGTGTATTTATGTTCACTTGGTAGACTTCTCCCTTCCTTTTTCTCTTAAAACTTTCTGATTGTTTGCTATTAGATGCATCTCTTGTTTAAAAAAATCTTCTTTTATTTGAGGATCTTTTACTTACAAGAATGTAGCTACTTATATTCATTTTTATCTCATTCATGTCCTCCCTAATAATGTAATATTTTTCTTTTTCTGCAGTAATATATGCTTTTCTACTCTTAACGTTGTATATTTGTGTTCTATCTCCTTTGTTTTATTAGTTAGCTTTGTCAAAATTGAATCTCCTTATTTTGGTTATTAACTGTTCTGTTTCTAATTTATGAATTTTAGTTTACTGTATACACATTCATTTTCTTGGGTCCATCAATATTGGTAAAATCATGGGTCATGTGTTTTTATTCTTTTTGAAATGTCTTTGATACAGTTTTGGGCATAGCCCATTAAAATGTGGATTCATTCTAGTCTTTATAATCACTTTCTGAATCATCCTTAATTGCAGTTTTAATTTCTTCTTTGATTTCAGTGTTACTTAGCTGCGTGTTTTTCAGTTTCTAAGTAGATTTAAAAAAAAAAAAGAATTGGCAATTAGTTTGCAGTTTTATTGCATTTTGGTGAAAAATCTGGTTAATATAATGTCTCTTTTGGAATTATTGAGATACGCTTTTTAGTTTAAGATAATGATTTTTTGTCAATATACAGTGGATGGTTGTAATAAATGTAATCAACAATAGCTAGCTACCTAGCTAGAGATACAATTATACCTAGCTAGAGATACAAATTAATTATGCTAATTTTTACATTCTTAGTGAATTTCTCTGCTACTCTTTTGGGACAAGTATACTAAAGTTGACTATTGGATACTTTTTTTTGTCAATGTCTCCTCCTATTTTGAATATATTTTTCAATATTTTGATGCTATGTGATTAGGTGAATAGACTCAATCATCATTCATGGCTGTTGTATCTTTACTGTAGAGATTGTTCAAAATTTAAAGCAGCCCTCTGTCCCATTTAGTGACTCTCTTTATTTCAACTTTATTTGATATTACTATTGCCATCCCTACATTCTTTTTTTTGCCCAGTGTGCCTGTATTCACCTCATTATTTTAAACCTTCTTACTTAATTTTAGTCAAGTCTCTGGAAAACCACATTTAATTAATTTTTTTATTCAACTAAAGCTGAATGTTTCTTGTTTCTAATTCTTCTACTTAATACATTCATATCCACTTTAATAACTTTTTTCACCCTGTTTTTATCATCTTATTTTGTACTTTTAAACTTTTTTCACCTTTTTCTTACATTTTATTACATTGACCAGATTTTCCTATTTTTTTCTATTTCTTTAGAAATTAAATTTTTGTCTACCAATGATAATCTTCAGCTGACAATATATTTCTTTTGAATACCTCCATAAACTATGGGAGAGTCAGCAGACTCATGCTTTCTCCTTTCTTCTTCTCTTCCTGCCTACCATCTCCCCTTGGGTTTTACCAATAGACACTGGACTTTCCATCCAGATTAATAATAGTAATGGCTATTTGGTTAATTTAATGTCATGAACATTAAAGGACTATTTTTGACATTCGCATTGTTTCACTCAATTATTTAGAGTAATCCAAACCTTTGAATTTTTGTTTTATTGTTCATCACCATCAATTTCCTATCCAATCTCCGGACTCAACTTCTTGGTTTGGAGCAACTGTCCATCAATACTTCCACAAGTAATTTCTACTAAGGATAAGTGTCCCAACACGCTGCTTTTTGTCCTAGCATGTACAAGACACCCTTCTGATGTTCTTGTGCATGTTAAATATGACTTTATTGGATACGGAAGCCCCAGGCCATGCTATTTCCCCATCAAGTGCCATGGTTCTTCTCTGTTGACTTTTCATATTTGGTATTTTTCAAGAAGTCTGGTGCCTACTAAATTGTTTCTATATTTGGAAGACTTGTTTTTAATCCCTGAATGCCTGTAAAATTTTTCTCCATGTCTCTTGAGTTTATTCCATCCACCACATAGGTTTGCATTTCTTTCTGGATATTTTGCCTGGTTCTGAAGATTGCTTGAAACAAAGCAATTTTTCATCTCTGATTTGTTTAATCATTGCTGCTTCTCCTTTGCTCTCTCCTGCTTCTGAAACTTCTCTTTCATGTGAAACACACACATATATAATTCTCTGGATCTACTTTTCATCTTTTTTTTTTTTTTTGAGACAGGTCTTGCTCTGTCACCTAGGCTGTAGTGCAGTGGCATAATCTTGGCTCACTGCAACCACCGCTTCCCAGGCTCAAGTGATCCTCCCACCTCGGCCTCCCAAGTAGCTGGGACTACAGGCATGTGCCACCACACCCGGCTAATTTTTTTTTTTCTGTGGAAATGGGCTTTGGCCATGTTGCCCAGTCTGGTCTCAAACTCCTGGACTCAAGCAATCCACCAGCTTCGGCCTCCCAGAGTGCTGGGATTACAGGCGTGAGTCTTTGCGCCCGGCCGTTACTTTTCATCTTTTTAAATGTATTCACATGTATTTCTTTCTTTAGCCTTTTCTGTCTGAGTTTTGGTAGACATAATATCATCTTCTTATCAACTCACATAAGTGTCTGCTGAATGTTGCTTTCATTGCATGTCTAAAAAGAAAAAAATTGACTTACTTTGAAAAATATAAATAACAGATTAATTCATGTTTTTGGTAAAAGTTGAAGCAATTAAAATACAACGAAAACTGCCCTTAACATCTTCCCAACTCATTTCCCTTTCTCAAAGTAAAAAGATGTATATCTCCATCTTTTTTCCTCCATCATTTTATACCCATATAGAAATGTATGCTTTTTTTTTCCATTATTTATGTGGAAACGTTCTATTCATACTGTTTTGCAACCTGCTTTTTTCATTCAACATTAGGTAGTGGAGGCCTTTCCACACTAGCTTAGGTTAGGGTTTCCTGGGAAACAGAAGCTGAGATAGAGATTTGTGTGTAGGATGTTTATTGGTCACTGCTGTAAAGAGTAACGCCCCTGGGGGAGTAATGGGAGCAGGCTTGATCAGAAAGACAAGTTCAATGGCAAAGCAACGACAACAAAGACCTCAGCCATCTTATGGGAGGATTTGGAGCCCTTCAGGGCTGTTCCATATTGAGGCAAGGGGGCCTTTATTCCTATACAGCTTTGAAAATGGATGTGAACTGCCCCTGGGGAGGGGCAGCTCCCCTTGGCCAAGGACGGTTCCTGGGAAGGGATTCAGCTTTGAGACATCAGTAGGCAACCCTCTGGGATGCTGGGGAAATAGTTTCTCCATCCTGAAGAGGGGATATAGACAGGGCATCCCGGCACCCACCACATGCTCCAATGCCTGTAGATCTGAAGGTGCAAAGTCCATGTGTGATGATTTTTAGACTGAGTGGAAGATTCCAAAAAAGAAAATTCTGTTCCAATAGCTGCCTGTTGTGAGCAATGAATCAGATAAACATGATGTCCATTTGACTGTAAGTTATGTAATTTTAAAAAATGAACATTTTAACAAAACATCAAAAGATAGAAGAGCACAATAAACCCCCTGAAGTGAATTCCCATAATTTTATGTTGCCTTAGCATCCATGTTTGAAAATAAGTTGGACTTTATCATACCAGAAGCAGGGCTTAGTCACCCTCAACACACTGTCCAGTTCTGCACCTCTTCCCAGTTTTTCAATCTGGTTGATCTAGATATCTGCCTTATACAACTGCCTCCTGGTGACCACTTCCCCGTGGGACATATAGATGCCTGCTTGACTCACCCAACTGACTCCCACACCCCACAGGGACTGCACAGATGTGCCACAGTGACACCTCTGTTACAGTGTGCCTCCACAGAGCTGGGGCCAGCTAGTTATAACCCCATCACCACTAACAATAGTAATCACTTCAATCTGAGCTCTGCCTTTACAAAGCACTGGGGTGCCTTTGACCATCGTCTGAATCAGCTCATGCATTTAATAATCCACAAACCACGTTTTTCATATTCAAGTCATCTTTTCTCTCATCATTTTGATTGCCTTTCAAAGGTATAATGTTCTCTCAAATTCTGTTATGTAGAAAACATATTTTTCAGAAATGTTGTTTGCATTTGGCTGTTGATGGTCTGTTGTGTAGGGAGATGTTTTCTTTGATTCCTTGTGTAAAGTTCTGTCTTTTGAAGTACTGAATCTTGTCAAATGTCTAGTGATTTTCCTTCATTTGCTTCCTCTTAGAGAGAGAAGCCTTTCTTTCTCAAGTATGAGTAGCAATGGTGATTTCAGTCCAACATAGGGGACATACATTCCAAAGACAGCAGGTGTTACCGAACTGAACTGGGGTCTGCTTGCCTGGCGCAGCAAAGCCAAATACTGACATCAGGATTGCAGCTTGAGAAAGTGAGGCGTTAATTGCAGGGCAGCTCATGCTTAAGACCCAACCTCTTCAATGGCTGACAAGGAAGGGTTTTTGAAGGTAGGGAGACAGAGGTTACAGGCAAAGCCATAAATCAATACACAAAGGCTATGTGTTGGTTTGAACTGAAAAAGCAGGACATCTTGAGGTGGGTAGGGGTACAGGTCACAGGTGGATTCAAAGAGTTTCTGATTTGGTTTAGGAGGTGAAGCTTTGTCTGAAAATTTGGGATCAGCAGAAAAGAATATTAGCTTTGGCTCGTGGGCTTGACCTCCTGCAGGCCCCTCAGGAAGAAATTTTGAAGGGCGAACAGCAGTCAGAGTTCAGTCCCAGTTCCCCCTTATCGGAGGTCTGTGTGCCAGCAGATTCATTTGGTGGGGGTCTGGGTTTCTGAAAAACAACCCAGGGACGTATGTTAAGATCCTATTCTTAGTTTTTATAGGGAGCAAAACATCTCCTGACTCTAACTTCCTTGGCTATTTTTGTTTGCTTTTTTGTTTGAGACAGAGTCCCACCCTGTCACCCAGGCTGGTGTGCAGTGGTGCAATCTCGGCTCACTGGAACACTGAACCAAGGTTCAGGTGATTCTCCTGCCTCAGCCTCCCAAGTAGCTGGGATTACAGGTGTGAGCCACATGCCTGGCTAATTTTTTATATTTTTAGTAGAGGCAGGGTTTCACCATGTTAGCCAGGCTACTCTCGAACTCCTGACCTCAAGATATCCACCCACCTCGGTCTCCCAAAATGCTGGGATTACAGGTGTGAGGCACTGTGCTATTGTTTAAAACTATTGTTACCTTCTTGCTTATCAAGTTGCTCATTTACATCTCAGGGTTAGGTAGGTGCCTAGAATTTCCCCTGAAGGAACTCAAGATTTTCCTTTATTTCCATACTTGGCAGTGCCCACAGGCCCCTAAGAAGGGTTCCTGCTCCAACTCACGGGGATGAGAGCTATAGTCAGGAGGTGAACAAACTGCATTCTTTATACTTCCAAGTGTTCATAGGCTGAGAGTTGCCTCTTTCTCTGTGCCCCCATGACTGCTCTCACTTTTGGCTCCTCTCGGCTAAGATAATGGGTGCAGGGAGCTAGGGAATGGGGCATAGACGGGCTTGTCCTGTCCACCTTCTGGACTGTTTCTTAATTGTTTTATATCTTTGTCTTGGAAATTAGAGAGGGAAAGGAGTTAAATACTGAACAATATTGCCTAGGATAGGCCATAGGAGGTCTCAACTATATATCTGCCCCAATTCCCACACCACAGTAGTTCTTAAACTTTCTCATATGCAAATCATGTGTTGGAGCCTGCCTTTCTACTGTGAAACTGATTTTTAAATATTATAACTGTGTTTGTGAGCATTTAATGTGTCAAATTCTGTTTTAAGCACTTCACCTGCTTCACTAACTACATCGTGACAACCCTGCGAGGTTGGTACTGTTATTATCCCTGTGGAAATAAACTAAGACAGTTCAAAGGAGAACAAACAGAGGCTTTTTGGGGCTTACTTACAGGAGGGAGTCAGCCCCCACCTCTTGTGTTTGGCAGTGACTCAAAGGCAGGCAAGGAAGTGGGAAAGCTTTAGAAAGGGAGGCTTCAGATATGCTCTGTTGGCATGGCAAAGCAGAGGTTGCTAACTAGAAGTGGGGCATCTTATGGGATTTGTTAAGGGAGCATATGTGGCTTTGGCTTTTTCTGGTTGGTTCTGGGTTGGAAGGAAGGGCAAAAAAGTAGGGAAGCTGGCAGTCATTGCCCACGTCCTGACTGTTCTGGGACTACTGCTGTAGAGATTGAGGATAGGAGCTCCACTGTCATATATGGTCTGGCCATTGTCCGTTTGTATAACATCCCTAAATTATAGCTAGGAAACTGAGGCACAAAGAGTTTAAGTAACTCGCCCAAGGCATTGTAGCCAGTAAGGGCGGAGCTGGCATTTAGACCCAGGCAAGTCATGCTCCAAACCACCAGGCAAAACACCATAGCTTCTCCTGTTTGATCTGGTCCACACCAAGTGACACCCTGGCCAGGTGTGGGACCTAGAGCAACTGGCTTCACTCTCTGTGTCTCTGTTTCTTCATCAAGAAGAATGTAATTAGAAAAAAAAAAAACCCAATTCCCTCACTGGGTTTTTATAAGAATTCAATGAGATTACAGTTGTAAAGTGTCTGGCATAGGCTAGACCTGCTGAATATGTGATCTTGCTTTTGAGAGAACAGGATTGCACTTTGTAAATATAGGTTGCTTTTGAAAGTCCAGTTGATAATGGTTTACATCCCTAAATCTTTTTTTTGTTTGATTGCTTTTGATAAGGAGACTGGGAAATTTTATTGGAAACATATTTTAGGCAGCTTTTCTCTGAAAAGAATAAGGTGTTTTGGCTATACACGCCTCCTACTAATTATAATAAGATGTTTAAAAACTTGCACATCATTTCTTCAAATCTTTTTCATTAAACTTGTTACAGATTGAAGCCATTTCTGCTATTTTTCTTATTTGGGCAGCCTCCATGGTGGCATCTGCTTTCTATTTACAGAGCCAAACCCACAGACTCTGCTCTGGTCTGATTAATTAGAAATCACCATAGCAGGATGGACTCTCTTCCTACCCTCCCCAAACAGTGAATCTTTTTTTTATTTAGCTCATCTTCCAAAATTAAAGCATTTGGCCCTTACAGTCAGCTTATTTCAGGCCCAATCAGAGGCTGATATTTCCCTGACATATTCCTGGTTACTAAAGGGGCTGCCTGAGCTACTTTGGGGAGTGAGGGACCCAAACAAAATATAGCAGAACCATGTGCCAGTGGGAGAGTTGAAGTGCAGGCAACCTTGATTGACATTTACAAGGGACTAGCATTGAGCTCATAGAGATAGAAAGCATAGGAGAATGAAGGTTGGATGTTTGCACTTAATTGTTGCTCTCCTAGGGAGTTATTTGAGCAGAGACCTAGTTCTGGCTCTGCACACACCTGCTGTGTAACCTATGGGTGGGTCACACCTCATAGAAACCAGTACACACCTTCCAGGTTGCTATGAGGTTTAAATGGAATATGAAGCACCTTGATAAGCTCCACCCATCCCAAGAATGGCACGCTATTTTCCCAACAACCATCTTAGCAAATGGTACAAAGATTCTACAATTGTAATTCACCAGTATAGAACACAGGCGAAGGCATAGATTTAGCTAAAGTTATTATCAAATGACTGATTTTATAAGAAAAAAAAGAAAAATGATATCAGGGTTGATGTTCAGCTGCTTTCCACCAAGCCTCATCATCTCCATCAGTGAGCTGGACAGACCAGATCCCAGCGGAGACAGGGAGTAGGATAAGATGAAGGGATCTTGAATTTGTGCCTGACTATATTCCTGACTTTAGACCACTTTCTGACACTGTCTCAGTGTCTCAGTTTTAAGTGAGCCCAATGAGTTTTAAAACCTTTACATTACAGAAGAACAAACAGAGGTTTGTAAGTGAATTGCATTAAGTTTCAACTTCAACTCACAGCTAATTCCTCAAGCCCATGGGCTGTGACACACTGGCTTAGAGGGAAATGATCTGACAGACTAGCCCAAGCATCAGGATTGATAAAAGCAATCTTTTTATGTTTTATCATCTGTGGTCCCAGGCTCTTCTATACCTTTTCTCTAATCCTCACCAAACCCTACAAGAAAAGTGGTTTTCATTCTGGTTTTACAGGAGCAAGAACTGCAGCCAAGAGGGGTTAATTGACTTTCCAAATGTCACGCAACAATTAAATGCAAGAAGCAGAATTAGGAGACAAGTCTTGCTTCCAAAGTAACTGCATCTTCTTTCTACATCACATGAAACAGGAATGTCTGGAAAGTGAGATTCACTCTGTTCGAAGCCAAAGGAATTGAACTATTGGCTATAGCAGCTCTTTGTCCCAAGGAGAGGTGTGGGCAAAGGAGAGGGGCTGGCAGAAAGTTTTGTCTATATACCTTCATTTGGCCCTTGGATATATTACCATGTGCTATTTCTGCTTTGTCATTCTCTCTTGTTACTAACTTTTCATGTATTATTGCCCCTGGTGAACCTGTGAACACTTGAGCCCAGGAATGTTCTTTTACTTCCCTATAAACCCTAAATTCATGACAAAGTGTCTGCACATAAAAAGTTCTCGGGATAGCAATTCAGACGGCGATGAAGAGGGCTACTCCTGGGGGCAGTCCAGAAGGCTGTCTCCCCACAGGGGGAATATCAGGGAGTAGGGGCTTTTTTCCAGCTCTCAGCATTAAGGACCCAGAAACTTGATCTAATCAACACAGACAGTGAGTGTGGCTTCATTTCTCAGAAGCTGAGTCACATTAACCATATTCATAAGGCTAAGGCATTGATCCAAAAACATCAATTTATGGACTTAAATGAGAACTCATTGTTAATGATATAAGAATACTTGATGCTTACTAAGACTTCTGTTCCCCACATAGAACTGACATTAACTGGAGAAGTCCTTTCTATACTTCCTTGTCAACTCATTCTCATCCTAGTAGACTCAGTCTTACCTTGGATCTCTTGATACTTTCTGACAAGTTATTTTCAAGCCTTGTTGACCAGGGAGTCATCTTTTTTTTTCTCACCTTAGCTCTGTATATCTCCCATGGATCAATTAGGTGTTGATTTTATAGCTTAAATCTAAGTGGCATCTTTTTCATTTACAAGTCATAGAAAGGAAGGGCATCAAACTGTAGGTTTTAGGTACTTGTAACACTAAGTACTTGTCATGTGAATAAATGAATCGAGTTCTGCATAGGTGTTCACCCCACCATTCCAATGCAACCCTTCTTGTCAAGACAGCCAGTGACCACCATACTGCTAAAACTATTGATTAGCTATGAGTCATAATCTTACTTAACAGCATTTGACAGGTGATTTCTCTTTCTTGTCCTTAACATGGTTTCTTTATTTGGTTTCTGTTTCCATTGTTAAGCCTCTTTGGCCTTTCTGCTGGTTCCTCCTCTTCTTTCCAACAACTTAACACTGATTACCCCATAGCTAAGTCTTTGGTTGTGTTCTCTTCTCCATCTAGTAGGATCTCATAGTCTTCATGGCTTTAAATCTATATGCTGATGCTTCCACATTTGTATCTCCAACCTCAGCCTTTCTCTATACAATAGGTGTATATTTCCGTCTAATTATTTGTTATTTCTACTTGGATGTCTGATGGACTGCTCAAACCTAGCATATTCACAACTAAACTCATTATCTTGCCTTGCTCCAACCTATTCCTTTCACATTTTTAATAATCTCAATTGATGACAACTCTCTTCTGCTTGTGTTGCCCACAAATTTTGGAGCCATCTTTGACTACTGTCTTCTCTCATACTTCTCATTCAGTGTATCAGAAATTTTCTTGACTATACCTGCAAAATATATCCAGATTCTACTGGTACCACTTTGATCTAAGCCATTATCATCTCTCACCTAGATTATTCCCAAAGCCTCCTAACTCTTCTCTTACTTCTGATCTTGCCATCTTCTCTTATTATTCTGTTTGTAACATTGCACAAATATCACTTAAAAGCAATAGCCAAATGGTGTCATCCCTCTGGTCAAGACCCCAATATATCTCCATCCCACTCAGAGTAAAAGCGAAAGTTCTAACAATGGTCCTGTATAACCTGCCCACAACCCCTATTCCCATTACCTTTTTGGAGTCATTTCCTACTACCCTCCTCTCACCCTGCTCCAAACACATTGATTTCCTTGCTTGACCCTGAACATGCCAGGGAATACTATCAAAGGGATTTTGCTGGCTCATTTCCTCAACCTGGAATACTCTTCCTCCACAGATCTGCATGGCTGTTTTACCTCCTTCAAGTTTTTGCTTAAAGGTCACCTTCTCAAAGAGGTCTCCCATGACCCCATTATTCTAAATTGCACCTCTTCTACTCTACACTCTTGATTGCTCATAGGTTGCTCTATTGTTTTCTACAGCTCATATCACCTTGTAATGTACAGAATAAGTACTTATTTATTATGTTTATAGTTCATTATATCTCTGTTCCATTAACTAGAAACCCAAAATGAGTACCTTGCCTATATGATTCCTCTCAAGTGATAACATCTCTATTCTAACATAACATATAGAGCAATAGATAGGAGACAATAGATAAGGAGAGATCATGTTCATGTACATATAGAGGGTGGGTAATTAAAAAATCTGAAAGGCAATGTTTGAATTTAGTTCAGTTTTTAAAATGCATCTTCTTATCTCAAAAAGCTTAGAAAATGTATCCTTGGGAGCCAGTATGAAATGACGGAAAGAATAAGACTTTGAATCAAACCTGGATTTGAGGTCCAGCGCTGCCATTTACTAGCTGCATGTTATGATGCCAGTTGCTAAACCTCAATCGTTCCATGTAAAACTGGCTGTCTCTATCTTGGCAGTTCCCAAACTATGTTCAATGAAAACTGCACTTTGATAGGCAGTCCTTGGAAAATAGAGTCCATAGATACCCATATTTAGGAAACGCTGGATTAAACAAAATTAAACAGGTTTCTTTTCTGCAGGATTTCTCAGAGCCTTTAATATGTTAATGTACATTATGAATATTAAATTTGGTAATAGTGTGCAGTATTCCCAGTACTTATATAACCATTAAATATTTCTTTTCGTGGAATACTTTTAACATTTCTTGGGGCACCAATTGAAAAACGCTTATCTCACAAGATAGTTATAAAAATTAAATGCGTTAATATATGTGTAGTTAAGCATTGACTTAGTTGACCTAGGTTGTTTACATCCTGCACATTCCAAAGCTCTTCAGGACTGGTGTTTGACCAGCTGTTGGGAGATAATTTCTCAGCCCTTGGAATATACTGCCTGATAAGCGTGTCTTTGTACATCTAGGGCCTTGGGCCATGTTGTATCAATTTGAGCTGTGGAAAGGCTGGAGACTGAGAAGTAAGTTAGGGTCAGCTACATGGGTACTGCTTGCCTATGTGACTGACTTCTAACTAAAAGCATTTGATATCAAGGCTCAGGTGAATTTTGATGGCAGGCCATACTTTATATTCAGCAAAATTATCCTTTAGAAATAGGAAAAACTCAGACATTTCTAGATAAACAAAAATTGAGAGAGTTTGTTGCCAGTAGACCTTCCTTACAAGAAATGCTAAATGTAGTCCTTCAGGTTGAAATGAAAGAACTCTAGATAGTAAGAGTAGACAATAACTTGAATCAGATGAAGAAATAATAAACACTGGTAAGATAGCTGCATAGGTAAATATATAAGTAAGTATTAATGAATTTTATATTTCTTAGCTCCTCTTTTTTCCTATCTCATTTAAAACACAATAATTATGGGTCTATATTTACTAGAGTACATGTTTTTCTTCCTCCAAAATTTTTATGTTAAAGTCCTAATCTCCAATATGATGGTGATTGAAAGTGGGGCCTTTAGGAGGTAATTGGGTTTTGATGATGTCAGGAGCGTGAGCCCTCAGGATGGCATTAGTGTTCTCATAAGAAGGTCTCTTTCTTTCTAACATGTGAGGATACGGGGAGAAGGCAGCTGTCTGCAAACCAGGAAGAGGCCCTCACCAGGAACCAAATCAGCTGGCAATTTAATCTGGGCCTCCCAAATTCCGGAATAGGATGAATTTTTGTTGTTTAAGGCACTTAGTCTATGCCATTCTATTATAGCAGCCTGAGTTGACTGAGACACTATTTATGGGCACTCAACAGATGAGGATATAATTTGTGACAATAAAAACACAAAGGGAGAGGAGCTATATAGAAGTAAACTTACCAAAATTAACAAAATAGATTGTTACAGTTTATAACAATATATAATGTTAATTATATAATTATATAATTAACATTATATATTGTTATTATACATAATTAATATTATATATTGTTAATTATATAATTATAATCACTAGGGCAACCATTAAGAAAATAACTAAAACATATATAGTAAAATAAATAACAAGAGAATTAAAACAGTACACTAATATAAAACTAAAACAGTACACTAATATAAACAGTACACTTAATATAAAACTAAAACAGTACACTAAAATATCTATTTGATACACAGTGGATGTAATGGAAGCAGTAATGGAGGAATGAAAGAATGGAAAGACAAGATATATAGAAAACAAATAGCAAAATGGCGGATGTAAGTCCTTTCTTATCAGAAACTACATTAAATATAAATGAGTTCAACTTTTCGATCAAAACACAGAGATTAGGAGAATTGATTTAAAAAAAAAACAACATGACCCAACTATATTAGGCCTATAAGAGACTCACTTTAGATTCAAAGATACAAATAGGTTGCAAGCAAAAAGATGAAAAAAGATATTTCATGCAAACAGTATCCCAAAATGAACTGAAGTGGCTAATCTACCACCAGACTCAACAGACATTAGGACAAATTGTTATGAAAGACAAATAAGGACATTATATGATAATGAAAGAACAACCCATCAAGAAAATATAACAATTATAAATGTGTATACACCTAACAACAGAGCTTCAAAATACATGAAACAAAACTAACAGAATTGAAGGAAGAAATAATTCAGAAATAATAGTTAGAAAACTTTATACCCCACTTTCAATAGTGTATAGAACAACTAGATAGAAGATCAGCAAGAAAATAGAAAACCTAAACAACACTGTAAACCAGCTAGGCCTAGCAGACATCATAGAAAACTTTACATAACAACAGCAAAATACACATTCTTCTCAAGTGCGTATGGAATATTTTTCCAGGATAGACCATATGTTAGGCCACAAAGCAAGATTCAATAAATTTTAAAAGATTGAAGTATGTTCTCTGACCACAATGGAGTGAAATTAAAAATCAGTAACAAAAGAAAATTTGGAAAACTCACAAAGATGTAGAAAATGTAAAAGCACACACTCAAATAAATAGTAGGTCAAATAAGAACTCAGAATTTAGGAAATACTCTGAGATAAAAAACAAAAATAAAACAAATCATAACTTACGAGATGCAGCAAAAGCAGTGCTCAGATGGAAATTCTATGAACAACTTTCTTAAGAAAGATCTCAAATCAATAACATAACTTTATCACTCCTTAAAGAAGAGAAAAAGAAAAGCAAGCAGAAGGAATAATAAAGATTTGAGTGCAAATTAATGAAATCAGAAATAGAAGAACAATAGATAAAAATCATTGAAATAAAAAAATTGCTTCTTTGGAAAGAGCAACAAAATTGACAAAATTTTATCTAGATTTACCAAGAAAAAAAGAGAGAAGACTGAAATTACTAAAATCAGGAGAGAAATTAGATACTTTCTAGATAGTACTACCAACCTTACAGTACTAAAAAAGATTTTAAGAGAATACTATGAAAAATTGCATGCCAACAAATTAGATAACATAGATGAAATGGACAAATTCTTAGAGGCACATAAACTACCAAAGCTGACTCAAGAAGAAATATAAAATCTGAACAGACTTATAATAAGCAAAGCAATTGAATCAGCAATTAGGAAAAAAAACTTTCAACAAAAAAAGTTCAAGATTAGATGACCTCATTGGTGAAATCTACCGAATATTTAAAGAATTAACACCAAAAATAGAAGAGAGGGGAACATTTCCTTGCTCATTCTATGGGGCCAGTATTACACTCATACCAAAAGACAAAGGCATTACAAGAAAAAGTAAAATTAGAGACCAATATTCTTTATGAATATAAGTGCAAAATCCCTAACAAAATACTAGAGACAAAATCTGGAATTGTATAAAAAGAATTATAAACCATGACCAAGTGGGAATTGTCCCAGAAATGCAAGGGTGGTTGAGCACAGGAAAATCAATCAATGTAGTACACCATATTAATAGAATGAAGGGGGGAAAAAACCGCCATGATCATTCTAATACATGCAGAAAAAGCATTTGAGAAAACCCAAAATTCTTGCATAATAAAAACACCCAACAAACCAAAAAATAGAAAACTACTCAACCTGATGAAGGTCATCTGTGAAGAACCCACAGATAACATTATTCAGCATGACGCAAAAGTGAAAACTTTCCTCTAAGATCAGAAACAAGACAAGGATGTCCACTTTAGCCACATTTATTCAATATTATGTTAGAAGTTCTAGTCAGGGCAATTAGCAAGTAAAAGAAATAAAAGGCATCTGGACTGGAAAGAAAGAAGTAAAATTATTTCTGTTCACAGATGACATGGTCTTATATATAAAAAACCCCAAAGAATCCATTTAAAAACCCCAAAACACTGGTGCTCATAAAGAGTTCATCAAGGCTACAGGATATGGCCAGGTGCAGTGGCTCACGCCTGTAACCTCAGCACTTTGGGAGGCTGAGGTGGGCGGATCACATGAGGTCAGGAGTTCAAGACCAGCCTCGCCAACATAATGAAACCCCATCTCTACTAAAAATACAAAAATTAGTTGGGCATGGTGGTGGGCGCCTATAATCCCAGCTACTCACTGGGCTAAGGCAGGAGAATCACTCGAACCTGGGAAGCGGAGGCTGGAGTAAGCTGAGATCGTGCCATTGCACTCCAGCCTGGGTGACAAGAGTAAGGCTCCGTCTCAAAAAAAAAAAAAAAAAAAAAAAGAAAGAAAGGAAATAGTTTACAGGATACAAAATCAATACATAAAAATCAATTATGCTTCTATTATACAGTAGCAATGAACAATCTAAAGATGACATTAAGAGAAGAATTCCATGTACAATAGCATCAGAAAGAATGCCTAGGAATAAATTTAACCAAAGAAGTACAAGACTTGTACACTAAAACTGCAAAACATTGTTGAAAGAAATGAAAAAAAAAAGGCCTAAATATATTGGAAAAACATCCATATTCATGGATTGGAAGACTTAATATTGTTAAGAGGGCAACCATCCCAAGCAATTTACAAATTCATGCATCCTGACTTCAAAACTTACTAGAAAGCAACAGTTATCTAAAGAGTGTGTTATTGGCATTATAGACATGTAGAGTAATTGTGTATAATTGAGAGTCTAGAAATCAACTCACAGATCTGAGGTCTATTGATTTCCAACTAGGTGCCAAGATCACTCCATGGAGAAGGAATAGTATTTTCAACAAATAGTGTGGGGACAATTGTATATCCACGTGCAAAAGAATGAAGTTGGACCCCTGCCTCACAAGACATTAAAAATTAACTTGAGCCCTGGTGTGATTCCGTCCTGCATGGCTGTTCTCTTGAGCAGTAGTTGTTTATCTCCGTCTGCCTTCTCTCCCACCTGAGTGCGTTCCACTACTCAATGGAAGACTCAATGGACATGGACATGAGTCCCCTGAGACCCCAGAACAATCTTTTCCGTTGTGAACTAAAGGCTGACAATCACTTTCAAGTGGATAATGATGAAAATGAGCATCAGTTATCTTCAAGAACGGTCAGCTCAGGGGCTGGTGCAAAGGATGAATTGCACATTGTTGAAGCAGAGGCAATGAATTACGAAGGCAGTCCAATTAAAGTCACACTGGCAACTTTGAAAATGTCTGTACAGCCAACGGTTTCCCTTGGGGGCTTTGAAATAACACCACCAGTAGTCTTACGGTTGAAGTGTGGTTCAGGGCCAGTGCATATTAGTGGACAGCACTTAGTCACTGTGGAGGAAGATTCAGAGGCAGAAGATGAAGAACAGGAGGATGTGAAACTCTTAAGTATATATGGAAAGTGATTTGCCCCTGGAGGTGGTAGCAAGGTGCCACAGAAAAAAGTAAAACTTGCTGCTGATGAAGAAGATGATGATGATGATTTTGATGATGAGGAAACTGAAGAAAAAGCACCCGTGAAGAAATCTATACAAGATACTCGAGCCAAAAATGCACAAAAGTCAAATCAGAATGGAAAAGACTCAAAACCATCAACACCAAGATCAAAAGGACAAGAATCCTTCAAAAAACAGGAAAAAATTCCTAAAACACCTAAAGGACCTAGTTCTGTAGAAGACATTAAAGCAAAAATGCAAGCAAGTATACAAAAAGCATATTGAACAGTCCAGGGGACTACTAGTAAATTAAGCCCAAAGGTGGGGAGAGAGAAAAAGGAGAGACAAATATAGTCCACACTGAGTGTCATCAACAATCCAGACTAAAGTTTTCTATTTTAATCTCAATTCCCTATTCTGATTTGCCACCCATGCCTCTTCAGGCTGGAAACCATGTCACTCTTGGTTCCCCAAAGCACTTTTCTTCTGACTGCTGTGATTCAATGAACCTTGCCCTTTGCTTTCTATTACTTGTGCATTTGCCTCACCTCTGACCATGTTTTAAATCACGTTTGTATCTCCTTAGCTGCTCAATAAATATTTGAATGAAAAAAATTAACTTGAAATTGAATAAAGACTTAATATAAAAGCTAAAACTATAAAACTCTTAGAAGGAAATGTAGATGTAATTCTTTGTGATCTTGGATAGGTAACTTTTTAAAATATAACATCAAAAGCACAAAAAAACAGGTAAATTGGACGTCGTCAAAATTTTAAAAATTGCATCACCAAAGAATACTATCAATAAAGTTAAAAGACAATTCACAGATTAGAAAAAATATTTGCAAGTCATATATTTGACAAAGGGTCTAATAATAGACTATTTAAATCAACTTTGCAACTCAAAAACAAAAGACAGCAACCCAATTAAAAGTGGGCAAAGAACTTGAACAGATGTTTCTCCAAAGAAGATATACAAATGGCAAATGAGCACATGAAAAGATGCCCAGCATCATTAATCATTAGGGAAATGAAAATCAAAATTACAATGAGTTACCACTTCACTTCCACTGGGATGGCTATAATAAAGAAAAAAAAGGAAAATAAATTTTTGTGAGGATGTATACATTTGAACCTTTGTGTATTGCTGGTAGGAATGCAAAATGCTGCAGCTGCTATGGAAGTCTGGCAGTTCCTCAAAAGGGTAAATGTAGAGTTACCATATGACCTAGCAATTCAATTCCACTCCTAGGTACTATCAAGAGAACTAAAAACAGATGTACACTAACACTACCTTTATAGTAGCATTACTCATCATAGCCAAAAGTAGAAACAACCCAATCCCCATCAACTGATGAATGGATAAAAAAAAAGTTAGTGCATTCATACAATGGAATATGAGTCAGTCATAAAAAGAATGAAGTAATGATAAATGCTACAACATGCATGAAGCTTGAAAATATTATGTTAAAAAAGCCAGTCATAAAGGACACATATTGTATGATTCCATTTGTATGAAATGTCCTAAATAGGCAAATCCATAGTAACAGAAATTAGATAGTGATTGCCCAAGGCTAGGGAAAGAGTGGAATGTGGAGTGATTGCTTAATTAGTAAGGAGTTTCTTTTTGGGAGTGATGAAACATTCTGGAATTAGATAGTGGTGGTATTGGTTGCACAACATTGTGAATATACTAAAAACCACTTGTACAGTTTACAATTGTTAAAGTGGTAAGTTTTATGTTTTGTGATCTTTATCTCAATTTAAAAAATCCAAAATGAGGGTAAAAACCAAGAAAGCAGAAGCCATGGGATCCAAGAAACAGGAGATACATTGGAAAGGGTTAGGATGATAGTGAAGGAAGTTCCTAGACGCCCACTGTGCATGGAAGATAGAGCACAACCAGTTCAGTGGCTTCTGGGAGAATATCTGTGAGAAGAGGATATTTTGCTCCTGATGTGTTCAAAAGTATTGAGAGGAGATATTGAAGATTGTGGAAGAATCTGAGCAAATATAAATGAAACTAAGTGTATTCATTTGGGTTTTCCAGAAAAACAGAACCAATAAGAGAGATGATGGATAGAAAGATACTCAAACAGACGATAGATAGATATAGATAGATGATTAGATAGATAGATAGATAGATAGATAGATAGATAGATAGATGGACGATAGATGAGAGAGAAGAAGGAAAGAAGGAAGGAGGGAGGAAGAAAAGGAAAAAAGAAAGGGAGAAAAGGAGAAAGATGAAAAGATAAAGAGATTTATTATAAGGAATTGACTCACACAGTTACAAAGGCTGAGAAGTCCCAAGATCTGTATTCAGCAAGAGACCCAGGAGAGCTGATGGTAGAGTTCCAGACTGAGTCCAAAGGCCTGAGAATCAGGAGAGCTGATGGTAGAGTTCCAGACTGAGTCCAAAGGCCTGAGAATCAGGAGAGCTGATGGTGTAAGTTCCAGTCCAAGTTCAAGTCTGAGGGCAAAAGAAGACCAGTGGTCCAGCTCCAAGATAGAGAGAGCAAATTTTCCCTTTCTCAGCCTCTTTATTTTATTCACTTCCTCAATGGATTGGATGAGGCCCACCCCATCAGCAAGGGCACTCTGCTTTACTCAGTCCACAGGTTCAAATGTTAATCTCATTCAGAAAACCCCTCACAGAAATGGCTAGAATAATGTTTAACCACATAACTGGGTACCCATGGCCTTGTCAACATGACACATAAAATCAACCATCAAACTAAGTCAGTTAAAAAAAAAATCCAGTTATTAATTTCGCAGAAAACAAATAGTTGTGCATATCCTATGTGGCTCAACTGAGAATAGCATTTATATTTGTACAGTTATAATATTAATATTAAATATTGAATTTATCAAAAACTTGACATAAGTATAACTGGAGTTTGAGGGGAAGAGAAATGTTTGTGTGTGTGTGTGTGAGAGAGAGAGAGAGAGAGAGAGAGAGAGGAGATGTGATAATGGTGGGGCAAAGAGTAAAAAAGAGCTAAATCCTTATCTTCCATAGTGGGAAGTCATTTTATGCTGCCTAATGCTGAAAATCACAAGTAGTGCTAAAAATCATATGTTATTTATTGATACGCAGGTGAAAAACAAGAGCAATAGTTTAAAAAGCTGCAAAGGTAGCCTTTTAGGAATGGAAACTTGAGGTTGTAGGTGGGGAGCAGGTTATTGTTTTGGTTCAGCTTGATTTTGGTAATAATTCTGGTAAAACAATTTGACTGTATAAGTATGCATGTATAACTTTGATTAAAAACTAAATTTTAAAAATGTATGGTATATGGAGTTGGAGAAGATCAAATAACAATAGCCTACTTTTCCCTGCTAATTTATTGTACTGTACGGACTCCAAGTTTGATTAGGGGAGACAAATTCTTTCTGCATGTGATCACATAAGTACGTCATGTGTGTCTGAGTACATGTGTCTGCACGCATGTGTATGTGTGTTCATGGGCATAATAAGATATGCTTATTCTTACATGTGCCAAAATGAAGAGAGAGATATTCATACATATTGATGTAGACTGGCTTGTAAGCAGCAAGAGAGTAAATAATGTGATGCTTACAAGAAAAGATAAGAGACAACCGAAAGTAATGGAATTCGTTAAGGAAACCATAAGCAGACATTAAGTTTTTAAAAATCTAACTAAACAGCTCTTCTTTGGAATGTGAAGGCATTGTTAGATGAAATAATTGAGGATATGGAAATGACTGCTTTTTTTTTCTTTGCACTCGCTTTCTATAAATAGAGAAATATAATTATCATTGTCAAAAACAATGTATTATTCATTATGAAACTCATAAACACAATTAACAACAAGTTCTTGTCAGTTTCTGAAACAAATCAATGAAAGAAACACTGAAGGAAATAAATATTTAAATGCCATCTGATATTTTTAAAAAGAAAATTTGTATTCAAAATATATAAATTTGGTTGATTAAAAATTAGCAACTGTTTTAGAAGGATTTGTGTGGTAGCATAGCATTGGAGTTGGTTGCATCCTCCTAGGAAGAAATGAGCTTTGTTGAGATAGAATTCTGGAAGGGAAAGTATACAGCTGATTTTAACCCTGGAATCTTAACTCTCCATGTCTGCTAAGAACCACCTGGCACAATTCTCAGAGGAATAGTTTGGCTCAGACTGGATAGAGATAACCAAAGGACTCATTGAGAAAATCTAGACCCAAACAATTAACGAAAACATACGCGGTGGCTCACGCCTGTAATCGTAGCACTTTGGGAGGCCGAGGCGGGCTGATCACCTGAGGTCGGGAGTTCGAGACCAGCCTGACCAACATGGAGAAACCCTTCTCTACTAAAAATACAGAATTAGCCGGGCATGGTGGCACACACCTGTAATCCCAGCTACTCGGGAGATTGAGGAAGGAGAATCACTTGAACCTGGAGGCAGAGTTTGCAGGGAGCTGAGATCGTGCCACTGCTCTCCAGCCTGGGCAACAATAGCAAAACTCTATCTCAAAAAAAAAAAAAGAAAACATATACGTATACAATAAATAAGAAACAAATAGATATAAACTCTGGTGTTAATCCCTGGCTTATTCTGTCTGAAATTGTGTTAAAGCAGCAGTCCCCGACCTTTTTGGCATGAGGGACCCGTTTCGTGGAAGACAACTTTTTTCCACGGATGTGGGTGAGGGCATGAAACTGTTCCACCTCAGATCATCAGGCATTAGTTAGATTCTCATAAAGAGCACACAACCTAGATCCTTGCATGCACAGTTCACAATAGGGTTCATGCTCTTAAGAGAATTTATCTAATGTCTCTGCTGATCTGACAGAAGGCGGAGCTCAGGCTCTAATGCTCGCTCCCGTCACTCACCTCCTGCTGTGTGGCCAGGGTCCTAACAGGCTGTGGGCCAGTACCAGTCCGCAGCCCAGGGACTGGGGACTCCTGTATCATACCCATCCTTGGCCTGTTCTTTTCCCAGGTGTTACAAATTTCTCTTGACTTATAAAGGAGATGACCAATTGTTCACCCTTGTTAAAACTTGGTTAAGGCTGGGCACGGTGGCTCATGTCTGTAATCCCAGCACTTTGGGAGGCTGAGGCAGGTAGATCACGAGGTCAGGAAATCGAGACCATCCTGGCTAACATGGTGAAACCCTGTCTCTACTAAAAATACAAAAAATTAGCCAGGCATGGTGGCGGGTGCTTGTAGTCCCAGCTACTCAGGAGGCTGAGGCAGGAGAATGGTGTGAACTCAGGAGGCAGAGCTTGCAGTGAGCAGAGATCGCACCACTGCACTCCAGCCTGGGTGACAGAGCAAGACTCCATCTCAAAAAAAAAACAAACAAAAAAAACCTTCATTAAAAAGTCTTAGTACTTGTTTGTGTTTTCTACAAATACCGTGTTATTCTGAGTGTTTATCACTGATTTCTAGAATAGGCATTGTTTGCCTCCACTGTACTTGGCCAGCACTGGCCGTGGGTGTAGGTTCTGTGAGTCTCTGTTCTGGCCGTTCTGCCCTGTACTCTAAGCTCTGATGACTGCGTGCTTAGCATACTGTAGGCAAGTTTAAAATTTTTTTGGAGGGAAAAATCATTTCTGACTTAAAGACAGAGCTGAAATCATTCCTCACTGTACTTAAACACAGGCACCAACATGTTTTCTCTGCAGCACCATTAGACATCCCTCCAGGAGCAGAAATTGTGTGTGATACTATTCAATATTTTCAAGTTTGGCATCATCTACCTCTCAGAAGAGGCTTGAAGAGGTAGTTTAACCTGTTGTCTTTTCCTCTTTCTAAGCTGGACTGCACTACTAAAAGCCACAAACTAAACAGGTGAATGAATATATAATGCCAGCAACTGGCAATTTCTCCACGGTGGCATGCTCAGGTGTCCATCTGCATTTGTTTATCCTGTTCTCTCTTCCCATTTCTTCTGGTAACCAAACTCCCTTTATAGTTGAAGAACCCATTCCGTGAGATTTGGAAGGGTCAGATTTTCCCATCTCCCTACCCACTGAGAAAGAGAAAACCTGTACATTAGGAGTTTGGGGGCTAAAAAAGTGGGGAAAGCCAGTATGGTCGGGGAATTCATTCTCAGGACTTTGCCCAAGCAAGTTACAGAAATAGACAGCATCTCATTTGCTTTCAGGACATGTGTTAGCACATATGAAATGTTGATATGTCTTCATTTTAATGCCTCTTTACTACTTCCTATGTTTATGTTAGCCTACCCCAAGTGTTTCCAAACTTCTCTGATCATCAAAATCTCCAAAGGAGCTTGAAAGTGAAGATTGACAAAATGAACCCAAATATTTTGTAATCATATCTAGGAAATGGACTTTTTTCAGAAGCTGCCCAGGGAGTTCTTCAGATGAACCAACTTTGGAATTTACTCTTCTGCATACGATGTGGTGTCCATCCGTGAAATCATTAGCTAAATGATTATATCTCTGGCTGCTGCAGAAAGGCAAACGCTTAACTGGCCACATATGATATTTCACAGCGCCACGTGTTTCTGCTGAGAGGTCTGCCACTTTCAGCCCAGACAAAAGAGAGTAGAAGGAGCTCCACTCCCTACTCCACAGAGCAGGCTGAACCCAGGACCAACACTGACGTTACAGCATAAAGAGGCTCCAATTAGAGCACAGAGGCAACATGCTGCCAAAAATAAATTTAAAAAATTAATTAATAAATTAATAAATAAAACCCACTTGAGGATAAAAGTAATCAGTGGCCAGTGTTCTGCAGGCTATATTTGAGGGAAGTAAAATCTCTGTATCACTGAAAATGTGTATAATTAAAGTGAATAGTGAGTTAATTCATAAGCTGAGAATGAGGGACTCTGCTTCAAAACAGACATCTCAACACAAATGAACCTGGAGCAAGAATAGAACAGGATGTACCCTAATGATCAGCAGATCTTAGACTAGCCAGAGAGATGAGGCAGCCAGCCTAGACCAGAATGGAGAGCCCTCTTGGCCACATGGGGTGGCCAGCCTCCCAGATGGTACCCAATGATCTTGCCACCTGTAATTTGCACCCTGGTATAGCCCCCTTCAATGTTGTGCCTGGTTGCTTTGTGTGACCAATAGCAGATGGCCTAAGTAATGACACATCGCTTCGGAGATTAGGTTGTAGAAGGGTGCAACCTCTGTCTGGGGGCACTCTCTCATTTGCCTGTGTTCTCTCTGTCTCGGATCACCTGGCTCAGGGGAAGCCATTCTGTGAACTGTCCTATGGAGAGGCCAGCTTGGGGAGGAATTGATGTCTTCTATCAGGAACCATGAGAGTGAGCTTAGAAGTGGATCCTGCCCCCTCAGTGAATCCTGCGGCTCCAAGTGACAGCTTGACTGCAACATCATCTGAGACCCTAAGCAGGAGCCACCTTGCTTGGCCAGTCCTGGATCCCTGAACCCTCGGAAACTGTGAGATAATAAATGATTATCATTTTCATCTGCTAAGTTTTACTGTCATTTACCACAAAGCAATAGATAACTAATACACCACACCAACTTCACCGTGAGAAAGTCTATACATTTATTATCAGAAATGACTATCTTCAGAACTTGTAATATATTGATGCTTTAGTCAATTGAAGTATGTCATTTATATTCTGGGATGTTGGTCGGTAATTCTTAACCCATTTTTTGTCATCGTCAATTTTTTATTCCGCAAACATTTGATCATCTGCAGTACCAGCTCCTGGTTTAGGCTTTATGAATACAGCAGTGAGCAACAGTGGCAAAGTCCCTATCGCATACAAGCTTCATACAAAGTAAATGAATACTTTAAAAGGCAATTGCATATTATGATAACACGCACAGAAAAAATAAACAGGTGACCTGAATGAGGGCAACTAGCTATAGGGCTGGAGTGAGAGGCGACTTCTCTTGATAGGGTGGTGGAGAATGTCTCTCTGCAGAGTGGCATTTGCTGAGATTGAAGGGTGAAAAGAGCAGGCCATGGGAAGGGGCTAGGAAGGGAAGCCAAGGCAGAAAAAGTCAAGAACAAGGCCCTAAGCTGGCAAAGGGGACCAGAGAGGACCTCCTTCCTTAAAAAGCCCATCCGAATCCCGTGGCTCCCACCTAAGGGGTTCCCAAGACGTTGGTGCCCAGGTAAGTGCCCTTCCCTTTAGCAGGTGGCTAATTCTAGTTTCCTCTTCCCCCCAACACCCCTGGCCCTTTCTGAAGAGCAATAGGAAACATTCTCATAGATTATTTTATTGAAATATTGTTTTATGAGCTAGAAGAGAAATATGATTACTACTGGATAGTATTTGGGAATCCTTGACTTTCACGCCTGGCAGTTTTTAACAAGTAACTCATACTTTTAGCTTTCTCTTTACGGGTTTCTCTCAAACTTTGAGAGAACTGGATATTTTGGAGACAAGATCAAATGTATTTTGTCATATTTCCTCAATCCACACTCTTGCCCAGCCTCTGAGGAAGCAATCCCACGGTTTTCAGTCCTAGTCAATATCCCACATCTGCTGTGTGAATGAATTAAAGAGTTCACCACGGTGGATACATGCCATTTTGGCTGTGTCTCTCATTCCCTCGCTGTCCTAATTCTCCCAGCAGCCCCATTTTGTGAGGCTTGTTATGCTTCTTAAGGCAGCTTGCTTAAACAGAGCCTCCCATCCCTACAAAATGCAGGTGCTGAGCTCTGAAGGGCACGAGACACCCTCTGATGCACTGGCTAGCTGTTCTGAGCACCCAGTGAATCATTCCTTCTTACACAATCTGATTGTGTGACTCTGCTTAAGTTTAGCATCAGTTAATTTGGAGGAACATAATATTTTGCATTTTGCAGTGTGACACTGTGTCAGAATCAGTCATCACTGTTAGCTTGATACCAATACTGTGCATATCGGGTGAGCTGGAGAAGGCATTGTGACCCTTGGAGAGAAGCTGGCCTGTGTACAGTTCTTCTGTTTCATGTGACAGTGCAATGTCACTGAAAATCTGGTTAATTTCTCTTCCCTGCCCCCTAGACTCTCTCCAACATAAATTATAATGATGCTCAAAGTGTCACCAGATTGGTAATTGAAGGAACACTTGGCATCTTCAAGAAGGGTTCAGATGGGGAGATAAATCTATCAGAACATTGCCGAGCAGCTCTTACCAGAAAGTTCCTTACTCCTGTCTGGACCAGTTACAAACTGACTTAATAGGTCATGATGTATGGTTTATACTCAGATGAAAAGACAGAGATTAATGAGTCAAACTAATTGCTGCCACAAATGAGGATGATATACAAGTTGGAAAGGCATTAGAGATACAGCAACGAACACCAGTTGAGATAACCCTGGATTGGATTCCTTTAAAGGCTAATAGAGGACTGCAGCTTTCTGCTAGGTGTTGATAAATTGTATGCTATGATTTTTTCCTTTGTTCTTATTTCCATTCAGAACATCTCTAATACATTGAGTATCCCTCTTGATGAGGCCATAAGAGAAATACATTTACCATTTAGTATGAATTTGAGAAGTAATAAGCATTTTAACGTCAAAACACAATCTCAAGACCTCGGGAAGAAAAAGGTTTCTTAAACACAATGTAATTTTTAAAATTAGCCAAGTATGGTGGCATGTGCCTGTAATCCCAGCACTTTGGGAGGCTGAGGCTGGAGGTTCAACAAGCCCAGGCCTTTAAATCCAGCCTGGGCAACACAGCAAGACTCTATCTCTTAAAAAAGTCACTAGCCATAAAGAAAACTGGACTGCATTAAAATTAATAACTATTTCATAAGACATCATTAAGAGTGGAAAAGGTAGGTCACAGCATAAAACATATTTATAAGACCTATATCAAACAAAATATTCACATTCAGAATATAAAGAATTTCTACAATTTAATTAGAAACGGGTAAATAATACAATAGAAATATGGGGGAACCACTGAATGGGCCCTCAAAAAACTGGTCTTCCAAATGGTCACTAGCTATATGAAAAGCTTCTGAAATTCAATAGTCAACAGAGAAATAATTTCAAACTACAATGGTGATACCAGTATACATTCACCAGAATGGCGAAAATGACGAAGACAGACAAGACTCTGTGTTGGCAAGGACAGGAAGCAATTGGAACACACATTGCTGGTGGGAGTGTAAGCTGACATAATTATTTTAGAAAACTATTCTGCAGTACCTGTTAACACTGAATATTGACACACACTAGGAGCCAGCAATTGCACTCCTAGATATATAGTGAACAAAAATGTGTACCCATATTCACCGAGAACGTGTGCAAGAATTCAGAGCAGCAGAATTAGCAATAACCAAAAATAAAAACCCAAATATCCATGAACAGTAGGATGGATGATTAAATTGTGGTATGTGTTCACACAATGGAAACCCACCCAGCACTGAGAAAGAATCAACTACAACTATATGCAGCAACATGAATAAGTCTCAAAAATAAAAAGTTGAGTGAAAGAAACCAAAGACAGAAGAATACATACTGCATGATTTCATTTGTAAAAATTTCAAAAATGCACAAAACTAACCTAAGGCGTTAGTTAGAACAGGCAAGGCTAATTTATAGAGTTAAAAGGTTATGCTTGGAGGGTGATTAGGGGCTGGAAAAGGACACCAGGGGCTCTTGGGGTGCTGGTAATGCTTTGTTTCTGGATCTGTGTACTGGTTACTCACTTGGTGAGAATTTCTCAAGTATACAATTATGATTAGCATTCTTTTCTTGGTGAATTTTATACCTAAAAGTTTACATGAAAAGCTCTCCACTGATGAATGAATGGCCAAAATGTGGCATACCTATACAATTAAATGTTACCCAGTGTTAAAAAGGAGTGAAATACTGATATCTACTGCCACGTGGATGAACCTTAAAAGCACTGTGCTAAGTGAAAAAAGCCAGTCACAAAAGGCCACATATTGTGTGGTTCCATTTATATGAAATGTCCAGAATAGGCAAAATAATTCAGAAAGCAGACGTGGTTGCCAGGGGCTGGAGGGAGGGAGAAATGGAAAGTGACCACTATGAATATAGGGTTTCTTTTTGGAGTGATGAAAATATTCTAGAATTAGACGGTGGTGTTGGTTGCATAACACGTGAATATGCTAAAAACCACTGAAATGCACTTTCAAAGGGTCAATCTTATGGTGTGGGAATTAAAGTTCAACAAAAAAAATAAAACCTTCCTTAGTGTTAGTATGTTGTATGCAGAGGCCTACACTTCTACAACCATCAAGATGCATGGACTTTTTCATTTGTTTATCAGCTGACAGGGGCTGGATCATCTGAACTATACATTCCACATTGGTTTGGGTACCCTGGATCAGGAATCCTCAAATTTTATATACAGCACGACATTCTCCTTGAAAGCCTTGGGGACTACCAGTGAGCAAACAGTTTTAAACATTTCAACCAATACCAGTGGATTGGAGGAAGTAAAATTTCATGTACATTAATGGGCTTAAAGCCCTGGTATTTCTAATAATTTGTTATTCATATGCCAATAAATACATGTCTGTTACAGAACACTTGCTTATAATTCAATTAGGAAAAACTAACACTTGCCTCATGAATGGGCATGAATCAAGGGTCTCAAAATTGTTCATACTCTTTGATTTAGTAATTCAACTTCTAGGACTCTATCCTAAAGAGATAATTAGCAATGCCATCTGGATTAATTTAAAAGAGTGTTAACCACAGGGTTGTCCTAGTGAAACAAAAGTGCCCAAATGATAAACACAAAGAGGGATGGAGGCAGAGACTCGCAGCACACAGAGTGATTCTGGGCACGGAGGCCCTGCCCCCACACTTTCTGAAGAACTGAGAAGTGTCTATAATGGATATTAGAATACCAAGCCAGATAGACCCAAGGCCCTAATCCAAGTGCCCCACCAGATATGTGAATTGCAAATTTCCTCTGTCTCATTCCTTTCCTCCTCTCCCCTCCATTCTTCTTTCTATACTTACCCCAGTTGCTCAGGGCCTGACCTTGGCTAAAATCCCTGGAGAGAAGACTGATTAGCTTTTAGTCTTGACCAATTAAAATCAGCTGGGGAGCTTTGCTCTGGAAACATCTCTAGAAGGGGCATGGGGCTGAGTAATAAATGTTAAAAGTAGGACAATGAAAACAGTTGGAGTGTTAAAACAAGGACATCCTCATTCACTCGCACCAATGAACTCTTTGCCAAAATGTTTATCTCTGCCAAAATGTTTGATCTCTATCCTGTAGACGTGTATAGAAGCTAAGTGAGAGGCAGGGAAAGGCAGAGAAACTGGGCCACCTTGGCTCTCCTTGATTAGCTTCCAATTTGTTGAAGAGGAACAGGGCAGGGCCAGAACAGGTGAGTTTCCTTTAGTGGTACTCCACGGAATTCTAACTTCTGTCTTAATGTAGGGGAAGATAGTCTCAGTATTTAGAGGCTATGTTCTTGTAACTTGTTCTACTTTCCAACTTAAAGTCAAAGAGACTCAGTCATCACGAGAAAATAATCCAAAGGGATTGTGTAATAACATTTTTAAAATCACTTAATTAAAACTCTTGTTATAAAAGTAGCACATACTTATTATTTTAAAAGTG
Organism: Homo sapiens; assembly: GCF_000001405.40. Lineage (NCBI taxonomy): Eukaryota > Metazoa > Chordata > Mammalia > Primates > Hominidae > Homo > Homo sapiens. The sequence continues at coordinate 36,831,943 of NC_000007.14, forward strand.
ACATTTACCCTGACACCCTAACTCAGTCTCCAAAACAAATAGTCATAACTTCAGTGTTTTTGTATGTATGTGAAAGTATATATGTAGATATATCTAAGTACAATAAAGCAATTTTTCTCATACTTTAGTGTAGATCATGCAGTTATTCAACAGCCTTGCTAAAAATGCTGATGGGGCCAGGAATTTATGTTTTTAACAAAGATAATGATGAAGGGGGTCTGCACCAAGATAAGCCCCAATAATCACCATCTCCTAGGATTCATTCCCTGTGCTTCTCTTCCTGTATCAAACACGGTTGACTTTAGTAACCAACAGAATACTGCAGACACAATTAAGTACCACTTCTGTGGCTAGATCATCAATGTCGTTGAAGCTTTCACCTTGGATTCTCTTGGGTTATCCCCTCTGGAGGAAGCCAGCTGCTGTGTCCTGAGGACACTCAAGGACTCCTACAGAGAGGTCATCATGACAAGGAACTGGGGTCTCCCACCAAGAACCAGTGTCAGCATGCCAGCCATGTGATGAGTCACATGGGAAGCAGGTCCTCCATCCCCAGTCCAGCCTTCAGATGACTGCAGCTGACACCTTGAACGAGATCTCATGAGGGATCCTCAGACTGAATTACCTAGCTCAGCCTCTCCTGATTTCCTGGTTCACAGAAACTGTGTGAAATGATAAATGTTTATTATTTTAGGCCACTAATTTTGTGGTAATTTGTGGCAGAACAATAGGTAACTAATGAGGAACAATGCTGTAAAGTATATTATTGATCCCATTAGCTGCCTTTAAAAATAGTTACATATTTTACATAATATGTTTTATGTCACAGGTGAGGTTTGGTGACAAGTTAATGCCTAACATAATCAAAGGCTAAAATTGCTATAGATGTAACTTACTTCAATTCCAAATGTTAACAGTACTAAACAGTAACATCTTAAGAAGGGACTCATTCCTGTTTTTATTTAACAATACTGTAGTCCTCTGGCTTAAATTAGATGTAAATCTCCTCATAACCCCTCAGAGGTTTTTCCTTTTTTTTTTAATATCAGTGATAGGGCCAGTACTATACATAAATAATTCAGTATTTATTGCCAACCACCATGCTACAAAATTTACTTATCCACAATCTTTACTGTTCCTTCACTAGGTAAGAATTATCACTCCCATCTTACAGATGAGAGGACTGAGGTTCAGGAAGAAGGATTAAACTTCTATACACCTTTCAGCTGGCAAGAGGAGGAGCCAGAGCTTATTATTTTCAAAATATCAGACCAAGTTTTAGTTATTGGCATTGGATTTGCTACTGTGGCGACAGGCCTGAGTGGGAGTTGGGGTAGGTTATCCTGCTTTGGAATGTTCCTTATACAAACACCAATCAGACGGTGAACAGCTAATTGTGAGTGCTCCTTGTGTGCCAGACACTATGCCATGTTCTAAGAAGATAGTGGTTAAAAAAAAAGAACATGGGTTCTACCTCTACCCAGTGTATAAATTGGTAGGCTGCTTACCCAGCATTTATTCTTATTTTTTGGTGGAGGTCACTGAGGTTAAGAAGCCATTTAATAGCAGATGCCCAATATTTCCAAATAATGAATGTGATAAAGTGATATAAAGTGTTTTTTAATAGCACCAATGATACTCAGATCACATCCAGTCCAACTGTTTCATTTTATAGAAGAATCTGAGGTTCAGAAAGGGTAAATGACTAATGAAAAGGGTGTTGAACCTAAACCTGTGTGTAAGACCAAGTCCAGAGCTCCTCACACTCTAATCCAATAGCTTCCTGAATTTAAGGGGCTATGAGATAAAACCACCCCAACTATCTGACTCACCATGAACTGGAGCCTGGCTGACTTCTCAACTCCACCAGCTTCCATGCAGTGCTTCTCAATCCTGGCTACACATTTGCATCACCTAAGAAGCTTTAGAAAACTCCAAAGCCTGGCTGCACTGCCACCAATTAAATTAGAATCTCTAGAGGTGGGCTCAGGCAGCAGGATTGGTTAAAGCAGTCCAGGCAATTCCATAGTGCAGCCAAGCTTGAGAACTCCAGGTTGAGTTTCTGGTGATAGAGTCTTTCAGGCTCTTCCAGGTTTTGCTACTTCACTTTTTACCATGCACTGGGTTGGCTAGTGCTCCCCAAAATTCATGTTCTTCCTGAAACTCAGAATGTGACTTTATTTGGAAATAAGGTTGTTGTCAATGTAATTCGTTAATTTAAGAGGAGATAATGGAGTAGGGTATGCCATTAATCCGACTGGTGTCCTTATAAGAAGAGGAGAAGAGACACAGAAAGACACAGCAGAGAGGTGGATGCCATGTGAAGTCACACACAGAGGGAGGGTGGCCACGTGACGATGGAGGCAGAGATGGAGTCATGCAGCTTGCAAGCTGCAGAACACCAAGGAATGCCTGTAATGACCAAGGGCTGGGAAGCAGATCATGGCCCTGCTGACACCTTGATTTTGGACTTCTCAGCTCCGCAACTGTCAGAGAATATTGAGTTGAGCCATACAGCTTGTGGTAGTTTGTTATGACAGCCCTAGGAAACTACACCCCTCTCCACCAGCCGGGGGCTCCCCTGTGCACTACTTCCAACTTGAATGGCATGAGTCCAGCAGATGAGGTTCAATACTCCTTCTAGTCCTACTGTGATCCCCTTCTCTCCTTTGTGTGCCTTATCTCTGGTCAATGGTGAGTGTCCTGGTCTTCTTCCTCCCATTCATCTCCAGATTTCCCAGGCAGCAAACACAGCTAGTAGAGCTCCTCTTTACCTCAGAGTTCCTAAATTCCCTGGTTATGTATTTGGAGAACATTTTCCACGTTCTGCTGTTTGCTTTCCAGTCTTTTCCTCTTTCATCTTGATCCAGGGAGGAAGGGGAGCATAGCATCTAGAGCACAGACTTTAGAACCAGAGAGCATTAGCTCATCCCCTGGTTCTAACAGTTAGTGCCTATGTGGTCATGAACAAATTTTTAACCTCTCTAAGCCTCAGTTTTCTAATCTGTAAAATGGGGGTAAAACCTTCCACACAGAGTTGTCATTATAACGATGAAAGGAAGCCATGTCTGTATTTAGGATGGTGCCTTCAGCACACGGTAGAGATCAAGAACTCTAACTCTCAAACTGCTCTTTCCTATGAAGCCTAACTTCACATTCAGATTAGCACTTTAAATGGTCTAATTTTCTATTCCATTGCTCCCATGACATCCATTTTTCCCTGGACAATACTGTAGCCCATTGGAATCTCTCGTCTATTGTTCTTTGACTTATTTGGAAGCAGAGATAAACCCATCCTTCCTTCTTTATAATGTCATGCAGTGATACATCATTATTCCAGCCCTCCAAATATGCCATTTGCAGAGGCAGAATTATTGACTAGGAAGAAATTTTGTTTCATGAGGTAAGAGGAGTGAATGTGTGTATGTGTGTATACTTTGTTTTAGAATTCATTTCTAAAAATCTATATGAAAAAAATCTATTAGGTCTATCCAGAGAGAAAATGTACAGCTAGAAGAGAAACTAAATCTAATCTCTGGTTAGCGTGGGAATTGGGGGAATTATATCCAGAACCTTCATGAAAAAGCCTAGCTTTTTATATAACATGAACAACAACAACAACAAATAAATGGGAAAAAATAACAGACTTAAAATGAGAATGAATTTATTAAAGAGAAATTAAAAAGAAAATTATTAAGACAATGATTGGGAGAGACAGGATAAAATTTTAAGGATAGAAATTTTTAAAACTTAGAATAAAATGTTCTTTTAACCCTAGAAGAAAACCTAGGCAATACTATTCGGGACATAGGCATGGGCAAAGACTTCATGACTAAAATACCAACAAAATTGACAAATGGGATCTAATCCAACTAAAGAGCTTCTGCACAGCAAAAGAAACTATCATCAGAGTGAACAGACAACCTAAAGAATGGGAGAAAATTTTTGCAATCTACCCATCTGACACAGGTGTAATATCCAGAATCTAAAAGGAACATAAACAAATTTACAAACAAACAAACAAACAATCCCATCAAAAAGTGGGTGAAGTACATTAACAGACACTTCTCAAAAGAAGACATTTATGTGGCCAACAAACATGAAAAAAAGCTCATCATCACTGGTCATTAGAAAAATGCAAATCAAAACCACCATGCCAAATACCATCTCACGCCAGTTAAAATGGCGATCATTAAAAAGTCAGGAAACAACAGATGCTGGAGAGCATGTGGAGAAATGGGAACGCTTTTACACTATTGATGGGAGTGTAAATTAGTTCAACCATTGTGGAAGACAGTGTAGCAATTCCTCAAGGATCTAGAACTGGAAATACCATTTGACCCAGCAATCCCATTACTGGGTGTATACCCAAAGGATTATAAATCATTCTCCTATAAAGACAGATGCACAAGTATGTTTATTGCAGCAGTATTTACAATAGCAAAGACTTGGAACTAACCCAAATGCCCATCCATGATAGACTGGATAAAGAAAATGTGGCACATATACACTATGGAATACTATGCAGCCATAAAAAAGAATGTGTTTGTGTCCTTTGCAGGGACATGGATGAAGCTGGAAGCCATCATTCTCAGCAAACACACACAGGAACAGAAAACCAAACACCGCATGTTCTCACTCATAAGTGAGAGATGAACAATGAGAACACATGGACACAGGGAGGGGAACATCACACACCAGGTCCTATCGGAGGATGGGGGGGCAAGAGGAGGGAGAGTATTAGGACAAATACCTAACGCATGTGGGGCTTAAAACCTAGATGAGGGTTGATGGGTGCAGCAAACCACCATGGCACGCACATACCTATATAACAAACCTATACATTCTATATATGTATCCCAGAACTTACAGTAAAAAAAAAAAAAAGTTATTTTGAATAATCAGTAAAATGATTAAAATAAAAATTCAAATAGATAAAAGGAAAGATTTAAATAAAAATTTAAACAATTAAAAATAAAACCTGAACCTCAAAAGCTAAAATGAAAACCAAAACAAACCTAAATTGATATACTGTGATGTAAGATAGAATGTTAAAGATGAAGGCATGAAAAAATAATTAAAAAGGAAGCTCTGGCTGTAAAACCCAGAAGGTTAATGATTGAATGAGCAAGCAGTTAAATAGTCTCTAAAGTTTCTAGACACTTTAGAAAGGCAAAAAAAGACTGCAAGAAACAAAAATCAAAAGGATAAGGGACACTAAAATGACCTAACAAAAAAGCATGTTAAAGTTGAGATGTTGTCTTAGTCTGTTTGTGATGCTATAACAAAATACCTTAGACTGAGTAATTTATAAAGACCAGAAATTTATTGCTTACAGTTTTGAAGACTGGTAAGTCCAAGGCAAGATCAAGGCACCAGCATTAGGTGTCTTATAAGCGCCTCTTGCTGCATTCTCACGTGGCCAAATGTTCCCTGAAGCCTGTTTTATAAAGGCCTTAATCCCACTCATGAAGGAGGAGTCTTTATGGCCTCATCACCTCCTAAAGACCCCACCTCTTAATAGTATTACATTGGAGATTAAGTTTCAACATGAATTTTGGAGGGACACAAACACTCAAACCATAACAGTTATTAAAAACAATAATGTCAAGAAAGAAAAGCACACGAAAATAAGTAAGTTGCTGTTTGTGGAGCAATGGACACTTCCATACTCAGGGGTCCTTCAGGGGCAAGAACTGAGGTCCTTGTCACTGAGCTTGGAGGTGAAAGCTGCAGCCTAGCTTCTTTTCCAGAATTTGAAGGGTTGGTCTCAAATGCAAAGAAACCAGGAGCTTCCTTCTTCTCCCTTCATTTCCCACCCCCCAAATATCTTCTTGTAAGACCCTGCCTTGCCATTTCCCTATAGGTCCCCCTTTCAATTAGAAGTCTGAGTAGATAAGGGAGCAGGGACCTGCTGGGTTCAAGTGAATGGGGAGAATGACATGTCAGTGTGGGGTTGTGGCAGAGAAAGCTCGCCTCCTCCCATGGCATATTTCCTGGAATGTCCCACAGGTGCTCACACTCCCATGTCCTACATAAATGCAACCATCTTCCTCCAGATCTGTTCCTTCCACCCCATCTCTGCCCACCCTGTGCTCATTTAGCCCTTTAATGTCTCCACCATCAACTTAATCAAGCAGGCAACCTCAGAGTCACTTGGGACTGTTGAGTCAGAAAAAGGATGGTTAGTAGTGGGTCCAGGTCGATGTCCAGAAGTAATTCTAGAATTAATTCCATACCACTGGTCCTGCCCCATGCTGCCTCACTTGGTATCACTCAGCAGACTTTTCTGGGCATGGTGTCATTTTAAGCAATGGAAATGGACTGGCTGGCTCCTCAGTTGGTTGAAGTAAGTCTGGAGAGATCAGCTTTTACAGTTCCTGTCTTGCTTAGCATATGTTTTATTTATTTATTTATTTTGAGATGGAGTCTCACTCTGTCACCCAGATTGGAATGCAGTGGCATGATCTCAGCTCACTGCAACCTCCACATCCCAGGTTCAAGTGATTCAGCCTCCCGAGTAGCTGGGACTACAGGCATGCACCACCAAGCCTGGCTAATTTTTTGTATTTTTAGTAGAGATGGGGCTTCACCACACTGGCCAGGCTGGTCCCGAACTCCTGGCCTCAAATGATCTGTCTGTCTTGGCCTCCCAAACTGCTGGGATTACAGGCATGAGCTACCGTGCCCGGTGCATATGTTTTATTCAAAGGAAGACCAGAAGAGATCTGAGCGACCATATGGAAGGCTTTGGGGCCAAGAGGCTTTTTAATAATCTCTGTCAATCTCTCTCTGCCTTTATCCCTCCACAATGAAGCAGGGACTGCAAAAGCCACCTATGGCTTCTATTAATACAGGAGAATTCAACTCAAGGGACTGCAGGCCATGGCCCAAGAGCCTTTCCTCTCACTAATCTGATTAGACACTCAATCTTCTGTAGCTATGTGATTCAGGCCAACACTTAGACACATGGCATGTCTGGGCTCTTCAGAGATGCACTGGGGTTTTCTCTGTGTGAAGGCACTTTGAGCTTAACATGCTGTGAACAGACAGTGTCTGGAGAGGATGACAGGAGTGGGAGAGGAAGATGCCGCTGCAGAGACTTCTAGCAACGAACTCCGACACTGACATCCCTGGGCAAATCACTGCCACTTGTTTGAAAAACAGCCTCAAGTGGATGTCATGCTGACGGTAATAAGATTTAAAATTAGTCTTAACGTGCCTTTATCAAAGGAGGCTTAATTGCAGGGTCTAATCAGTACATAAAATACTCTAACGACAGTTTTGCTGACAAAGTAATTCTAAACAAACCAGAGGATTTAGAAATGGGTAACATCTTTGTGGAATTACTCAGTTTTGGTGTCACTAAAGTCGGCCTCCATTCAAGCCCGTCTCCTCATGCTCTAGGTCTTCTGATTTAGAATTTATACATTTAGAATTTCTAAGATATCCTTGCCTGTGATCCAGGAATACTATCGTGTCTTAGTGTATCTTGTCTGGCCAGATACACTATTGCAGAGGAAGGAGCTCTGCTGTGTACCTGCTACGTGATCTTGGGCAAGTTACTTATCTTCTCTGAGACTCAGTTTTCTCACCTGTTAAATGAAGGAAATAATGCCTGCTTTGAAAGGTTGTTGAGGGGATTTAAATAAATGAGCTATGTGGATCCATTTTTATGTTGTTTCTCTCTCCAATCCCAGAAAGCTATGATGCTCTCAGCCCTAGTGACCCTAGGGATGCTGTTACTAAGTGTTTTTTGTGATTTGCAAATAGGATTATTTGTATTATTTGTATTTGTATTATTATATTTGTATTGTATTGTATTATATATATTTGTATTGATTATATTGTATTATTTGTATTTGTATTATTATATGTAGCTCAGTGGTTCTCAACTTGGGGTGATTTTGCCCCCAAGGGACATCTGGCAACGTCTAGAGCCATTTTTGGTTGTCACAACTAGGGGGAGAGGGGCAGGTTCTACTGGTGTCTAGTGGGGAGAGGTCAGGGATGCTCCTAAACATCTCACAACACACAGGACAGCCCCATGACAAAGACTTATCTGGCCCTAAATGTCAATAATGCCCTGGCCCTAGAGGATGATATATATTAGCATTCATGGGTTCCCCTAAGGAGTATGCCTTGTAGATCTCCCTTTTGTTTAAAGAGGCTTTAAAGAGGGCTGAGGGAAAGTACTCCAATGGAATCGCAGTGAGTTCCAATTACTGAGCATAAGGGAAGCAGATCTAAATCCAGCCTGACTTGGCCAGTATTTCTCTGTTCTTTGTTCTTCAAGTGGAGGTCTGTGAATGGTCTGCTAGCATCCTGCATCTTCTCATTTCCGTCTGACTCGAAGTATTTCCTGCAACTTTCCTCCATGTGATATATGGGATTGACTTAATTTTGCTGTCCTTCTCACCCATGAATGCTGAACATTGAGAAATATACAGAAATATCTTGTGTGTGAAGTCAAGAGCAGCTAGACCTGCCAGGAGGCTTTTCCAGAGGTCATGGGGAATGGTCACAGGAAACAAGATACTGAGCTTAGGAGAAGATGAATGGGATCACTGGAGGAGGCCCCAATGAAACCTGGCTACTTGGAGGGCAGGTGTATGATAGATTCATTCTCCCCAGCTGATTCCATCAATTGGTGATACAAGTACATATAAATATACAGTATATTATCAGTTTTATTTGCCTGGAAGGAAAATATATTAAATATTAATGATAGTTATTTTCTTGATAGATATAACTTTTTCCCCCGGGTAGCTGTTTTTGAACTTTCTAAATTTTCTCTGAGTATTTTACATATTAAAAAAATGGATTTTTTTAAAGAAGAATTAAAGAGTCGTTTCTGAAATGTCTGCCTGAACTTTATATTCTGAGGATTTCTTCTCCTCTGTAAATCGCAGGTTAGATGTTGGCAAGCTGCTGCTAAGAGATAAATTGCTCTCCCACCTCCCCAGCTGAGAGTCATGTCTGGGTAACAGCTGCTTCAATAATGACTTTATTTGGTGATGGATGTATTCTTGCTTTACAGATGCTGAGATGACTTGAGCCAAATGAAATTGCATGTATGACTGTTCATTTCTCCTCACTCCACTCACGGTAGGTGCCAGAGACAGAGGGCCTCAAGCCAGGGAAGGAGGATGTGACATTGCTTTCCTCTTCGTAGAGGCGATGTCACCCTTGGGCACTTGCTCCTAGAGAGCTGCATGCAGCTGGCAACTGCACCAGCACAGCAATATCGCCCACAGCAGGCTCCGCTGAGGCCAAGCCCCACCCCGCCCAGGTTCCTACTCTCCCTTCTGCTTTGCATTTTGTGATGATGGCAAATCACTCTTTTCCAAACGAAAAAAGAAAAATGCAAGATCCAGTCTTGAGAAGGAATGTTCTCACTTCTCAAAGAGCTACTGGTCTATAATGCGAGAAAGCTGGAAAGCTGTTTATTGGAAGAACTGTGGATGTTTCTTGTCACGAAGGCATGACCCTATGGCGCTGAAAGGCATATATTTCGGAATAACAACTTCTAGCATATATTTTGGAATGTAACCCTCTCAAAGAACTACCTTGCAGCTCTCAAGGACCACCGTGATCTCAAGGAGAAGTTATCTACGAGCAAATATAGAAGGGAGAGAAGGACCAGGAAGAGGCAAGTTGGCAGAACCCAGGATAAATCCACATTTGGGGGTTATACTGAGAACAGCGAGGAAGTTCTCTTACAACTTATGACCAGAATATCCACTAGCAAAATGTAGTGGCCTGTTTCCTCCATCCAAAAGAGAAATGGAAAGCCCCAAACTTGGGATCAAGAAAGTGAATAACATAATTATAAAAGGGTGAAAGTCTAACACAAACTGTCCTTTTGAGGACAGCAGAGCCCATGGGTCAGAAAAAGCCTAACAGCCCCTGACTTAACCCCTTTCTTACTGTGTGACCTTGGGAAGTGACCTAAGTGCTCTGAGCTTTTGACTTTTATAGGTAAAGTAGGTAATAATACCAACCTCCTGGGGGTATTCAGAGAGAGAAGTGATAAAATGCAAGGAAAGTATTTAGCACAATGCCTTGCACCAGGTTGTCAGTCAACAGTAGCTAACTCAGTATCGATGGCAGCCAAAACCACACAAGCACCACATGCCCGATGTCCGATAAAGGCACGTTGCAGGGATTTTGCCATTATTTCTGGTGCCATATAGAATACCCCTTAGCTCCTGACCCTGGTACCATTTTTTGCTGGTTCTGCCTGACTCCTGCATGTTGACTCAGTTTCCATTTTTAGCTCTATTCCTGCAGGTTGGACCACAGATGTTGGTTTTCTAGGTAATCTCTATCCGGAATTGGGCCTATTTGCTTAACACCTAGCACTACCACACAGGAAGGTGAGGATGAGATTTGGATAGTAGGATTTGAAAAATGAGACACTGTTAATTCATGAGAAAGAAGTATGAGGGTTTTAGTTAATTGTAAAATCCACACGGTCAGCAACAAATTTGGGAGGAGGGGTGAGTGTAATCTGATTCCAAAACTCAAGGGGGGGCCTCCAAGTGGGCATGTGCTTGATTTTGGGCAGTAGAAAGATCTAGCAATAAGTATTTAGTAGGCACTATTTATCAAGTATTCACTATATACTAGACACTATTCGTTGAAATTTATAAACATGATTTAATATAATCCTTCAACCACTGTTAGAAAAGATTGTACAAAGTTTTACCAACCAGGAAATAACTTACTTGAAGTCAAACAGCAAGCAAGTATTGAATCTGGAATTTGACACAGGCCTTCAAAGCTAATATATATTTTTTTAACAACTGAATAACTCTAACATTGGCCCCAAATTGGGCCTTTCCTCAACAATTAGTAATTATCACACACACATATTTTGTCTCTCCCTTCCTCTCAAACACTCAGAAGAGTTAGCTAGAAAAGCACTCATAGATTATTAATTTTTAGTGTCTCATTTTTTATGCCTCTCTTCTTAAAAACTATGTTTTGTATCAACAGATCTTGCTCAATCTCTTAGAGTTTTGGAGCAACATTGTTACCTGATTCCAAAGACAAAATGAAATGGCATAATAAAATGAAAATGGTTGTGTTCTTCAGCTTTAAATGTGCAAAACTACTCTGCAAGTTAAGTAAGGCCTTTTGTTTGCTGGACTGTCAAAACACATTTAGAAAACATGGTTTTCAAGTGATCTATTTTAACTGGAACATGATAGAACTAAAATTTATCTATTGAAGCTAAGCTGCAAACCATGTCACATAGGAAGGGTTGAAAAGAAATGGGAAAACAGAAAACTAAAAGGGACATAATAGTTGTTTTCAAATATTGAAAGGTTGTTGTGAAGAAGTCAAATTGAATGTATCCATGTGGTCTTAAGGAGTGCATAGGGGGCTGTTAGATGGAAGTCACTAAATGTAATGAATGTTCTTATGTTCTTGTGTATATTCAGATTATTCTGTGTTCAAAGGGGGCATTTTGGTGGCTAGTTGGGTTTTTGGCTCTATAGTTGTCCAGCAGAGGCTGGCTTGAGGATGGACTTCTTATACTTGGACAGTGGGTCAGATTAATGACTACTAAGAGTCTGTAATTTTACCCATCAAATTGCATCATCCAAATAGGCAGGTATACTCATTGCTGTCGGAGGCTTTTGCAAGAATCTGAGACAGACAGACTAGGAGTGAGGGTAGGGGTACCACTGCCCATGAGACTACAGGAAGGCCTGGTGAGAGAAGGAGTGAGATGAGAGAAGAAATGGGAGAGCTGAGGTCAGAGGTCAAGGGAAGCGAATTGAGTGTCAACCATAGGTGGTAGATAAATAGAAGCATGGTGCATTGGTAGAGGTTGGAATGAAGCAGGAAGTTAGAGTGCAGTGGGCAAGAAGGCAATGTAGGGGATCCAGTGGATAAAGTTAGTCCAGGTCCTTAATCTGCTGACACTGGATTTAAAAATGCAAAATAAATTTTTCTTATTTCAAATGCAAGACATGCTCATTACAAAAATCTGAAATATAGATTTTCATTACACAAACAAGAAAATATAAATTCCCAGAGTTCTAGTCAATCAGAGAAAACTATTAAAAACACGTTAGTAGAGCCGAGCGCGATGGCTCATGCCTGTAATCCCAGTACTTTGAGAGGCTGAGACAGGAGGATCACCTGAGGTCAGGAGTTGGAGACCAGCCTGGCCAACATGGTGAAACCCTGTCTCTACTAAAAATACAAAAATTAGCTGGACATGGTGGTGGGCGCCTGTAATCCCAGCTACTCAGGAGACTGAGGCAGGAGAATCACTTGAACCCTGGAGGCAGAGGTTGCGGTGAGCTGAGATCGCCCCACTGCACTCCAGCCTGCATGACAGAGTGAGACTCTGTTTCAAACAAAACAAAACAAAAACAAAAACTAAAACTAAAAAACACATTGGTGTATATCCTTCTGAATGCTTTTCTAGGCATATATACAACACACACACTGACATTCTAAAATAAAATCCATATACATTTTCATACAGTTTTATGAGCTATTTTTTTCAGTTAACATCTTATTAACATCTTTCCTTTCAACGGGCCACTTCACATGATTATGAATGTTAGTCATGTGTGTCAAGGTATAAATGGATGTCTCATAGTTTATTTTAGCCTGAGGTTTTACAATTTTATTTTAAACACTGGAATCCTTTCATGAAACAAAATCATACATGGGGCGTAGCAAATAAACAGATAAACAAAACAAACAGAGCAGCTCCATTTGATGAGTAAAATTGCAAAGTCAAGAGTCAGTCATATTTTGAAAACTTTGGCTGTATATTACCAAATTTTTTTCCAGAGAGATTGTGAGAGCCTGTTTTATTACCCTTTCACCATCATGGAATATTTTAAAAATGTTCTCAAATTTTGTCTTATGATGTTAATGTGCCTTTTAATATTATCTGTGATCTTAAACATTTCCTTTGTTTATTGATTTCTTTGCTTATTCATACAGAATTTACTTACTATTTTAAATCCACATTTATTTTGGATTATACTATGCTGAATTATTGTGTTTTTTGATTTTTAAATACCACTTATACATTAAGAGAAATAATCTTTAATCATACAAAAATTTGCCAAGTTGAAAGGCCAAAAACATGTATCATTTTAATGTGTATTTCTTCAAGTTTTTTTGATGGTATTTTTTTTCAATTATTCCCCTGGTCATTTATACTGATATTTTGTTAATTGCCTGTTTATTTCCTTTTCACATTTTTCACTAAAGCATTCATTTTTTCTTATTTATTTATTATTGAATTAATTTAATTTTCTTTATCTTTTTCCTCTTCTGTTGATAGAGAAGTCACACATTTTGTTTCTAATATTTTCAATAGTTATTCCCCAATTTTTAACATGTAGAGTTGATTTAAAGTCTAAAGATTATCAGTATCTCTAAGCTTCTGAAAAGTAAAAGGAGGTTAAAGTACTTTAGGTTACGTTATATGTTTTTGTTGTACGTTACATTCTTCTGTATTTTAATTCCACATAGTTTTAAGACACCTTAAATTAGTTATTATTAGTTATAAGGTGTGTTAAAACTTAACACACTTTAAATTAGTTATTATTATTGTGTCTTTTACACAGCTATTTCTGGTTTAGAATTACTTTCAAAATTATCCTTCTTTCCCTTACTCTTAGAGATCATCTGTGAGTGACAAATTCCCTTTAACCTTGTTGGAAATGTCTTTATTTTGTTTCCATTCTTGAGTGACAGTTTAACTGGGAATACAATTCTACTTAAAATTATCTTCTCTCAATGCTATGAAAACATATGATCAGACCTCCATTCCAGAGCCTCTCCACGGGTGCTGCGGTGCATACCTCTCTCCTCATTGCAGTGCACTGTGGACTGGTCACTGGTATGCAGAAGAATTGATGGCCTGGTTGTCAGGGTGTCAGGGCAGGGCTTGGGCTGTGGCCCTTCCTGGTGAGCAGCCTTATCTGCCTACCCTCGTGTGTTGTACAGGCATCATAACTTTCAACGTATGCTGTGACATAAAAATACTCAGACAAACATAGAGTCAAATGATGAGTGAACTCCCATTCACAATTGCTACAAAGAGAATAAAATACCTAGGAATACAACTTACAAGGGATATGAAGGACCTCTTCAAGGAGAACTACAAACCACTGCTCAAGGAAATACGAGAGGACACAAACAAATGGAAAAACATTCCATACTCATGGATAGGAAGAATCAATATCATGAAAATGGCCAAACTGCCCAAAGTAATTTATAGATTCAATGCCATCCCCATCAAGCTACCATTGACTTTCTTCACAGAATTAGAAAAAACTACTTTAAATTTCATATGAAACCAAAAAAGAGCCCAAATAACCAAGACAATCCTATGCGAAAAGAGCAAAACTGGAGGCATCATGCTACCTGACTTCAAACTATGCTACAAGGCTACAGTAACCAAAAGAGCATGGTACTGGTACCAAAACAGATATATAGACCAATGGAACAGAACAGAGGCCTCAGAAATAATGCCACACATCTACAACCATCTGATCTTTGACAAACATCACAAAAACGAGCAATGGAGAAAGGATTCCCTATTTAATAAATAATGTTGGGAAAACTGGCTAGCCATATAAAGAAAACCAAAACTGGACCCCTTCCTTACACCTTATATGAAAATTAACTCAAGATGGATTAAATAAGTGTAAGATCTAAAACCATAAAAACCCTAGAAAAAACCTAGGCAATACCATTCAGGACATAGGCATGGGCAAAGACTTCATGACTAAAACACCAAAAGCAATTGCAACAAAAGCCAAAATTGACAAATGGGATCTAATTAAACTAAAGAGCTTCTGCACAGCAAAAGAAACTATCATCAGAGTGAACAGGCAACCTACATAATGGGAGAAAATTTTTGCAGTCTATGCATGAGACAAAGGGCTAATATCCAGAATCTACAAAGAACTTAAACAAATTTACAAGAAAAAACAAACTACTCCATCAAAAAGTGGGAGAAGGATATGAACAGACACTTCTCAAAAGAAGACATTTATGTGGCCAACAAACATGAAAAAAAGCTCCTCATCACTGGTCATTAGAGAAATGCAAATCAAAACCACCATACCAAATACCATCTCACGCCAGTTAAAATGGCGATCATTAAAAAGTCA
This sequence comes from Homo sapiens, assembly GCF_000001405.40. Classification (NCBI taxonomy): domain Eukaryota; kingdom Metazoa; phylum Chordata; class Mammalia; order Primates; family Hominidae; genus Homo; species Homo sapiens. The sequence goes on from NC_000007.14 coordinate 36,847,107, forward strand.
GGAAACAACAGATGCTGGAGAGCGTGTGGAGAAATGGGAATGCTTTTACACTGTTGGTGGGAGTGTAAATTAGTTCAACCATTGTGGAAGACAGTGTAGCAACTCCTCAAGGATCTAGAACCAGAAATACCATTTGACCCAGCAATCCCATTACTGGGTATATACCCAAAGGATTATAAATCATTCTACTATAAAGACAGATGCACACATATGTTTATTGCAGCACTATTCACAATAGCAAAGGCTTGGAATCAACCCAAATGCCCATCAGTGATAGACTCGATTAAAAAAATGTGGCACATATACACCATGGAATACTATGCAGCCATAAGAAAGAATGCGTTTGTGTCCTTTGCAGAGACGTGGATGAAGCTGGAAAGCATCATTCTCAGCAAACTAACACAGGAACAGAAAATCAAACACCACATATTCTCAATAATAAGTGGGAGTTGAACTATGAGAACGCATGGACACAGGGAGGGTAACATTACACACCAGGGCCTGTAGTGGGGGGTGGGGGACTAGGGGAGGGATAGCATTAGGAGAAATACCTAATGTATGTGATGGGTTGATGGGTGCAGCAAACCACCATGGCACGTGTATACCTATGTCACAAACCGCACGTTCTCCACATGTATCCCAGAACTTAAAGTATATTAAAAAAAAATTACTCAGCGTCCTCTTCCATTGTTGCTACTGAAGTAGCAACCTCTGTTAGTGTAACACTTCCTGTGAAGGTGATCGTCTTTCTCTCTAGGTATTTCACATTTTCTCTGTCTTTGGTGTTTTTCAGTGTCACTGTGATTTTTATCAATGCATATTTACTTATCTTGCTTGGGACTTTTTACATTTCCAAATCTAAGGATTTGTTTTACTGGAAAATCTTCAGCCATTATTCCTTGAAATACTGCATTTCCACCATTTGCTCTTCTTTCGTTTTGGAACTTCTATTAGAGTTCTCACCTTCAAGCTGCCTAACAGTCAATTTTTTTTCTCAATTCTTTGCATGGCCTTTTGGGTAATTTTTCTCAGATCAGTCTTTCAGCTCATTAATTCTCTCTTCAGTTGTGTCTAACCTATATTTAACGTGATACGGAGTTCATTTTTCCAATGACTGTATTTTTCATGTTTTACTGCTTTTGTCATCTCTTTATTGTTCTGGGGATTTCAATTCTATTTAAAATATGTTTACCTCAGGCCAGACGTGGTGGCTCACACCTGTAATCCCAGCACTCTGGGAGGCCAAGGCAGGCACTTTATTTTATTTTCATGTTTTTATTCCATTATGTCAAGTTTTGGGGTATCTAATCTTACTCTTACTCATTATAGATTGTGAGTCTTTTTTCTCCCACAGCCTAGTCAGAGAAGATTTCATGTTAGCTTCTTGTGACAATGGTTAGGTTTCTTTTTCCCCCCGCATCTAACTTGCAAATGAGGGTGTAGCCGTCTTAAGATCCTGGCTTTTATGGGAAGACATCAGTTCTCTTCCTAATTAATATGCAAATGAGGTCTGGTCTCTAAATTCCCCACCTGGACACTAGAACTTACACCTCTCTCAAGACAACTAACACCCTGGGGAGGCCACAGCCTCAGCCACAAGTTTAGTGCTTTGGATTTCAGTTCTTTCCTCATCACTGACACGTGTGGATTTCCCTTTTTGTAATAGAAGATCAGGGAAATCATTTAAAATGATTTTTATTGTTTTAAATTTTTAGCCACATTTGAAATAATTGTTTTGGGGAGGATGTTTTGGGTATTGCTATGAAACCAGAAGTTCTTTATACTTAAATTCTGTCTTATGGTGTAAAGATTTTCTTTGTGGCCATCTATATGAGGAACGTTTTCCAAAGATATATTATGTATATTTTTTGTAGACTATGTATATCCAAACATCTTTATTTTTTATTTCTCTCTCTCTCTTTTTTTTTTTTTTTTTTTTGGATACAGGGTCTCAATCTGTTGCCCAGGCTGGAGTGCAGTCACTCGGTCACGGTTCACTGCAGGCTTAAACTCCTAGGCTCGAGCAATCCTCCTGCCTCAGCTAAGTAGCTAAGAGTAGCTAAGACTACAGGCATGCACCACCATGTCTGGCTTTTTAAATTTTTTGTAGAGAAGGGATCCAAAACATCTTTCAAATTCAGTTAATCATATATATGCCATTATTTGAAGTCTCTACCTAAGGAATGGTGCTCATCACTTCTCTTCTATATATAATAGTTTTGGTTTATATATTTCAAGGTGATTTTATTTAGCATGTAGATATTATTGATGAATAAAATATTCTATTTTATTTAGCACACAGACAGAGACATGAAAAAAAGTATCAACGTGAAAGAGTACAGAGGGTCTGCAACTTACAATGGTTCACCTAGATTTTTTGACTTTGTGATGGTGTGAAACTGTTGCAATTTGAATGTACTTCAAATTTTGAATTTTGATCTTCTCCTGGGCTTGCAATATGCAGTATATGAGATATCCAACACTTTCTTATAAAACAGGTTTTGTGTTAGCTGATTTTGCCCAGTAGGCTAATGTGTTTTCAGCACATTTAAGGTAGGCTAGGCTAAGCTCAGATGTTCAGTAGGTAGGTATATTAAATGCATTTTTGACTGAAGATATTTTCAACTTACAAAAGGTTTATTGGGATGCAACTCTGTTGCGAGTTGAGGACCATCTGTATTATAAAATAACTTTCTTTTTCCTATCTTTGTATTTTCAATTTTATTTTGCCTGCTGTTTATTTGCTCCTTCCCCACCACCTCCTCTCTCCACTCATTGCAGTGGGACTTTGCATTTGCTGGTATTTCTTGCTCAACTCTGTATTTGCAATTATTGTGTGTCATTTTGTCTTAGGCACATATCTTGTAACCAGCATTTGTCCAGATTTTGCTTTTTCAGCCAGTCTGAGAAAGATTTGGTCTTACTTCTATTTTTGTATTTATATATTGAACTTTGAAAATACAGTTGACCCTTGATCAACACAGGTTTGAACTGTGCAAGTCCATTTTTATGTGGATTTCCTTCTGCCTCTATCACCCCGAGACAGCAAGACCAACCCCTCCTCTTCAGCCTACTCAATGTGAAGATGATGAGGATGAAGACCTTATTAGTGATCCACTTCAACTTAATATTAATAAATAGCAAATATATTTTCTCTTATGATTTTAATAGCATTCTTTTCTCTAGCTTTAAGAATACTGTATATGATACAAATAATATACAAAATATGTATTAATTGATTGTTTATATTATCAGTAAAGCTTCTGATCAAAGGTAGGCTATTAGTAGTTACGGTTTTGGGAAGTCAAAAGTTATACTTGGATTATTTGACTGTGCTGGCAGTTGATACCCCTAACTCCCATATTGTTCAAGGGCTAACTATATAGACTTCTATTTTGCTGTCTTTTGCAATGGTGATCAAGTTTCGTCTCTTCTACAGCACCCTGTATATAATCTCTGTTGGATTCCATTTGCTTCCAATAATTTGATTGACTGAATGATTGATATTCAGCCTTCTTTAAAAGTGAAGCATTTTTGACACATACTCAGCCTCCAGTCCCACCCTTCCACGACTCTTCTTTTGTGCTGCTGCCTGTGTGACAGTCGTGATCTTAAAATGCAAATCTGGTCATGCCATTTACCCAGGTAAAATATGTCAGTGGCTCTTGATCACATAAAGAATATATTTCCAACTTCTTGGCAAGACAGTCAAGATTCTTTACCTTTTTTCCCATCTTATCTTCTATTCTCTCTCCCATATTCCTCTCTGTTCTCCAGCCATGAAAGTTTCCTCTTTCTAATGCCTTAAGTGATTAGGGTATAATTATATTTTTATATGGGTTTATAGCATACACGCTACCTCCCCACTGGAATTTATCTTAAATTGTGGTTTTATTGCATTACCTCCAATCCTTAATTCAAGAAGTATATCAAAATTCTTAAATTTTCCACTCTTCCTTTCTCTTTCTCATTTTTCTTTACCGTAAAACAGACTGAATTGGTTGAAAAATGGTCCTTCATATCTACAGGTTCTGCATCCTCAGATTTAACCAACTGAGACTGAAAATATTTGGGGAAATAAACAATAAAAAACACAATACAAACTCTAAACTTTGAAAATGATAGAGTCTAAACCATTTGTATAGCACTGACATTGTATTAGGTATTATAAACAGTCTAGAGATGATATAAAATATACAGGAGGATGTGCATAGGTTATATGCAAATATGATGCCATTTTATATAAGGGACTTGAGCATCCTGGGTTTCGGTATCCAAAGGCTCCTGGAACCAATCCCCCATGGATCTGGAGGGATTGATCGCATATCTTCTAGTTTAAGCTATGCTAAAGATCCCACCCTCAAACCACCGTGGATGACAGAGGAAAGGAAGGAAAGGGAAGGGACGGGGAGGGCAGGGGATTTCCTTTTTGAGCACTGACAGTTTTCAGTCACCTCATGTATAATCCTCACAAGTAATAACATTTCCATTATATAAATGAGTAACAGGCACACAGTAAATGACTTGCCTCAAATTATCTTTCTGTTTGGAGAAGTCCACCAAATGCACACTATCTCATTATTTCATCTCATTATCATTTCCTAAACTCTTCTGTTCCTCCTCTCTTCCTGATTTTTGCTCACAGCCCTCTCTCTTACCTCTTCTAGGAGCTCAGGAGTCCTCTGCACTCTCTCTCTCTTACCCCCATGCTAATGAGGTCTCCGCTTCCAGCTCATTCTGCCTCTTTAATAACTTTACCCTCCTCCCCATTTCTATTACTACTACCAAAGTCTAAGCTCAAATAATGCTGGTTGGGATTATTTCAAAAATCTCCTTGCTAATATTTCTGCTTCCAGTTTTCTCCCACTTCAAGCTTGCCCCCACAAGGCTGTTTTGTATCTGTGATACTTCTGAATGGCAAATCTGACATCACACCTCTTAATGCACTCTCTTTTGCCCGCAAGTAAACGTCCTTGCCAACTCTGTCAGGATTTTCATGATCTGTGCTTTTCTTCCTCTGCAGTGTTATCACCCTTTGCTCTCTCATATGCATCCGGCACAGCAGCCACACTGAATGACCTACAGATTCCTGAGTCGTTCCAGATCAGCCGCCTCCATGCTTTGTTCACACTCTCTACTCTACTTAGGTTTCTCTCTTACATGGTGAACATCCCTTTTTCAAGATCTTACTCAAGTTTCTACTCCTCTCTTGCTTTCCCTTATACCATTTTGGAAAGTGTTGGTCACAACCTCCTTTCTACTATTCTACCTTGTACATATTTATATAATGCTATTTACCACACTGTGCTGCAACTTTTCGGTTTTATATTTGACTAAGTTGCTTGTCATTTCCCTGATTTGATGAATTTTGTTCTCATTTTTACAAATCTCAATTTTACAAATTTTGTTCTTGTTGAGTTCCTAGGGCCTATCTCTAAGCACACTTTTGATTATTGAATGGATATTTCATTTCCCCTTAAAATGAAAGGATTGTGTTAATTGTATTTTCATAACTAAAACAAAATGGATGACTGGTATGCATGTCATTGGGGACACCCATTGCTTTGTTCATTGTAAAAGCAGGTGGACAGGACATGCTGTAGGTGATAACTGAAGGATGGCTTAGAACGGACTTGCAAATAGACTCAAGAAACATTCAGCCTTGCACTTTTTCTTTTGCAATTACTATTAGCTTTCCCTGCCCTTAAATGTTGTCACAGAGGTTTCAGAGGCCAGTTAATTCTCCTTCCTCTTATGTGTTCTGAACAAGAATAAGAGAGGAATTTAAACATCAGCAGATTCAAATTAAGTAATCAGTTTTATTTTGAGTAATATGAATAGCAGAATGCAACTTGGACTTCACGACAACATCAGTCTTCCTACTTTACTTCTGCCTTGGATTTGGCTGAGTTGCCCAGGCTTAGGAAACTGCAGGCAACAGGAGATGAGTTGGAGGTGGTAGGCTCATTGCATGGGAAAAAAAGCCTTGGGCAGCCTGGAGAGAGAAGGTGAGGTGGCCAAATATGGGCAACAATCCTTCCCCACATGGTCACAAAATGAATGGAAACAGATGGCATACTCTTCAGATCTCACAGGTCCAAAGGAGGGTCTAGGGAGGAGCTGGAGAATGCTGCCTTTCATAGTCCTGAAAAGGTTTCTTTCTATTAAATGCACCAAAGCTGGAGTGCCAGAAGAGAGAGGGGCTGGATCTCCCCAACCAAGGTCACAGGACAGATACATTTCTTAAACCCAGTGTCTCAGGACCTCAGAGATCCTGGTCCAGAAAGTTCCCTTTTTCATGGATTGGATCTTGTAACCCATAAGAAAAAAATAATATGACTTTGTTTGCTGCCTTTGACCTAACACTTACTGTTTTATCATGATGATGGGTAGATTAATAACTGCTCCTGATAGCAAGTACATGTTAATAACATCGAAGCTTAATGATCAAGGAATTAACAGCTTGACACAGGTGTGAGTGCTCTGATGGGAAGAAGGAACCCCTGTGAATGCAAAGGACTTTTTTCCTGCAATGCATGCAGTGCTCTGGACCATATCATCTCAACCCAGGTCAATCTGTAATTGCACATCCTGATGACGGTAAAGAGAAATGACCTGGATGCTTCCACAGCTTGTGCTGTGAGGCCAGAGTGGCTGGTGCTGTGCCACGCTTAATACTGCATGCTTGGACCCTTCTGACATCCCTCCCAGTGCTGGGAGTTTACAATCCTGATAATGCCTCCAGTGCAAATGACTTAAGAAACATCCTTCGCTGGGCTCTGACCTATAATTTATTAACCCACGGTTAGATTTATTTAGTTCTGGCTTATTTCAGGTCTGTGGGTATGCATTCTTTTCATTGCTAAATGTGCTCCCTCAAAGTTGTGATGTCTTTAATTAGACCCATTCTATAAATTATATCATGGTAAGAAAGAAAAAAGAGAAAGTCATGGTCAAGAGACAGCAATGTAAAAGGAATAGATATTTTCATACAGTGGGTCTGATTTTCTCAGTGAGTCGAGATGGTCTTCTTAGAAGTAACATTCTCCACTGATGCTCAGAGCCTATGGTGACCTAGCAATGGTGGAGGGTTTCCCACAGCAGTGTTTTTCAAACCAATGTACATAAACATCACCCAATTCAGCAGGTCTAGGGTGGAGCTGAAGAGCTGGCATCTCCAACAAGCTCCCAGGTGATGCTGATGACTGAGTAGCAAGAACCTAAGTTACTAAATCAAAACACCAGCTCCCCAAATCATCACAATCCATTTTATTCCACAGCATGTTTAAGGGAATGTTATTTTCAGGAAGATGTTTGGGATTAAAATAATTAAAAAAAAACTGGAAATTCACACATTTATGTATCTCTTCTTTTCATTAAATATATATCTGTTTGGCAAAAAATGTTAGACTCTTTTGTACAAAAACAAAGCAAAAAAAAAAAAAAAAACTAACCCAAAACTCTTGCAAATTGTAAATACCAGTAATAATTACAATGATGTAAACTTGGATGTCTGACAGCTTGACCATCCTGTGGAACTTGAGTTGCAGCAGGACCTCCCAGGAGAAGGTAACACCAAACGCTTGGATAGCAACAGTCCGTCCTAGAGGCATTTAGGTTTAGTCTATTAGAGATGGAGCGAGACTACTGATTTCACCATTTGTGCTTTCAGCTAAGAGGCTGGGAGCGTGGGTGGAAATGAAGAAGGCAGTTCTGGCCTGGGGCAGGGAGAGGAAACCCCAGACTAGCTGGTGAGGAGGGAAGATTTGTCACGATCACAGTGCAGACGCAAAGTGGGCATGGGACCTGTGGACTGTTTGGGAAATTTATGCTAGGGAGGATCACGAGGAGGCTGCGGCTGCTGCTCTTGGGACCAAAGAGGAACAGAGCAAGGCAAAAGCAGGGAGAGAGGTGGGAGGAGATTTGAGCGCAGATCTTAATTCAAGTGTAACTGGTGGTGCGAGATGATTCTAGAGAGAGGGGAAAGGAGGATGTGGGGTTTGGTCTTCTCATCAAATAGCTAGGCCATTTCCTCCAGACAGGGGCCTTGGGGCACTGCCCTTGGTCTGGTGGGCAAGTTTTTGGGCAGTCTGGGGCTGCTGGCTTTCCTGCCCAAGGGAAGGAAGGGCATGCCTGCAGAGGGCTAGGATGGAAGGGCCCTTTGGCCTTCTTACTGGCAGTGGGCTTTGCTCTTGTCCCACCAGTGGACTGCAGCCATGGGAAGTGACCTGAAGCAGTGGAGCCGAGGAACAGAATCAGGGCGGTGAGCAAGATGCCAGCTAGGGGCTGAAAGTTGCCAGGGCTAGAGGTGATGCTGAAGGGAATGTGGACCCACAGCTTCCCTTTACCAAAGGACGGTTCCAAGGCGTGGGTGTGTTTTCATTCCTCTCTCCTGTTAGCTAGGTGTTCCAGTTTTGGAAGGGGCATGTCTGGGCCCGGCCACTTCAGTTACAGTCATAGACGAAGTCATAGTTGCTGGGCTCCTTGGGAATCGGCGGAGGTGCGTCAGGGATCTGGATGTTTTCCAGGTCCAGGAGGCGGAGCTTGATTTCCATGCTGAGCAGGGTGTCCAGGTCATTCCGCGTCAGGTCGCTCATCATGTCCTTCCCGAGTAGCGCATTCAGTCCATCCGTCCAGATACAGTACTGGCAGGAAGGGAGGCAACAGCGATCATTACTGGTGGCAATTACAGAAGTATTAATAGTAAAAATAGCTAACAGTGAATACTCATCCCTCAGTAGGCTGTGCGCTAAGGGCTCTGCCTACTTCGTCATTTCATATTTGGCGACATCTCAATATAAAGTCGATACTTCTGTTATCTCTGTTTTATAGGTGAAGGAACTGAGGTACAGAGAAGTGACTCAGTATTATGTAGACCGGGTGGGATTTGAACCCAGGCAATCTGACTCCAGTGCCTGTGCTCTTCTTTGCAAAGAATGCTTCTCTGTAACAGCTGAGGATTGGAGTTCTCCATGACTTGCAATGTAACACCTAGGTGGGAGTCTATGACTTTTAGGTACTGGTGGAATCTACCGAACAGCCCTGGACTCAACATCAGGTGAAGCAGGTTTCTTTGCTGACTCCAGTCATGGCTCCTAGTCTAGTAGCTCATCTCGGCCTGTCCTGTCTGATCCTAGCATTCACAATGACAGCCCTGTCCCACCCTGGAGCCAATGGCCAATGGCAGTCCCACCTTGGTGTTTCTCAGCTAAAGGGCTAGGAAATAGGCTTATGCTGCCCAGTGTCTGGCAGCCAAAATGGTTAAAATTATTGGGCAATCTTAATGGGAGGAGGGTTGGCTGCCTGTCTGGGGACCTCTTTAGCCTTTGTCTCTAGTTCCTAAGGTTTCTTTTCACCAGGTCTCTGGGGCCTCATACTTGGGGATATTATCTGTTTTGGAAAGCCCTTCACAGTACCCAACTAAGAGTCTGATTCTTCTCCTTTCATAGCCTTTTGTCTCTCCAGGAGACTATGATCTCTGTGAGGGAGAAGGAAGAACTGTGCCTTGTCTGAGGACCTGCTTTTCTCTTCTTAGCTTCCCCTCCCAGAGGCTGGAGTTCTGTACTGACATGGACAGAGAACCATGACACCTGGTGAAAGAGGCACCCCTGATGCCAGCATCTCAGAAAGCTGCTTGGCATTCTGGATGCTGGGCTCCACTCATGCACTGGAGTTTAGGTTTCTAGTAGTCCTATATAGGATTCTATAACAGCAATTGTTCTCCTCTTCTGTTGAAGTGGTCTTCCTTCTACCATGCACTCCAGATTCCCAACTTTTCTGCCTCACTAGTTCAAGCGGCAATTCCAGACCCTCTTTAACCTACTTTGGCACTGTGGTTATCTGGACTGTATTCCATGGTAGCAGATCTCAACGTAAAAGTAACCAAAGTATACTGCAAGCACTATATAAATCTCCAGTCACCATGATGTGATGGAAATCTTCCGTGATGCACATCAGCGGTCCTCCTTTTTAAGCTGAGGAGATGCACAATGGGTGTATTATGAGATCTGTGTTTCAGGAGGGCAGCATTGATTTGGAGGGCTTTGGTTCTACCTTGGCTATGTGATCTCAGCCAAAGCATTTAACCCATCGAAACATCAATTTAGTGTTAAGGGATTTCCGGAAGAATTAGTGTCCTCATGATCTGATTCTGAACATGTCTAACCATCAATTTCTTCATAAATAACCTTGACAGAAGTAGACACCTAGCTCCTACCTTGGAGATCCTGATCATGTAGATCTAGGGTGAGGAGACTTTGCTTCCTAGAAAACTCTAACGAACACGCAGGTACGGGTGCCACTGAACTCTACATTCTCAAAGGCCCCTTCCAGCTTTCATGCTGTTTCATGGTAAATCCCCAAGTCCTGGGGATTACTGTTCTTTTCACACAGCCTTCCCAGGCCTGGCTAGCTTCCTAGTATAGATTAGTTTAACCCACAGGAACACTTCTGCAGCACGTTTCTTTTTAGAAACAACAGGCACAGAAAATTTTATGTGAAAGTACATCGACCAATAAATAAAAACCCTGTAGTACTGATACTGAATTTGAGTTGGAACTATCAGTATCAATTCATTAGTTTATCTTAAAAGAAAACCACCTAGCTCTGTCCCCAAAAAGGGCTAAAAAATAATGACCAACCAAGAACCACTGCATCGTGGTGTGCAATGACCATAAACACAACTCATGCTTAGATTCTGGTCACTAAATATCATTTCCCACTACAAGTAATCAAGGCTTCACAGAGAAAAGGCAGGAAACATAAAGATAAACCTGGAACACTCCATCATACCAGAATGCCAGAAAGTTATCAAAGACGTAAGGGGTCCTCCCAATAGGACTCAGATGCCAACCCAATGGTGTTCCTACTTGTTCCAGACAGGATAACTTAGAAACTAATAACGACAGTAACTGCAACATATTGAGACACAATTCTGTTTAAAAGCATGATTTCCTACTCAACCCCTGCCCCCAAATGCCTCATTGTTCTTCTTTGAAAGATGCTTACTATTTTGAAAACTGGTAAAGAGAATCAAGTATTTATCCTGCCTACCATATGTAAATTGTATAACTTTAGGATAACCAAATAGTTGATGAGGCCAGTTTCTCTTTATATATCCCTTTAATAAAGAAGGAATAATAAAATTAGGATATCAACCTTTTGCAACCTCTAATGGTTCCAAGGATCCAGACAACGATCATTGTTGGCTGCTAATATCCAAGAAAGGGGAGCAAGAAGTCACCATGAAAGTACAAACACCACTGCTGCTGCTTAGAAAGGGAGCCTGAATTTGATTAATCCTTTAACTACAATTCACAAGACATACAGGGGACCGATGAATATATGAATTATATTGCAGATTGCGGTGGGAAAAATAATACCCGCCTTCCAAAGACACCCACATCCTACTCCCTGGATCCTGTGAATATGTCAGGTTCCATGGAAAAGGGACTTAAGGTTGCTATCCGCTGACCTTAAAACAGAGATTATCTTGGATTATCCAGGCAGGCCCAATGTAATCCCAAAGGTCCTTAAAAGTGAGAGAAGGAAACAGAAGAAGAGTCAGAGTCAGAGTCAGAGAAGTGAGAGGTAGAGGGAGATCTGAGTACGAAAGAGGAGGCTGAAGTGAGGTGATGAAAAGGTTCAACCAGCCATTGCAATGGATGGAGGCCAAGGAGTGCAGGTGGACTCTTGAGTGAAAAAGACAAGGGAAAATTCTTCCCTAGAGCCTCCAGAAAGGAACACAGCCCTGCTGATACCTTGATTTTAGCCCAGGATACTCACATTTGACTTCTGAAGTCCAGAATTCGAAGATAATAAATTTGTGTTCTTTAACACTAAGTTTGTGGCAGTTTGTTACAATAGCAACAGTAAGCTAATACATAAAGTTATAACCAGCACAGTCTAGACTATTAACATTACAGGTCTAATGACCTGTTTTTCCCAATAAATAAATTTCAAGGAAAAAAGGCACATGCTCATGATTGTGAGAGACAGAGAGAGAGAAAGAGAAACCTGTAGATTCAGAGAAACCTAGGAAACATGTCAACCAACTGCAATGCATGGATCTTATTTGCATTCTGACTTGAACAAAGTATGAAAGAAAAAAACACAAATGAGACAATTAGAGACATCTGAAAACTGACTGCACATGGTTTAATAAATAAATACCACATTATTAATTTATTTAAGTGTGATCAGGGTATTGCAGTTATGGTTTTAAATTGAGTCTTTATTGTTGGGAAATGCATACAGGAACATTTATACATAAAATGATATCCAGATTTGCTTCAAAATAATCAGGGGTGGCAGCTGGGTGATGGTGGAAGAGTGGATGGGAGCACAGGTGAACCAGATTGGCCATGAGTTGGTGATTGTAGAAACTGAGTGATGGGCCTGCCAGGAATGTGCGAGCTCAGTGTCTGCTCTTTCTCTTCCTAGCTCCACAGTGCAGGGGTTAAGTGTAGGGCTTCTGGAGCAAGACTGCCAGTGTTTAAATTCCAGCTCTGTCCTCTTACTACTTGTGTGACCCTGGACACGTTTCTTAAGCTCTCTTGCCTCATTTCCCTCTTTTAAATGGGGATTCTTTTAGAGTTATATGAGGGTTAACTGGGGTGAAATATACATATAAAGCATTAATGGTGCCTGGCAGAGAGTAAGCCAGGGTCGTTATACTTACAGTTGACCCTTGAACAACATGGGTTTTAACTGTGTGGGTCACTTATACATGGATTTTTTTCTTCAATAAAACTTATACCAAGTGTGCCTGTCTCTCCTGCTTCCCCTTCCACCTCTTCCACCTCTCTAGCCTCTGCCACCCCTGAGACCTCAAGACCAACCCGTCCTCTTCCTTCTCCCTCATCCTACTCAATGTGAAGACAATGAGGATGAAGACTTTTATGATGATCCTCTTCCACTTAATGAATAGTAAACATATTTTCTCTTCCTTATGACTTTCTTAACATTTTCTTTTCCCTAGCTTACCTTATTGGAAGAATACAGTATAAAATCCACATAACATACAAAATGTGTGTGAATCAACTGCTTATGCTATGGGGAAGGCTTCTTTCTGGTCAACAGTAGGCTACTGACAGTTAAGTTTTTGGGGAGTCAAAAGTTATGGGCAGATTTTCAACTGTGTGGGGGGTTTGGTGCCCATAACCCCCATGCTATTCAAGGGCCAACTGTGTTAACCTTTCTATTGTTGAGGTATTCAGTTCTGGGAGGTCTCTCCGTGCTCATTTGATAAATGAGAATGTCTGTAATAGAACTTTCTATTGTATGGAATAATTATGGAAATAAAATGAGGTAATAGAAGGAAAGTGGTCTGAAGTAATTAAAAGTGTTCACAAGCATATGGCATTTTTCTCTTCATTGTATCTATAAGAAGTGGCAGATATGAATAAAAATCTGGCAGTCCCAGAGCATTTATCCTGATCTGGAATTAATGTACACTGGGGAAAACAGCCTTGCAGAGATTTAAATAACATCCAAAGTTCTACTATTTTAAGTAGTTTTGTACACAGCTCTATACATCTTGAATATGGTGGCCTGTGTAGAACCACAATTTTATTTAAAAACAGAAACAGTAGAACACAGTATCTATTTTCAGAAAGATGAAGACAAAGTCTTACCCTTCAGCAAACTAAATGTCAAGTGACACAGAATTATATTTAAGCACCGTTCTAAATGCAGGATTTGTGTCTAATCTTTCCTCTCTCTTTGGGATATACAATTTTATTCAAAAGCTTCAAACCAGTGAAAACTAGATACTGAATAACTTCTAAATGAGCTAAATGTCCTAGGGGAAATGGGGAACAAAAGTCAGATTCTATTAAAATGTTCTCTTCCTTTCTAAAGCTGTTTATGCAACCACACGCAAAACAAAAATTTGAATGGTATCATCTAAAAATAAAAGTTTCAAGCATGATGTTGGGTTCCAGTTTATAAAAGAAAGTTAAATCAGCCATAACTGCTACTTTATCTTACAAATGCATTTTCCTAGATTTATGCTAAATATTTTAAATATAGCTGACAGCGTGCTACAAGAAGAGAAACAAATTATACATATAACAAGATGTCAGAAAGGAATAAAAGCATCTCGAAAATAAAATCCCAACAGCAGAGACAGCCCTAAACCTCTTAAAATAGCTTAAAGAAATTTGGTAGAAAACCTACTTCCTCAGATGTTTTAAAGAAGAGAGACCAGTTTATCTTGGGAAAATCCAGACCAAAAACGAAAAATTCAATGAAAACCAAAGCTGTAACCAGGGCCGCTTCTTTCTCTGGATTAACAAGTATACCTTTGCTGCATTTGAGGCCTTTTACATCCTTTTTCTTTACCATGAACTATCAATCAAGCTACTAAGAAGTTGAATCTGTTGCAACGGGCAGTTTGTCAAGAGGTTTCTATTCTCCTCCAAGTCAGCAAGATGCCCCTTGGTTCATCATTTTTTCAGGCAGGTCTATTTTTCTTAAGTAAAATTTCTTTCTATATTTTTCTTGAGAAAAGATAACATTATCTCATAAATTATCACCCCCGAGACCCTTACCTCATGCTTGTCAGGAGCGATGAAGTTCAGTTGGCAGTTTGAGTCATACAAGATGGAGAAAGCGAGTTCAAGCACCTCCTACAAGAGATGAGAGAAAACAGCACCTTAAGGAAAATCGGCACATTTCATTTTGCAGTTGCAAATGGCTGCACATTGACCATGGCATAGGGCCAGCTTGTCTAGCCAAGCGGAGCTGCAATGAGGCTGATGGAAGGAGGAACCATGCTCTTCAAGGTTCACGGCATGATTCCTTCTCTCCATTCACGGCGGTCTGTGAACTATCTCATTTAATTCGCATGCAGCCCATGTAGCAAGTGTTTTCATCTCCTTTATGAGGTGGGGCTTAGAGAGGCTCAATGAGTGTCCAAGGTGACAGCACCGCCTGCCTCCTCGCCCGCCACCAAAACTGTGTTATTCTCCTTTCTTCAGCATCTCCCTTCCAGAGAGGCCACAAAAACAAACAAACAAACAAACAAACAAAAACCCAGTAAACTCCCAATCAACAGGATTAAGGACTGCCCTTCCTTCTATCATCCTAAGAAAGACAGAGAGGCCCACAGAGGTATGAATTCCCTAAAATGTGGACGCTATGCCAGCTTTAAGGAGGCTGCTAGGTGAACCCATTATCTTTATATCTGTCCTTTGACCTTTAAGCTACTGTACAGCAAAGGCTACACAAAGCTTAGGTCTTACCCAGCAGAGACTGCAAGGTATAATCGAGAAGCACGGGCTTACTCATTGGTGAAAACCTACGGAGTGCACGCAATGAGCCAGGCCCAGAAGTCTAGGAACCAAGTGACATTTTTCATTTCATTGCAGGTGAATGACCAATGACCAAGGCACTCAGTGCCATGTCTAATATGTACATTAAGCCACACTTCTCAAACTGTACATGCTGTACCAATACTGGGTAAGACGATCATTCTAGTGGTCTGAGCGGTCAGCAGAAGATGAGAGTCATCAGCTCTTCTCAGCATCCTGAGGACTCCTAGTCTGGAAGAGAAGAGCCAAGTGTATCCAAACCAACGCTCTACACTGTTCCAGCATGGAGGTTCCAGTGTGCCTTCCTTCTCTGTGCTTCTATTAGGCACCAGTGATGACCATCCCTCTCCCCTCCTGTGATCTGTGAGCCACACTGCTCAGTAATTGCCCACAAAACATTCTTTCTTAGGGAGCCAATCTCTTCACATCATTCTCTACCTTAATATCTGTTAGAGGGTTTGTCTTTGGCCTGTGACTCACAGCAAAAATGCCCCAGAAAGATAAAAGGCAAAAAGATGAGGTCAGTGCCTACAGATTTCAGAATTTCAGACGGATTAAAGAATTATTCCAAAGTGGCTGCATCCCTGTCCTGACACAGTCCATCATCTAACTATTTCTGGCTCTCATGGAGTTCTCAGTGTCTGGTTCACCTCCAGCTGTCCCTCATTGAGAGGGGGCAGGTCTTGTTCTGAGGATAGATCTACCAGCGTCTCACACTCAAAAGGTCTCCTCACCTTGACAGAAATAGAAACAAGCGAAGGAAAGAATGCTGAGTCGTGGAATGGGAGCTATTCTGCAAAAATGCTCTCCTCATTTTCTATTCTTCTTTAGGCCCTGACTCAGGCCTACCCAGTAAAGACAATAATGTAAAAAGGAAGGGCGCCGAAACAAGCAAACAAACAAAAACAATTTGCCATTAAGTATAGCATCTGTTCCCATAACCATCTCTCTTGGGCCTTTTAATTTACAATTAAAATAGTCACAGACTTACTATTAGTACTATAAATTCATATCATTCTTTTTAAAAAAAAATCAATATGAAAATACATATCAAGAACCAGAGATGCTATGCCTGAGATAATTTCAAAAGAAAAATTCAAAAGAAAGCAAAAGCCAAATATTATTATCTGAAAGAACATTATGAGAAACTAACCTCTCCCTCTTTTGGGTAATAAAGAAATCATAAATTAGCCACCAAGGGAAATGTATTTGGCCATTCAGTAAGATAATTATAGGGAGCCAAAGTTAAGTGGAGAAAAGCACGAGACATGAACACCATGTACACACTGATCACAATTATGAACAATTCCTACTTGTGGACAGAGACTGGAAAGAAATATGGGAAATGAAAATAATTATGGTAAGGTGATAGGTCATAGGTCATTATCTCTTCTTACAACTTTTTTTTCAACAAAATGCTAAGCTATAATTTCAAAAATTCATACAAATTGTACTCAGATTTGGCATGTTCATTAAAATGATGATTTCTTTACTAATCTTAGAGTCATTTATTAGGAAAACTCTCTGACTCATGCTTGAGAGATTGAAGAAAGAAAAAGGAGGGAGTGAGCTTTGCTTCTGAACAACCAGTCAGGATATTACAGTGGCGTGAGGGGGCCCTTGGAGGTAAACAGGAAAAGGTAAAGTTCATCCAGGCCCCTTTGGGCTGACCCTGGGTGACAAGTGCCTGACTGCTCAGGGAAATCACGTGGCTGATCACCCCTTGCTGACAAGAGCCGGTGTGAACAGCACTGCAGCCCAGATGTGCTCCGGACAGGGTGCTGAAGTCACTTGAGACCACAGTGTCAGCGTGGTTATTGCTGTGATACTTTCTCTTCTGCAGGGGGATGGAGAAGGAAGGAAAAGGAGCAGGCAAACTTTCAGCTTTGCCCTTCTATGACATATACCACTCACGACATGAATGATCAGAACTGTCATGACCTAGATTCCTGATAAACACAGGCAGGAAATGGGAAATTCGTGAGAATGTCAATTCCCACTTTAATTTCACCAAAGCTGCCTGGGAGGGGGTGGGAGGAATTAATTCTCTGAGCTGCATGTCTGTGTTAAAGGGTGTTATCGCTTGTAATGGGTTTTATTGATGTCTCTGGCTTGCTGTTGTTGAGTCATTGGTGAAGGTCAGCTCTTCAGCACTTGGAGCGGGGAGGCTGCAGAGCCAGGAGCAATAGCACCTCTCAGGCTAATACTCCAGAAACTGCCACCTGTCCACACTGTCCATGAGGGAGAAGGCGCCAGGTGGTGGTGGAGTAGACTGTCACTGATCTGTGCCCCCCTCAGGGCCTACTTGCCTCCACACACCACAACACTCACTTAGACATCGAATGTTCAGGGGCTTTGTTGCTCATGACCGAAGCTCTTTTATTCCTCTGGATTTAGTGCAGTGAAAAATTACATCTAGAAGCAGCTTCTCTCCATTCTCTGCTGCACTGATGCCTGCTTGCCACCTTGTCATGTGGAGGAAGCCTGAGTCCTAGGGAGAGTGGAGGCAGAGGAAAGTGAACATCCTTCCATGCCCTGAGGCCCCTGACCTTTGTATTCAACACTCTGGCCCTGGGACAGAAGACAAGGCACGCTGTGTCAGCAGATGCTCAGGAAAATGGTTCCTGGGTTTGGGGACTGCCATCTTCCATGGGTCAAATGAGGAACCGACTGATAACAAGAGTAGAGTTGTATGCAACATATTTTCAGTGTGCAGTGTTGGCTGCCAATCCTTACATTGTTTGACGGTAACTCACCACATATGGCCATTTTGCTAGCATTCACTTAACTATGTTGGTTCTCTATCTATCCAGGTCATCATGAGGGTAAAACCTTTTGATAAAAGACACAGGATATAACTCGGCATGTGTGTGGGTGTTAAATTATGGTCACAGAAATAGCAGTAGATTTCAGAACTATAGCTTATTGCTGTCCAGATATCTAAGAATTTGAGTTTCTATTTTAGAAGGCAAAAAACACTCATTCATGTAGTACATAACAGAGATTACCTTCTTCAGGCAGTTACAACTCTCCAGCCCCAATCTATCTTAGCAGCGTAACCGGCCAATAGTTCTCCAATCCATATTCTTCTCCCCATCCCCATCCATCCTATACTCTGAATTCAACATTCCCAATTAGAGGATGCTTTTCACATGAGCAAAGGCCCTTGTGCCTTTTCAGACTTTTTCCTCCTTTTGGAAAGTCTTCTCCTCATTCTCTGCCTGGCCAATTCCTTTTCAAAAGCTAGATCAGATGCCATGTCCTGCATCACCTTTCTCAACTCTCCCAGGCTCCATGTTTAATTTTTTTTGGCATAGACATATTGAATTGTAATTGCATATTTAAATATAAATGTTATCTACTGGACACCTAGGGCCAGGGGCCAGGTCATATTTATCTTTGGATTCCTGGCACCTAGGACAAAGGAGATGCTCAATACATTGCTGAATGAATGAATGAATGGATGATGAATGAAGTAAATGTGAATAAAGGACTTTTTGGCTAAGACCAGGGTTTTCAAACTGATGCTAGAACATCAGCTTCAGTAGAATATGCTTCCTATTTCAGGTTTAAGCATCACACTGGAAAAACAAATGCTTAATTCTGGCAAATGGGAAGATGGAAGCTTCTCATACACCAAATATACTCCTATCTGAATCAATGGATCTTCACTCTGGTGATTTCATGTTGACTGTTGACCTAAAAGCCCCAAATTCAGTGAGACAAGCACCAAGAATGCCCACCTTAAAGCACACAGCCACAAATCAGCTTATTTTTATAAATTATAGAGTTTGAATTTAGAATCCTTAATCCTTGCAAATCAAAACCTTCCAACTGAATTTCCATCTACTCATGGCAATTCTTTTCAAGTCTCAATGAGAAACTTTCTGATCCCTGTGTGAAGAACCCACCATTTCTTGTCTCCGTAAAAATGTGCCTGCTGCACTGAACTCTGTTAAACATAACAGACTCTAAGCTCCAGAAAGACAGGACCCCAGCTACCCCATTTAGTCCTGTGCTATTTCAGGCACTCCCATGCTGACTGAGTGGATGACTGACTACATGAACAAATGCCTCTGCAATAGACACCTCAAGGGAAAGGACCAATTTTCTTCTTTCTGTTCTCAGGGCCCTGCTGGGAACATCAGCAGAGACCGAATGGGTGAGAGGATGATCAGTTATCAACACTCTGCCATTAACAAAGTATCTCTTTTACAGATGCCAATGTCTCAGTTTGCCTTGCTCGGTGATTAAGTTAACCATGGGTCTCATGGCACAAAATGTCAAAAGCTGTTCCACAGCTGGAAAAACTGTCCAAAGAGCCAGCAATTTGCCTTGGTTGTCATCCATCCACTGTGTACTGACAGACCTCTTATGAACACATTCTGGTCAATTCTCCTTTTAGGCTGCAGGTCCCCTTTTCCTACCCAGAAGTCCCAGAGGTAGACAGGAGGGCACCTCTGGAGTACGGGGAAAGGGGTGTGGGTTGGGGGGTTCAGCAGGTAAAATCGTGGCTTTCCTTCTGCCTTTTGATGTTTTGCTTGATGACATGGTATATATGAACACTAGTAACATTGCAAGACAAGTAAATTCCATGTATATGCTAATTAAAGGGCCAGGCTGCTTGAAATTCTGCTAGTCTTATCCCTCATGGCAGACTGGAAGAGCCCAGGGTAGCTAGAAATACGGGCCAGTGAGTCCCAGGAAGTAGCCTCTATTTGCAGTCTTATCTGTTTACAGTGGCGTACTCCATCCATCCATCATTCTCCAGCTGTCCATCCATCATCCATCTATCCATCATCATCCATCCTATGTTTTATGAGTGTCATGACAATATGTGAAAAATAAAGGTTGCAAAACATCATTTACTCGGTTTTACTTTTTTAGTCTCCTTTAAGGAGAGAGGAGTCTGATACAAGGCCAAATATACTACCTCACATGTTCAAATGAAATCATCTCCACATCTGTTATATGGGTGACTCTCATTTTTTTCTTGGTTAGCCAGGCTAGAAGTTTATCAATTTTATTCATCTTTTCAAAGTACCAGCTTTTGGTTTTGTTGATTTTCTCTACTGATTTCAGTTTCATTGATTTCTACTCTAAATTTTATATTTCTTTTCTTCTGCTTGCTTTAAGCTTAAATTGCTCTCCTTCCTTAGTGTCCTGAGGTGGAAGCTTTATTGATTTTCGTTCTTTCTTCTTTTCTAATGTAGTCATTCAATGCTATAAATTTCCCTCTAAGCACTGCCTTCACTGCATCCCACACATTTTGGTAAGCTGGATTTTCATTTTATTTAGTTTGAAACATTTTGTAATTTCTCTTGGGAATTCTTCCTGGAACTGTGGGTTATTTACAAGTGTGTTGTTAAATTTCCAAACATTTGGGGGATTTTCCAGCTGTCTTTCTGCTGCTGATTTCTAGTTTAATTCCATTGTGATTTGAGAACATACTTTGTCTAACTGCTATTCTTTAAATTTTTTAAGACATGCTTTACGGTCCAAAATGTGGTCTATCTTGGTGAATGTTTCCTTTGAGCTTGTGAAGGATGTGTATTCTGCCGTTGCTGAGTGGATTAGTCTATTAATGTCAATTAGATCAAGCTGATTTATGGTGCTGTTCAGGTCATCAATATTCTTGATCTTCTGCCTGCTTGGTCTACTGATTACTGACCAAGGGAAGTTGAAGTCTCCAATATATTAATAATAATGAATTTGTTTATTTCTCCTTTCTGTTCTATCAGTTTCATAACTCATGGATTTTGATATCTTCATGTTAAGTTCAGACATGTTAAGGATTATTATGTCTTCTTGGACATCTGACTTTCCACATTCCACGGTGATGGTTTGCCTGCAACCTCAGTTCTAGGATAGGTCCAAGAAAACTTGTTGATTTCCGCTTTGTTCTGCTTCTTCTTCTTCTTCTTCTTCTTTTTTTTTTTTTTGAGACAGAGTTTCACTCTTGTTGCTCAGGCTGGAGTGCAGTGACATGATCTCGGCTCATCGCAACCTCCACCTCCTGGGTTCAAGTGATTCTCCTGCCTCAGCCTCCCAAGCAGCTGGGACTACAGGTGCCTGCCACCAGGCCTGGCTAATTTTTTGTATTTTTAGTACAGACGAGGTTTCACTATGTTGGCCAGGCTGCTGGTCTCGAACTCCTGACCTTGTGATCCGCCCGCCTTGGCCTTCCAAAGTGCTGGGATTACAGGCGCGAGCCACCACACCCTGCCCGCTTCTCCTTATTCTGAGGATGGGAGCACAACTCTCAAGCTCTTTATATGTTGGGGCTGAAACAGGAAGTCCCTCCACACCTATTTTACATAATTCCCTCTATCTTTATTTAGCACACTTGAATTCTGGCAGGTTGCTATTTTTCCAGGTACACCCTTCCTGGTCTTCTCTGGGTTGCAGACTCCCAGACCCCTATTATTGCCAATTTCTCCACACTGTTTCCAGCTCAGCCCCAAGTGTTACGTAACTGTGGGGACCTCCTCGGCTGAAGCTGAGCAGAGCCCGTGCTCTCCGAGATTGTGGAGAGAATACCTGACATGTGCAGCATATGGTAATCCCGGCTAGTGTTGAAGAAAGTCTGCTCCACAGGAGGCAAACCATGAAAACTGGAGATTTGCTGCTATAGCTAAGGATGCTTCTCTAATCTGCTGAGCTATAGAATCTCTGTCTCCCCATAGCATGGAGAAGAGATAAACGGAAACCCCCGTTGGTGCTGTGTAACAGATAGACCACAGATCCTGGCCTCTTGGGCATGCCCTGCCATCAGTATGCTTGCCAATCAAATGCATTACATGACAATGCTGTGATGGGCTCAACAAAGGAGTTCCCATGGAGCTGAGGTGAGTTATAGAACTTAAGAAGGAAAGATCTTACAATCAGCCTCTTCAGCTGCATCCCCTGCCCTCTGCCTTCCTGAACAGTATTTTCATAGTACTTTTGTTTTTCCTTAACTATAGATAGGGCCATCCTGCAAAGAACTGGATTCCCTGTCTTATAACAATAGAAATTACACAGTGGAAACTATTTATTTTAACGCTGATTGGTAAATAGATTGTGTATCATTTTGGTGTCCCTCTTAGATACTGACACTGGAAATAAAGATGCAACCTATTGATCTATGTGACATTTTTGGTACCAGATTTTCTGGGTGCTCCAGATAATCTGGATACTTTTGTTCATGAATGGTATAGATCACAAGATTCTAAGAGGCATAAACAAAGCACTGGCTCCCTGACGGCCTCTCCAAGGGCAAATACTTCCAGCGGGCAAAAGAAATTCTTCTGTCTTTTCAAATAATATTCCCTCCTGTGCCCTCTGTAATGGAATGATAATGGAATGGTTGGTAAACTAGGAGGGGATGGTGAAAGGTATTGCAGGGCTTAAGTAATACACACTTCTGGGAAAATTTTCTCCTTTAGTCTGAGTTGGAGATATTTCACAGCCTACTTTCCACAATGCTGAAGGGTATCAGGCCTTTAAAGTTTTCTAAGATTCTTTGAGTCAGCTGCTCTCTGCCTGTCCCAGGCTTCGCTGAGATCCCGGGGAGGATATTAAGAGCATGATTACAGCAGAAGACAATGAAAGATATTGGGGTGGAAGTTGGAGAAGGGAGAAATAAACATAAATGGGGGAGGTTAGGAGAGGCCCAGGGAATGGACGGATGAGCAGAGCGGGCTCAAGAGAGGACAAAGTGACAATAGTGAGGGCAATTCTTAGGGTTGGAAGTAGGCAGGAAGTGAGAGAATGGAAAAGATGGTGAGCATCAGAAAAGGGGTCAGAAAGAGAAAGAATAAGGGTAAGAGACGTAAAAGGAATCGGGACAGGAAACAGGAGAGCTGAATAAGAGATGTGTGTCTGAACACACGCACACACACGAACACTGCTATAAAGGAGGGCTAGGCTGGCTGCAGTTGCCGACCGCACTGGGCAAATAGAGCTATTTGCAATAATTTGGAAATCATACCTTGTTTTGTTTAAGGGCACCTTTCTCTTTCATATGAGGGCAGTCCTTTCCCGTCACCACGGCTTTGATATCTGCCACCGGCACTGCAATTCATAAAAGAAAATGCAAGTAACTACACCATGTGAAAACTTTGATGTCAATAAAGAAACAGGACTAAGCACTGGGTCCGCTACTGTGGTTACCATTCCCAGAAACTACTGCAAAAAGAAGAGTGTTGAAAAGAGGAAGAGAAGCCAGGTAGTGTCCCAGGATTAGAAACTAAAATATATCTTATATTCTGGGAAAAAGCATCCCTGGAGAGAAAGAGCTTGCTTGTAAGCAGAATTTGGTTCAGTGAAACAAAGACCTAAAAAAACACCCATCATAGTACTGTTTGAAGTCATGGCATTAGAAGCAGCAGTAGAAATAACAGTGATTGTAATAACAACAGTGATACTCATACTGATATTACAGAGGGCTCCTGTGTGACAAGAGCAATGCCAAGTGCTTTACATATATCAGTGTCTCTTGTTACAGCATTTGCATCTATTTAGTTTCTGAGTTTTTGGATGAGAGAAAGCAGCCCTATCTCAAAAAATTTATCCAACTCTAAACAGTTCTGAACTCTCACTCTCCAAAATCTCTTTCTCTGCCATCTCATTAATTCTATAAAGCAGGTTTTATTATCCCTGTTTTACAGACAACAAAACTAAACTCAATTAAATAAAGGGAGAATTCCTTTCTGATACAGGATTCTGGAAATAATGCAGTTAGACAAAATGATGTTATCTCATGTCTTACTCTGGAGTTGGCGGAAGATAAGAAAAGATATGGAAGGGTTTGTGCACTTAAAACTTTTGATAAGATCAGGTGAAAGAGGCTGGGAACAGTGAGTGGCTCATGCCTGTAATTCTAGCACTTTGAGGGGCTGAGGCAGGAGGACTGCTTAAGGCCA
Organism: Homo sapiens; assembly: GCF_000001405.40. Lineage (NCBI taxonomy): Eukaryota > Metazoa > Chordata > Mammalia > Primates > Hominidae > Homo > Homo sapiens. Next base: position 36,871,327 of record NC_000007.14, read on the forward strand.
GGCCTTTGAAACCAGCCTGGGCAACATAGGGAGACCCTGTCTCTACAAACAATGAAATGAAAATAAAAAATTAAAAACAAAAAGATCAACTGAAAGAAAGAAGGCAATAGGATGGTTTGGAACCTTAATTTAAAATAATGCAAAGTCATCTGCCCCTCTCCAATCCCTAACCCTCCAGCCCCATATGGGTTTATGAATCAAGGTATGCACGCTGGCTAGTGTGGCTTTACCAAGAATTTGGGATGTGTGAGAATGCCAAGTAATCAATTCCTTAGACTCTCTTAATGATGAAGATGATGAGAGATTTCACAGTTAAAGCTCACATCCTTTCATTGGGAAATTGGGTTGTGAAGGTGACAGATAAGGATAAAATTACAGAATACCTAGAATACTAAAACAATAGACAGGAAGGCCTCAAAAGCTAACATTTTCCAGGTACCCTAAAATTACTAAGAACTTGGTCCATATCTGTTGACACTCCTAGAATATTAAAACAATACACAAGAAGGCCTCAAATGCTAACATTTTCCAGGTACCCTAAAATTACTAACAACTTTGTCCATATCTGTTGACACTCTTAGGCCTCTCTGTAACCCTAAGAGTGGGGTTGTGATGAGTCTTCCAGGAATCTCTGTAGGTTCCCCTGCCATATCTCACCACATCTTGCAACCTGATTCTGGACCCTTCTGGTAGACATTACTTGTAGTTATGAATAGCTGTCTCTCCTTCCTTCTGGCCACAGAAAACTACACTTCCCAGCAACCTTTGCAGTCAGGTCATGTGATTAATTTTAGCCAATGAAATGTGAAAGAAAATGCTTCTTTTCTAGGTGGAGGCCCTCCATTCTGTCTTCCCCTGCTGCAGAAACTGAAGGAGTGACCTGTTCCATCCAGATGTCACAGGAGAGGCCCAGGGAATGGATGGATGGGCAGAGGAGGCTCAGGGAGGACAAGGTGACGATAGTCAGAGGGCAATTCCTAGGGTTGGAAATAAACAGAAAGTGAGAGGATGGAAGACATGGTGCACACTGGTCTGTGTTCCTGAATGACTATATGGAGCAGCCCTTTGCCAACCTGTGTATGTTGTATAACGTGAGTGAGAAATAACCTTTTGTTATGCAAGCCATGGAGATTTTGGGGTTGTTTATCCCTGCAGCACAAGGTAGCATTACAGCCCCTCCTGACTGATCTCAGACCCCTTTTCTGCCTCTTTGCCTGACCCCCTTGGGGTTGGCATCTTCCTGTGGGTGGTCCCTATGATTCCTGAACCTACCTTTGACCATGAACACTGACTTCAGTTCTCCTCAAATCCCTTTTCATAACCAAGAACTGGCCTCCTTTCCCTCAGTAGCTGATCTGGCTGCCTAATCCCTACCGTAGGAAGGGACATTTGGATACTCTGGGAAGTTGGCTGACTTTCCAATGGAAAACCCACCATTGAAGTGAATGTGATATAGTCAACAAACTCATTCTAAAAAACGTTCTCAAGATTCAAATAGAGTTTGAGTCACAAGTGTCTTGTAGAAAGTTTTTTTGTTATAATATATAGCATGGTCCATGAACTAGAGACAGTGTCCACAAGCTACAATTGGTAAGTTAGCCCTTAGCTTTGAAAACCCATTGTATGGAATGGGACAAGAGTAATACCATAGTCTGTCCTGGGGGGTGGTCTTCAGAATCTCTAATAGAAAGGCTTCCAAGGAGAAGCGTCACTTTTTCACTAGGTTTTGTGGAAGTACATATATATTTTTTTATATGCATTGTCCCTTGTCCTAGAGACCAGCTGCTACATCATTCATAGGATTATGACTAAAAGGAAAACACAAAGTTCTAAAAATACAGTGTAGCTTTTAAAGGTTGCTTTTTGCATAGTTTGTCTTCTAGATGCACCAGAAGATTAGGCATTAGAAAGGCTCAAATGATGGCCTCTCTATTCTCATGAGCAGAAACAGAGGGGTCAGACTCATATCTCCAGAATCTACACTCTAAGGAGGCTGCAGGGGGCTCTTGATGACTTCAAAGCCAGGCTAGCATTTTGATGAGGCCTTTTGTGTGGAAGCAAGATAAAGAAGTGGGCTCCAGATCTGTGAGAATCAGGGTCACCAGTGAAGAACGCACCCTCCCACCACATTTACCCCCTGGGGCATGGCCTCATTTCTTTCAATGCTTTTTACAGTTTGAGCTGGGTTGAGACCATCTTAATTCAACACTCCTATTTTACAGATGGGAAGACTGATCCTAAAGGGAGGAAATCAATTATGCAATGATACACAGCTAGGTTAGTAGGTGAAAAGAGCTGGGTTTAGTGCTTCTTCTTCCACTGCATGTTCCCCTGCTAGGCCATGATTTCTCCCTTTGTAAGGGGCCAGCCCCCCAAATCATGCTGAGCACAGCCCCAAATGTGGTTATCACTTCGGACATTCAGGAAACTCTTTGAATGCTAATACCTGTGGAAGGAAGTTTAATTGTGATTTAAAACAAAAATACTACTGAAAAAGCAAATGTGGCCACCCATGATTAAAATAGTTTCAGCTTTCATCAGTGAGATCCAAGTTCAGGCAGAAACCATTCAAAGGAAGTAGCTAGTAAGCCTTGAGCTCTTGCTGTGTGCACAGCTCCATAGTAGAAGCTCCTGTGGGCAGAAATATGAGGAGGTACAGGCTCATCCCAGGATAGCTGCATGAAGAACCTGGTCTCTGTGGCCTAGCAGATCAGCCACATGGCATGGAATGGTGGGGAAAAGATGCGCCTTTGGAATCAGAGTGCCAGGGTTTGAATTCTACATCCACCAACCGCCTCTACTACTTTGGGCTTAAGTTTTGAGAGCCTCAACTTCCTTGTCTGCAATTTGTAACTCTAACATTATCTATCCCATATGGTTGCTCTGAGAGTTAAATCCTGATGCTGGAGCTGAGATCATTGTTGGCTTTTAATCTAGGCAGTACACAGTAGTGGGTGAAAATCTAGGCCATGGAGTTAGACAGTTACATTCAGATCTTTCTCTACTATTTACTAATCTTATGACTTTGAATAAGTTACTTAATCTTTCTGTATCTCAGTTTCCTTTCTGTAAAATAAGGACAATATTATCTACCTCTTTAGGTTGTTGAGAATAATTTATGTAAAGCCCTTAGCACAGGGCCTAGCATATAGTAAGCACTCAATAAATGCCATTTGCAATTATTCCCATTATCAATAATCAGAGTTAATTCTGTAGATGGAGAGACCTGAATTATTCGCTGTGCTTTGGTGACCCAAATTGCCCACAGTGCCTCCCTGTGTCGCCGCTCTTCGCATCCACTGGAGCAGGCTTCATCTCCACATGGGCAGGGTGAGCCAGAACTTTCCTCCCTGCCCCCTCTGATGTGGGAGTGAGGAATGCTGGCCTAGATTCTTTCAAAGGGAGGCAGTGAGGAACCCAGGGCATGGCTGGAAAGCAGTGGGGTCCTATGTTTATTGGGGGCTATGACAACCTGTAAGTCAGCTTGGGAGGGATATGGGGAGAGGGGGGATGTAAGAAGATGTCGATTTTCAAAGGCCAAATTTCCTGACAAAGAAAAGGAATACAAAAAGAAAGATTTCCTAAAGCTTTGGAGAAGACAGCCAAGGAGGCACCCTCAATCCTCATGTGCACTATCTGTATTAAGAAAACTCCATTATACTATTTGATTTATCAATAGCTCAGTATTCAGCACGGATTAACTCAAGGGGCACAAGACACTCTCTGCCTTGGTCTCAAGAGAGGGCAATGTTATGTGGCAAGAGCAATGACACTGAACATTAATTAAAAGCACGTCTCATTTTTCCAGTGGAATGAGGTTTCTGACTTTTAAGAGTTCCAAAAGGTGGCTATTTTGCTCCAGGCAGAATGCAGAATTGGAATTAAATGCAAACCAAGGTGGCAGGCCTGCAGCAAGAAACTTCAGCTTATTAGGCCGGGCTTTTTTTTTGTCTCAGGCACAGTATTGCTTCATTTCAATTCATTACATGAGTATACCCATTTCTCTAGCACATATGTGCAGAAGGATACAGTCTTACTAGTACACACACACTCTCTTTCTCTCTCTCTCACACACACACTCTCCCACAAGGTGTGGATAAATACTTGTGCAGATAAATAGATCCACACAAGTATGCATTGTTAGTTCATCTTGCAATGGATATACTGTTTTTGGAGCAGCTCTTTGGAACTTCATTTCAGAGGAAAGCAGTTGCTAAGAGTTTTGGAGGCATGGTCAGGAGGGGCTGTCACAATCCCTTCAAGAACCAGCCTTGCTCAGTGGCCACTGCGAAAAGCTGTGTGGAGATTTGCAGCTCTGGCCTTGCTCTCCTGCACTCACCCTGGCAAGCTGGCTCTCCCTGGCATCAGCACCTCTAGTTCCAGGTTAGTTATTTTCACCCTGGAGTCTTGGGGGTGAGGGTCTTAGCAGAGCTGGGGGGCATTAGCTTGTGGGCAAGACCAGGAACTGCCCCTACACAAGGCTTTGTTGCTGTGGCTGCCAATATCCTAGGTAGCTGGCCAATTAGCATGGGGGTGCTGTGCTAACACCTGGCAAACCTGTCGGTCAAGTGCCTATCTTTGGGTTGAGAAGTGATTACATCCCTATAAACATGGGGCTAAACACTATGTCCTGTTAGTGGGAGAGCAGATTCACTGGACCATATGGGGAGTCAAGCTGTGTTTGTTCTGTCCTGACCACTTTTCCCCTTGTGACAGGTTAAGAATGGGGCTGTGGGGGACCTCCTAGGGAGCTGCTATTTGCTTCAACCAACAATAACCTCAACTCTTTCTGTTTAACCACTGCAGAGCAGTGATTCCACATCGCTGGGCTCTGGTCAGTTCCTAGTTCACAAGGGAGTTTACACCAGTGAGCTTTTCACCAGTTAATAGCAAATGCAGAAAAACGAGAATGCTGGTGTGAGTTTTTCAGAGGGCTAATTTAGTTTAGCAGAAGGGACTGTCTTTTATCTAAGATTAGGTCCTTCTTACTTTTTTTTTTCTTGTAATCGAGGGTCCTTTCTTTTATGAAAGGGTTGTGATATTAAACTTTAGATTTTATTTTTTAATATCCTTTTTTTTTTTTGGCCCAAGTTAAAAGTTAGCAACATGCTATTAATTTACTTAAACTTTTTGTTTTTTTAAAATTATTAGTGAAAGCCACATTTGGGGAATCACAGTTCTGAAACTTGTGCATGTCAGAACTGGCGGGAACATCTGTTAAAACAGAGATGGCTGGTCCCCACCCACTGAGTTTCTGATTTAGCAGGGCTGGGAATGGGGTCTGAGAATGTGCATTGCTAAGAAGTTCCTAGGTGATACTGCTGCTGATGTTCCAGGGACCACGTTTAGAGAACCGCTGGTCTAGCTTGGCCAAGGTGGGGTGGGGAAGGCTGGAACTGTGAAAGGAGGATCCTCATTTACAGGTAGAGGCCCAGGACACCCCTAACTCCTGCCCCAAAGCAGGGAGGCATAGACAATGTCCCAGGCTCTCTGCAGCAGTGGATTTCAGATTTCTTTCTATAACCCCTGACTTAGGGAGCCAATAATGTGGGCTGGGAAGAAAGTTTTCCTATGAAAGAAAACAAGATCGTTTTCTGAACTAAGTGACATCACAAAGACCAGACTGTCCCATTTTTAAGCTGGAGGAAGAGTGAATGTTCTAGGCTATCTGCCTGAGATGTCAGCGCAGAGTCTGAATGTGTCAGGAAATTTCCCACTCATGGGTTATTTTCACCTTCAATGGCCGTGAGCTGTGAGGAAGGTAATCCAGATTTGACTTCCATGGGCCCCAGGGTAACAGGACAGAAGGTGTGAGACTCTGGGTAAGGACACTGTCTGGGACACGCTTATCTGAACACTGCAAGGTCAAGGTGACTTTTAAAGGTTATTTAAAAGTGCTCTGAATGTTTTCTCCCTCTCGGATTTTTCTACTTGGGATATCCTCTGAGGCTACGTTCATTTTATCTCATTTCTCCTCCAAATTAATTTATCACCCTTGTGTATTTCAGTGTTTCTATAATACTTGTTTAATTTGTATTGTTAACACTGTCAACCTGGCACCTGGTTCCCTGTGGGGCTAAAAGAATCCTGCACATTACTGTCTCTTCAAAAGCATGTATGTTAAAACAGACAACATATAGAAAAAGCCAAAAAATATACAAGAGAAATATTTAGCAAACAGTAGAGGTAACGGATCATCATTTTCAAAGTGTCTTTGAGGTAAACTAGCTATATTTGGCTCTGCCATTAACTCTGTGTCATAACTATGGGATACACTAAATTGTAAGGAATAAATGTTGTAGGGGTCAGGCATATAAGTTACGAAAATAAGAAATTATTTTGGGTTTTCAGAAAAAGACAGCTGACAGAATCAGGTTTGTATTGTTTTTGCTCCTTGACACAGCACCTGGATAAATAATGTAAAAAGTGGACATTTGAACCCCCAGTTTACGTCTTTCAATTAAGATACCTTTGCATCCATTTTACATTCTCCCCTATTCAGTTCCAAACCCCAAGTCCATCCAGGTCTTGTACTTGATGAGATGGCTCAGGCGACGACTTACAACTAGATGAGATGTGTTCAAAGGGCTTACTTAGGCTGATAGTTCTGTTGCGTGATATATTGTGACTAGGAAACAACCAACCGACCACCACTCAGGCCTCTGCCAAGGAGAGCTACTTACGTTTGTCCTGCAAGGAATCGTGGGGCACTTCTCCCTGAGGACTCTCTTCTAAGTCTCCGTAATGCAGGACTTTGTGATTTGGCGAAAGCCGACAATACCAAAACTTGTCTGAGAGAAAAAACACAAGTTTACAAGGTAAGTGATTGTGGTTTATCAAAATACTAGCCTGGTTATTTCTTAATACTCTTGCCTGGAGGAAACAAGCAGTTCATTTGATTTTAAGTCTTGAGGAAGAATGAATTCTAGGGCCCTGGGCAATAAATTCCCTTTTGACTTTAATATTTAGTTATCACCTGTCCTGCTTGGTATACATTTGGTAACCATTAGTAAAGTCATTGAACTCTTCAAGCTCAATAGCAATAGATTTTATGAGGTGGTGGCTTCCAGAGGTTATGTTATCACTAATGATAACCACCATGGGAACTGCTCCTTATTCATTTACTGACAAAAGAGGGAGGGAGATATAGAAAAAAAAACAGATTTCTCAGAATGTTTCTGCTTCCACTTTCCTCTCTGAGAATTTCAGACTGTTGAGACAGTTGTGTCCAAGGCCAGATTTTAGCTGATACAACAAACCCCTACCCTAGGCTACCACACGCACATTAATCATGAACGAATTGTTAGGACACTGGTAATACACATGGTGGGTGGGATTCATGAGGAAATCATCTAAATAATTCACGGATTTAGCCAAAGAATGGGGACATGCACAATCATTCTCCTCTCCAATTCCCAGAATTTACTTCTCTGGATAGGTATGACCAGGAGATTAGGGTCATCCTTATAAACAACTTCCTCAACTTTACTGCCTCAGTCTCTCAAAAGTGAGAAGAAATTTTGAGTAAGTCTATGAGGCAGGAAGAAAGAGGCAAAGAGCACTTTTTATAGGTTAGGGACTTGAACTGTGACAGCAATGCTTGTGCAGCTGTCTCCTCCAGGAAGCCCTCTTTATCCCTGCAGCCGAAGGGCCTCTCCCCATCCTCTGAGATGTTCTACAGTCTTCTTTGCACCACCAGTTTGGCTTGGACTGGCAATATTGGAGCCTAATGTTAACACCTTAGTATTTCCCATTATCTGCTACAGACCCTAGGTAAGTAACTTGCCCTTGAGGGTGTATTGTGAACAATTAATATTGATAGGAGAAGAGGACTCCAGCCCTGACAGTGTGGAAGAGTCACAGTCTCTCCGATGACAGTCACTGTCTTCATAATTGCAACATCCCAATCTCTTGGCACAGTGTCTGACACATAAAAGTTGCACAGTTGGCGTTGGCTAAGCTGATAAATGAAGACCCAAAGCGACCTGATCAAAATGCCTAAGGCATGAGGTGTCAGTCACCTACAAGCCCCTTTGCACCACTGTGCGGTTGGTACCCTTTGAGGCCTTGGCCAAGTTACCTCATTATTGCACCTGAAATATAATTTGTTTTCAAGCCACTCTAACTAAAAAGCTCTTCATTATATTTTAAGAAAAGTGGTTTTCTCTCTAAAATTGCTGTCACTGCAAACCCATGGTTTAATTATGATTCTTTTAATAGAAATAGAAGTTTTAAGAATGGAAGTAAAAGCCACACAATGAACAAAGAAAATGCCCAAATTTGATCCACAAAAGGAGAGTGTCTCTGTGATTCTTATCTTCCTCATCTTTAAATAGAGTTTGAGAATTCTGAAGCATAGTCAGAGTACGGCAATCCATAGATTTAAAGGAATCTGAACTCTAGTGGAAAAAATTGAGTGGGAAAAGGGTCATTTAACAGCTAGGAAAATATTTGAAATTGCTAAATTTCAAAATTATGCTATGTATATACCAAACATGGGTCATTTTTCTGGGAGAGCATTTCAAAGGGAGAAAACAGTTATTCTCTGAGTAATTCACAGACATTTAAATTAGGCAAATGTGTACTTATGGGTTTTTCATGAGGAGAGCAACCTTGGGGATTTGACTTGTAACTTACAATAGGAACTGTGAATTCCAGAGCAGGAGGCAATGGCTTTCTGAACATCAACAGTGCTCTTGGGGGCCTGTGGGGGCTGCCTCTCCCCACGGATACTTTCCCCTGCCCTACGTGGCTGTGATGACCAGAAAGCCAACTGGAGAAATCTGCTATAAAGTTTTCCTTTCCTTGCTGCATCTAGGTGATACGTTTGGCTGTGTGAGCGACTAAAGGGTGATAGAGGCTGGGAAGGAAGACAGTGAGAAGTGGTACTTGGACATGCTGGGCTTATTGTGAGTTAGGTCTTGGCCTGTGCTTTATAGGAATCCCTTGCTTCTCAAGCTGGGGTAAGTAAACTCTAGGGGTCAGCAGTGGGACTTGAAGCCAAGCCAATGTGTCACAATCAAACAAGATCAATGACACTCAATTGATTTTGAGGGAATTAAGAAATTTAACTGGTGCACAGTATAATACAAACACATATTATTGTAGAGTAAATTGCACAACTTAATATTCATGTGTAAGATATATTGATTTGTAAGACTTCGAAAATTTTGCTGCTCTACTTTCAGGATAAATTTGTTTATCCAATGAATATTTGCTGAGTGGCTGTCTACAATGCACACAGCACTCTACTATGTGTAGCGAAACATCATTAGAACGGAAGGTAGACATGAAAGACAAGGCCAAGGAGTTCAAGGAAAAGGAGCTCCCTCAGTTCTTCAAGGCAGCTAAGAGAAAGATGTTGTTTCCCAGGTCTGGGAAGTAGGAACTGGGACAAATCAGCAACTCTGGCAATACTATGGAGAAAAATAGGAATGCAGAAATCTCTTGTGCAACATATTCTTACATACAGTAATGATCAGAGAACAGTGGCTATCTGTCAGAGTTTCAAGAGGCAAAACAGCCATCTTCCTTGCAAAGTTGGAGTTGATGTTTGTTTAAAGAAAACCCAAAGGGTCTGCAGCGGACAGATTTTCCTCCTTTCCAAAGCTGAAATTCCCTTGACTTGTATGACACCATCTTGCCTTGGTTTTCCTCCTACCTCTGGCTAATTCTCTTATCCTATACAAGTTTCTCTTCTTCTGTCTACTACTAAAACGATAAAAAGCAAAAAGATTGGTACATCACAGATATAAGTGATGTGTTCCACTCCTCATCAATTAGGAAGTCTTGGATGGATGGCAAAATATTGGAAAAAGGGGCTGAAAACGCTGAGAAACTTGTCTTGACTCATAATCAAATGGGAGGCTACTCAGCCAGTATCTTCCTCACAGTAAAACTGGAGTCCTTAGCTTTGGAAGGCTTAGACGTTGTGTATTTCTGTCTTGAAGGGAGAGCCACTACAAGGATAGCATCAGCACAGTGCGTCGACATGTTGGGTGAGACAGTTTCAGTGTCAGCCACCAGCAGCAGCTTGATTTGCAGTTTCTTTTACGGCAAGACAAATGTGTATTTTCCTTTCAAACCCCAGCATGATGTTACTTGTTCCTTTATCCCTCTGGGCGATGAAAGAGTGAATTGCGTCACTAAAAGCAATTAGCAGGAAGCAGTGAGAACATTATCAAAGATTGTTTACTAGCATTTTGGAGAAAACAATAGTTAATGTGGAGGTCTTCCAGTCAATTACTAATGAGAGTACGTTAATAGCCAGGCTTCATCTCCAAACCCAAAACAAAATACAGGGAGAATTTCGTGTTTCAATCTTTTTCTTGCGTGCGTGTGCGTGTGTGAAGGATAAGAGGGAAGAGCTGCTTTCAGAGTTCACAAGCCTGGTAAGAAGGGCTGATTAAAGCTATTCCCAATGTCACATAGATTGTTATGGAGCTAATAACCACTGTCAACTGTAATTTTTGCAGTGCCCTCCTACAGAACTTCCTACAATGATGGAAATTCTCTGTATCTGTTTTATCCAATACTAAGAAAACAAATTATAAATTTTCTTTCATTTTAAATAACTTAAACAGCCGTAGGTAGTTCTATCAGACAGTGTAGCCCACCGTCTGTCTTCAATCATCCAGGCCCAAGACAAGCTTGGGGCTGGTCCCTGGGTCTCCAGGAGAGCCCAGCAAGCTGAACAATGGCAACCACTGGTAGGTGTGAAATGCCAGCCAGTTCAGTGAGACACAGGGCACAGCAAGAACCAAACCCCGAGACTGCCATGGAATCAGGACACATCTTTGTTTTGAGTGCAGAGCCCGCTGTCAGCAGCTGGGGGCTGACCCCGGGGGCCCTAAGAGTCCTGTATTAGGGAGGAGAACAGGTTTTTCTAAAAGATGTCTTTAGAACACTTCCATTAGGATTCTGAATTTTCCCAAGGATAACCTAAAATGTGCCAAGTCTTCTGTGTGTTCAGAACAAGGTCGGCTTTCTGCCTAAGGTCCAAACTTTCCAAGTCACAAAACAAGAGGGACCCAGCAATGTGTTTAAAGGGAAATGTCATCTTTCAGGTGATGAGATCTAAGATTTTTTTGTTGGTACAAAAAAGGGAAACAACTATTGATACAGAGACGAAGGGCATCAAATCTTCCTCACTTCACTGAGCTTTCTTTAAAAGGACAGATTTGTGTTTTGATTCTGAATTCTGCCTCCCTGGACACAGCTGCTCAGAGCAAATGACACCGGAGTCCCTAGGTACTTTCCAAGATGATTTGGTCTAACAGGTGCCTTGAAGTCACACATAGCTGGATGACACACCTGGCCCTGATGCTTATTAGCTGCGGGGCCTTGGCCTAATTGTAAAAACTTCAGAAATCCCTGTTCTTCATATGTACAATGGTCATAATTATATGAGTAAAACACACATAAAGTATGGATCCTACATCTTCCAGAATTGGTTCTCAGAACATATTTGTAGTTTCCTGCTCTTCTAGTCAATGGCAGTCCCTCTCGTCCACACTACTGTCCCTCCATCTTTTGGAAACAATGATTATGTATTATTCTGACCTATTGGGAAGTGCCTTTTTTTCATGAAAATGAACTGGCTTTTCATAATTTGAAAATATGTATTTATTTATACCTGCCTTTTTGTAACAAAATATTAAAATAAAATTTCAACCAGGGATGGAGAAAGGAATGACCTGCTCCCCACAACAGGGCAATATGGTTACCATGCCTGAACGCACCACTTGGCTCTAGGTCTTCTGAGGGGGCCTCCAGAGCAACGTAAGATATACCAGCCTTGTTGGCAGGAGTGGTAGGTACGCATTTTGCCCAACATTGAGTTCCAACATAAGCCTGTCATGTCAGCACTTAGGGAATGCTGGTCAATGAAACAGACACTGTCCTCTGCAGGAGGTTTCATGTTATCACTTCTTGAAATGATTTCCAATGTTAGCCCTGGACTCTTACCAAGGCCATTCAATGCAAGTGATTCTGAAAGACCTTCATCTCTAAAATACAAGAGAAGTAGGGGGCAGTTCTTGAGCCTACAGATTCTCATGAAGCAAATAGTGGCTGGTATCATTTCGATCTGTGTCCTCACCAAATCTCATGTGGAATTGTAGTCCCCAGTGTTGGAGGTGGGTCCTGGTGGGAGGTGACTGGATCATGGGGGTGGAATGCTCATGAATGTTTTAGCGCCATCCTCCCCTTGGTACTGTATAGTGATAAAGTCCTCTTGAGATCTGGTTGTTTAAGTGTGTGGCACCTCCTCCTCCCTCTTTTCCTCCTGCTGTGGCCATGTGAAGCTCCTCGCTGACCCTGCCCCACCTTCTACCATGATTGGATCATGATTGGGAGTTTCCTGTGGCCTCCCCAGAAGCAGAAGCTGTGATGCTTCCTGTACAGCCTACAGAACCGTGAACCAATTAAACCTCTTTTCTTTATAAATTAGTCAGTCTTAGGCATTTCTTTATAGTAATGCGAGAATGGACTAATACAGTGTCCCTAACACAGACATCTTCTGGGGTTTCATCTGAAATCTCTCCTGCAGGAGTCCAGGGAACACAGAAGCCAGGCAATTTCCATGCCAAGGATTCTGCGACCAGAGCTTATACTTCGTGGTCAACATGTATAAGCTTGGGGAGAGAGTGGAGTGATGCAGGTGTGTGGGCTCCCATGCTACTCCACCTCCTGTGCTTAGAAATATACATTCTGGCCAAGTGCAGTGGCTCACGCCTGTAATCCCAGCACTTTGGGAGGCAAGGCAAGTGGATCATCTGAGGTCAGGAGTTCGAGACCAGCCTGGCCAACATGGTGAAATCCCATCTCTGCTAAAAATACAAAAAAATTACCCGGGCATGGTGGCGGGTGCCTGTAATCCCAGTGGAGGCTGACGCAGGAGAACTGCTTGAACCCAGGAGGCAGAGGTTGCACTGAGCCGAGATCATGCCATTGCACTCCAGCCTGGGTGACAGAGCGAGACTGTCTCAAAAAAAAAAAAAAAATCTATATTCTGAGGCGCTACGAGCTAAAATTAATAGCAAACATCATTAATGAATGTTTGATAATCTGCCAAGCATCAAAGTGCTATAGATGTATAATTTTACTTACCCCTTATGGCTATTTGATAGAGGAACTAACATTATCCCCATTTGAAAGACGAAGAAAGAGGAGCACAAAGACATTGAGCAGATTGCCCGAGGCTACCCAGCTAGTGAGTAGGAACAGGGACTTCAACCCAGCTTATTGTGTCTTTTGAGATATATTACCTCCCAGTCCTAATGTGGTTAGAATTCCCAGAAACCCAGATCTGTAAATGTCTGCATGTGACTATTCCAGTAGCAGAGCTGCACATGAGACAGGCAGAAGGATCAGCAAGTATCAACTCGGGGACCTGCTAGCCAAACGTGGCACAGTCGAGCACTCTCTATTTGTTCCTTCACTTTCCAGTTCTGTGGAGCTGTAAGTTCTTTCATATTTTCCCTTATAAAGTTAACTACTGAAATTCACTCATCTGTGTCCTACTCATTGTCAGACAAGTTTAGAGGGAGTATGGTGCTGGCTCCTGCACTGGGAGTGTCTGCTCTTTAACCTGTGGTGGCACCAGGCAGGCGGTTGTCCATCCCAGTCTGAGATCTCATGTAGAAGTGCGTCTTTCTCGAAGGGATTAAAAATGTCATGTTCTTATTAATCTGTGTAAATCTAAATGGAATGTTTTGATGGGGTGATAGGAAACCAATTTCAGCACAGTCTGCTTTGAATCCCTATTTTTAAGCACAGAGCCAGTCACCAGATTTCAAATCCATTTACCAAATACCAAAAAGCCTTCCTTTCTGCACTCGGAAGGATGATTTTGTATTAAACACAGATGGTCATGCTCCCTAGGGAGCTCAACTCATAAATTTATAATCTAGATGCTAATATTTTTTTGTTCAGGGGTAGTTCATTTTTAGAAAATTGGAAAAATTTATAGATACGGGACTAACATTTTTTAAACAACAACAACAACAACAACAACAACAACAACAACAACAAACCCTGTAGTTAATACATCTAGAAACAGGATTATTCTGATACAACCTACCCACTTCAACCTAGTCAGGGAAGTCTCATGACGCAGTAGACTAGAAGGTTAAATTGGTGCTAGGAGCTAGGTTGTGAGGGACTCTAGCTGGGCAGCAGCGGAGGCAATGGGTGTCTATTTGCCATTTCCCATCCCCAAAACTTCTGTGCCCTTTGCCCAATGTCAAGTAAGTAAAAATCTTATAAATCATCTTTATGGGGGCAATATATCCCAAACATTGATTTTTCCAAAGGCAATAAAGACATCAGGGCATACAACCGACTCTCTGACTAAATGAGCTCCTGGATCCCCTAATCCTGTCCTCCCACTTTACAGATGAGAACTTGGGGCCTTGAGAGGTCATGTGTCCTTCCTAAAGACACCTAGGTGGTTATTTAAAGAACTGAGAAGCCTGGCACCAAGTCCACTCACTCTGGCTCACTGCTTTTTTCCTACACAATCTTAAAGAACAGCAGTAGCTCCCTTGTTTTGCTGTTTCTTGTTGCTACATTCATAATCACCTCTCTTCCTCATGATAGCCTTGGGAGACAGGCATTGCTATCCCCATTTCGGATGGGGAAATTGCCCAAGGTCACACAGCTGGACAGGTGTAGAGGCAAGATCGCACCCACATTGCCTGGTTCCAGGGCTATGTCCTTGCCACTGAGCCCTGTGGTCTTCTTGGAACACCATTTACTCTGACATGATGCCCGATGCAAGGAACGCGATGAGAGGAGGGCATGAACTCATTCTTCAGTGGCTGAATGGGAGGGAGGAGTTCCCTCTTCCACTGGTCTCACTAATAGGAGGCTTTCTCTGTAACTCAGCCCTTATTACTCTGCCCATTGTCCTCTCCTGAGGCTCAGCTTGAAATTCACTCTAAGAGCTTCTCATTCTCTGTGAAGAAACTGCATTTTCATTCCTCCAGGAAGTTCTGCCTTTGGAAGTTCCTCAATGTGATGTTTAATGGTGACATGAGAAATACTTCCAATTTACTGAATATGCAGCACAGGACAGTTACAGTAAATGGCCGGGGGATGAGTTCAGCTGACAAACACAAAATGATTTTTGTCATTAGTGGGTGAGCTCTGTGGCTTAGCAGGGCATCCAGCAGGTTTCAAAATATCTGCCAAAGTTTCTCCTGGGCCATAACTGGTGTTCTTAGTATAGCTGCTAATGCCTGTGCTTGCTCCTGCCTCTTCTTCAATCTCTTTGCCTCTTCCCAAATCTTACTTTTCAGTTTTATGCTCTGGCTGTTTGCTTCTAGGAGAGTGTGGTATGAAGACTCTAGCTGTGCAATCAGCAGCATGTCAAGAGAGCAAGAAAACAGTCAAGGGTGCTTTACTTGTCCAGGAAAGAAACAGCTAGACATGTTTCCCACCTGTTGGGTCTACTCTTTTGACATCCATTTGAATTTGACATTTTGAGGTTAGAATTTATAGAGACAATTCAGAAATCTGCCTTGAGAAATTATGTAAGTGATGCTACCCTATCTTAGTTCACTGTTACTTATATCCACATATAAAATAACTCTGTCCTAGAAGAGAAGCAGTGTGGGAGATTTGACAATAAGGGCCATCCATGCTGGAAGCTCCAAGATCAAACCAAACAGTGAGTGCCAGCTCTCCTACAGCAAGGGGAGTCATTAAAAGGAAGGGTCCTGGAGCTGTGGAGTTTGAATCCTTGCTCTTCTGTGACTTTGGGCCAGTTTCTTAGCCCTTTAGTGCCTCTATTTCCTAATCTGTACACTGGGCACAATCCTAGTAGTTACTTCTTAGGGTTATGGTGAGGATAAAATGCTTTATAAAGTAATGCATTGTAACAGGTATTGGCCAGAACATAGATCCGGAAGTCAGAAGACTAGAGTTTCAGAAGCACCTGGCACATGGTAGGCTCATATACGTGTCAGCTATTGTTGACACCACCACTAGCAGTTTTTGTGGCACTAAATAGCAAAGAATGGCTCTTCATTTCTGTGGCTCTTCTGGTAATTGTGGACTTTGATTCTCTCTGGGTGTGCATGGGAACCAGAAACGACCTGGACTGCTATTCCTGTCCTGAGTACAATGCTGCATGGCCTACCCGTAAACCAACACCATGCCCTTGTGATTCTCCAGGGAGCGGGCCACTGTTTACCCTATCCAAGTTTGGAGTGTCCCCAGAAACAATACCTTGCCTCCGCCGGGCATTGAGTTTCCTAAAGCAGGTCCCTTCCACAAGGCGGTTCAGGCGTTGCTGTTTGATCAGCTCTAAGATTTCTGGCTGAATCTTCTCCTTTAGTTCCCTGTTAGAGGAAAAACACATATTCCACAGCATGCCTTGAGAAACAGAGTGTGGCTTGGTGGGCATCATGGGCATACGGGCAGGGGAGAACAAGTGCATCTTTTCATGAGCATCTAATACCTCCAACTTGGTGCTTTAGAGAAGTGTTTATTAAGAGTCAGTGGCCAGGGGCATAAGTACAACACCACAATAGATTCTGTGACATTTACAGAATTCCACAAAAGAACCAGCTACTTCAGTGATGTTTTTCCAGAGCAAAGTGTCCTGAAAATTTTCTTCTTTTATTTTACAAAGCCACGGATACAAAGTTATGCAAAAATCCATTCAGCACTGCTAAGACAATCAATCCTTGGTCAACTTTTTTCCCCTGTACCAGCTAAACTCTGGGACTGTGTTTGTGATCTGATTAAACAGGCATATTAGGCAACCACACGATTACTATTCCACAGCAAACACTGTGTAGTGAGCAAACCACAGGACCACTTTTGCTTCCAATTCCATCATTCACAAATGGGGACAACAACACTGTCCCAGATTCTAGCCCACAGAGACTGAGATAATGATGGGAAAAATGAAAGATTATTTGTATCTTGTCTCAGGCTAATGCAATATAATTTAGTTTGAGATCCATTATGCTGCAAAGATATCATGATAGAGTGAAATGGTTTTCAAATTTTTTTTTTTAGAGCAGAAATTTTTATCATAGGAAATTTTATGTAGTGCCCTAGCATTTGAGTCTAGTAAAGCCAAAACTATTCTAGTTGAAGCTGGACAGGGAGACCCAGAGCCCATTCCTCATAGCAGTGTAAGAAGTACTGGTTAGAACATAGATCTACAAGTCAGAAGACTAGAGTTTCAGTCTAGGCTCTGCTCACGACTAGCATTTCCTGTAACTCATCTAAGTCTCAGTTTCTTCATCTATAAAATGGGAATAAGAATCTTTCCTGCTGTGACTCCCAAATGAGACAGAATACAAGTCTTTATTAAGCACTGAGCAGGAATGTAAGGCACAACTGAATTTGCTTTGGTGACATTCTCTCCTTTCCTCAAGCCAAACAGTCCATAGGCCCATATTACCCTGTAGTCAAGGCTCACACATTCATCAGCTTCCACCTTAACTCTGGACTTGCCTTGACACTGAACTGCAGGCAACCTGTTCTCACACAGTGCTCCATTCTGAGGTGAGAAAGGTACTCATGCTTGTTGGGCACCTGCTATGAGCCAGGTAGTGCAATATGCAATTTTAGCTCATTTAACCTTCCTTCCTTCCTTCCTGAAAATAACAGCTTTTGGGGAAAGTATTAATGTCATCATTCCCATCATTCCCATCTTACAGAAGGGGAAACAACTCGTGGAGGTTACGTGTGGAATATGGGCACAGACTCAGGTTTTCCTTGTGCAAACTGCTTTGATTTACTCATGAGAAAAAAGAAAAAAGTTACATAAAAGGATAAGGCCATCTAACAGGGTATTCTAGTACTCCATTAATACATTTTTTGAGGCTTAAGTGCCCTCAAACATTCTCTCATTTGATACTGTTCCAACTGAACATCTATAAAGCATAATATGGAAATTCAGTCCTAATAATAGTTTGGGACATTTGTAAAGCCTTCCCTGTACAGGTCTCTTAGGGTCTCATTTCAGGCTTTCAGATCACTAAACTATTTATTATCAGCACTTAGCTCTACCTAAAATGGACTCAGTAAATTGCAGCTTTGAAGAACCCTGCACTGAGTGGAAAAGAAAGTGGGTAACTGCCAGGGAGCTGCACACAGCAATAAATCACTGCTCCCAACTTCCAAGTCCAGGTGACAGGGTGCAGACAAAGGCACGGTACCAGAGGATGGAGAAAATCTGGGAGAAAGAGTTTTGGAATTTCATCAATTCTTAGGTTATAGATATATGTATTTAAATAACAGTTTCACTAGGCCAGGGTTGAGTTATTAAAATGGAGTGGAGAATGCAGTGATGAAGACCAAGAGAAGGAAACAACTGAAGGAATTCTGAGTAATCTTAACTGATGCTTTATGACTTTTTTGTGTAAGACCCAGAGGTGCCTGTCACAACGCATTTCATCATGGAACCATATTCTGAGGATGCACTATCAGAATAAGAGAATCTGCTGCTACAAGAGTTACTCCCCGCTTTTTTTTTGTTATAAGCCTCAAAGGACTACAAAACATGACCAGGCAATGAAGGAAATGAGACAGCTCTTTCTTTCTTTCTATTGCACTACCCGGCTCATGGCAGGTGCCCACCAGCTCTTTCTTTTTCAAAGCAATTTCTTCTTTCCTGGCGAATGGACTCAGTAGCCGTAAAATTCATACACATTAAGAAAACATAAGTAAGCCCTACAGTATGTTTCTGTGGCCGATATCTGCCCTCTGGGGTAAGCCAGGTAATAACCCCATGGGCTATAACTGGGTTTTGAAATTCTGAGCTTGGGGTCAATCAGGCCAGGGTCATGGGTTTACTAGCTTTGCTTTGCTAAATATCTTTCTCATTCTATCCAAAGGTCTTGCCAATAAATAAAAGGAGGAAGATTAAAGGAGAGAAGATTTAAAGAGTGTGTGAAGAGCAATTCAAAGTCTAGCACTGTTTCTGGAAAACAATTTCAAGTTCAAGCCCAGTGAGGCCACTGCCATGCACAGAAGACAGACAGCACCATCAGACTGGTGAGATTCCTTCTTTGACTTGGGGTCTGCCCTACTGAGCAACTACCCACTGTCCATCTCTCTGCTGAACTCCAAGCTCATCTGTCTGACTGTCTAATTGGACGTCTCGTAGCTTCACATATCCAAAGCCGAACTTCTGATCCCCTGCTCCACTTGCTCTGTCCTTTAGTTGTTAAGGCCCCAAACCGTGAGTTCATCCTTGACTTCTCTCTTTCTCTTACACCCCTTAGGTATTTCCTAATCAATCAGGAAATACCTTTGTCCCTTCTCTTCAAAATGGATCTCATTTTCAGTACACTATAATCATTTCTCATCACCTCTTGCTTGGGTTATTAAAATAGCTTTCCCATTTGATTTCCCTGCTTCCAAAAACTTGCTTTCTTAGTGTCTATTTCCAATACAGCATCAGAGGGATTATTTAAACACCTAAGTCACATCACATCATTCCTTTGCTCAAAACCCTCCAATGGCTCCCCAACAAGGCCTTGTGTAATGGGGCTCCCTGCACTTTTCTGGCCTCACCTTCCGTTGCTCTCTCCCCCTCAGTTATTCTGCTCCAGCACACTGGCCTCCTCTTTATTCACTAAACACCCAGACCTGCTCCAACCTCAGGGCCTTTGCCCTGGTGGTTCTCCCTGTCTGGAGTACCCTTCTCCCAAATACCCACATGGCCTGCTCCCTTAGTCCCTTACAAGTCTGTACTCAATTGGCACCATCCTAATTAGAGACAGCTACTCTAACCAACCTATTTAAAACTGCACTCTATTTCCCTTATCTTGCTTTGTGTCTCCACTGCATGTATCTCCTCTTAACTTGCTGTCATCTTATTCACCATGTGTATTGTCTTTTTTCTCCCTACTAAAATATAATCACTGTAGGGGTAAGAAATATGTCTGTTCTCTTCACTGCTGAATTGCCAACACATAGAATAGTGTCTGGCACGTGGCAGGCACTCATTAGATATTTGTCAGCTGTCTGAACACTGAACATTGTCTAACTGACCAGACTGTCCCCCTTGCATTGGTTATGAGAAAGCTTTCAGTGAAGCATGCGGCTGATCTTTAGCGAGGATGCAGATTTGCAGGGTAGGTATCAGCTTTATTCCTGGCTTTGTTTTTGCTTTTCTTTCCCATGGATTTCTATTGTCCTTTCTAAGACAAGGGAGAGGCATATATTAATACAAATATATGCACAGTGTCAGTTTTATCATTTACATATCAACAGTATCACAACTTGTTAAATTCTGGTTACGGGCTAATAAGACAGAACATTTCTTCAAGTGGATATTAGGTCCCAGGCATATGAAAAGTGCTTTTCATGCATGACTCTGTCAAATCCTTATGACAATCCAATGATGTAGACATTTTTGATATCTTCATTTTTAGAGATGAGAAAAGCAGGCTTAGAACGGATTACATAACTTGCTTACAGAGCCACATTTGTAAATGACTCCAGGTCAGTCTGATAGCAAATTGGGTCCAAGTTTTACACATTTTGCTTCCCTGCTTTCACTGATGTTTGTCTTTACATCTCCCCTTCCTCTCCAGCATAGTGTTAAATGATCGATTTTTGGACTATTCAAGCTTTTTATATCCATTAACTCCAATTAATTGGATGGACTTATCTTCCTTGGTAAGTTGCACTAAATAGGACATAACAAATACCTCCTCTTTGAAACAATTAGTCAAGAGCTAAGAAATAAAACAGAGCTTCTTTGACCCACTGAATATATATTCCCCCAAAATATTTATTCACATGGAGTTTACATTTTTCTTCTCAGAAAACGACCATTTTATAACAACAGGGTGTATTGCTCAAGTGGTCTGCATGGAGCTGAGGTCTGCCACCATGCTGTGTGTGGCACACACAGAGGGAGGAGGGCAGCCTGATGGCTAGTGGGATTCCCCACTGGTGGTCAGGCCCCAGCCAAGTTGCTGTCCCTGTCTGCAAAATGAAAAGCTTGAACTGGATGGCCTTAAGGGTGATTTTCAGCTCGAAAATCCCAATATCCTAACCCTCAAGCTTGGGTTAGATCCAACTCCTCTGTGCTCTTCCTGTAACTAAGCAATGAGCCCAGTCTATGGTAAATCCCCCACCCCTAATCCTAGCCTGTGACAGAGGGAGACCAAGTGTCTCTGGGTCTCTGTCTGCCCCCAGCACCTTGAGCAGGGCCTGGCATGTAGGAGTTGTTCAGTAGATGTTTGTGAAATGAAAAAATGAATGAAAACAAGCATACATGGTCTACTCCTCTATTTCTTTCTCTTAGGTGACTTGGTTTATCGTGTGAGCCATTCTGGCAGAAGTTAGACTTCATGTAACCCCATAATGAATTCCTGTCTAGTAGATCACTCTAATAGGCAAAACATATCGCAGCTACCCTCTGCCGGCTTCAGAGACTGGGGTCACTATCAAACTGGTCCCTGGCCCACCTGCTTAAATGCTGTGGCTCCTAACCACTCTTTGTGACTTTGCTGCAGCTACAGATATCAAGAACTCCAGTGGGCCATGGTACTTCTTGGTCCATGGCCGAGGGATTATGCAAAAGCTACATCCATGCAGGAGATTTCCTTCATATTTGGATAGTTTCAAAGATAAGAGCATCTTATAATAAAGGGGAAAGAAACTTCAGAATGTCACAGGCAAAGTCTTAGGAAGTGAAGATATAAAGCCAAAATAGGAGTAAAATGTTCGTACTTGCCATGAAGTTAATTAACATTCTTACTTGGAAAAAGTCAAGGTCAAACATAATTCATCAAACATAATTCAGAGTTACTTGGCTTTAACGGAAGTGATTCCTCAAGTCTCCCTTCAGGTTTTAAGACTTATTATGGAAAGCATAATAAAGTGTCCTACGTTTATACATCTGCTGAACCATGTTATGAAATCCAGTACACTGTAGGCCCTGGGATGGGGCAAGGAGCCATTGTCCCTCTTTGCAGGTGAGAAACTGCATCTCTGAGGAGCCAGTCACTTATCCAAAGTGCATCCTGCTTGGTGTTTCTAGCTGTTACCGTCTTCTGGCTGAGGACCAATGCAAAACCCCAGTGGTGCCTCTTGTCAAGGCTAGCTGGTGCTCATGCAGGTATGACTTAGGTTTTGCAATGATGAAGCCAAAGCGCCTTGGAAGCATTTTCCCTGCCCCGCTAACTAACTTCATGCCAACTAGTCTGAAGGGTTCTACTCCACAGTTTCCAACAGTGCTTCTTAAGATTGGAAAACAAATGTACGGTAGATGTTACTGCTTAGCTATTGTCCTTTTAGACCTGTGCACTTTTTAAACCTCATTTCAGTCTCTCACATTGCAAAGAAGCTAGGGCAGGGCAAACACAATATTAGCTGAGGGGTCAGTAGACTCGAGGCTCAGTCCCGGCTCTTCCACTTGTTGGCATGGTCTTCACCCCTCCAGACTAGCCTTTGCATAGGAGTAAGACCTGCCTATCCTAGCCTTTGCATGGGAGTAAGGCCTGCCCATCTCACAGGGACGTAAAGAAATGAAATAGCAAGAAGGGTGCATTACAAATTGCCAAGCATTAGAAGTGTCAAATACTGGAGAGCAACAAACAAAAAGGGAAAGAATCAGAAACAGAAAGAGAGCAGGTGTGTGTGGTGGGGGAGCACTGCCTTCAGAATTAAAACTATGTTACAAGTTGGCTTCATGCAAAAGCTCAGAAGAAGCTGTGTCCAGTCTTCTGAGGACAAAATGAGAATAAATATCAAACACATATGCCTTTCCCTGTGTTTTTCCTCTTTAAAATATACGGGTAACAAAATTGACCCAGCTCTTAGAACAGGAGAAAGGAAGAGAAACAGAGCAGTTCTAAGAAAAGATGAAGCAAGCAAAATACCCCTCATGTGTGAGTTCAGAACACTTCAAAGATTGGAATACATGACATTTTGCAATGGTTGCAAGTGGCATTCCTTGCAAAGTCCTGTGAAGTGGGGCTTGCTGCCTCCCCACTGTAGGAATGTAGGTTCACAGTCATGAGGGCCATATAGCATGCTCCGATGCCAACCAGTGCCAACAGGGCAAAGAGGAGGTAGTTCACTCTCTTCCTCTCAAGCTCTCACTCCCACTCATTTAGATTCATGCTACTTTCATTTTCATAGTGCTTTAATGAATGGGCCTCACTCTGGCTGGCTCACAAGGTCTTGCTATTCAAAGGGCACCCACATGAAATATAGTTTTACTGGTCAAAGAGAAAAAAAATTGTTCCAAGTGTTGGAAAAGGTCCAAACTTTTAATCTACAAATCCCTGGAGGACTTGTCACTAACAGGGCCAGCTCCTGGTTTAGATCCATTCTTCCAGCAACTGGCCCACTCCACTCAGCCCAGCCCTTCCTCAAGGAGCTGCTGAGACTCCCCTAACTAAATGGAGATACTTGGAATGTCTTCTGCTGGCCTTCCCTGAGGAGCTCACAACACAGCCCAGCTTCATGACAGGCGGTCATTCTAGAAATAGTGGGTTAGAGTCTTTTGGGAGATAGAAGTCAATACTAGGTAACTTACAAAATCGGGCGGGACTGGAAATCTTCCTGGTTCATCCTCTCGGACTGGCGGATTTTCAGGATCTCAGTGTAGCTCAGGTTCTGCAGTTTGCTCTTGAACTGGTCCAGGGAGCTAGGCTTGGTTGTAAGTGCTCTCATAACCTGCTCCTTCACCACCTGCATTACCTGAAGATGAAAGGAAGACCATCATTTTCCTGGGGGCTGACCTTTCCCATTCAGAAAAGTCTTTCCGAGTTAAGGGCTCCCTGCTTCCCTGGTGCCCTCTGCACGCATGCTCAGCATTAACCTTGAGCATGCTTTTCCAAAACAGTCAACTTCCATTATGCCCATCTTCCATTTTCTCTTGCATTGCTGGAACACAAGGAAGGAAATGGATTGATAACAGGGAACTGGTGGGGTGGGGAAGCTCAGGGTGGGAGGTGTACTCCACTTGCTTGACACATTATGTGACTGCTGCTGACTCAACACTGTAAACAATGCTAACTCAAGAGTCAGGAATGAACGAAGGCCAAGCAGCAGCTAAAGCCCTGCATAGTAATTATTTTTTTCCAGGAGAAAATCGCTGAGATACAATTAACTGTGGAAGTTTGGCTGGAGCTGGTTCAAATGAATGTGAACAGATACTCACACTCCCCTCTCCCAGACTGCTTTCGCCATGTAGTTAGGGCTTGAGTGTTCATACTAATTACGCATTTGGAAATGTACATGTGATATTGCCTCTTTGAGCCTGGCACTAAAAAAAGAGGTTTATTAAATTAGAACAGACATATCCCACTGGAAGCTTCAAGAAAAAAGAAGAATACTGTAATTTTCTGCCTCAGGACAGTGCTAGCCCACAAGGAGGCAATTAACCACTGCCTCTATTAATGTGGGTTCATCTTCATCAGGACGCATACAGCACGAAAAGACCAGAAAAAACACAGAAGCATCTCAGAGCTTGCTGCTTCTTTTTTCACTCTCCATTACAGGTGATAGCAACAAGTGATACCATTTATAGGTATCTATGTGCCAGATGCTGTGGTAGGTGCTTTATCTATGTTTTCTTTCTTTATCCACTCAAACCTATGAGGTAGATATTACCATCAAGTCCACTTTACATATGAAGAAACTGAGGCTTTGAAACTTTAAGAAACTTCAAAATCATACCATTGGTCATTAAGTGGCTGAACTGGGACTGGATATCAGGATTGTAAACACCCGACTATGCTGCCACCCATGCCACCATTCTTCGTGTCATTTGGGAACTTAAAAATAAGACAAACCACAGATGCACCCTGCTATATGTTGAATTCTGTGCTAGGCAGTTTGCTGTTTATCACCTTATTTAATCCTCCCTCCAATACAGTGGAGGAGGTGCTAGTATCACTATGTAAAAGATAAGGAAACCGACTGAGAAAGGATTGATGACTTGCCCCAAGTCACATATATGTAGTTGAATCCTAGGATCCCAAGCAACCCACGAAGATGGATTTGGCATAGATTTGATGTTGAACGAATATGCATATGATATATTTCTTGCCTTCCGTGAACTAATGGTCTCATAAGAAAGGTGGACATGGCCAAGGATCATTATAATAGAAGTGCAGAAATGATAGAGATGACAGACTGATGGACTCTGTTGGCAGGTAGATAGGCTTTTCATTGAAGACATTTCATGGGAATGGAAATAGACAGATAATCTGGAACACCACTGTGTATTAGCTGCTTTGAACCTGGGTTGCATCTGAATTGGAACGAACTGCATAAGCATTGTTTCATGCCCCCAGCATAATGTCATACAGGCAAATTTCCAGTTGATCTTTCACCAGATCTGCTGGTTTTTTGTTTGTTTTTTTTTTTTAACTTAGGCAAAATGCCAAATTTGGGATGCTTGACAAATTTGGAAATTGTGATCATCTTACATCATGTGGCATAAATGATTAAATTTGGTCAAGGTTGAACTATAATGCTTTGCTGTATCATATGACGGGCACCATAGGGGTGCTGCTTTGCCCACTTAGAGAGACTTAGAATTGAGCCAAGGAGATCATTACTGTTTCCCAATGATATCTGGCTTTCTTGTGGGAGGCTGGACATGGTGAGAGACAAAGATATAGTGAAAAGAATACCAAAAATGAAGATATGATTTTTAAATAGAATCAGGTTAAAGCTAAGAGTTATAGAGTGACCTCCACTCCCCTCATTTTACAGATGAAGAAGATGATTCCCTCATGTCATGTGTTTCTTAAGGGGCTGTCACAGAGATGATGGTGTTTACACCACATCTGCCTAGACACAGCACTGGGCCTAAGTGGGCACGTGACCTGAACTGACCAATCAAAATCCTTCCCCAGACTTTTCTGCCACGTCTTGAGGCAGACCTGAAGCATGCTCTCTTTCCCTCAAATTGAGAGCTGTGAGACTATGTCCCTTCACATATAGGAAAGGGGAAGATAATGAGACCAATGTCAGTAGTAGGACAAAGAAAACAGACGTGTGTGTGTGTGTGTGTGTGTGTGAAAGAGTGTTAATGGTTAAGCCTTGTTCAACTGTAAAGGTGACTCAAGCCCTGCATTTCATTGTTTGGTTACAAGAGCCTTTTCTTTTTTTTTTGTAAGATGGCTTGGATGATAGTTTGTTCCTGTCACGTGCAACCAAAGAATCCCAACAAATACATATGGTGAAGTCCAAGAGGAGGACCAGCTGTGGGGCTGAGATTGTCCAGGGAAAGGGAGGAGTAGGAGAAGGAAGCTGGATGGAAATAGCAAAGTTAATTCAACAAGTGACTTTTAAAAATCGCCTGCATTTACAGGCTCATGGGTGCACCTCTGCAAGGAAATCATGATGATCCCTTATGGAATGTGGGGAACTCTTTAACTCCTATTTATAGATTAGGCTTAAAATCCACTCCTAGAGCCCCATTCCTCTAGCTTAAGACTTTGAACCTTGCTAGATGCAAGAATACATAAGTAGAGCAATCCTTTGAATTTTCCCCAAATCACTTATAGTTCAGTTTGAAGAAAGTATAGAACTTTTCCTAAGACTAGGTTGATAGGCAGAAGGAAAAAGCAGGCACCTGGCCCCAGAGGAAGGGATATAAGCAGTGGGTATAAAGCACAGGACAGAGGTTGGTGGAGTCAAAGACTAGCTTCACCTACTTCACTTCACAGTTTTGTTGCCAACAGCCCTGAGAAGTTCTATGGTCACTCTGCATGTCAAGGAAAATAACCTCTGTGAAAGGTATCATTAAATTTTTTAAGAAGACAAAAGAGTTACATAAGTCAAACATTCCTCTGTGCCTTTGCAATTTAGCTACAAGGTTTACAACTGATAGCTTTATGTCTCTGTTAATGTTTCACATGTGCAAGACATTCACAAATCAAGACATTCACAACCACCATCCTTAACTCTATCTTCTTTAGAAAACATCACACCCTTTACCATTTGTTTGAAAAACCCACAGACGGTGTTGCGGAGACATCAGAAAATCAATGGAATTAAACACAGACATCAAAGAAAGCACGCTCTTAGAATCTGCATTTGTTGTTGGTATTGCCCCATCATTCAATCGATGTCTGGACCATGTCAGTGGTGTGTTTCTGAAGTCTTCTTAGCCCATATTTTCTGTAATAATGTTACACATTACAAAAAAAGTGAGAGTCCCACAAGACATTTGTACTTCAAATGGAGAAATCCTTTTGGCTCCTTGGAAGACCGGGTTAAAGGTACAAGCACAGGAGGTTCCTAAATGGAATCAAGCATTCTGGCAAAGTCCACCTATGTCCCCTGCTCTCACTGTTGGTCATGTAAATGCGCTCCTGTGTTTTATTGCAAGACGTACTGAGGCTCCACGTGCTCCTTGTCTAATCACTTCTCCCATCCTGCCTTTAACCCACAACCTTCATCCAGCATCATTTATCCATTTCTTCAACAAATGTTTTGTGAGCACCTACTCAGTGCAAGGAATGACGCGACACTGGAGGCCCTGTGCCGGATGAGCTCTCAGCCTGGGACAGTGGAAAGACACATACTTGCCTCACCCAAGGGAAGACGCGATGTCACAGGGGAGCAAGGGGTCAGGTGTTCACTCCATGAACACTCATGGAGGCCCTCCCAAAGGGCTGAGGGCATAGCACCAGGGCTTTAGCTGGGGCTGGTGGAAAGGCCACATGCAGACAGGCTGAGGTGCAGGGGAGGGGCCATTCTTGGTGACAGCAGCAGCCTGAGTGAAGGCTTGGAGGGGGAAGGAGAACATAGCCATGGGTGGGGAAGTGTTCAGCGGTCTTGTTTAGTTGGAGAAATGAGGGAGCTGCAAGGTGTGGTTGAAAGGCAAGTTGAGTCAGATGGGGGATGGCTTTGATGGCTAAAATGAAAAATTTGGATTTTTTTGTTTCTGTAACCAAGGATATGTCACTAGAGGACTTTGGGGTCTGTGAAGGAATTTGATAATATAAAGTATGTTGGGACGCTTACAAAGTAGTCCTTATTCCTGCTCTAGTTGAGGCAAGGAGGGGATGTTACAGAAGTCTGCATGGCTGAGACAACATTTTGCTTGGAGGATGAATGGGAGTTACTCAGGTGAAGAAGAGGGAGAAGGGAATTCTAAGCAGAAGGAGCAGCATGAGCAAAGGCAAGGAGGTAGGAAGTACATGCTTCAAGCATGAAAGAAAACATGCTTTTGGAATCTACATTAGTAGCTTTTGGCAAACAGACAGGTACTAGCTGCAGTATGGCTTCTCAGCCTTTAGAACCCAACACGTGATTTTGAATCCAGCATGCATGTTTCCTGGGGCTTTGACCTTCCTTAAGATACTTAATCTCTCTCAGACTCATTTTTACTATCTTTACTCATCTTTTTTTTTTTTTTTTACCACTCCTAAACTAGGAGTACTAATCATTTAGAATTCAAAAAGTTTTAAATTGGATAATGCCCCACATCCTTTATGGTACATACTGGATATCTGGCAAATGTAAGTTCCTCCTTCTAAGCCTTAGTTTGCTCATTGTAGAGTGCTAGTAATAATACGAAATTCACAGGGTTGTAAAATCTAAAGAAAATATTATAGCCAAAGTACCTAATATACTGAATAGAACATATTAGACACTCAACAAATGTCAGTTCTGTTACAATCCCAGAAGGAAATTACATATGTAAGAAGCTTCTCCTATAAAAATATTTTGGACAGGGTATTCCTGGGCCACACTTGCATCAGCTGGCCACTTGGTAGGAATGCAACTTTGTGGGCCCACCCTAGATCTACTGAATCAGAAATGCTAAGAGTGGCACCCAGCAATCTGTGTTAACAGCTCTCTAGGTGATTTTAATGCATGCTCAAGTATGAGAACCACCGATTTCAGCAAATATCCAGCACCCCTTCTGAGTCTTCCATATGGCATCTACAACTTCCAGCAAGTCTTGTCATATCACCAGCAAGCAGTGAAGCTAGTTATTGGTGTACATTTCATGCTGTCTAGATTGTAAGTCCCTGGAGGGCAGGAACTATTTCTTACTTGTATGATGGCCCATAGTACTTAATACAATGTATCCCAGAGTGTAATATGGTTGGTATGAGCAATGTCAAAGGCTTTTAGGCTCCCACCTTTGATCTGTAGATTGACACAACAAATAAGTCCTTAGCAGAATTATGAGTCTGCCAACAAGGTTTATAAAGCACACTTTCACAAAGCCAAAGAACAAAGCCCGTGGCCGTGGGATGGCATCTTAGGGCTCCAGAGGTCATTTTGGGCTTGCTTCCAGGGCAGAGTTGGAAGGGGATAGATCTACAGCCAAGTGGAGGGTTTCTGGAGAAGGTACAATGGTGTATGCTGCTGGGCACTGCCACTAATGGGTGGTCAATACTTACAAAAAAAGTACAATCTACCCCCAACCAGTGGTGTCCATTAAATTGATTTATCTTCACAGTGACGAGAAAAGGCTGTCTTAGGAAAAACAGATGCCAACCCAGTCTAGCTAAAAATGACTCATGTGGGGGAGACTTTATTGCTGGACCATTTTTCTTCCCAGGAATGTTCCTTACGCACAACAAAAGGACTGAAGGCTCACAACAACCAAAGAATTGGAAAGATTCTGCCTGCAGAGGGGTCTGGGGGAAGAAGACCCTAAGTGCTCATGTGTGGGAAGGATAATTTCCCAGAGGCCAGGGATCGCTTTGGGGCTACACTCTAAGGGTACAATGTGGAGAAATGGCCTTGCCCAGAAAAAGTGTCAGAAGTGAGGGTACAAACTGATGGCTTACCTGGTAGGGACAATTATTGATCCCTCCCTGGCCTACCTCCATATAGAGGTCTTTAAAATTGGGTCAGCTTCCGGAAACTCAAAATAGTTTCACTTTATAGTTTTGCCAGATCAGGGAGTGGAGTACCTAGGCCAGGCCATGCATGCAGGACATTTTGCTGAGTGGTGTCGTGCATATTAAAATGAAGGAGAGAGAAAATAAAGGTGCTGTCTGGGCTGAAGGAGTAGCAGTTGAGGTTTCTGAATTTATTTTAGGACAATGAGGCTTAGACAGGGGTTAGCAAACTTCTGTTAAGGGCAGATAGCAGTATTTTAGTCTTTGTGAGCCATACAGTGTCTGCTGCAATTACTCAAGCCTACCATGGCAACTTATATAATGACAGACAATATATAAGTGAATGGGCATGGCTGTGTTCTAATAAAACTTTATTTACAAAACACAGGTGGTGGGCTGGATTTGGCCTGCAGCAGTAGCTTGCCAATGCCTAGTGTAAAATGAAAACAACACCTGGCTTTATAGTTAGGCAGAAGTCATTTCAAAGTCTGGTTCTGTCACTTACAAGCTGGGAAAATCACTCAACTTCTCTGAACCTTGGTTTTCTTATCTATAAAGTAGCGGTAATAATCTTTAATTAGGATTAAGAGATGTAGAGCATTGCACCCAATATGTTATAAGGTTCCCTCTGAATCACAGTCCTAGACATCTTATCCAAAAAAAAAATAATCCCCTCGCAGCTTGCAAACAACTTACGTATCTTCACAAGATGACTCTGGGTGTTTTATAATACATGCAGGGTGGTTCAAGATTATATTCAGGACAAATCGAACAGAATCGGTTCCGACAGATTAAAGAGAGGTGTTTTCATCAAATGGTATTCTCGACTCTGCCTGAATGGTTTCAGGGCTTGGAAGATGCTCTGGCCTGTCCTTGCTCTTTTCTGCCTCACCTCTCACTGTGGTTCCACCACTGCAGTCCCCTGGTGAAGGGCCTCCTTGTCTAGGGTCCTGTGGGGTCAGCCTTAATGTAAATGGAGAGAAACTGCTTTGAAATCACAGCTCAGCCAGTGTGCAACCTCTGGCTCCTCTCAATTTCATCATGTGTCCTCAATTATACCAGATGAATTTGAAACACTTTATTCATTAATAAAAGCAAAAAAGCTTCTCTGCATTTCACAAAGGATGTGTGGTCTAATCGTGGCATCCAGTAACAAGAGAACTCAGCAAGTCATTAACTTCTCCTGCCTCTGTTTCTTCAGTGTGTCCCTAATGGCCCTCTGAGCTCTAAGCTCCTGTGAGCATCTGTCTGAAGGGGTGATGAGACCTAATTTAGAGCCAAAGCCAGTGCTGTGCTTAATGTGGGCAGTGAGGTCCTTGTAAGTCCTCCTCTGTAGGATGGCATTTCACAACCCAACCAATGCGAAGCTTACGGGGCATCACATCAAAAACGAAGTTAAGTGCCATGAGAAAAATAATGGTCCACAGCAGACTGAAACTTTCTCTATTGGTTTTCTTCTTCCTGAGTTATTCTTGAATGCAAACCACTGACAACCCAAGTCTTGTTCTCTGGGTGCCATATACCTGGATTTGTGACCATCCGTAACTCTGAGGGTGTCTTTGGTAAGTGATGGCAAGTGATGTAGCAATGATCAAAATAATGAAACTTCTTGAGCTTGGGAACCTGCATGTTGACGAAAGTCAGGAATTCTGCTCTGAGGATCAGAGTTTTCAGGAGTGGTGGGATGTTGACTTTGCCTCTTGAATATCTGTTCCTTCTACTTCATGTCATTCTCATTGACCTCTCCCTGGACCCTTGCCCTATTGCCTTTCCTGGTTTACCCAACAACCTTCTGACTTCAACTGTGCCCCTTCCAGCTCCTCCTCACTCCAGCCAGCTTATTTCCAAAATGCAAAGCTGATCATATCATTCACCTGCTTAAACCCTGCAGGGGCCCAGCATTGCCTCTTGGGTGAAGGCCAGCCTCTCCAATGCATTGCCGTCTACCTGCCCATCTCACAGAGACGTCCTTACCTGGCCAAGCCCTTGCACCCCACAATCTTGTCTCACTAGGATTCTCTCAGTGCTTGAACTTCACTCCTGTGCCTTCATTCCTGCCCTTCCTCCTATCCATGACTATTACCTTCCTTCTAGCCCCTGCTCATTTGTCAAGCCTAGGCCTAGATGTTACCACCCTTTATCATTCTTCCTGACCTGCTGCACTTCAGCCAAAGTCAGGGTTCCTGTCCCCATTCTCCCATCACAGTCCCATCATAGCACTGACTGTACCATAATGTAATGACCTGTGCCCTCCTTTATTACTATCTCATCTCCAGAGCCTGCACAGTCCAGTCACAGAGTAATGATTGAGAAATTATCTGTTTAATTTATGAATAATGGGCTCATCAAATGACTACCAGAAAGAAATAGCCTCTAAAATCAGTAGTTCTCAACATTCACTGTATAATACAATTCACAGGATGTCTTTGCCTGGCCTCATCCCTTGAGATTCTGACCCTGGAATGGGTTCTGGACATGGGTCATGTTTTGCAAAGCTCTCCAGGGGAGGTGCATGCACAGCTAGGGTGGAGGAACACTGGTCCGAATTAGGCAGCACAAGAAGGTAGGAAGGAGGAATGACTGCAGTTCCAGCGAAAAGGGAGAAAGGGCCTGCACCCTTCCCTCTGTGCTGCCCAATGTGACTTACAGATGCCAACCAAAGAGCTGAGTCCTCCGCTTGTTACTGCCCACAGTTTTCCTAAAGCTTGATCTTCAACTGCTCCCGACAGCACGGATAGGATTGGTACTCTCACTGGGGACAGTCAGATTGGCGGACAGGGGACTGTGCCTGCTCTCAGCCTGCTTGGGCGGGTCCCTCAGACACCACCTGCTACTTGAGGCCAGACCACTCCCCCTGGGCTGCCTCAGTGAGAAGCATGTGGAGGGCATCAGGCTACCTGGATCAGGCACTGTGTAGGGACCTGCTTTAGCAAGGGCAGCCAACATCTTCCAAAGTAGCCCATACCTCCTTGGGCAGCAGTGATGGTCAGTGTTCCCAGAATCTCCATCAGAGCTGGGCAGCAATGAGTGCCCACCCTGAGCAGGCAGGCTTGTGGCTGGCAGTGTCCAGGCAGCGCCTGGAGAACCTAAGGACAGGCTGTGATGAAAGTATAAAAGGTGACTTTTCAAATGTGCCTCGAGAGCCAAACAGATGGCACTGAAGCAGTTGGGAAGGGAGCTGCTCCCAGTGCTGCCACTGCCTTGCTTGGATTTGCAGCTTCTAATGAAACAGGAATGGATGGCAGGGGATAGCGGTGCTCAGGCAGCTTCAAGCATCCTGAGAATCTGATCATAATCCAAAACAGGAGTGTTGAGGGCCTTGGTGTTAGCCCCCTAAATAACTAGTTATGCAATGTCTTACCCTGCAGTTCAGCACAGGTGCTCACTGGGTGTTGTCCCACTCCTAAGACTCAGACACAGGCCATGAATAACTGCCCTGCACCTCATGAGAAAGCACTTTAATTTAAGGCTCAAGGCATCTTTATAATGGGTAAAAATAAATAAGCAAAAACGTTAACCAGCAATTCATCTTAAACTCAATTAGTGCTCAGTTGAAGAACAATGTTTATGCAAGCAACATCCTTCTCACTTTCTTTAGCATCTGCAGGGAGCTGATCCAAAAGAGGAGACAGAAAAGGTGAGGTTTGGGGTCGTCGCTTTCTCTTTGCAGTCTGCTCTTGAGATGAGAGATCAAGAGGCAAACAGCCATGTGACAAAGCTGCTTTTCTCCATTTAAATAGAGAGTCAAATTGAAATACAGCAATTGGGCTAAATTTGCTGGTTAGCTAATCGAAGGACTTGGCTGGACAACAGGAAGCTATTTTCACCAGTGTCTAATGGAGCCTGCCTCAGGCAAAGCCCAAGCAAATCACATTAGTGGGTGGCATTTAATCCACAGCTTTAAATAAACATGTCAAGCAAGTCAGTTCCAAACATGTGACCTTGAGGAGACACGGTGGGGGAAAAGCAGAAAGAAATAGAGTTTCTTTTCTGGAAAACTCTTTCACCAACAGGATTGGGAGAAAATGGCTACAAATTTTTAATAATCATGCTACTGTTGGTTTTTCTAATGCCTGTTCAAATTTATCCATACTTTGCCAAACATGGGGTGAAAACAAAGCCTTTTACAAATCCTTCTGTAGTTACAAGGAATGACCCTCCCATATGGAAGGTCTCCTAAACTACATGGAGTAACTCCTGGGGTGCTGCTTTCTTGCACCTAAGTTCTGCCTGTCCTTGGTGGGGAGGGGATGGTGAATTCACTTCCCTAGGAGCTCCCCAAAATCAGGGGAGGAATTCCATTGAAGAAGTACCTGAGACTGGATGGATTTTTCTTTTCC
This sequence comes from Homo sapiens, assembly GCF_000001405.40. Classification (NCBI taxonomy): domain Eukaryota; kingdom Metazoa; phylum Chordata; class Mammalia; order Primates; family Hominidae; genus Homo; species Homo sapiens. Next base: position 36,905,483 of record NC_000007.14, read on the forward strand.
AAGTTACACAATCATGATGCCAAAAAACAAGATGCTAGGAATGGTTAGCAAATCCTTATCGTCTTTGTTAATGAATAAATGATATCCACAGGCATCCCTTTCAACATTCAGGGTGTTTACCAACAGATCTGATACTCAATCACTGCCCCTTCTTCACTCAACTCATTGGTATGGCCTGAAAAGAAGGAGTCAGTGGTCACTGTGGTGATCTCTCCTCAATGGCTATGAATATTGGGTTTTACCCAATTCATCTCTATGTTTCTGGTATTTAATACCAGTTTTATAAGCATCTGTGGAGTGAATGAATGAATGAGCTAAACAGAAGATGGAGAAGAGGAATATCAGTGGATACAGATAAATTAGCCTTGAACTCCTCTAAGATTAGTTACTACAAAGAAATAAATGAAAAGTCCATTGTCTCATATCAAGGGTAGAACCCGAAGCCCCACAAACTTAGAACTGCCAGCCTGTTTTGCATAAGCTGTTAAATAGTGACAAATGAAATGGGAAAACCTGCCCCTCTGGAAAGGAGATTTGATAAACTTTTCCTAAGCAGACTGCTCAAGCAAGACCACAGGGGAAATGAGGTAGGAAAAGCAGGTCTGGTTCCCATAAACCAGCTCTGCCATCAGGCAAGGCTGCTGAACTCAGAGGAAATCGAAGACCACTCCAGCAAATCACCCTGGGAGGAGAGTACAATCAACCAAAATGAAACTGTTCATGAACTTGCCTCAACAGACAGACCAGGCAGTGGAAGTGGCCACAAAGTTGAACTTCAGAGCCTACTCGTCAAGATTCTGTGATATATACAAGAAAATATTATGTTTTCACCCTTTTAGCACAGATCAAACTGTGTCATATTTTAAGTGGCCCATTCTTTGTTGAGAAATTGAAAACACCATTTTAGTTTTCAAATACATTCAGCTGAATTATTAATGAAATATTGAAACAATACATATGTCTTGATTGTCTACATTTTTTCTAATAAGTTGTTGATGCCTGGTATTATGTTAGAAGCATTAGAAGTATACTCAGGCCTATATTCGCTCAGCTAACATTTACCAAGACTAATATGTGCTAATCACTGGGTGAGGAGGTGCTGGGAGCAGAGAGAATAACCAGACCAGTGTCCACCGCTGAGAAACTCAAGCACTTAGGTGAGGCCAGGTGCAGTGACTCATGTCTGTAATCCTTGCTACTCAGGAGGCTGGGGTGGGAGGATCGCTTGAGCCCAGGCTGCAAGTGAACTATGATGATACCACTGCACTCCAGCCTGGGTGACAGTGCAAGACCTCCCAAAAAAAAAAGGCGCTTAGAAAGTTGCTGTGTAAACAAATTATAAGAGTAGATCTCAGTAAGTGCTATTATCAATACAATTTAGGGGCAGGAAAACAAAGTGATTTATTATGCACACCGTTTCTTTGCTTTTAGAAATATATGTCCATTCTTACCCTATTGCTTTAACAACAATATATCTCAGAGTGCAGTGAAATTATTTATTCACTACTCGTCTCCCCAGCAGGACCTTGAGCCCTTTAAAGGAAGAGACCATGCTTCATTTGTCTTTTTATGACTACTGAATTTTAAAATCCCTCATACCTGGAAAATGTCCCCTTTGGTCCAGAAACTGAAGGTCAACTAGATTGTATTTCTAGAGTTATGTGCAAACAAAAAAAAAAATTCTGGCAAGTCTTCATGAAGGCCAGGGACGAATCCCTGTGATAGTTTTAAGCAGAGGGAAAGAGAGGGTTGAGAGAGGAGCAGTGATAGATTAACTCTTACTAACACACTGCTGTACCAATGTTCTGCTGTATTTCTCCCAAATGGTTGAAAATTGGGACACCCTCATAAATCCCTAGGCCTTTTCTCTTCTATGGCTGGTTATTACAGTGTCCCAGGGCAGAAGAGTGCTTTCCAAAGTAAAGTAATTGCAAGCCATTTATTATGTTTAAAGGGGAACCTGTCACCCACCACAGCTACAAAACTCAGACAATTAAAACAGCCCAGAGTGCCCTGACTCTGCAAAACCTGGACAGTTCCTCAGTCGTGTGAAGTCAGTGACCCCAAGCAAGATCTGAAAAGGTTCTTGTGTTTCTCCACTCCATCCCTCTTCCTTTCTGCTCCTCTGTTCTACCTCTCACAGCTGTGAAGCCAGTTATTGCAATGGTTTCCAGAAATCTGCTGGGTCTCCCATTCTCTCACCCGAATGCAGTCCCTTTCCTTACTGATGAGTCCTTTGGAGGACACAGAATAAACAACAATTATGTGGCACATATCCCACCACTCCTCTCTCCCATGCCAATGGCAGACATCACTAATCTATCACGGCACTTCTTTTTTCTGCTGAACCTGGACTCTGTCTGCAAGTAGCCACCACCAATCCGCTAAATTTGGCATTCACAATGGCACTATCCTCCATCTCCTATGTTGGTGGGCACTTAGTTAATCTTACCTAACACACAGGACGGGTCAATAACTTTGGATCAGGTTTTCTTAGAAGTCCCAATAAGCACTAACTAGACTTCCTTGAGGACTAATCCAAGTGTTTTTCCGGGCCTGAACTTGTGTTCAGTTTTATGTCCTTGTGAAAATTATTTGACCCAACAGCTAAACAGAATTTCTATATCACTTCCCATCTTGGCTGCTGAAGTCAATACTAACACCTCTGACAATGATGTGCTGGTTGTTGTAAGGACATAGTTATGGGTCCTAGAACAGTGCCAAGCACTCAGCTCAGAAGGAGCTTGTTGAATGTTTGTTGAATAAACTGAAATAGTGAACAAATTCTAGACCTACTGATGTTTAGCACAACCACCATTTTCCTTCTTTTCAAATTTCAATGATTTTGTAACTAGAAAAAAAATCTCTGACTATAATCAATGTCTAAGGAACTTTCTTAGAATTATAATTTGGGTGAAATTACTAAGGATTTTTTAGAAGTAATGTTTATTTATAAATCAAAAATGTTCTTGCTACTTGTTTATTAAAAACAAAATGATTTCCAAAAGGATATAATTTGTATTAGAGTTTTGTTATATAGCAAAGCCAATGCCATGTTAAGATTTGTTATTTTTTTTTTTAAGATAGTGTGAAAGAAGGGAAAAAACGGCATACATCTTGTAAAGTGACAATCAAAGCCGGCTTCAAAAATAAATAAATTTTAAACTACATAGTGTAATGGCAGTTCTCAACTTCTTATTTAAGAAGAGCGTACATCTTATGTTGGACCTTACCATGTATCTCATCTTGAATTAGAAAACGTATGTTTAAAAACTGAAAACAAATTCAATACCCACCCTTTTTCCCACCTAATTAGGTACAGTATCAAGTGAGTTGGGTGCATATAAAGCACCTCCTATCTGCTAGAGGCAACAGAATGCTGACTATTAGCATTTCCTGGGTGTTTACTAAGCATGGGCACAGTGCTCTAAGCTTGGAATCTTTAAACTCATTACATTGTCACAAGAATCCTACCAAATAGGGACTATCCTTTTTTTTCAGTTGCAGAAAACAAGTCTCAGGGCATTTATACTGGTAAATGACAGAAGAGAGACTTGAATCCAAGTTCTGTAATTAGAAAGCATATGCTTTAAACTATTACAATGGAAACATGGAGCTGAAGTTGACTTCAGAATGTGAGAGTTGAATGAAAGATGTTTTTAACTTTAACCTACGATTAATGAATGCTATTGCACTAAGTTGGTAAAAAGATTAGTGAGTAATGCATAGCTCCTATTGAGTAGTAAGTAAGCACTCAAGTAGTAAGTAAATAAGAAAGGTGTTTATTATAAATGAAATCCATCCACCAAGAGAATTTTACTTCTGTTATTATTGTGATAAAGGAGTCTTGGAATTAGCATGGACATCTGACAGGTGAAAACTGGGAGCCAGGGAATTTGCTGGGGGTAGAAGGGACAAAGATGGTTTCTGCTTTGCAAAATGGTGTCTGCTGATGGGGCAGGCAGAACTGCCATCTCCTACAATGAATGCCCAAGGAACTGTAGAAGCTAAAAAGCGATCAAAGATTTTAGGAGCAAAAGGGGACATGCGCCATTGAACATGGCATGAACTTGATCATTTAAATTAATTGGTTCTTTTTTCGTGTGTGTGGGTTGGTAACTATGGGCTTGTACGTACAGGTACACAAAGACTGATTAAATGCTGAAAAAACTGTAATGCTGAAAATGTTACAAAGTATTTTTGGTTTATTTGCCTAAGTTTTGTTTTCTGATATCTCACATTGTAAGAGTGACTTTTCCTTATTTGCTTTGGTTATATTTAAAAAATGGAAAGTCTTTTTCTTCAAGGATTTAATTCCAAACCTATGACCATATTGTCCCAAAGTACTGGTGAGGCCTCCAGAAGATCTCAGAAACAATCTTGGGAAGTAATAGAAAAATTCAATGCCAGCAATAAATAAATGAATGAATGACCAAATGAATAAACAGACAAATAAATGGGAGTGAGTTACAACTGAAGATCAAAAAGTGTCTCTTATCAATACTCCATTGCCCCTTCTTCTGCGTAAGGCATTGCATAGACAGCAGGAAACTAGGGGTGAGGTGGGCATAGATAACAGGAAAGTAGGGGTGAGGGAGGCACAGATTAGTATAGAACTCAACTCACACTCACAATATTATTAGCAATAATATAATAATAACTTTTGAATCCTGGAATTTTTGGCTAAGCTGGACTTTAGAGGTCCGGTTGATGGATCTGCCAAGATAGAATTAAGTGGCTTACTCAAAATCATACGCCATATAGTGGCAGAGCAGGGATTTGAACCTAGAGCTCCCTATTCCTACCTGCTCCAGGCTGTCTGCTTTGCAGGCACTGGTGCCAAATGAACAGGCTCTAGTGCCATGTGATTCAAAGGAGGAAAGACCACTTCCATTTCAAGGTGGCTGGGAAACACTAAATGAACAAAGCAGGCTCTGATGGGTCCTGCAGGATGGGTATAATCTCAATCTAAAAAGTGGAGTAAGGGGAGTGGTTAGAACTTTGCAGGTCAATGGAAAGACAACTGCTCAAGATCAGTTTGGCTCTAGTGAAAGATGGAAGGAAAACAACAGGCACTGGAATCAGGCAGAACTGATTCCAAATCCTTGGCTTGCTCACTTGCCATCTGTGTGTCCTTGGGCAAATTCCTAAACCTCTCTAGGTCTCAGATTCCCAATAAATGAGAGTGTACAGTGCAGACCTTGCACTGTAGGGGAAGGGTTAAAAGAGAGAATGTTGGTCAACGAGCTTTGATAGGACCAGATATAAACGATGGCTGGAAATGCAAGATCTTAGAGCAGACGAATGAAGCTATACAGTCAAAGATGAACAGTTAAGGAGGACACGTGGTGCCTCCCTGGCTTTGTGTCTGTCTTTTCCTACTGCTCCTGTGTAACCTTCAGCACATCCTTTCACCTCTCTGTATTTTTCCCCCAAAATGAGCTTGGACATCCTTATAACTTCTGACTTGAGTATTCTGAATAAGCTTGTGAGAAAATGCCTTCTAAACGAGGGGATATCTATCTTTAGGAAATCGATGTTGCTACTGTCCCTGGTCAGGAGTTGCCAACGGAACTTACAGTATGAGAGAGAAAGGTGTTCTCTGCCAGGAACAACCACCCACATGGTGCTGTGGAGAAAGGGATCTATTCTGGAAAGGACAATAAAAAATATTTTGTGCTTGGTTTTGCCATGCCACTAAAAGGATGGCACCCCAAGCAGGGTGCTGAGACATTATCTCTACAACTTCAAGATCAATGCGTCCTTTCCTCGCTGCCCCACCTAAAGAATAAAAAATACAAAAGATACAATTTTAGAAAAGAAGTGGATGCCAAACCAACATGACACAGTAGGTGAATGAAATAAGAAAGAAAAACGAGACATAGGAAGGACATAAGGCAAAATAAATACTATATGGGGCCATATTGAAACCTTTTCCAGTGTAAAATACACTTGGTAAATAAAAAGCAAGGCTGTAAATGCTTGCTCTTTTGGCATAACGGCTTCCAAACGAACATCTCATGATACTTTACTGGTATAAAGTGCATTTTGTCTCAAGGTATGATTAGGAAGAAGATAAGCTCTTTAAGCAGGTTTATAAATGGTGAAACTCAAAGCACAGAGAAATGATGCTGTTATGGGAATACATGGGTAACATACCTTAGACCTGATCCTGGGGTGTCTACCAAGAAGCCAGACCCAAAAGCATTGTCTACTGCAGAATCTGTCCCTTCCTCTAGTTAAGATCACCAAAAGTCATGCTGATATCTCTCAAAATGACTCTCCTTTCTCAAGAGCCCACCTCCCTTGCTCCCATCGGCCAACTCTCAGCTATTTGTCTTTAGCTAACTGGGTTTCTAAGGTGGCTCTGCAAACAGCCTGCTCCCCACATGTCATTAATCAGTCCCCACATATCATTAATCAGTGCCAAACTAAGCAGGCTCCAGGCCCAGCTGAGAATACAGCAGCTCGGCTCATCACCCCAACACCTCATGAGCAAACATGAGTGATGACTGTTGGGTAAACACCATGCAGAGAATGTACGTCAGCTAAATGAGTATTGCTTTAGATGTTACACCGAGGAAGGCTGCATGACAAATATTGATATCCAAGTTGTTCAGACATATAGTAATCTTCTAATGCGGTGAAGCTTGCTGGCATTTATTTAAAGTGTTAAATTGTGAGAAAGATGAAATCTGGGTCATTTAGTGAGTACATCCAGCAACTTCTGAGATACTGCATAGATGTACTGGAGCTGTAATAATTCCCACCCAAGAAAGGATACTATAGAGGGTTTGTCAGTGGTTATGTTAAAAAGGGTATGAGAGGCCCTGATTACAAGCAAAGGTGCTGCCACGCCCAACTCTCCTTAAGGAATGCCCATGCTTAGGATGGCACACCTATGGAAAGACACCTTAGAAAGGCAGCACAGTTAATTATCTCCAACATGAGTACTGACGGAGACTGTGTAAATCATAGGAGAAAGACAGGAGGGAGTTGCTGGGCCAAATCCAAACGGATTTATTTTTGAAATTACTAAAATATCCATAATAGTTAAAGCTCCTAAGGGCCAACCCCTTAGGATGTTTCAGGTATCTACTTACCTGTAGTAGAAAGGAGGAAAGAGATCAATGAAGTCGAGAGAAAACTGAAACTAAATGGGTCATATTCTTTCTCACTTTATTATTTTGATATCTTTTGTAAGGCATTTTAGTGATATAGAGTGGAAATAGCATGAGTATTGGAACAAAGATTTCTTCAGCAGGTTATTTATCACCTCTGAGCCTTAATTTCCTTCTCTGTAAACTGAAGATAATATCTGCCTCAAGCATAGTTACGAATATTAAATTAGATAACATAAGTGAAAGTGTTGAAAAGAATTTTTGGTGCACAGTATATGCTCAATAAATATTAGTTTCCTCTGTTTTTCTGTATATGTATGGCACGTATCACTTCTACCTCCCACTATAAAGCTTATTTTGTGTATCTTTGTGAAGCTGTGAAAGGATCTCAAAGTCAAGATTTATCTGAGGATCCATCTCCAAAGCACTTATTAGCACACTGCTCGGGAGGGGTACTGCTCTAAGTGAACGACTCACCCCATCAGACAAGGAACGGTGGAGCATGCACAACATGAAATTCTGGGTCTGCTGCTATGTTAATTACACTGTGTGTAATTTATAAATTCACATTGGCCACATTCATTAGACTGGGTTCCTCAAGGGAAACCTAGTATGTGGCAAGTACCCAGCAAATACTAAATAACAGAAAACTTTAATACATCTCTGTATCTGTTTGGGGACCCTGTTGATCTGAAAGGCTATTGTATTAGAGGAGAGGAATGTCAACAAGGTTAGATGGGGGAATAGAATGTATTTAATAAGTTTGTTTCACAGGAAATTACATAGAGCTTGTAAAAAGAGGCAAAATTTGGAGGTGAAAATTGCAGAATGTTTATATTTCTGTGATAGCAAAAGTGAGTTGAGTTCTGCACACAGAGTTTGACCAACTGAAGCCGAGGATACAGTGGAAGATCAAGTGTGTGTTCAACATTCTTACTGTCCTTACAGTAGAATCTTTGCCTTATGTAATGAATTGGGACAAGAAACGCCACATACGAGTCAACAAATAATAACAAAGCCTGAACATGTGTTCTACTAGCCCCACCTTGGAGGACAGTTTGGAGAGGAGTTTGTGAAACAGGCAAACCAGAAGGTCATGAGGAAAAGGTTTTGAGTGATGTATACAAGAGTTAAAATGAGTCCCTATGCTATAGTTTCTGGGTACTGCAGTTGTTTGCTGATCTACTGACTTGTGCTGATAACAAAGCATGTGGTCCTAGCTAGAATCCTCCAATCATACAGCAGTGGGGTAGGATCTTTGACAGTCTCTCAATATAGGACTTGGTAGTTCAGAGATTTGTTTGGAGTTTTAAAACTCCATGTCCCATTTAAAGCAAGGATTATTACCTGAAAGTTCTACAAACAAACTGAAATTGTGCCATATTTTGTGAACATGCACATGCACGTTTTTCTACCTTTGGAAAGTTGCTGGGGCTTTGACTGAAACTGGCCAGTGGCAGCTAGGTACAGGAAGCTATCTTGAAAGGAGAGCGTAAGGAAAGGGTAAGGAAAGCAGTTCACAAATAAGAGCCCTGGCTTCACACGGATGATATGAAACCCTGCTTACTTCCATGAATCCTGCCTCCTTGATACTGACCTGAGTGTCAGCTGAATGACAATTCTTATGAATCAGCTCTCCCAAAGTATAATATTATTTCTTCATCAACTTAGTATTGTTTGTAGCTAAAGAAATAAATTACTTGTATGTGTTAGGGCTAGGTGACTGCAAACTAAACGTCCTTTGCTTTTTAAACTAGTACTATATTAGAAAGTTTAAGGCTTTTCGCATCTTAATTTGCTTATATGAAATAGAGATGATAAAATTTACCCTATAGAGTAATTACGTAAAATAGATCATGCATATGAAAGCACTTTGTACAACGTAAGGTACTATATGAAATGAATGTACATTCTTTTTTTTTTTTTTTTGAGACGGAGTCTCACTCTGTCGCCAGGCTGGACTGCAGTGGCCTGATCTCGGCTCACTGCAACCTCCGCCTCCCGTGTTCAAGTGATTCTTCTGCCTCAGCCTCCTGAGCAGCTGGGACTACAGGTGTGGGCCACCACGCCTAGCTAATTTTTGTATTTTTAGTAGAGACGGGGTTTCACCATATTGGCCAGGATGGTCTCGATCTTTTGACCTCGTGATCTGCCCGCCTCGGCCTCCCAAAGTGCTGGGATTACAGGTATGAGCCACCGCACCCAGCCGAAATGAAATGTACATTCTTAACTCTCCATTGGTTTAGAATGATCAGACACATGAGTAAACTGCCTTCTGGTATAAAATGCAAGATTTCAGAAATTCAGAAATTCAAATTGTGAAATCCATACAGCTTTCATTTAGCAAAGCAGTTTTTTGTTTGTTTAAGAGATGGAGTCTTGCTCTGTTGCCCAGACTGGAGTGCAGTGGTACGATCATAGCTGACTGCAGCCTTGAATTCCTGGGTTGAAGCAATCCAGGTGTGCACCACCACATCCTGCTAATTAAAAAATATATATACTTTAAGAGATGGGGGTCTTGTTATGTTGCCCAGGCTGGTCTTGAACTCGTGGCTTCAAGTGAGCCAATCTTTCTGCCCAGCCCCCTGAGGAGCTGGGATTACAGGCTCAAGTCACTGTGCCTGGTGCTAACAAAGTGGTTTCTTAAACAATCAGCCCTACTAATAAAAGGCTAAGCTTACATGCATTTATTTTTGGTAATTTTTCTGTCTTGCTCAGAACACTACTCATAATATATGCATATTTGAAACAAAATTTCTCAGCCACATTTTTCAATATGTTTATTCTTTTATCTAAGATAGGAGGGGGAAAGAGTGATTTCATACTGTAAAGGATTCTAGTCAGAAGAGAGAAAGCAAAGATCTCCAAAGCTGTGATCACATTCAGCCCCCATTCAGGCCTTAGAGATGGATCCACCACAAAGGGCTTTCCAGCCACACACATCTTTTCGGCTTGAAGTACAGAAAGAATTCATGAATGAATGGAGAAAGCCAAGAAGAATCAACAACTTGGTAAACCAGAAGGCTGGACTGCTGTCTTCCAATCTTCCTTTCTGAGGCAAAGTAAAAATAGCATGGGTTTGTGTTGGCAATCCAAGATATCAAAGCAGGAGAGATGCTAACAGCTGAGTCACAGCGAGTGACCTGATCAATAAGGAGGATGAATGCAGCCAGAAACCAGAGATGATGTGGCTTGACCCCCAGGCAGGAGGTGAGCATTGGAAAAGATGTAAGCATCAACGTGATGCCCAGTGTGAGACAGAAGTACTTATAAAGAACTTCCTTCCCCAAACAGCCACTGCCTAGATAAGGTTCTGGGCGGCTAACTGATGTGGTGTTTATTTGGGGTCATCCTTGTGAGTGGAAAGAACAGACAGTGGTATGGGAGCTGGCGAGCTCAGGGAGGAAATCTAAGCTTTTCCCGTTAGTTTTATAAAGTTCAGTTTTGTCACCTTTAAAATGGATACAGCAATACCTCTCTCCTAGGGTTGCTGTAAGGATTCAGTGGAAGGCGGCACCTGGATGACCAGACCAGAACAGGTGTTCCATAAACATGGGAATTTCATCATCCCTACCTCCAATAGGCAGGAGGTTTAATTTAGGTAATTCTTTTGGTGTTAACTTTCCTCTCTCGTCATTTCCAGTCATAGCATCTTTGCACGAGCAGGGAGATTAGGGATCATCTAGGTCCAGCTTCTACCCAAGCCGGTGATAATCCCTGCCACACTCCTGAGATGCAGCCTTTCAGTCACCTGCTGGGACAGATTCTGTGATATGGAGCTTTAATTGTGAAAAATTGTGCCATAGTGGTTGAGATATGCCTACCTTATCAGGTTTTATAAACTCAAATAATGTAACAGTGTTTTCCAAAATGTAAAACACTATACAAATGTAACATGAGCAGAGAGATGAAAATAAATCAGTTTATATTAAGTAGTCTAGTTTTTTAAGACAGTGCTTCCAAGCTCCCCCATTCCTTTTAGCAGTAGAATCCCTTTTCCAATAGATTTTACTTACATAGTGCCTAAAGTACAAAACCAAGAAGGCAACACTTGTGTGGGCTAAATTGAGGAGGGGGCCTGTGCCCAGCCTTCCCTCTGGTTCCCCAGTTTCCACCCTCATTCCTCTTACACTGCCTATCAAACACTTGAGCTGCATCCCAGAGCTCCTTAGAGAAATAGCTGGAAACCTCCTGCTCTAAGGAGACAGAAAATTCTGACATCAGCCTCACATTTTCCTAGGCAAGGCAGAGACATCACAGAGGAAGGACTGGTTTACAGTGTTATTGGAGTGAAATGGCTCAATTTGGGTACAAGTGGTAATTAGCTTAATGAGGGCCAAAGCTGTAATTTCAACCAGCCTGGCTGTAATGTGATTTGAGATACTTTGCAAGAATTTAGGGGCAGAAAGGAAAATTCAGTGAAATCTGACTGATAGAAGCTGCAGGGTGCAATTTTTTGAGATCTCTGATTAAAACTCAGAAAATGTTTTAGTGCAAATAATACTTGGTTGCTTTTAAAATATGAATAACATGATTTAATTTATTAACAGGTAATTATTAATAGTTTCAAATCCTGCTGCTAGGTAGTAGTGTGACCTTGGGCAGTAGTACTGAATAAGAAATAACTACCTTATTCACAAAAACAGGAATAATATCCTTTTGAGTAGAAAATTATTTCATAAAAAAGATACTTAAATCACTAACCACAGATGAAAGTTGCTGGATTTATCTACATTAAATTGTAAGGATTTTTATTCAAAAAAGAAATTATTGATAAATAGTCAAATTATAAACGAAGTAAATTATTATAACCTCTGAAACTGACAAGGGCTTAACACCTAGAATATTAGAAAAATAGAGAATTGGATAAAGGATATAAAAATGCAATTTGCAGAAGGAAAAATCCAAATGGGTAAAAAGTATGTGAAAAGATGCTCAAACTGACTAGTAATCCAGGAGATAAGAATTGAAACAATTAAATGTCACTCTCAGACATCAGAATGATGAAAATTCAAAAGGTGGTTCATACCAAATGGGGATGTAAGGAGATGGGAACTCTGATTTGTTTCTATTAAGTAAAACAATCTGAAATTAAAGAGGCATACATCACATCTGGACCCCAGGATCCAACTCCTGGACACGTATCCCAGATATAACTCTCACAAAGGTCCCCAAGGGTCACAAATAAGGATGTTAGCTGCAGAATTCTCTGTGGTAGCAGGGAGCTGAGTGTCTATCAACTGGGGAAGATATAAACAAAATGGAATAAATGCAGACAATGAAATATTATGCAAATGTGGGAAGTTTATACAACATAGATATATCTGAAAACATAATACTGAGTGAAAAAATAAGCATTCTTACTTTCTATATAGTCTATATTACAGAGATTTATCATTTATGTAAATTAAAACAAACACACACAAAAATAATATATAATTTTGTAAAGACATTCATTTTAGTTCTAGCATATTAGGTGGTTCTCTGAGGAGGGAAGGAAATGGGTGTAGGGAATGGGGGGTGAAGAGGAACAATAACAAAATAAGAGGAGGGTCTTGCATGGCCTTAGGGTGACAATAAGCTATGAACTGAGCAGTATGCATAACTCAACTCCATATCTGAGGGCCAATTAATTCTTTAAACATTGTTGAGTTCTTGTACAGATTAAACCAGATCTATAAGTCAAACTTCTGGCAATGTAGGAGGTGCTCAACACCTATTTGCTCCCCCTGTGGCTCTCAGAAAATGTAAAAGGGATGGGGTTTTCTTTTGCTTCTCTAATAATTTTATAAGTGAAAATATGAGTCTCAAGAGAATGAGGTAAGAAGAGTAGCACTCAGATATGAGTGTAGAAGGCTAGTTCTCCACCCTGGGTGCATATCACAGTCACCCAGGGGATTCACAGAAAATTCAGATAATCAGGCCCAATCCACTCGTTCCCTCCCCCAGTGACAATGTGTATCATCATCTCTAAGGGCAGGAGGAATAGGGGCCAGGGCCAGGGTCCACAGTACATTTTGAAAAGCATTAGCCTTGTGCTGGAGGGTCTGTCTGTCCGCTGTGCTCTCAGCCACTCATGTTCTTTGGATTGTTGCTTTTGAAACTTTCAAGGGCTTTTGCTAAATAAAGCGTCACCAAACTGCTCAAAAAGAAATACATTTCAAAATATATGATTAGTGTATACAGTATGGTACCCCATCTGCTCTTCCAAAATACTTGAGTTTTAGAAAATAATGTGTAGACAGGTCTATAAATTGCTACCTCCCACAAAACAAAGTAGACTCACTTTAAGGGGTAAGGAAAAATATTTTTTTTCTTTTGGTTTACCCATAGCAAGAGAGTTAATCTATAAGAGCAAGCAAGCATGCCTTCATTCATTCATTCATTCATTCAGTCAGTCAGTCAGTCAGTTGGCACTTGGGCTAAAATAAAGTACTTTATTCTAGGGATGGTTCAGCTAACTTATAGGAATTTAGCATCCATAATAAATAGAACTTGCACAAACGTAGCAACTTTTCTTCTCACAGCTCAATATTCAAGCAAGTAAATATGCACCTTGGGTTGCAAGATCCTAGAAGGCAGAGAATGTAACTCTGTTGAATGTCACTATGTGCTCCATGTTATCCAGCATTTGGTTAATAGTGACTAGGATAATCGTTCATGTCTATTACATTTCCCACAGCATATAGCATCGTGTGAGTCTCAGCCTTTTCTAACACTGCTCAGATGCTGGCTGAAGACTTTGGGACTTCAGGCTATCCCTGACAAATTCCTGAACCAATCTCTCTGGCAAGTGATTGAGGCTCAGAATGGCTCAGGAGAAGTAGCATAGTAAACTAGGAAGAATGTGGGCTTTGGGGTCACAGAACTCTGGATTTGAAACCTGGTTCTCTCACTTATGGGCTAAGTCTCTTCATCTGTAAAATGGGATAATGGCATCAACCTTGCTGGGTTGCTATGATAATTAGATAATGTACACTCAGTGCCTAGAACAGAGTAGGCCTGGCAACTGTGGAAGGGAGGCTGCTGCCAATCAAAGTGTGTTGCTGCACACTCAGTATCAAGTATCCTAAAAGAAGCTCTGATTCCCCATTGCTCATGAAACTCTAGTTTGTATTTCCAAGCTCTGTGATCGATGCTGGGCTCACGGGGAAGAGTTTCTGCAATCCAAAGCTCCCATCAGAATGGGAGCCCTTCCTGAACCCTATTGCTAATGTGACTGCAAATAAAACAACCTGTCTAATCATTTCCATCTCCCTTCCTCTGATTCATTTAAGGAACGAATCAATGCCTTAATTATGTGAACCATTCAGAACTATAATGTGTCACGACTGGGAACGCCCTATGAGATGCCAAAAGCCCCACCCCTTTTGACATCAACAGTGGCCTGGATCAGGGATGCTTTGGTTCTTTCCTTTGGGCACTCTACTCTGGAATGATGTCCAATCACTTTCTTCTGCAAGGGCCAACCTCACACTTTATCCCTTCAGCCTGGCCACTAAGACCCAGCTCTTGCCTCTTCTACTCTGGCTAATATGCCCCTTGGCCAGGCCACCACACAGTCAACTACAGGGCTTATGAACTACCTGAAAAATATTTGCTGAATAGAAGTCAATGAGTATGTGAAAATGAATGAATGAGTGAATGAAATAAGTTGCTTCTCATCTCTGAATGAGATTTGGATTAATTGTTTCATTGGACTGTTGCCCCATGCAAGCAACTATCATCTGGCAGTGCCTCTGGAGGAAGAGGCTGACCTCATATAGCTCTAAATATGAAGTCCAAACATATAGTTTATGTTTCCTAATTCAGCTGATTTGTGGATATTAAAAACAACTGCCACAATGTCCAAAACTAGATGGTTCTTTAAAGTTAATCACAACATGGTTTTTGGTTTATATTCTAAAACATAATCTCTCACCCAATACATTAATTTACATATCCACATAATGAAATTCATGCATATATATGTGCACATATTTTAATGAATCTAAATAGATCACTATAGTTTTATGCATGAAAGGCTTTTAAAAAAATCTGGCATAAAACATAGCCATATTAAATCCCTCTCCAACATGGTAATTTAAGAACAGAATTTTCCATGTTGTTTTCTACTGCTGATTTCATTTTCTACTGTTAGACTGACCACCTTGTGTCTCCTGAAATGCCGTCTTGCTTGAAAAGTCCTTCTTAACTCTCCCACAAGTCACTCTCTTCTCTATGAACCCCAAATCCTTTTTATAGGTCTCCATGAGCAGTGTCAAGGTCTTCATCTATGGTCTGAATGTTTGTGTCTCCCCACCAAATTCATATGCTGAAATATAGTCCCCAGTGCAATAAAATATTAAGAGGTGGAGCCTTTGAAGGGAGAGGATTAGGTCATGAAGATTCTGCTGTAATGAATAGGGTTACTGAAGTTATAAAAGAGGTCCAAGGGAGCTTATTAGTCCCTTCCACCATGTGAGGACGCAAGAAGGCATCATCTATGGAGCAGGAAGTGAGCCTTTGCCAGGCACCACATTTGCTGGTGCCTTGATTTTGGACTTCCCAGCCTCCAGAACTGTGAGCAACAAATTTTTGTTATTTACAAATTACCCCGTCTAAGGTACGCTGTGACAGTAGCCTGAATGGACCAACACAATGTCTTTGAGAAGCAGTGTGGCCCTGTGATCAAGAGCGGGCAGGCCCACTGGACCAAATCTTCTGCCTTTGGAACCTGGCTCTGCCACTTACTAGCTAGCTGATACAGGCAAGTTATTAAACCTCTCTTGGCCTTAGTTGCTTCAACTGTAAGATGAGGACAAAAACAGTATCTAAAGTCTTGTGAAAATTATGACACCCATGAGCAGACATTTATGTCCTGGCACCAGAAACACAGCAGCAAACACAATGACAACTCTTATTATGTTGATGTTATTATTATTGCTATTATTATGACTACTACTCCTTTCTCACCTAGTTTGTGATTTCCTTGACAGGTGGAAGAGGTTCTCTTTCTTGCACCTGGCTCAAGAGTCAAGTAAAATTGTGGTTATACTTGTAGGCATTCAATAACTATAATGCATTCTCTAGAACTCCTCGTTTTCCGCACAGAAAAGCTCCCAAAATGCTCTTCAGTGAAGAAAGTGCTAGGATAGGATTCCTTGCACAAACCTCTCAATTATGGCAGTCTTTTATTTTTCAAGGCTGTATATCTCCTGTGAAAGTTCTCTGAGGAAGGATCTCACCTGGGGCATTTGCTGGGCTTTAGAGATTGGACAGGGCCCAGGTAAAGTCAAATAATACCTAAGAGTGGTAAGACCCCGCTGCGTATGCCTGTGTGGCATTGTCAGATCTCTTTTATTTTCTTGTGGAGTTTTCCCTATTCCCCATCAAACTCTTGAAATTCTAAATATTTGCTCCTTGCTAATTTTGTTTTTTTCTAGTCCCTTATGGAAATGAGGCAAATTTGGGGGAAACAAAGTATGGTATCTGTTTGCAGTAAACCAGTTTAAAGTTCTAATAAAATCAATAGGTGGTCAGGTGTCTAGTTGTGCAACTGAAGTAATTTAACATAAAGGAGAGGAAGCGGATTGAATGACGCTATTTTTGAAAGCAAACCCACAGATTCATTAGCTCTTTTACTAAGACTATATTTTCTCTCAACCTCAAAATTCACAAAAGCTCATGAACTTCTATTTTATTTTATACTCTTAAACACTTTATCACTTTTTTCCCTTTTAAAGGCAGATATCACAGACTTGCAAAAAAAAAAAAAAAAAAAAACCAACAGATAATTGAGTTCTTTTATCAGCCTCCTCCACCAGACACTTTAAAAGACATTTTATTTATTCTTGGCTTTTGGGAAAATTTCAGCCCACAGATTATTTGTCATTTTTTTATTTTGGCCAGTTTGTCATTATAATTAGTTTTATTCTTGGATTGCGGGATCTTTTCTTTCTGAAAATTAAGAAACCTTCCCAAAGATGACTTGACAGAGAAGGGAAAGGAAGGAAAACAAGTAAGACAAAGAAAAAAAATGAGAAGCTCCATCTTATAAATGAATATGACTTAACAATTAACTTGCTGCTGCCGGGAGGGCATCAAAGGGGCATGGTGGCTGAGTTCCAGGCAATAGTAAGTGTTCCCATGTGGATGCTACACTCAGCTGCCAGCATCGATCAAGGCCTAAGAACCCCCCTTTCATATTCGTCTTTCATGACAGCTTTTTAAATAATGGCTGAGTGTTAGCCTAAAACTTCATTCTAATGGCATGCTTCCTATGGAAAGTGTTCAGAGTCTCCCAATGCACCTCCTGTCTTTCTTAAAGGTGACGATGAGTAGAAATGACCACCAGCAAAGTGGTCATGGAGGATGGGCACACCACTGGTCTCTAGGGATCTCACTGTCACAGCCCAGTCCCTCGTCTGGAAGGCTGTGTCTAGACTTTCCCACAAGCTGTCACTCCCTCCAGTAGGCTCTCTCAAGTTCCAGTACCTGTCTCCATGGAAGCTCCTTCTGTGGGCAGTGGAACTATTAGATGGGTTAGCTATCTCACTGGACTGTGAGGTCCTCGGTATTTTTTCTTTTCTAGCATCCCTCAGATGCCAATTAATTAATTAAAGGAAAGGAGGAAAAAGACCAAATTCACAGGACAGAACACAACCTTATAGAACTAATGGGTTTGTTAGCATAACAATGAGTGAAATTTATCCTGAAATTGGACTCACATCTTGAAGCCAAACAGTGTGTGTCAATGTTATATCTCAGGTAGGAGAGTAAAGGTCAAGAGGAAATTCAATTTCAGTTTAAGAAAACAGTTCCAAGGAAGCTATGACCATTGAAAGCCTACAAGGAAGAAAATAATGATAAAAACCCTTGTATTGGTTGGATCCACAGGATCAGAGGGCTTAGTATGTGGGCTTAAGATTATCTAGGCCTTCCCCAGAGGAAGAGGCTGGGTGAAGACTATAGAATTTTCTAGGCACTTTCTGGAATTTAGAACTTAGTAACTGATTTTAAAAAATCTTCTCAAGAATGGCACATCCTGAATTACCTCTTTGGGATAAGGATCATGCCTTAATCCATTCAATTTCATTCAGGGAACTTCTACTTTGTACCATGTATTGGAAATTCAGAAAGGAACATAAATAATTCCAATAAATTATGAGAACTATAATATACTACAGGTATTGGGCAGAAAAGTAGCACCAAAGAGATGTTTGAGATAGGTCACGAATGATAAGTAGGAATTTTCCAGGCAGAAGGGAAGAAGAGAGGGACATTCCAGGCAAAGCTGTGGAATAGCCTGGCACATCTAGAAAACTGAAAGTGGTTCTATACGTGTGGAACACAAACAGTGAGGAAGCTTGGCTGGAGGAAAAGACGTGATGAGGCAATTATGGGCAATTACAGGAGCCTTGCACTCCAGGCCAAGGAGGCTGAACTCATTCTGCAGGAGCCACTAAAGGGTTGTGAACAAGGAGTGCTGAGGTCATGAGAACTGTGTATTAGAACAACTGCTCTTCTAAATACCACTTGTTTCAACCACACTCCACTTCCAAAGTCTAAATTTAGAACTTATAAAACATTTAGATTTTAGACTGTTGCCCAACTGCTTTGGCCTTGACTTTATGGTTTAGCTCATCTTTCCTAGGAGAAATGCCTCTTGTTCCTCTTTGGGGGTGCACTGAAACTGGGTGCGAGAGGTTTGCAAGTCCATGGGTGGGAGGCTGTGTCCACTCAGTATGCATCACCACCAGCCTACATGATATGTAGGTGCTTCCCAGCGAGGGCCCTCCTGCTGGCAGAGCATATCACCTTGCTCTCATTCTGGAACCCCAAATACTGAAACAGTGTAAAAGAAAACCAATGCTGTACAAAAAAATAGAATCCCAGAGACCTCAGGAGGAGTACGTCCTCTTAGCACTGCCTTTAAAAAACACACATAAACAAAGCTAAGTGGAAACACTGAGTAAAAATGTGTTTTCTCCTGCTGAAGCAGCACATTTGGCAAACTTTTACTTAAAGGAAATATATTTGGTAAATATAATGCAAATATTTCATGACAAGTACAGTGTGCACTAAACTTATTACGTTATAGGGGGGAGGAAGAGTGTAGAATCATTTCATCTGATGGAGGCCATCAGAGAACGGAGGGGAACAGCACCCCCATGGTGGGGGGTGGCACTGGCCAACTGGAAGGCAGGTGGGCACAAGAGAGCTTGGTGGTCTGGGGGAATAATTGAAAACTGAAGAAAAACTATGCAACAGCTTTGGGAAAGGTTGTGTTTTCTGCCCTCACTTTGCATTCTGTGGAGGAAAAAAAGCTGATGACTTTGAGGATACAGAAGTGATTTCAATTCAGAACAGTTTTACCCACTGTGGGAACACAGGGCAAAGTCTGATCATCTCCAGTGGTGGTGGGAGTGCTACTGGCATCTAGTGCGCAGAGGCCAGGGATGCTGCTACACGTTGTACAATGCACAGGACAGACCGCCAACCAGGAATTATCCAGCCCAGAATGCCCACAGTGCTGTGGCTGAGAAACCTTTGACTCCTTGTAAAGTTTCTGCCTGCATCCACCCTTGCATGCACCATTCCACTTCCCAAGGCTGCATCTGAAGACAACTGCCAGTAGATTTTTAAAAACACTATAATGTCTAAAAATAAAACCATTTTTATACTTCAAGGAACAAACAAAGCGATCATTTTTTCGTGACTCTCTGAGTGCTTGAACGCTTCCAGAGTCTGGGAAGAGCAGCCCTGCAATCTATACATAGCTCCCAGCCCCTCAGATCCTCCCTGTGCCGTGTCTGGCCTTGGCCTCTCTGGGCTGGCTGCTGCACAGAAGATAAGACCTTAATTTATGAAAGGATGCTATTCCTGGCAGGTAATGACCAGGTACTTCCAGGAAGGCCTCTCTTCCTTATGAGCAGAGTCTCTTCTGTCCCATTACTCCTTGGGTCCCTATATTGCCCCCAACCCGTTTCAATTTTCCTGGGGCCCCAGTGCAGGGCCTGAAAGCCCAGCAACTGTTTGGTCCTTTTCTTTTCACTTTGCCCCGACCCCTCCAATTCTAATTACAAAGACAGGCTGGAAAATGAATTTTTTAACAAGCAATTTTTAAAAAGGCAAAAGGTCCAAATGCCATTAAGGATCCAGAGCTCAGCCTGGCTATTACCTCTGACAAATCACCTACTCGTAATTTTCTTCCAACAAATGTCTGTGAGGGCTGCCAGGCTGCAGCAGAAATTTGTTTAATGACAATCTCTGGAAGTTTAAACACTCTGAGCAATGGTGATGGATGTTTCTATCCCCCAGCACCACCCCCTTGGCCTCTTTTTCAGTGCAGACCCAGCAGCGACACCCAGGACTGACTACAGATGACTGCCCAGGTCCAGAAGAATCAATCTCGATTTTACATGGGCTCTGTTCCTTCCCATTTCCCTCCAAGTCCCCTTCATCTTCATTCTTCCATCCCCAGAACCCAGCTTGGCTACAACTGCAGGGTAATATTTTTACCTTCCTGCCCTCCTTTTCCTGAACGTGTTACATAAGGAAGATCCCAGCTGCCCAAGGCAAAGAGGTGGAGGAAGGGAAGAACCCCAAATTCCAGACTGAGAGTCCATCCTCATCTCTACTCTGCTTCATAAGTCTCAGGACAATCGCAGATAGTCCCTTTGTTTTGCAGGTGAAGAACCAGGCTTGGGCCTGGAGTGACTCACTCAAGATCACACATATAGTTAGTGACAAGGGTAGGACCCAGGCCTCACTCAACTCCCATCCCTCTGAAGAATTTGGCTTTGAATTTTTAAACCTAGGTGGGCATTTTTTTCTTTGTTCTTCAGTATTGCAGCGTTAGGGCAAATTAGTTCTTTGTGCGACCCCCCTAGAGTCCCATGGGAGAAGTGACCCCCCCAACTGAGGTTGGAGTCTCAGGTTTTACCTTTTCCAGCTTTGGGATCCACTCAGAATTGTACTTAAACCCATATGACTGAAGTTTCCCCTCCCCTCCTTTTCCCCTTAGTGTGAGGAGGAAGAGGATAGAAAGAAAATCCAGCTACTTAGTGTCTTACACTAACCCTAAGGGACAATTCATTCACGTGTGCTCTTAATATACGGAGATGCAAATAACATAAGATCTGATACTCTGATGTTTCCATTTAGTAACTCATTGCTGAAGCTCAGAGGCCTCTTTCAATTCCTATATTGATACTCATGATTTATATTTTTCTATATTCCTAATGCAACAGAATCCCATAATTTAGTATGTGTTCTGCTTTTTGCATTAATTTTTTTCCTAATTCCATATGTGTTAGAGAAAAATTAAAATCCCCGTAACTTATTTTTAAAGCAAACAATAATTAGCCTGATAAGATTAGTTCCTATGGGAATTGTCTCTTGGTGATTAGCACCATTTAAAAAGATACCCAGCCTTTTAGTTTCAAAAAATATAACAAGACTAACACTTCTAGAGAAATTGCCATGCATTAGGAACATTTTAAAATGCTTTATATGGTTTCATTCATTGAATTGTCTCAACAACCCTAGGAGTAGATAACTATTATTCCCATTTTACAGACAAGAAAACCGAGGCAACTTGCCTGGGGCCACACCAAGAACCTAGATTATCTGGCTCCAGATTCCTTAATCACTATGCTATCCCTGCCTCAAGAGACACTCCTTAGCAAATGAGTTTAATGAACAAGGAAGAATGCAAAAGATATATAGTACTGGAGATTTAGAAACAACTAGCGAAATCAAGATTGTTTCTTTAACCTAATGCTTCTCGAACTTGTTGGGCGACAGAACACTTTTACGTGTTATGCCTGTTAACAATACCTTGAACACTTATTCCATGGAATATAATTTACAATCTGCTGCTCAACAGCAAAACCACATATAGAAATCCTTGTTTAAATTAGTGCTAGTACAGTTCTAGAGTTTACCTAGGCTGATTCTCACACTAACACCAAGAAGTAAGCTATAATTTTCCCTTGTGAAGAGTCAGAGTAGCAGAATTGAAAGCTTACAGTACACAAGGCAGCCCAGAACTGGGGACCACACAGTGGTTCCATACTCAGCCTTACTTTTGTGAGACAGTCCCAGACTATTTTGTTTTTGGTAAAACACATAGCCTTCCCTATACATTTAGCATCACTCTAGAGATCAAACTTGAAGGAACTAGTTCATACCAGAGTATGAATGAGTGACAGGGGCCCAAGGGCTATTTACATATTTAAATAAATTGGTTAATTCCAAGGACTGTCATTTTAACTACAGTAATGGGCTCAAGGGGAAGAGATTTGGGAGTTCAAATATCAGTAAATAGGTGATTGATCTCACAACAGTTCTGGGAAGCCAGCCTTGGATTTAATCTTAATAACTCATGCCAGTCAATCTCTGATTGTTCAGAAATCCAAAATTTATCGCTTTGTGCTTTAGCATTGTCTTTGGGTGATAGTAAATCTCTGAAAATCCTAAAAGGCAAATGAGAGAAAAAGAAGATTCAAAAGTTTTATTTATTTATTTATTTGCCACTTGTTAACCAAGAAGATAAACTCCTTTGATTCAAGTGAGGCTTCAGGATTAACGCCCGGATTCGTAAGTGCATCTTCCCTCTTCATGAGAAAACAGAAAGCTGGCTGTCTCCTGCCACCTGTACTTCTATCCAAGAATAGGATTATTTTAAAACATTCTAAATCTCCTTCTGCCTCCTTTCCCACCGACTCAACAGGGCCTTGACGGCAATGCTTACCCTTCCCCATCCAATCAATAAGACTTTAAGCAAATCATTTAGTGTAACCAGTCAAGAAGAACCAACTGTAAATCAGGTGCAGAAGGCAATTACAACAGCCTCAGTGACACACAAATGGCATTCTGTATTTGAAAAGTGAAGTCTCTGATAAGAACAGTATATTACACCATCGTTTTTTTTCCTTCTATCCAAGAAGCACTGACAAGAAATGCATCAGGGGCAGCGACACCCTGCAACAGAGAGATAACACCAACCCCTATTTCAGGCTCTGTTTGGTTCCCACTGCCTGGTTAACAATGCTCATCTTGAAGGAGCAGGCCGAGTAAACTCTCAGCCCCATTCCCAGGCCAGACTGTAACTATTACCTATGGTCTAAAGTGCAGTCAGTCATCCCACCCACCAGGGCTGTGGGAGAGGCCTCAGGGAATCAGACAGTCCTGCTGAGGAACTAGGGGTCTTCTTCCACTAGATTAAATGTGAAAGGGAGCTTTTCTGAAAGGTGAGAATGTACTAAAGTGTGGCATATGACACACAAAGAGCTGCACAGCACGTGCACCCACAACAAGGGACCAGAAAGACAGGAGGGACTGGTAGCAGCATGACCTCACTAGTCATGGGCAACCATCACCTATGGAAGTTTTATCTGGCCAGCCACTGAGCTACATGCTGCATCTGCCCTAATAGTGGAGATTACTAAGAAAGGGCAGTTGAGAGAGGTTAAGAGTTTTACTCGGGGCACCTGGCTAGCAAGTAGCAGACTCTGCTAGAACCAAAGCCCCATACTCTCTAGTACTGCCTCTAATGGGGTAAGCTTGGTCTAGGCAGCTACAGATTGGGGTATGGATTCCTGCCAGGCTTACTTCCTGATGTCCAGGGGCTGGCCGCACCACCAGCACTGCA
This sequence comes from Homo sapiens, assembly GCF_000001405.40. Lineage (NCBI taxonomy): Eukaryota > Metazoa > Chordata > Mammalia > Primates > Hominidae > Homo > Homo sapiens. The sequence continues at coordinate 36,929,243 of NC_000007.14, forward strand.
CTGACTCTTTCATCCACATAGAAGTGGGGTCAAGCTCCACATGAAAGTGCAAGTGCTGCCACCTCCTCTTAGTTCCCTAGGGTCACTCCCCCGTTAAGTCTCCTGCCTCTCAAATCTGAGTTTTCTGATGGAGTGCACACCAAAGCATTGGTAAATACACATCAAGGCATTAGATATGATGGAATGCACATCAAGACACAGGTAAATACACATCAAGGCATCAGATTGAAAATTTCTCTAAGCTGAGATTAAAATGATCACATAAATATTTCTTAATGGGGCAACATGCCACCCTCCAAACCTTTATTAAGCATGCTTTATGGTCTTCCAGCTCAGTGTTTAGTGTGGCCCAGCCCAGAATGGTCAGCACTCATATAATACTTGTTGAAAAAATAAACAATGAATGGGTCAAGCAGCTGATGACTTTTATAGAGAGTATGTCTTAGACTCACTGTAACACCACAATGTGAAAATAGCTGGCGATGTATACTGAAATATTATATATTCAAGTCTATGATGGTCAAATCTATTGTACTGGCTTTCAAATGCACTTGAAAACCATTACTCCCAAGTGAGTCCCCTGGAAACAAGCCAGAGCTTGTCCGGTCCATGAGTTACTCCCAAAGTATAAGTAAAGAGGTTCATCAGCTCTGCATATCCCTTCGGGAGCAATTGAGAAAATGAATAGTCTGCTGCTCCATGAGATCCAAGTGGCCTAATGAAATAGTGCATCTCCACAAGGCCCTAAATTATGTTGAGAGATTATGTTGGTCATTAGGTAGCACCCCTACTGTGAGGAGCACTGGTCAACGCAAATCAAAGAGAGTTGGGAAACACATCCAGTCACTGAGGAGTCATGAGCTCATTGCCTATATAAAATGCAACTGAACTGACTACCCTGGTGTACGGGTCTCCCCAGCCCATGGGCAAGCTACTATTTGCCAGGGAATACTTATGCCCTCTGGATGTGTCTAGAAATGGTTAGGTGGCTTTTTGGGCCCAATGTAGTTATGTTAACAAAATCAATAGCAAGCCAGTGTTAGGCTAATTCAAAAGCTGTATCTTGCTTTCAAATGGCAGATTCAGTGAATTTTAGTCCATGTTCATATACTGTAATATTTTTGGATGTGCCTTTTTAAGATAAAAAGAGTAGAAAGTCTAGCTCCATGCAATTCCCTCAAATGAAAACTACAATTTCCTAACCTTTGAAGGTTCATTTCTCTTAGGCTGTCATTAAAATTACATATGCTTTTAATTTGCTGAGTTGCATTTAGTGGGAAGCCTCCCAAGCCACATGCTGTGCTCTGTTACTCACTCCTGTATTCCAGGGGCATTGCTCCTCAAAAGAGTAGTCATAATTGAAATACCCTCTAAGATAGGATAAAATCATCTTCTACAGAACATGCTCAGGCACATCATTTTTTAATGCTGTGTTTTTAGAAACACCTCACTGATTTTTTAAAATAAGCTTGACTCTGCTTTCCTCCCTTAGTGAGAAAGTCTATCATTCCAAACATGTCATACTCACAATTTCAGCTGTTTTCCAATAAGGCAAGGGCAAAAACGGTCAAAGCATGTTTTCTAGGGTGAGAAAGACATGCTTCCTCTCTTTCTGCACAAAGGGGACACGCAGAAAAATTCAGTGAACCTTTTCAGACTCAACTTTGAGGTGAGAACATGCGCACCTTCAGTCTCCTATCTCTTCCTCCATCAGTCCTCAAAAGCGGTCAGAATGGATAAGAGTTTCTTTCTTTCCTATTACACTTCATTCATTTTTGTCAATTTGATAGTTAAGAAATGTAGTCTAAAATAATACAGAATTTAATAAGATGAAAGCTTTGGTCACTATCATGCTTATTGGGCACCATGCTAGAATGAAAAGGATGGATACAAATGTGGAATAAAATGTGCTTCCTTTAGAACATTTAAGGCAGCTTTTCGGGATTTATCCCAGAGAGTCAATCTCCCAGGACCAGTACTAGCTGCTTAAGACGTAATGGATGCTACTGGAATAGGGTCCTGTGGTGTAAGAACTTGTGGCCTTAAATAAAACTCTTCTTAAGACCTCAGTTTCAGGCCAGGCATGGTGGCTCACGCCTGTAATCCCAGCACTTTGGGAAGCTGAGGCGGGTGGATCACCTGAGGTCAAGAGTTCAAGACCAGCCTGGCCAACATGGTGAAACCCTGTCTCTACTAAAAGTACAAAAAATTAGCTGGGGGTGGTGGTGTGTGCCTGTAATCCCAGCTACTGGGGAGGTTGAGGCGTGAGAATCTCTTGAACCCGGGAGGCGGAGGTTGCAGTGAGCCGAGATTGCATCACTGCACTCCAGCTTGGCAACACAGCGAGACTCCGTCTCAAAAAAACAGACCTCAGTTTCATCATCTCCCCAATCACCACACTAATATAGACTCTGCAGAGTTGCTGTAGGATTAAATTATAAGCACGTGGCCAGCTCCCAGTGGCACACCCAGCACATGGTGGAGTGCATGTCCTGAATACATGCAACCTGAACACAAATCCAATGCTTGAGCTGCGTAACCTTGGGCACACGTGGAGGGAGATACATCCTCCACGAAAGGGAGAATGGTATTCCCTAGCTACAGACTTCTCTTAATAACCATCTGTGTGTGTTAAACACTAATTGAGCAAATTTTATGTTCTAGGAACTTTTGTGTATATCTTTCTCTCTTTAAGGATATGTAAGAAAATCAGAAAGCTCTGCATAATACATTGTTTCAGGTAACCAGATACTATACACAAGACTAAAGATTCAATATACTAAAACACATGCTGAGGTGTAAGATGATCTGCTCTTTGGAGAGTTAACTTCATTCATTCATTCATTCATTCATTCATGCACAGAACACTTAGTATAGCTGTGGAAAGAGGCAACCAAGGCACTACTAGACACCGTTCAATAAGACATGGATCCTGTCCACACATAGGGAAGGGTTCCCTCATGGTACATGGCTCAGTTTCCTTCATAAGAAGTATTAGTTTTCTGTGTTTTCTCTCTCTCAAGGAGTTCCCTGATTAACTGGGAGACAAATGAAAATCAATTCAGGACTGGGCGATACGTGATAAAAGAAAACAATGTGCTGAATACCCTTCTGTCACTTCCAGTTTCATGAATGGAGAAAAAAAGTGTGTTAGATTTAGGAGTCCATCTACTTCTAATTAAGAATCTTGAAATGCATGGATGAAAAAATCTCCTGAATTCAGACCCTGCTAAATGCAAGTCTTTGTACTTCAGAAAAGGATTGACTGTGGCTTACTCTTGTGGGGGCAAGGGCAACAGTGAGAATACAGTGCAAAGTAAGTGAAACAAACTAAGTGAACGAAGTGAAACAAAGCTGGAAGGTTCTATGGAGTCTTATGCTTCTGTAACTGAAGAAAAAGCAGGCTGAGAGGATCAGAGAGGAGACAGACACAGAGCAAAGATGAGATCTGATTTCATTCTTCTCTCTGTGCCTCTAATATCCATTAGACTCTTGGATGTTTCCAAGATGCGGGCTCCTTGTACCTCTTCAGCCTGCTCTGTCAGGCTGGCAATACCCTCTGTGTGCTCCATTCATCACTGAGTGTCCAAGCTCAGTGCCCGGGACAGCAAGAGCTCCCTAGATGTTTGTTCAGGCAACAGATGAGTGGGAAATGCTTGCTCTCCATGTCTGAGATCCTCTGGGGTGCTGCAGAGACAGTGGGCGGATGCCTTCCCAGGGCTGGTGCTGCAGCCAGGGCTCAGAGATCGTGTAGAGACTGACTCTGAAAAGTTGTGAAGCTATCACTTCTGTCCCATTCTCAATCACAATCCCGCACTGCCATGATAGAGGGACAACGAGGTGTCCTTTTGGCCCAGTTAACTTCTGCTCAAAGCAGCTCAGAGCACGTGGGGCTAGACAGTATCTTTATGTCACTCACCCGTGCTTTGAGAAGACTATGAGACTCCAGGCTGCAGGCGAGGAATCACTGTATCCCAAGCTTGCTTAGATAGGACTCTTCACAATGTAGCTAAAACAATACAGGAACAGAGTGTATAATGGCATTTTTAAGGATATTAATCCATTTGGTCCAAGGTGCCCCAGACAGGAAGAACTAGTCGCTTTATCTAAAAAGTCCAGGTCATTTTCTAGTTGAAGATCCTCAAGGGCTTACATCTGCACTCTTATCTTGGAACTTGGTATGGGAAGACGAATAGTAGTTCCTGCTAAGCCTCTAAGGTGAGAAGTGAGCTGTGAAATCACAATTGCATAAGAAGCACTTTAAATGCTCTGTGTGAAATACTCTCTGCACTTGGATGCCCTAGAGTGACAGGTGTGGGGTGCTGGGAGGACAGAAGTCTAGGACCAGGGCAATAGGATGTGTGCAACGCTTTCCTGCTAAGAGGCTCCGTCTCTGTGGGATGAAGGGCAACCCAGTGGGATTCTTCCAGACACATGACAACTCAGGGAGTTTTGGGGAATCTGGCAGAGCAGGCAGAAGTTGGAGAGGAGAATGCAGAGGCAGGTAGCACTGAGGCACCTGCCAGAAAGGCAGCGGGCCTGAGGCTTCATGGCTGCAGGCTTGTGACTTCAGGTCTGTGATCTTCAATGTTCAAAAGAGGCAGGGCTCACCTCGGAGTATCAAGGGGCAGGACTTCAAGTTGCCCGTCCCATCTGAATGACAACAGCTCTGCTGTACAGCAATTATTTACTGAGTTTCCGCTAAGCCTTTTTTGTTTTGTTTTGAAAAAGGGTTTGGTATGGAAAGGTCTGAAATGTGCTGATACAGGCTCTCCCAGCAGGATCCCAGCAGCTTTGGGTGGCTTCTGGGGTTGGAGAGACCCCTCTGGGAATGAAGCCAAGAGGGCTGGGTTGAGGGTAAGTCACAGGTTTGGAGGGAATTTGCAAGGGAGAGTAAGTTCTTGCAGAGATTGGGCCATGATAGCAAGAAACGGACTGTGGCGAACTAGGGCAACGCGGATGACAAGTCACATGCCTGGCCAATTTAACTCAGCCCTTCCCACAACCAAGACAATGAGAGAGGCTGCTGCAACGCTTTCTTAAAAGGCTCAGGCAAGACAGCAGCCTGGGTAGTGGATCTGGGAAAGTGAGGCAAGGGCTGACAACATCTGCCTTTGCTTTGGCAGCTCTGCACGGAGGGAAGAGCGCTGGGCTTCGCAGCATCCACACTCTAGTCCCCTCTCCCGGCACATAGCTCGGAGACCAAACCTGCTGAGAGTGCCTTCCCAGGGAAATGGGAACCCTCAGGCATGGCTAGGTAAGGGCTCACAGCTGTGTACTTTTGGGCATTATAAAAGTTAATAACATTGGGACTGTTTCTGCTTTGGATGCAAATAATTGAAATGGAAATGCAAACATGCGCTTTTGATGATTAGGAGATGAAAAAAGAAACAATTAGCATGAAGGTTAATAATGGGCAAAATAGTTTTTTTCTCCTTGACAAGAAGTCAGATGCTCACTAAACAAAATGTCCTTGAAAAACTCTTGGATTTTGTAATCCTCCTCTGGTGACACTAGAGAAAGCTTTAAATAGCTAAGGGCCAGAGAAATTCTAAAGAAAAATGCACAGAAGGAGTTCAACTCCAGGTTACAGCCAATGACCCAGGTTGTCCCCAAGGTCTAAGCCGAGGAAGCTTGTTCTTCATTTCTCATCACTTGAGTGAGATGCCAGGGACACAGGAAAATTTTTCTTCCATCTGGGAGATTTGCTATTACTGTGAACAATATTATCAGGACCACCGTGGTCTCCACCACTGCAAGTTTTTCCTGAGAGGCTGTTTGGGTATTGCCTTTGATATGGTTTGGCTGTGTCCTCACCCAAACCCCATCTCGAATTGTAGCTCCCATAATTCCCTCGTGCTGTGGAAGGGACCCAGTGGGAGATAATTGAATCATGGGGGCGGTTCCCCACATACTGTTCTCGCGCCAGTGAATAAGTCTCACGAGATCAGATGGTTTTATAAGGGGAAACCCCTTTTGCTTGGCTCTTACTCTTCTCATCTGCTGCTGTGTGAGATGTGCCTTTCACCTTCTGCCATGATGGTGAGGCCTCCCCAGCCATGTGGAACTGTGAGTCCATTAAACCTCTTTCTTTTGTAAATTGCCCAGTCTTGCATATATCTTTATCAGCCACACGTAAAGGACTAAAACAGCCTTGTCCCTTCTAAAAAAAAATACTAGTACTCTACTGGCCTAATTGCAAAGTTGAGGAGAGCAGCTCTGTTTTTTGTTGCCATCCTTATCTGATGATGCAACCTATCTGATATCTTGATCAAAGTGCATTAAGGCACAAAAGGAGGCAAACCATTTAGTGAGTGGTTCTACTGAGGCTGTCTATTCAGGTGGGGCATTCTCCCAGCACAGGCACCCCCAGAATTCTCTCTCAACACTCAATGACACCACAACAGCGTTTTTCATTCAAAGGGGCACACACATTTTGAGGCTCTTAATGCTCTTACTATAAGGTGCACAGCTGAGGGTTTTGAAGGCCATTTCTAATAAGCTAAGACTACACTACTACTCCAAAAAGCCTAGGAAAATGGCTGGCCCCTCCAGTAAGAGAATAGGTGGTGGTATGCTAGACAAGAAAAAGTCAAAGCCATTTGGTCTTGAATGTTCATCTAACACTTACAAGCTGTGTGATTTTGGAAAGAAGTGAGCGACTCCCTAAATCTGAGTGATTTCATCTGTACCCTGGGCCTGCTGCAGTGCATACTGTTGGTTGCTTACCTAAGATTGCCCCCTCCTCCTTCCTAAGAGGACCCTGTTTTATTCAGGTGTCCACTCACCCTCCAGGCAGCCCTAGCACCTGAGTGAATGCTGACCACCCCACCCACCTCCAGAGGTAGCCCTGATTGGTCTGAGTGCAACTCCTTTTACTGTGACAGTATTTGGTTCAGAAATAGAAGTGGGCACAAATTCAAGCCAAGGACCAAGCAGAGGGTGGATTCAGTGTTTCTGTAATTATTTTCCATCCTTCTGGGATCACATTCTGAAGAGACCCCTGTCTCTTCCATGGGATGATGTGGTGTGCAAATGTCCCTCACTACTGCCACCCCCTTACTAGCCACTGAGCAATAAAGCTGCCACACAGAGGAGGGAAGAGCCCAGGGAATCATGGGGAAATGGGCTACCACCCCTGGATTACGCTGGCCCTGAATTCTACCTTAGTCTGGCTTCTAGTTAAAGAGCCAACACATTTTCTTCTCTCGATTTTTTAGTTTTATTTTTTAGAGATGGGGGTCTCGCTCTGTTGCCCAGACTGGAGTGCCATGGTGCAATCATGGCTCACTGCAGCCTCCACCTCCCAGTCTGAAGTGATCCTCCTGCCTCAGTCTTCCAAGGAGCTGGGACTACAGGTGTGCACCATCATGCCTGGCTAATTTTTGTATTTTTTGTAGAGATGGGGTCTATGTTACCTGGGATGGTCTCAAACTCCTGGCCTCAAGCCATTTTTCCTTCTTGGCTTCCGAAAGTGTTGAGATTATAGGTGTAAGCCACCGAATCTGGCCCATTTTCTTCTTAAAGACCATTAATGTTTGGTTTTCTGTTGCTTACAAATGAAAGCATATGAAAAGCTAAAGATATCTGTTAGGATTTTGGGGAAGATACATTAAAAAAAGAATGTGCTTAACACAGGATTAAGTATAGAGTAAGCACTGAAAATATGGTATTTCCTTTTATTGTAGTTTCTTTTTTGGGCCACACTGCTTCACCTCAATTAGGGGGTTCTCCCAGGGATCTACTTCAGTTTTATTCGGGCACAGGGACATCACTGGCATTTTAAATGTTGGGAGGCTTTGTTTTATTTTTGGCAGTCTCTAGGGGCAGGGGAAAGAACTATATTCAACAAATCTTTAGCACCGGTTATGGTTTTAATTTTGCTCCCCCCAAAAGATATGCTGAAGTCCTCACACCAGTACCTCAGAATGTGACACTATTTGGAAACAGTGCCATTGCAGATGTAATTAGTTACGATGCAGTCATACTGGAGCAGAGTTGGCCCCTAGTCCAGTATAACTGGCGTCCTTATAAGAAGATGGCAATATGAAGACAGTCACACAGGGAGAACGCCACGTGACAACAAAGGCAGAGACTGAAGTGATGCAGCTGCAAGCGAGGAAATGCCAAGGATGGCCAGCAATTCAACAGAAACCTGTGAAAGGCAAGGAGAGATTCCCCTGCAGATTTCAGACAGAGCAAGGCCCTGTGAGCCATGCTCCAAAACTAGGAGACCATAACTTTCTCATAGCCTCCAAAACTATGAGACCATAATTTCCTGTTGTCTGAAGGCTCCTCATTGGTAGTACTTTGTTACAGCAGCCCTAAGCAATGAACACAGTGCTTATTCAGAAACATGTAATGGAAGAAAATCAAGTGTAAACCAGACATTTAAAATCCCTTGTCTCTTTAAAGGATTTCAGACTGTTATCAGATGTCCTCTATTGACAATAGTGTATGCTACTGCTAATAGTCTAAGATTTCCTCCCTAAAAGCACCACAATACCCGTTGTTTAAAAATAATAATGGTTTGCTCAGTCTTTTTATTTGAATAAAATTAAATGCAACAGTGAGAGGTATAAAACAAAAGTGGAGCTCCTACAGCTGAAGGAAGCTGGAGGGATTCAGACTTGCTGCTAACACTCTCTAGTGGCCCCTGAGGCCACTCATGGAACTGCCAGGTGCCACAGAACTCAGGCTGAGAAACACTATTCTAGAAGCTGCAAATAATGTCTGCTTATGGTCGCATCCAGGAGTACAGTAGGAGTCCTCTTAAAAGACGGCCACCATAACAGACTTGCCAGTTTATGAAACATCCTCCATCCTTTTTCTAAAATATACTGACTGCTGCCCAGGCTGACACTCCAAGCTCACAGTCAAGATGCTGGAATGCCCCTGGGTTTCTGCTCCCACCAGCTGAGATGTGAGATTTAGGGATCTTTGTCTCCAAATGTGTTTCTTCCAGTTATAGTTGTCATTGTAATTATGTAATTTGATTGCATATTATATACACTGATGAAATATGAGTAGAAAAAGCTCCAAGTTGAATGCTTTGAAAGACTGGATAAAAACAAGTTGCTGAAACCAAGCCAAACCTGCTGTTGAACCACATGTGGGTGGGTCAACCACAGAAAACTGGAAGAGATTGTACTTAGATAACTTCAAAAGTGTCTTCAGAGCTTGTTCCACTTTAAGAAAACTGAAACTGGAAATCACAGATGATGTCTTTTTGGCATGGTTTATCTAAGAATGGTAATTAGAAACTCCAATCTGCAAATTTAAGAAAAAGCTTGAGTCTCACATTAAAAAGTTGGTGATTTAACATGCATTTGTATGTTTTAAGTTAAAATAAAATATTTAAGGTATGCATATATCATATTATGATTAACCATAACCACTGTCATCAACTTTTTAATTAACTAATCAGCTGCCAACTCCTGATGCATGAGCTAAGAGGGCCTTTATTACAGTTTCTTCATTTTGGATACTGTGTTCTTGGATGGGAAAATCCTATTTCTCTATTTTAGTTGTCATCAATGGCTACCTAGAATGTAAGGTCCATGAGAGAGATTTTTTTGTCTATTTTGTTCAGTGACGTCAATTTTCAAAAAATTCAATTGATTTAAACATCAAAGATTAGCTGGGCATGGTGGTGCATGCCTGTAGTCCTAAGTACTCGGGAGGCTGAGGTGGGAGGATTGTTTGAGCCAGGGAGTTCCAGGCTGCAGTGAGCTATAATCGTACAACTGCACTCCAGCCTGGGTGACAGAGCAAGACCTTGTCTCTTAAAAACAAAGCTATAGACATTGCTAATTAAAAAAAAAATGAACATGTATTTACCTGCAAAATTGTTTAAGCTAATACAAATAGAGACTAACCCCTAAAGTACTATGGACATAACTGTATTTTAACACATTTAAGAAATGAGTTTTTTTTTTTTTATCTCCTAGCCACAGCATACAAAGGCCAAAGACTTGGCCACTTACCGAAGACAGAGTCTAAGATCTGCTCCAAGACTTAACCTAGTCAGGCTGGGGGCTCAAGTACTCATAGAAGACTTAACCTAGTCAGGCTGGGGGCTCAAGTACTCATAGAAGACTTAACCTAGTCAGGCTAGGGGTTCATGTACTCATAGAAGACTTAACCTAGTCAGGCTAGGGGTTCATGTACTCATAGAAGACTTAACCTAGTCAGGCTGGGGGCTCAAGTACTCATAGAACAACTCTTCCCGCAGGCTCTGTGTGTTTCACTTCCAGCAAGTCTACACAGAGTAGATCCTATTCCAACTTGGATATGTTTTGATTCAGCTCACTTAACCAAGAACTACATTTTTAAAATATTCTCAGAGATGAAGTGGTGAACAGAATACATGGGAAGCATTGCTGTGGCTCTGGACCATGCCACATATAGACAAGGGTTCCCATGTTCAAAGTGCAGATCAACCCTTTCCCTGGGATGGCGGGGGGTGCCCCACTCTCAGAAAGCCAGGCCGACAAGGAGAGAGCAGGAATTGCAAAAGCCCACCCTCCTGCTTTCACTGCTCAGGGATCTGGGAGGCAGAGGGGCCAAGTGGCTGGCCGGAGGCATGCGTGGAGTGGCATCTGACCCACAATAAGAAAACAAATTTCCTGTTTTATTCTTCACAACACTGTATGCTCCTGGCAAAAGCAAACCAGTATGAATGAATTCATAACACACACCTTATCCTTACATGTGACGTGTGCTCAATAAATACTGGTTGGTTTTATTGCCTGACTCCACAGGTGGCAATTGACAGGATTTTGGGTGTGGAAATGATCAAGACTTTGTAAACGGGAAGAATCTGGAGTGGCATATGTTGTTGCCATTCCCCTAACCCCATTAGCAGCTGGGTGAGTGAAGAGTAAATAGACAACCATCTCCTAGTTCTGAGGCTGCTTTCCCTGAAGGGACTTTCTAAATGAGAACCTTGCCTAAATTGGCAATTAACCCAAGCTTAACAAGGGCTTACAGTCACACTGGGGCAAATCTGGTGAAAGCAACCTTAGATAGAATAGGCCAAGGAGAGCCTTCTACACTCACACTGTATGTGAGAAAGCAAGTGAGTAGTAGTATTCAAGTCTTTCATTCCTAGGGGTGATTATTTCTACAGTGGGACTTAAGGAGAATAGGGAACTACCAAAGCTCCTCTGAGGCTGCCCTTTTGGGTTGCAGGTATTTGTATATTCTTTAGCCCTTAAGAGGGTAATTTAGTGATTTAAAGCACAGGCTTGGGCAAGATACAATTGTAGTTTAGAATATTAGTTCTGATACTGGGCAAGATACTTATAAATTCTTAAAGCCTCAGTTTCTTTTTGGAGGGGACATGTATCTACTTCAGAGTTCTGTTGTGAATATTGAGTATAGTAATCAATGCAAATTGCCTAGCACATAGATGTTCATGAAATATTAGTTAATTGACAACTATTAGTAACAATAATAATGACAAATTAACAATCTTAGGGAAATAAAAGAAACTCTCACCAAGTCAAACATTTGAGTGTCTAGCATGTGCAGGCTCTCTGCTAGGCACTGGGGGACTCTACAACAAGAGTTTCTTCATCAGCAGGGGAGACAAGCCATGCACACAATTAGCTCTTGCATTAACAGCGACAGTTATAAAGGAAGATTTATATAGTTAGGAAAGTTATAAATGCACAAGAGAGGCACAGATAGTGTGATAACTGGTCTGGAGAAGGAAAAGATAACTTATAGCTGGGAAATCTAGAGAAGGTTCATGAAGGAGATAGCATCGGCTCTCAGCTCTGCATTTTATGAAATATGCCTAAATAATGTAAATGAAATTCCAAGTTTGTTTCCAATTATGTATTACATTCTTTGGATAAATTCCATCACTTCTTATCCAGATTGGCTCTAAAAGAATAAATTGATTTCTGAAATTTCAGCTAAATAAAAAACATGTAGAATAAAAGCCTAGTGCTCGAATCAATCACCTTCACTTACTATAAGGTATATTCAGAAGTCACAGATTTGCTTTTTATATAGTGTTTGGTATTTGCATTATCTACGACAATGTGCCTTTCTGCTAGCACAGGTGTCAAGAGCTGAGAACACTAACTTTGGAATTCCTTAGATCAGTGTTTTTCAGAGTAAGCTCTGGGTTACACAGGTTCCACGATGTGTTGGGTGGGGCAGAAGAAAGAAAGGGAGTATGAGATAAAGGAAAGGATTCTATGATGTAATGTTTTGAGAAACTCCATCTCTTATCTACAAACATATTAACATCTACAAGTTAAATCTGTTCACCTTCTTAAACCTAGCATTTCACAAACATTTGGTCATGTGAGGCCTTTTATCTCCTAGCATAACACCTATGAATTTCTCAGTTCCCTTTAGAAATTGTCACTTTGAGCATTTGACATGGCATTGCTAAAGGGCCATTAGAATAGAATGCCAAACCTAATAATTTGGATCTCTAGGAAGAAGTTCCATGGCTTCAGTCTTGTGACCAGTCCTGGGCAAATGGCCAAACATGTACTTTCAAAGGATTGAACTCATCTTCTCCATTTGGAAGATACTGCATTCACTCTACAAAACATCCTGAGAGGGGGGCCTCATTCCTCTGGTTTCACAGATGAGCAAACTGATGCTCAGAGATGTAAATCAATTTGCCTCAGATCACACACCTGGGAAGTGGCAGGACTTGAATTCTGCTTCCTAAGCCTTTCTGCTTACTCCACCCCAGGTGCCTTGGATTTGAAATCGTGTTAGTAAGCTAGCATCACCTTAGCTTCGTGCTGAATGATTTCCAGGGAGCAAGAGTTTTAGAGGTAGAGGTTAACATTAATTTGTAATTTACATAAAACCAATGGACTATACAATCATCATTTCACCAATGGCTATACACAGACAATTTTTTTCAAGGTACAATAGTCCAAAGCACTCCCCTGTCAGTCCAGACCTCCAGGTAGCTGCTTCACAACCTGGCGGATGTGGATCAAAGAATAGTAAAGGCCACTGGGAGGCACCCAACCCTGACTCACTAAGGAGGCATCCCCCTCTCTGCCATATCTAGAACGTCTTTCCTCTTCTATCAGGAAGCGCAGCTGCACATTACTTACTTCTAAGATCCCTCAGCTATATCTAGAAAAACAAAATGATTTACCAGAGCATGTCAACAATGCTTAAAATAGAAATATAAAGTAATTACAAGTGACAACCCTCAAATTGTAGTGAGGCTTAAAAGCAACATTTTCTCTGTCTCAGGAGACAGGTGGGTGCTGCCACCCTCTGAGGAGGCTTATGACATGGATGGGGATTTCAGGAGGGAAATGAAGAGGACGTTTTCTTTGGCGTAGACAACAGATTATCTTTAGTCACATAAAAACCATAGATTTGCATGGAGAGGGAATAAATCTGGACAAATGGCATAGTTTACCTTTAAGAAAGCACTTGCTTTGATGGTGGGTTCACTGTGTTCTGGCTTGAAGGAATGATAACATGAGATCATACACAGCTTTGCATGCTAATTAGATTTAGTGCCCTAGCCAGGAAATTTTTTAGGCTCTGTAAAAAATCTACACTTATAATGAACACTTCCCAAGAAAATGAATACACAGTACAGAAAGGCCTTTCTCAGTAACTGATAAGATGCTCGCAGGAAAGAGAAGAAAAGATGTCCAAGGATCTGGAAGGAAAAAGGCAGTCCTGACAGCACGCCACTGACAGCTTCCAGAATTCTCATGCAGCAAAAATCACCATGACCAGCCACCTTCAGATCATGGTCACGGCAGGCTGGCATGTGGGACAGTTCAGTGTGACACAGACTACCTGCGGAACCTGGGTCCTACCTCAGAGGTGCTCATGGTGAGGGCTACTGCCTCATTCCCTTTGAGCTCCAGTTCCCACATCTGTACACTGGGGACAACGCTGGCCACTGCAGCGGGTCGAGGTGGGTGAACATGCAAATGAGCAGGCGACACATTCATTAAAGTCCTTCCACTGTGTACGTTCAGTATCCCTTATCTACTATGGTTATGCAGTTCTGTGACTGTCAACAATACCTTTTCTTTTATGCGTAAAAAATTCAGAGTAACACGGTGTTTATATAAATCCAGTCTTCCCTTTCCCCTACCTTTTGTAAGCTCTGCCTCAGCTAAGCTGCCACACTCATCCTAACAAAAGGGCCACTGGCCTCTCCTTGTCTCTGTGCTCTCTGTTGGCATTTTAGATCTTCAGTCATGAGAGGCTCTTTGTTCAACTGCTTGATCACCAATTTCATTCATAGACAATTTGATTGGAGTTTTGGGGGATAAGGACTGTCCTGTTCCTATTTCTATCCCCAGAATCTGGCATAGAACCATGTACAACTGCTACGTAAGAAAGTTTGAATGAATGAGTAACTGGAATATTTAATGCTTCGAATAAGTGAAGTGTATTATATGCCTCTAAATAGTTCATTCACTCCTTACTCAAGAAACATGTATATTACTTTTAGTTTTCAGAACGCTTTGCACTTTTGTTTTCAATTGCAGAACATATTTTCATAACAAAAAGGAAATGAAACCTTAACCCCAGTTCTGAATAACAACACTCATCTTTTTCCTCGAGAGCTCCCTTCCTGGCTTTCCATGAAAGTCATGCTAACTTCTGCTCTGAGGGTGGATATACACTAGACAGGGTCTGCACAATCCTTTAGGAAAATCACAACAATAGGGCTGGTTTCACATTTAAAAAATGATCAGGAAACATAAAAATGATCAAGAAAAGAACAGGGAGAGTAAGAGAGCAAGATGGAGGTGGGGAGTACCACAGGTGGGGCATCTCTGCTCAATGCCACCTGGTATTGCCACAAGAACACATGCAGCTCTTATGTGCTTCACAGTGATCTTAGAACGTTACATAGATTAACTATTCCTCATGGCAACTTTCCCTATTTTAAACATAAGGACATGAACATAGAAAGGCTAAGTAATTTGCTGCAGATGACTCAGCTAGTAAATGTCAGAGCAGGAATCTGAACTTGGCAATGTGGCTCCAGAATCCCTGCTTGCCACCTGACACTAGGCTGCTTCTTGGGCACGACAATCCTGAGAATCCAATTATCACCATCTGTATTTTTAAAATGGAGAAGTTGAGATTCAAAGAGACTCAAACTTGACCAAAGTCCACCAGCTCACACGAAGGAGTGCACGATTCAAACTAAAGTCTGCTTGATTTCAAAGCCCACATGATTTTCACTCTACTCCTGGGACCTCCCGTATAATATTTTCTATCCTTCTCACAGGCTTAGCAAAAGATGATTCATTATTTTCTCTGCTGAGCATCTTGCTAAGTTCTACTGGTGAATATCAAGCTGTAATTTTACTCATGAAGCATGTCACTGGTCTCTTCCCCAATGAGGAGATCAGTTTCTCTGATGACCGGAGCTCCTTGAAGTCAACGGGACTTCACAGACATTGATTTGTTGCCTGCTGGAAGCCAGTTGTATAGAAAGTAATTGGGAAGCACAATGGAGTGGATGTAGCCCAGCCTAGGAAGTGTTCCCAGCCCTTAGTGAAAACATAGGCCCTCATACATGGAGACAAGATTTGGGAGAAAAGGCCCAAAGCTCTAAAACACTAGTACACCTTCTTAATGTAGAATTAGAGCTAGAAGGGGCTGCCCCACCAGAAAAGCAAAGGAGCCTATGCTAGCAGTGACTGGTTGCCTTGAAGTGGGAATAAAGGGTCCTGAATTCACTCTGCGAACCCAGGGCAATAGCAAGTGTATTTGCTGTCCTTTCCAACGCCTGCTGACTCACGGCAGCTTTGCTCTACTCTCCGGGGATAAGGCTAAAGAAAACGCCACAAGTTTGCTCTGGGTGTGGTACCATCATTACTTCATTATTCACAGGTGATTTCCTATTCCAGTTCTCAACATTGTTTTCTTCCTAATTTTCAATTATGATTGTTTAATTGCACAAGGTCCATTATTGTCATACATTTTCTCAAAGCCTTTGTAGGATATAAAATAAGTTTTTAAGTTACTATTGCTATCTTAGGTACCTTCTAGAATCCTCTGACTCACTTTTATATGGTTTCTTCCTTTTCTACTTTCACAAGGGTTTTGAAAGGGCTTACAATACAAATGCACTAAGTCAATGAGCCTAAGGAAAGAAGTTGGAGCAGAAAATAAACATTAGGGAGGGAAGGAGGGAGGTACAGGCATACCCCAAACCGGAGCCCAGCCTCAGTGACGGGCATTTAACTTAGCACGAAGCTTTCCGGGAATCCCTAGAACGATCATTTAGAATGTCATTACCTCAATCAGCTTTATTAGAGTTATGGGCTCTTAGTTGCATAGTTGAAAAATAAGAATGCCTCTGTTTTTCCAATAGTGGCTCACTGTGTTTCCCTTAGCTCCCTGGATGGGGTTAAATCGGGCAAATTTCCCCAGTGAGATGACTTGCTGTGGCTCCATACCCCTCACATTCCCCTTAAGTCAGAGTCCATGCCTGCTAACATAATAGCCTGACATACTGCCCAGAGTCCTTGACGGTACTATTTTTAGCAACAGGGCCATGTGGCACACAGTCTAGAGTGACTGTATCTCACTCCATCCAATTTTCTTTTCAACTGGACCAACTTTAATTAAAAGGGGCGAACACATCCCCAGATCAGACAGATTCCCACTTTGGACTGTAGAACCCAAGGAAGTGACATTTTTAAGAAACTCCTTTGGAATCCTGGAATGAAAGGCATCGGAGGTAGGTTATTGAAATGACTGATCTCCACCTGTCCCTGCCTCTCCTGCCAAAGGAGGATGGGACGTGGACAGTCTGCAGGCACAGCAGAGGTAGCCTGAGCTGGGAACAGGAACAGCAAAGCTGACAGCTGTGCTTTTCTGCACCAAGCACCCTGGGAAAAATCAACACTTGGGCAGCCCTGCTGCCATCTGTGGCGTTTCTGCAGCAGACAGGTTATTTATAGAAACTTGTTTGTGCAAAGCCAATATTTACCTGTCGGGGCTGTCAAAATTTACATTTCATCTGTGCCATTAGCCTGCTGTTTCCCTGTCAATAAAGGAAATTTCCATCACTAGAAAGGGAGACTGGGGGCAGCTATGAGGACTACAGTCCCCTCCCAGTAAGTGAGAGAATGAGTGGTATTCATGGTTACAGGGTAAGTGCATCTGTTGCCCAAGTGGCCACTGGACCCTCATGCTATGCTATGAAGACAAAGAGTTGTCAAGACCCAAAACTGGAATTCTCCCAACTGCTTCTTTGTAATTTAATCTTCAAAGCCACCCTTAGTTAAAATGAGAATGGCATGTTCCGCAACCACCTCTGTGTTTGTGTTGCTCCGTGCCTTCCAAAGGACTATTGTTATCTGTGGTAAGGATGAGGGGTTGGGGGCTCTCCCTAAAAACCCACTTTCTTCTAAAACCATCAAGATCCTCCATTTTTCACTGAAAATAGTCATCTCTTCTACTTCTCTGATTATCCTCTTCAGTCTTTTGGGAGTTCATCTTCTCCTGCCTGTCTCTTAAATGCAGATGCACAGTCCTGGTCCCTTCTTCTCTTCTCACTCCCCACCTTCTTCCTCGGTGAGATCATCTATTCAAATGACTTAACAGTTTTATCTAATTCTTGTGACTCCAATTTCTCCAGCCCATCTCACTCACCTTTCCTCTATAGGCTCTTCAGCAAAATTTAAAAATAATCACAATGAATTAATTTATTTTTTAATTGTCAATTTATCTTTTTGTTATTTTTTAAAAATTATTTTAGATTTGGGGGTACACGTGCAGGTTTGCTACATGGATATACTGCACAATGCTGAGGTTTGGACTTCTATTGAACCCGTCACCCAAATAGTGAGCACAGTACCCAATAGGTAGTTTTTCCAACCTTGCCCTGCTCCCTCTCTGCTTTGGGAGTCCCCAGTGTCTACTGTTTCCACTCTTATGTCCCTGTGTACCCAATGTTTAGCTCTCACTTATAAGGGTGAACATGCGGTATTTGATTTTGTTTCTGTATTAATTCACTTTCTAGCTTTGAGCAGGACAGTATCTCCATTTGGATGTGCCCAAAGCACTTCACATCTAGTTCATCCACTGAGCTCATCTCTCCCATATTCCTGGTGTGCTCTTATTCTCACATTCTCTATCTCAATTGCAGGTACTATTGCCCACCAATAAATCATCCCCAGTTTCTCATTTTCCAACTCACTCTCCATCACAACCTATCAACCACCCAAACCTGTTGATCCCACATCTTAAACACGTACTGACCACATTCCCAATCTGGGCCATGACGTTGATCAGGTGTTTATCTCCTGCTTGGATCAGGCGTTGGCCTCCTAATCTTTTCAGTCCAAAGAGTTTTCTTTCCAAAGCACAGATCTGATCATGTCTTTCCTTAGCCTAAAATATTTCTGTGGTCTTCAATAACCTTGGGTCAAAGTCTGAACTCCACAGCAATTTATACGAGGCCCTTCCTAAGCTGACCTGGCTCACCTCACCTGCTGCATTTCTTGCTCCTTTCCTCCTCAAACTCTGACCAGTGACCTAGAAGCATCCTTCTCTCTTCTGGCCTCCACCCAAGAGGCCACTCCCTCTGCCTGGAATGTCCCATCACCTCCCCACAACCACCTAGGCCCTGAGGATTCTTTTCCTGGCTGACTCTCTTTCCTCCTTCAGGATGTAGCCCAGGTTTATTTAACTGAATAATATGGCAAAATTAATGAAGGTCGAGTTCAAGTGACATAAGCTAGGCAAACACTTGTCTATCATAGACACAGTCAAGTGAGTTATTGTGCGTTCTTTGACTTATTATCCCCAACTCCTATGTCGGTTCCTAGCATGCAGAAGATGCTCAATAAGTGTAGTTTGAATAGATAAGTGGTGAAAAACATAACTAGGATCAAGAGGTACTTGATTTTATATAAAATATTTATCTTAGAGAAGTTTATAAGTACTTAAGAGGACAAACACTTGGTTCTTAAAATCATTTAGAGGGGTAGACAATGGGCGGGGTGGGGAGGACCACTATGTCCTGCACTGGTGGGTTGGGTGAAGGACGCTAAGGCAATGTGAGGGACCCAAGTTGACATCATCATGTGCAAAAGACACCAGACTCCTTCAACCAAAGTCCGGAGTAAGGAGAAGATTTCACATTGAGTTAGAATGTCATCTATGCACCAGGCACTTGGCATACATTGTCCTTTTATCCTTACAAAGGTTCTACAGAGCACATCATTTCATCTCTCTTTTACAGATTAGGAAACTGAGGTTCAGAAAAATTAAATCAACTGTATAAAATCACACAGCTACTACCCCTCCACAGAGCAGTAACTTCCTCCATACCACAACAGTCTCTACCATTTATTGACCTCTTGACTGTGTGCCAGGTGCTATTTGAACCATTTTAGATTATCTCATTTTTTTCTTCACTATAACCCTACAACTATCTCCTTCCTATGAAGAAGGAAACTGAGGGCTAGGATACAAACCCAGTTCTCACTGTTCCTAAATCCATGCTCTTAACCACCTTCCTATATACATCAAGACGCAAAAGGGATTTGAACATTTTCCCACCATACGGCAGAGCCTCTAGGATATGCTCCCTATAGAAGGTACTGCTCACTCACTCTTTTTGTTTGTTTGTTTTTGAAATGGAGTCTCGCTCTGTCACTCAGGCTGGAGTGCAATGGTACGATCTTGGCTCACTGCAACCTCTGTCTCCCAGGTTCAAGCGATTCTCCTGCCTCAGCTTCCCGAGTAGCTGGGATTATAGGTGCCTGCCACTACGCCCAGCTAATTTTTGTATTTTTAGTAGAGAAGGGGTTTCACCATGTTGGTCAGGCTGGTCTTGAACTCCTGACCTCAGGTGATCCACCCGCCTTGGCCTCCCAAACTGCTGGCATTACAAGCGTGAGCCACCATGCCTGGCCTGCTCACTCACTCTTCAAAGATCTCATAACACTTTTTTACCCTATGGTAGAGGTACTTACTTCCATCTGCCTTGCATGATGAGAGACCCTATCACTGAACTGGAAACGGCACCACTTCTTATTCCACTGTGTTTCCCCCACATTCCCTTGCCTTGTGCCTTGGCCACAAATGGAGGATATAAATATCTGCTGATTTTCACGGAGACTCACACAAGAGCTGAAAAGACAGGTGGGACTTCACGGAATTTTCTCATCTGGTTCCTTTGATGACAGACCAGCTGAAGAGCCCCCTTCTCAATGTGCATGGCCACACCCTCTCTCGGTGGCAGACATCAGACCAGGTTCTCTTGCTCTGTCCTCTTCACTCGGTCTAGGCCAGGGTTCTTCAACCTTGGCACTACTGACATTTGGGCCAGATAATTCTATGTTGTGGAAGCCTGTCCTGTGCATTACAGAATGTTTAGCAGCATCTCTGGCCTCTATTCACTAGGTGTCAGTGGCCCCCCACCCCCAACCAAATGTGACAAAACTATCTCCAGACATTGCCAACTCCCCTCATCCCCATGGCAAATCCTTCCTGTTCACTGTAGAATGTTTAGCAGCATATCTCTGGCCTCTGCTCACTAGATACCAGTGCCCTCCTCCACCACCCCACCCAGATGTGACAAACAAAACTATCTCCAGACATTGCGAAATCCCTCCTCCCATTTGAGAACTACTGTGTGGCCTCATGCCAATGACACAGACAATGCAAACATCTTTCCAAAGCAAATCCCCAAAGTCCCGTGGCTAAGCTGGTTCTGCAAAATTAGCTTCTCAGATTTAGGTTATGGCTCTTTCGGTTGGAGTTCCCTCGTGCTGTGTTCGCCCCATGCTCCTATACATCTCATTTCCATTCTCCCCTTCTCACTCACCACTTTTTTTCAGCATTTAAATCTAGAAGATACAGCTCCCTGTATATCCTAAACAGACACAGAAAACAAGAAACAATGTACTATGCAAGACCCACCATCAACAAGGTGCCCGGGACAGCTGGAGATGAGCGACTCCTGACTGGGTGGATTGACTGGCATGCTCATTATTAACATCTGTGAGAGACAGAGGGAATGTTTCCTTCAGCCCTGTGAGCAAGACTCAGGAACTGAGCAGCCCACAGTAGCTTTTTATGTAACCAGCCCACCTTCTCTGCAGGAGATGAGCAGAGTCAAAAGATCTGTTTTCCTTCCCATTTCCTCCTGCAGTTCACTCTTCACAGTGGGTGACTGGGCAAAGGGTCACTCACCACCAAGCCACAGGTTTCTCCTATTTTCTCCTGGGCCCCTGGCCACTCCTATCTTCTGCTTCTGTCTTTGGTTCAACCCCTTGGGCTGTCTGTGTTTCATGGCGCCAGGCAATTTATCTCTTTTGTCCTTCCTAAGGTGAAGGTAACAATTATACATCTTTAATCAAGGCTGGGGACTGACTCAATATTTTTCTGACAGGAATACTGCTCTTCCAGCAGACCGAGTCATTTAGGTATTTCTCAAATGTTCACTGCACACAAGACATTGCGCTAGAGGGACAGAGCCCTTATGGAGATCGAAGCAATGGCTCCTTCATCTCCATGAGGGCTCAGGGGTCTGGGCTGAACTGAGGACTGGCCCATGAAGACAAGCTGAGGATGCACTCCATGAAGCTGTTTACAGTGGGATTTCAGACCCACCATGTTACGGAGTGTCTGAGAGGAAGGCCGAGAGGGCGTGTCTGCTTCTTGCCTCTCTGGAGCAGTAAATGACCCATCCATCTACCCAGTTACTGAAGCCAGACACCAGGAAGTCAATCATGATTCCCCCTCTCCACCACTACCCCTGTCCACACCTAATCAGTCCACAAGTCTTTTTGAGCTTATTTCTAAAACATATCTCACAAGTACCTTCTTACCTTATTCCTACTGTTGCCACCTTGGTCCAGGCCACCTCCATTTACTGCTTGGACCTGTGTATCAGCCTCCTTCCTGGTCTCCCACTTCCATTCTTAAGCCACTCCAATCTATTCTGGACTCAGCAATAGAGATCATCTTAAAAGGGAGTCCAGATCAGTGCAAGGCATTGCTTAAGATGCTTCAAGGGCTTCTTAACTAGGTTAAAATCCTATCCCTTCACTTTGGTCTGCAAGAGCCTATCTGATTTAATCCCTGCCCACATCACCAACACTTGGCTCCGGCCAAAATGGTCTTGGTTTCAGTTCCTCAAAAAAGCCAAGCTCTCTCCTGTTTTTGCTCATCTGGACCCTCAGCCTGGAAGGTGCTTTCCTCCACACTTCACATACCTACCTCCTTCCCATCACGTAGCCTTAATCAGTGGTTCTCAATCTAGGGTGGCCACTGGAACCACCTGGAGGGCTCATTAAACACAGACTGCTGGGGGAGTCTCTGATGAATCAGACTGAAGTGGGTCTGGGATAGGGTCTGAGAATCTGCATTTCTAGCAGGTTCTCAGGCAATGCTGTTGGTGTTGGTCCAAGGACCACAGTCTTCTCTGGCCACGCCATTCAAAATATGGTGCCCACTCCTAGTAGATTCTGTCTCTGTTTCTTTTTGTTGACTTCACAGCACTTCTTACGCTTGAGACCACGTTGCTTTGTTTACTCTTCTGTTTTGCTTTTACATGTCTTCTCTGCTAGAAACTTCCATGAGGTCAGAACCATGTTTCTCTGGCACAGAATTACGTCCCCAGTGACTGCTGCAGAGCCTGGCATACAGCAGGCACTCAATAGATGTTTACTGAAGAATGATTAAATGAAGGGGGGTTTAAAGGCCAAAGCAAGGGACTCTGAAGTCAAAGACCTCTATGTGGAAGTCAGGAAGTGGATTAGAGAAGGATCTGGCAAGGAAGCAGGAAGCAGGGAGGA
Source organism: Homo sapiens (assembly GCF_000001405.40). Taxonomy (NCBI): domain Eukaryota; kingdom Metazoa; phylum Chordata; class Mammalia; order Primates; family Hominidae; genus Homo; species Homo sapiens. The sequence goes on from NC_000007.14 coordinate 36,952,045, forward strand.
TGGTCTGGGCACCAGCAGGATGTCCCCAGACGGAGGGGGCATGACTGATGAACAGGTGCATCCCACGCAAACCCATGCCAGGGAGGTGTTCAGCATCTCTGAGGCCTGCATCTACTCCTGAGGGCAGCCACTGGGCTCAGTGTGGAACATGCATCCTGAGAAGAGGCTTCCAGAGGATCCAGGCAGATTTGAAAGGAATCAGTCAAAGAAGCCATCAGAGGCCCTTTAATGTTCTGTTTGGTAACCTCTTAGTGATCTTTCTCTGTACCCAGGGGCCAAACACAGCACGTGGCCACGGGAGGTGGGAGAGAGATGGAGCTGGTGATGGAAGCACTGGTGGCATTTTAGTAAATGCCTCCAAGAGCAAGCGGGGCGGGGAGACGAGCACAGTGAAAGAAGACACTAATGAATCTTATCCAGCTGTGCAGCTTTAAGTGATTAATGCCCAGCACAGAGCAAACGTTTGATTAATAAGGCAGCACCTCCATATCATCACTCTAACCTTCTGAGGCTCCCAGGTAAAAGTGGCTCTTATGAAAGGGACGGGATACATTCAAGTAAAGTTCAAAGAAAAAAGAAATCACTCTAGACTCAGTTATGAAAATGAATGGATGGGAAGCGGGAATTGTAATGATGCTTTTTCAAAAAAGGGGGAAAAAACTGAATACATTCTTTTCCATCACAGAGTCTCAAGAGAGGTCCACTTACATAAGAGAAATTCTACTGGTGTGTGAATAGCTGGGAAGGAAAAAAAAATACACAGAGAGCAGAGGAGGAAGAGAGCAGTATCATCTCCTGGAGGAGACAGACCTCTTTGTTATTCCCAAAGCATTTCTTAGGTGACCCACTGGAGAGTGAAAGACTCTCAAGACATTTCAATATAATGAGGTCAATGTGCCAAATAATGGAAGTCACTACTCTTTTTTTTTTTTTTTTTTTTTTTTTGAGATGGAGTCTCGCTCTGTCGCCCCAGCTAAAGTACAGTGGCGCGATCTCGGCTCAGGGCAAGCTCCCGGGTTCACGCCATTCTCCTGCCTCAGCCTCCCGAGTAGCTGGGACTACAGGCACCCGCCACCACGCCCGGCTAATTTTTTTGTATTTTCAGTAGAGATGGGGTTTCACCATGTTAGCCAGGATGATATCGATCTCCTGACATCGTGGATCCACCCACCTCAGTCTCCCAAAATGCTGGGATTACAGGTATGAGCCACCGTGCCTCTCTTGACATACTACTCTTGAACGTACTACTCTCTTGACATAAAGATGGACATCACACAAGAGCCCCTAATTAGCTATGCAAATATTTTAGGTCTGCAGCTGAAGTCTAAAAGCCCCAATTTTTACAACCTGTCAGACATATGTGTTTATTACGCAAGTATGTTAAATTCAAAGTAATTAAACTAGACAGAATAGATAAGCAATATTTTAAAAGGTGAACTATCCCTATCATTTACAGAAAATGACTGTCAAAAATTTTGGTGCATATCCTTTTAAAGGTTTTTCTAAGCATGGTTGTAATATAATATTGTATATATTGTTTTTTAATCTTCTTAGTGTAACAATACTTTTTATATGTAAATAATGATGCTTATACACCATCATCTTTAAGGACAACTCGGTTTTTTATTTATTTAGCTGTTCCCCTACTGTTGAACATGTAACAGTCTTAGCCATATAAAATGAATCCATTGAGAATCTGGCAACTTAAAGGTGTATGTGTTTTGCATGTTGCTGAATGAATGAGTAGATTTCACTCTTCCCTGCTCCAGTTCTGGTACAGTGTATGGGTATGTTTTGTGTGTGTGTGTGTGTGTGTGTGTGTGTGTGTGTGTGTGTGTGTGTGTGTGTGTGTATTAGTCATTTCAGTAGGAACTTTGGAAGAAGGGGAATTAAATGTTTCAATACAAAATTACTATCTTTATTCAGAAGCTAATTATCTTGTAGTAAAAATTAAAATGCTGGTTTTTACTTTCAACTCCATGCCTACAACTTGGACCCTTGCTCTGATTCCTAGGCAGGATTTCCAAATTCACTGTTGTTGCTCAGAAGAGCATCTACATACAAGTTCCTGAGGGGCAAGAGTTCTTCATGATCTGGACAGCAGACCCCACACAGCAGGATCTCACAGAGCCTCAAGCACTTGCTTCATCTTCACAGCAATGCTGCAGCCCAGGTGCACCTTCCTCATTCACAGGTGAGGAATTGGAGGTTTGGAAAGTAAGGGAATTAATGGGGGTCACAGAACCAGAAGTATCAGAATTAGGGTTCTGGCCAAATGTTTAGGTCACCTTCCAGTGCATCACAGATGTCCCTTGAGGCAGGGGTGTGGGGGAAGCAGGGACAGGAGGGGAGGTTTTGGAAGGCTGTCAGCCTGATTCCCACCCAGGGGCACTGCTGACAAATGAATGGTCAATGTGATGGGAGACTGCAGTGGGTTTGGGTTTCTGCTAGCAGCAAGCAGGGTAATCTGTTCTTGGATCCTCCCCCACAAGCACAACATAGGAGTTCAAAAATGCTAGCAACTCCTTTATTTGGTGCAGGAGAACAAGGCCAATCTCAGCTGGGGTGCCTGTCAAAGAGGACCTTCAGAAGCCTAGCAAAGGGTGCCTGCATTTTTTCTCAGAAGGTGAGTCCAAGGTTTTATTAATAGGCTGGGCAACTTCTGGCCTGATTTTACTGGATGCACATAACTTTTAAGATCTTTTAGGACAGTTTCTACAAGAAAATGGTCTCCTCGGTCCACTGTCTTCGCAACTCATGAGATGTCTGCTCAAAATGCAGATTCTTAAATTCTGTCCTAATCACATTAAATTAGGAATTCTGGAGATGGTTCCCAATATTTGATGTTTTTACAAGCGTACCAGGTGAGACATGTTCCTGTATCCCAAAAGCTTGAGAAGCATTCAGTGAGCCATTCATCCCACAACCCGTGACCCTGAAGTTGTAACAAAGCTAAATTCTCAAAGTATACCAAGATATCAGGACTATCAGCTCCCATTTCTACAGAGTTTTATGGCACACAAAAGGGGCTCTCTCATGCCTCACACGTTGTATCTTATGAGCCTCAGAATAGCTCATCACCTCCCTCTACATGGCGGAAGGCATCAGACTCCAGGAGGTCAAGGGACTTTAGTCTAAGGTCGAGTAGCTCCTAACTGGTCACACCAGGAAATAAACCCTCCTCTCAGCTCAAATCTTTTTTTCCTATACTATCTGCTTCTACACTACATTTTCTCTACAGCTGCTTCTTTTTCTACCCTATCTCATCTCCCTTCATACTCACCACTATAACCCTTGGCTCCCATTCGCCAAAAGATACAGAATCTATTTTCAAGCACAAATTCCGAAGTAAAGGTATTTGGATAAACCACACACTGAACAGGTGTAAAACCTTCCTTTATGAAAACATCCACCAGATAAATTATTTAGACTTGTCATAGAAAAATGGTCCAATTCTGCATTATTTCAGTACAATAATCTGATTTCTGAATATCTTGGAGTATGTAAGTATCAAATAAATATGAGTGTTCTCTGTAACATCTTGGAAACACATGTACATCTTTTTATTCATCCTAAATCTGTCAAAGGTAGGGTGCCAGGAAACTCAGAGTCTTTTCCATATGTAAGGATCCAAATCACTTCTTGCTGTCCCTTGCTACTTCCCCAGGGTCCCAAAGTCTACCCTATTCGTGACCTTAATCCTTTATTCAGGCTGTTGCCTCATCTTTAAATTCCTTCCCTGACACCCTCTAGCCCATTCCTATCCAAAATGGGTGGTAAATTCTTGATATCTTTCAAAGTCCAGTTCAGATATCTCCATTCTTGTTCTTTGTAGGATCCCAGCTCCCTACTCACCCAAGAGGATAAACTGTTCTCACTTCTCTTTTTCAGTATAATGCTAACTCAACAGGGCTACTGGATTCCATGTCTCTCTCCTCTGCTAGACCACTCGATGCTTTAGAAGATCCCTTTTTCATGTTTAGATCTCTAGGTCTTAACACAGTGTCGTGATGCAAAGTAGGTGTCCACCTCAAATTTATTTATCTCAATACCTGTTCCCTTTCTGAGAGCCTTTTCTTGTCTAGGGTGTCCTGAAGGCTACATATATTTCTTGGAGGCTGAATAGGTGTACTTCTTGCTTCTGCTTTCTGCTTCCAGACCACTATCCTTTCCACTTGCTAACCTCCTGCCCAGTTCCTTTGAGGTGCCTGCCATGGGACTACAGCCTTCCTTATGTTATTTATTCTGCTTTTGGTCATGCCACAATCCATTGATGATTTTCTTATCCTTCTCTTGGTCAGGGCAGAATCTATAATTCCCTTCAAATTCTGCATATGCCTTCTTGTCTTTTTTGAAATAAAATAATTAAGTCAGAAACTTTCAAAACAAGGCCTTGTTCTCTTCTACATCCAAGAAGTAATTTCAGACCCAAATGCCATCTGATCAATCATCATGTTATATGTTTGTAAAGGACAATTCCAAAATAGGCTAGACTGCATATAAAAAAAAGGTCACTTTATTCAACAAGTTTTATTTTATAGCTCAAAAATGCACCCAGGCGTACAAGAAAACTAATTAGACTTGAAGACTACCAAGTGATGCCATCTTGTGACAGCTTATAGTGACAAAGCTTCTTAGCAGTTGTGAAAAAGACTTTCATAAAAAATATGTTGTTCCTATATAAAAATCATCGATCGGGCAATTTTTTAAATGACTACTTTGAAATGGGAAGAGTGAGAAAGTGGAACTTAATGAGTAAATAATCAGTAGCCTACAGGTTTGATTACAACGCCGGAAAAAATGGCAAGAAATCATGAGCCAAGGAAAGCACGTGTTGATTGCCCTTTCCCAATAACTACTCTTCTGGTAGCCTGTTTCCCAAGTCCAAAATGCTCAGTGGCGAGCAAAGAAAAATATCATTTCCAAGTTATGTTCCATGGTAATGTTGTCGATTTCCCACAAACTGTGATCTCCCCAAGAGATAGCCAAAGCTATTTAAGGGCTGTCAGCCTTGTTTCTGTGGAGAGGATGGCACCAGCTCTTTTCCAATGTAAATATGAAGTGCTCTCCATGAAAACAGTATTTGTGGAAGCATTCAACCAACTTAGTAATTCTGAAATACATTCAGGCAAAGACCCCAGTCGCTGAGTGGTGATTTCCTAATCTAGAAAGTAATGAACAAATGAAGGAGTATGGCTCCTGGAAAGCTTGAAGTTGCCTTTGACAGGATTGAGGCAAAGCCTTGCAGCTCTGCAGCCCCTACTGGACCACTGCTCCTCCTTTCTGCTTCCAGACCACCGCCCTTTTTACTCCCTAACTCCCTGCCCAGTTCCTTTGAGGTGCCTGACATTATACTATCCACTATCCCTCTTTATGACACTTACTCTCCACCTGGTCATGCCACAATTCATTGACGATTTTCTTACCCTTCCCTCTCTTTATCATCATTCTTAGTAACTTCAATATCCTCACAGATGATCTACCCAATACCTAGCTTCTCAGTTCCACAACCCTCCTCAACCCAAAGGTCTTGTCCTTTATAATCTCCTAAAGCAGCTTTTGCTGTGACTGTAGCCTAAGCTTTGTCATTGAAAATACAGAACCATTGCTGAAGTCGTAAGTTTACAAGCACCATCTTGTGTCTTTCCAATTCACTCTCTCTAGTATGCCCATTCTGTGGAGTCCTGACAAGATAAGTAAACAACAAGGAAGATGCCCCAAGTGTGGAGAGAACAATTGTTCTGAGAGAAGGCTAACCACCAACAACCTGCTGACACAACATCCTGTTCCCAAATACCTCGCTTTGCATGTAGCCCCAGCAGCACAAGCTTATCTGTAGGTAGCCCCTCCGGCACCACCCTGTAAAACTTCCCTCCAGATCCTGTCTCTTTGCAGACAGCTCCTTCTCTGCTGTGCTGCCCATTGCTTTCTTTAACTTACTACTGTCTTTGTAAATTATTTTACCACCCACAATGCTGGCTCCAATCAGTTGCAACCTGCAACACATTCCAAAAGTTCTCTGATCCTGCTGTGACTCTTAACATTGCCACCTTTTCCTTGTCCATCACCCCATTCATGGCTTCACTTTCCTCATTACCTAACTTCTATTCCATTATAATTATAATCTCTCCTTTTGTATTCATGAATACATCCCCAGTACCTCTTCTCTCTATCATATTTGCTTAGCAAAACCAACCTAGCTTAAATCCTATTCTCTGCCTCCTCCACCCACCTGAACAGCCGAACAGGCTGGAGAAAAGCATACAATGGTGCTGTCTGGTCTCATTTAAATTTATGACCTTAACTAACAAGAGAGTTCTTAGTTCTGTTTGAAATCTGACTGTATTTTTCTAGCTGATTCACTCCTCAGACAACTATGTACAGCTTCTCCTCTATTCACAAACCTCCAGAGTCCTTCCCTCCCTCCTCATTTTTCATCAGATAACTTAGATCCTCATTTCACTAAGAAACTAAAAGCAATCATAAGATAACTTCTGTAATCAGACGGTGAATCATAGCTGAATCTGCTCTCACTGGGGACACCAGTGACCTCCATGAGGTCAAATCTGATCACTTGCCATCTTCATTTTACAATAGAACTTGAAACAGCTGATAATGGCCTCTTCCTAAGGAGCATTTCTTCTCGTGGCACTACAAAACGCCACACTTGTTGTTTGCATACTTCTTGCCTCCTAGCATCACCTCCTCAGTCTCCCTTGCTAGGTTTTTTTCATCTTCTTGACTAGATTGGAATGCCTTGAGTTTGGCCCTTGGACCCCTTCCCTGTCTCCACTCACTCCCTAGGTGATCTGATCTAGTATCAATTATGTGTGAACAACTACAAATTATGTCTCTAGTCCCAACCTCTGCCTTGAACTCAGATGCATCTATTCCACTGCTTTCTCTATATCTGCACTTGGGTGTCTATCCGGGCATCTCACAGCCAACAGTTCCAAGCTCAACTCTTTCTTCCACTTGCTTGCCTGAATCTACGTTCCCCATCTCTATGAGTGGTGCCATCAAAACCTAAAGTCATACTTGACTTCATCAGTCTCTCCCACCACACTGCCCATCTGTCATATCCAGTTAGTGCATCCTGTCAGCTCTACCTTTCAAATAAATTCAGAGCATGCCCACTCCTTGTCATCTCTAACCCCTCCACCTTAGTCTACGCCACATCTGCCCTTGCCAGATCTGCAGCAGGGGCCTCCTCATCTGCCTCATGTCCCCTCATTCCCCTACAGTCTCAGTGGTCTTTTAAAATCTGGCAGATCATGTCACTCCGGTGCTCAAAACTCTCCAGTGGTTCCCTGCCTCACTCAAAATAAAAGCCAAAGTCCTGACCACAGTTTTCAAGCCCCTGAAAAATCTGGCCCCTGGCTAATGTTGAGGCTCATAAAATAATACCCCAAAGTATGGCTCTTTGACATCTGCGTACTTTGAACTAAAGAAGCAGCCTCAGAAACCAGGTCTCTTTTGCCCTCTCCTGTCTCCATTTCTCACCCCTCTGCCTCTTCCTAAGTGAGGGGAGGGGCTTTCCCTGAAGTTCCCTTGTCTGACTGAGGGAATTTCCTCCAGAAGCAATGCAATTGTCTTGAGCTCCCTCTCTATAATCTCTTTTCAAAAAGTTTCTCTAATTTTTTATTTTTTGAGACGGAGTCTCACTCACTCTGTCACCCAGGCTGGAGTGCAGTGGCGTGATCTCGGCTCACTGCAACCTCTGCCTCCCAGGTTCAAGTGATTCTCCTGCCTCAGCCTCCCGAGTAGCTGGGATTACAGGCACGTGTGACCATGCCTGCCTAATTTTTGCATTTTCAGTAGAGATAGGGTTTCACCATTTTGGCCAGGCTGGTCTTGAACTCCTGACCTCAAATGATCTGTCCACCTTGGCCTCCCAAAGCATATAATCTCATCAAACAAGGAAGATTAACTCCCAGGAAAGACCAGAGTTGACATTCACACCCGGCCTACAGGAACTTTGTCTCAGTCTATTGTCTGTTCCTCCTGTCCATTGGTCTCCCCTAAAAACCATTTACTTTTCCTCTAAATGTGCCTACAGCCCCCAGTTCCCTCTTTCAAATGAAGAAGGGTACATGCATTTCTAAATCTCATTGAGTTATTGGGTACTCACTTTCCTGTGAGTACTGTGTGCCCCCACACAGGTAATAACTTTATTTGCCTTTTCTCCAGTTAATTGGTCTACTGTCAGTTGATGACAGCAGACTCAGTTATGGAAACTTCAGAGGGCGGAGAGGAAATTCCCTTTGCTCTAAGACTAGCTCTCTGAGACCACTCACAGGCCTCTCCTTGTTCACTGCCCTCCAGGCACAATGACCAACTGGCTTCTTAAAATTTTATTTTATTTTATTTTTTGCCTTGCTTTTTAAATAAACACACCAAGCTTGCTGTCCACCTCAAGCCCTTTAAAGCCTGTTCTCTGTTTCTGAAATGCTCTTCCCCCAGCTGTAGTTCTGTAGCTCTCTCTTCACAGCTCAAGGGTTACCTCCTTGGAGAAACAACCTTCAGCAAGCATGACTGAAGAAGCAGCCCCCCATCCCCCCCACTCACTCACCCCTTAAACCTTCTTTATTTTTTTTCTATGACACTTCTATGACCAGACAACATTATCCACCCATCTATCTATACTGTTAATACTTACATCTTATATTTTAAGAAATAACCATTCAACAAACTGAAAATAGTACTGTAAAAAGGCAGCTTGGAGATCCCTTGAATTAGATAAGACTTTGATGAAGATCAGTGTTACGTAAATGACACACCTAGTCAAACCAAACCAATCCACTGGGCCCTATGCAAACCAGACACCGCCTCCTCCAGCATCCCAACATAAGCAACCACTTTTCTGCCGCACTTGGGGTTTCTCTTTGTTCAAATCCCCCTTCCCTCTGTCTCTGTACGGGGGAGCTATTTTCTTCTTCCTTCTTTCTTGCCTAACAAACTCTCGGCTCCTTAAAACCATCCCACGTGTGTCTGTGTAGTTTTATCTAAACTGGCGCAAGACCAAGCACCCTGCAGTTCCTCCAGTCATTGATGCCATATCAATAGCACAATACTTTGAAAACTCAGACAGGCTAGGAAAAAGTATTTTCCACTACTATAAGCTTCCTCTAGGTCAAGGATCAAATTTCTCCTTCCCATATACCTTCTCAGAGAGGCCTGTTATACAAAATTCCATTCTTCATCATGCAGGCATTAGCTCAGAAGATGTGTACCCTGGGCCTGCCATCACCCACGCACGGGGACACAGTATGAATAAGACAGAGACAGTCTTTGTGGTAATTACAAACTAGAGGAAAAAAGAGAAAGAAAAGCAACCAAAGCTGTTTTAAAAGCTAATCTCTCTATTTTTCAGAAGTGATATTAACAATATTAGTAGCCATACTAGGAGCTCACATTACATGGTATGAAAATTACAGAGTTTTAATCCATCAAACTACTTTAAGATGAGTGAAAGATAAAATAGAAAATAAAATGCTATTATTGCAATATCCTTTTCAGTTTCACAAAAGTACTTTTTCTGAAAACCTCACCATTAATTGAATGGAAACATCTAACTGCTCAAAAATCTTTTTCTTTTTCTTAATGGTTTGATATTTATGAATACCTTGCCTATAAGAAACACAAATCATTAAATAGCTTTTAAGCATTTTTTCATAAAGAACCTAAAATTTAAACATTCTACTTGAAAAAAACAGTTTAACATAGTGCTCTAATAAGATTGAAACAAAATACCCTCTTGCCCCTCTGTCCCACAGAACAGTACTTTCTACCCTGACCTTTAATGTGGCCAGGCATGTAAATAGTATTGTCCCAGAGCAAATCTTCAGTTTCAACTACCTGCTTTGCATTAGCAGAGAAGCAAAAAATCCTGACTCAGCAAGAAAAGCCTTCATACCTCAAAAATTGTGTGACTTAATTAAATTAGGCTTCCTAAATGGAAATGATCTTTTAATCTATACTTGCAAAAATGCTGCTCTTTGGTGAAATGCTCTTTAAATTATTCCTAAAATAACCACACTGTACTAGAAAATTTTTGGCTGTAGCTTAGGGAAGTTTCCAGCTCTAACTGGCCTGGTGACCTAGTGTTGGTTCCAAGCAGACCAGTATTTCCACAGTGCCCATTTTGGGGGCCCCTGAAGAGCCAAGCTGCTTGAACTGAAATCACAGGGGAAGTTTAAAGAATACTGATTCTCAGGCCTCAGCCTAGGTGACTTGATCCAGAAACAAAGGCCAGTATGTCCAGCTGAGGAGTTTGAAGTGTATCTAGAAAACAATTTGGACCGATTAAAAACTTTGAGGCAGGGGAATGCATCATGAGATTGACATGAAAATGAAGTATGGAAGATGGGTTAGCGTGGGAGCCAAACCCAAGAAGCGGAGAGCACTGAAGAAGTTCCTGTAGTGACCCTGGGTCACTACAGAAAAATACCAGGGAAAGATGAATGATGTGGGAAGAAGGTAAGCATGAGAGTCAGGGCATTTTTCAGGAGGAAGAATGTAGAGTTTGGTGACTAATTGGATGTGGTAGGTGTTGAGTAAACAGAAGGAGGTGAAAGCTCCTTCCAAGCTCTGGCTTGAGTTATGCATCTAAGGGAATTAACGGGGGTGGGGTGGGGGTGGGAAGAAAAGCACAACAAAGGAAATCTAAAATTCATGAGCTCCTTAGGTGCTTTGAAGTCCTCCTTCCTTCTGCAAAAAGGAAAGCTTAGCATTGTCTGCAGTTAGCATCAATAAACAAAGATCTTAAATAAAAGCTTTGGGTATGTGTGTGACTCAGTGAGACATAGAATCACAAATCACTGTTCTCCCCACTATTAGAAAAGTATTAAAGAAAATTGGAAAAGTATTACGGAAAATTGGAAAAGTGAGAAAATTGGAAAAGTGAGAAAAGATGTATTTTAAAGAATGTTCACGCAGTATTATTTCTAATAGCGTACAACTGAGAACAACCTATGTGTCAACTCTAGAAGACTGGTTAAATAAATCCTGATAGAGTTACACTTGAGTGTCATGTAGTAATTAGTAATGGCATCTTTGAGCTGGGCGTGGTGGCTCACGCCTGTAATCCCAGCACTTTGGGAGGCCGAGGTGGGCAGATCACGAGGTCATCGAGACCATCCTGGCCAACACAGTGAAACCCTGTCTCTACTAAAAATACAAAAATTAGCTGGGCGTGGTGCCGTGCGCCTGTACTCCTAGCTATTCAGGAGACTGAGGCAGGAGAATCACTTGAACCTGGGAGGAAGAGGTTGCAGTGAGCCGAGATTGCGCCACTGCACTCCAGCCTGGTGACAGTGCAAGACTCCATCTCAAATAAATAAATAAATAAATAAATAAAAAAATAAATAAATAAAGGCATCTTTGAACTGCATGTCTTGATGTGAAAAGAAGTGAGGAAAAGGGACCACAGAAAAGTTGGGATAGTGTGATACTCCCCTCACACAAACACAGAAAAATGTCTAAGAGATAAATACCAAAATACCTGCAGTTTTTCTTCGGGTGGATGGATTAGAGGCATTTTTCCTTTTAGGATGCCTAGTTTCTCTGATTTTCACCTGTAAGATTGAATTAGTTCTATATAAAACATATGTCTTAATAGGAACAAAAAGCACCACTGAAATTTCGTAACAGTGTTGATTTGTCACCTATATGTCTATACCCAATGTGTCTTCAGTTAGTTATGCAGAACACCTGTGTCCCAGACTCCTGAGAGAGTCAACTTTGAAGGACATCTTAAATAACCTGCCCTTCTGCCCTGCCCCTGGGTACTGTGTGTTAAGTCCTTGATTACAGAAAAGCTATAAACCTGACTGGTTACTTTAACTCTTTCCCCTCACCTGGAACTGTCCCAGAGTCATGCTTTAATGTGATATCTGAAATTGACAGAAAGCAATTAGATAACCTACCTTTAGATCCCATGAAAACTAATATTTGTATCTGCTGTCTTGTAGTACAGTTATTTGTGTAGGTTCTTTATATATCCTATTAAATTGAAAGATCCAGGAAGGCAGAATTTATGTCTGATTAAGGCTTGCACTCCCTAGAGTGCCAATAGTTTTTGTATATTTGGCATTTAATATTCATAAAGAGAATTGTTGATGAATTATTGTATATGACTCAGTGAAATACAAATATTCCTTGACTTATAATGAGATTATGTCCCAATAATCCCATCGTAAGTGGAAAATATTTTAAGTTGAAAATTCACGTAATGCTGAACATCATAGCTTAGCATAGCCTACCTTAAACATGCTCAGAACACCTACATTAGCCTACAGGTAAGCAAAATCATCTAACGTAAAGTATATTTTATAATAAAGGGTTAAGTATTTCATGTAATTTATTAAATACTATACTGAAAGTAAAAACCAGAATGGTTGTATGAGTACTCAAAGTATGGTTTCCACTGAATGTGTGTCGCTCTCACATCATCATAAAGTTGAAAATCTTAAGTGGAACCATTGTAATTTGGAAACTTAAGTCTGTACATTAGGTTTAGAATTTAGTAGTAGATGTTTCTTTCCTTAAGAATGAAGGGCCTTCCTTTTTTTAACTAATTAGAATTATGTAAGGCATTCTTTTCTTTTTTTGTTTTTTCTACTCTGGCTTTTAAAATTCTCAATCCCACTACAATACCCTACAGTTAACCTACTTCCTTCCTCCTCCACATGGTCTAGAGCTTTTATGAACCAAATGAACCTGCGCATACACAACGCATACGTGAGTTACCACAAAGCCATTTTGGAAGTCGAAGGAATACAAATATAAACAGCTTAGTCATAAGATGTTTAATAATAAACAATTAAACCAAGGTTAAAAGCAAACTTAAAATGAAAAATACTGAGTTTCCATCACAGCCTAGTACAAGTTCTCCAACTGGCCTTGCTTCCCTCTGACCTCTTGGCCACTATCACCCCCCGCATCCCCCATCCAGGATGGGCTCTGGCCATCTTCCCATTCCTTGAATACCTCTGTCTCTGGGATTTCAGGAGCTTTCCTGGCCTGAAACACTTTTTCCCAAGCACTTGATGTGGCCACTCTTCCTCAGCATCCTGGTTTCTTCCACAGGCCTTACCCAACCATCCTTTCCCCATGAGTTCTCTCCCTAAGATCCGTTTCTCCCCATTCTTAATGTATTCATGGCATCATGGCTGGGGTGGCCTGGCTGCCTCCCCCGCTGCCTCCCTGAGGACAGTCCCCTTGTCTTTCCTCCTCACTACTGCAGCCCAGTGTCTAGAAGAGGGAGGGCCTGGCTTATCATAGGCACCGAATAAATATTTGTTCCAGCAGAGAATGAATGAATAATTAAAGGCACTTTTCCCCTAGGTTATACAGAAGAAACCTTATCCTTTCTCCCAGAAGATTGTTTTCGGACTCAGCTATGGGAGAAGAGAGGGAGGCACTGGAGAAAATGGCTCAGTAAGGGGAATTGCCGAGATGCTCAACCTGGTTTCCCTCAGAGTTGCCCTTTTGTGGGTTTTATATGTAGGGTTCTACTCTGTTTATAATAAGGATTTGGCAGCTACAATAAAATGTGAAAAGCAATGATCAACATAACTGATATGCCTGCAAAAGAATCCTGTCTCTAATCAGTACTGAAAATTGAAATCAAGTTTCTATAAAAAACCTAATCCCAATCATTACATGTTGCAGTCCATAAAGAAGTGGAAAGGTACAAATGGGAAAAAAAAACCCATTCCAAACACATCATTTCCTCTGCATTACCTAGCAGATCATTAACACTGCTTGGAAGCATCACATCCGCCTGTATGATGTCATCTTAATTGGAAGCAAGCATACCTCCTCACATAAGGATATATATGTTGGATATAATGCTAACATTTTGATGTCTTGATCCCCCATCCTGCCTGTGTTCATATTTCATTTTGTCCCCTTACCAAATGCCTTCAAAGAAAAACTCTGAAGGAAAAATGAATATACTTCATTTATTTTTAAACTCTGCCAAATCATCTCAGACAGGCAATGGAAAGGAAAAGAGGAAAATGCTTGGTGTAATAGAGCCATATTTTTACTGCAGGTCCTCCATTTAATTCTGAGGACCTCTGGCTGCCTTCCTTTCAGAATGCAACCCCATTCAAGTCTTACATTATCTTGCCTACTTTCAGCCATTCATTATTGCAGAAGTCACACCACAATGGAATTCTGCCAATATGAGTTTAATGTCACTTTTATATGACCTAACTGTATACCTTGGCCGTATTCCCATTTGTGAAATGGGAATCAGACCTGAATCTATGGGTCAGCGTGAAGGTTATTTATATTTGGAATCCTTTGTGTAACACTGAATATTAAGACCACGGGTTTTTAACTGAGACTCCTAAAAACTTGGCCTGTATCTACTGCTCCCCAAATAATGCTGTTTCACGTGACAAGGTTATACTCCTTCTCGAAGCAGAAGCAGCAATGAAGAGAAAACACCAATCTACGGTTCCACAACAAAGGGCTCTTTCCTTTCTCAATCAATAATTCTGACAAATCTGTTCTCTACAACTTTACGTGTAAGTGATAAATGATTTGAGGAATGTGTTGATATTAATATGAACTGTCTTCTTTTTCCTCCATGTATGATTAGCATCAATGAATTGAATGAATGTGCCACTTGGCAGTTTTAAACAAAGAAGTGGTAAAAAGACATCACCAGAGCCTACAGAGAAATAATGAAAAAGAAACTTTGACCATAAGACAAATTGTTCTTCAGAAAGGACCAGAATAGAAACACCAGTTCAAATTAGGGCCAGTTTTATTTAAGAGATGCATTAACCATCTGGAAAACATGATAAGCAGCATGTTGATTAAATCAGCAGGCTGCTCCAAAGAGGCTGGCTCGCTGGCCACTGGAGAACAAATTTCACGTATAGGGGATGTTTAGAAATAGACATGGAGAATAAGAAAGCAACAGTGCCAAGGTATAACGTGCTTGGTTGTAATTTATACACTGACATAGCTGCAGGTAGAATAAAGTAGCAGCTAGTCTTTTCACAAGTGTTCACTGGAGGACATTATAACAAACGCCTCTGGTCTCTATTCTTTTTAGAAATGTATATTTAGTTTACAAGAGCTTCTCTCTTATCCTATTGCCTCTTCTCTAAAATATAAGAAATACATGCTCTAGGCCAATCGATTTGAAGCTTGAATGTTTTTTTTCACATTCAGTACTAAAAATTGGAATCAAGTTTCTATAAAAAACTGAATCCCAATCACTATGTATTCCATAAAAATGACAAAGGAAGGGTACAAATGGGACAAAAACCCATGCTTGAGATGCTTGTTAAAAAAGAATACCTATTTCTGGGCCACACTCCTGAGGTAGGGCCCAGTGATATGTCTTTAATTAACAAGTGCCCCAGCTAACCCAGCGTGGCATCAGTGCTCGTCCTTGGCTTTTGGGTTGGTCAGTTCAGGAGTCTGTTAAATTGCCACTAGGGGGAGTGTTGGCCAAACTTTGCACTTCTGGCAAAGGGAGGGTGCTGCTGACCACTTCCAGAAAGCAGCTCAGATTCAGGGAGAGAAAGGACAGAGAAAGGAAAGAGCAAGAGAAATCCGTGTCCCTGGATAGGTAACACCAATAGGAGTTTCTGGTAGGGATTCAGGCACCTGGTGATGAACAGCTGACATCTTAGAGATTAATGATAAAAGACCCAGTGATGGAAACACGAAATAAAAAAGAATTCAGGCTTTGGAAAGAGAATGCAACCTAGCTAATATCTTCTCCCTCCACCTCTCATTCATGCCCCTTTCAGGGAAATGGAAAGTAAACAAACTAACCAGGGAACATCAGGATTTGGTGGCATCCTCAGTCTCAATATATTATGCAGGCATGATTTTTGTATGTGCTTTGCCTGTTATTATAACCCTTCCATTATGTTTATATTAAATTTTTGTTTTAGTAAGTTTATTATCTAATTATAGAAATATTACCTTCCAATTGAGTAATATTAGAAAGAAATATAAAAATAAAAGGAAGAAGTTAAAAATCACTTGTAATCCTTACACTGCAATAATGAGTGTTAACATTGTGGTGCAGAGTCTTCCAGAATTATTTTTAAGTTTATAATTCCATGCTTTTTTTTCTAGATGAAATCATTCTATTGGTTTTATTTCTCCCCACAACCATTAATATCATCAGCTCACTCCAATGACATGAGTCTTCCTAAAGTCTCTCTTAAAATATCAAAGAATATTTATTCTGCACTTCTGATTTTCTTAGGATAAAGTCTTTGACTTGGAATAGAAGGATAAATATCACAGAAAATTTTAAGTTCTTAATATATATTGCCATTTTCAGAAAGACTGTACTAATCTATACTTCAACTGGCAAAGTATGACACTTTGCTTTATGAGCAATGTATATATTTTATCCCAAATATATTATTCACAGATAGCCCATAGTTATTTTGTTTGTGCAGGCATGCGTGTCTGGGTGTACTAATTGAGCTTTGTAAAGCACACTGGCATATTGCCACCCATTAAATTCATTAATAATATTTTAATCAGCTCTATGTCTCTATGTCATTTTCAATTAAATTTTGTTAATTCTTACATTTTCTCTACATTTTATTTGATAGATTGTCAATGTCAATTGTCAATTATTTCTATTAAATAATTGCCTTAACAGAAATAGTTCTTAGATTCATTTATTGATTCTATTATTTCTTTTATTTTCTAGTTTATTGCCTTGCATTATCTTTCCTTTTGTATTCTTTGGGTGCTTTTGTTGTTATTTTCTAAAATGAGTTATATCCTGAGTTCACTTGTTTTCATTCTTTCTATATAAATAATTAAAAAAAATAATTTTGGGGCTACAAATATACTATTTGAGGGCAGCTTTGGCTATATCCCATAAGTTTTGGCATGTGATGTTCTCACTGTCATCATTTTTGTAATCTTTAGTAGTAGTTTAGATTTCCTCTTTGGTTCAGTGGTTATTTAAAAGCCTTTGAGAATTTATTGAGGATCTTTAGCCATGTAAGTGATGCATTTTTGAAAAAGTTGCATGGATACTGAAAAATAAGGCATACTCTCAGTGGAGGGTATCAATTCAGTATGTACCTACCTAGTAGTTGACATGTTAATTATATTATTAAAGTATTCTATATATTATATTTTAACATAATACAGTTACCATGTAAAGACATGCCATCACAGCTATATTTAAAGGTATCAATTCAATATGTACCTATTAGTTGACACATTAATTATATTATTGAAGTATTCTATAGATTATATTTTAACATACTAGAGTAATAGTGTAATGAATGTCAGTCCAGCTATATTTTTATTCATTTCTTCTTGCATTTCTAGCTTTTTCTCATATTTGGGTGATAATGATATGTGGTGAATTCAATATTCATGATATTGTATATTGTTTTTCAACCCAATTTAAGATCTGTGTCATTTCACAGGAAGTTTAACTCAGTATGTTTACAGCCACAATTGCTTCCCCCCACTTGCATCACTTCCCTAGTTTTATGCCTTAAGTTGGTGCACATCAGAATTGATTGAGGAAGCTGCTGGTGGTGGTATATGTGTGTAGTATGTGGTGGGGGTGTGGGGTAGGAGGTGTGTGTGCTGTTTAAAAACACACTTGCTTAAGCCTCACTTGAAATTCTGGCTTAGAAAGTCTGGGATGATCCTGGGGCTGGGTCTTAATTTTTAAAAGACTCAAAAGGTGGCTACATCTAGTAAAGGATGAAAATCACTGCTTTAAATATTTCCAAAACAAACTCTAAATAAATCATATTTCTTTAATAATTAAAGTCAAGAGTAAAACATTCCCTTTATGAACCCCTTTAGTCGCTTCCCTGTTGTTCATATTATTGTAAGGGGTTTTATTTTTATTAATATTTTAACAAGATTTCTATTTTTCAAGAATTTACTTTGATGGTTAAATAAAATTATTATAAAAGTCAAACTATACCGATAGTAAAAATATGTACTAAAGAATACTATACTAAAAATAAAACTCTTCTTCTGGATTCTCCAGTCTCATTCTCCATCATTATCCACTCTTGATAGCATTGTATTCATTTTTCAGGCTCTCCTTATATATGTAAACACACACACAAACACACACACAAATACATTCATACACTTAACACACACACACACACACACACACACACACACACACACACGCACACCAAGGATCATATGCTGAATGCTGTCCTAATACCTTCTTTGTTCCATGAATTATTTCTTGGTAATCTTCCTCTGTCCAATACACACACATGCACGGCATTCTATACAATAAAATCATATTACACAATTTATCCAGATGCAGCTGAGCAGCAGACATGATAACCTGGTTGGGAAAACCATGCCAGTGTGGAGTGTGCTTTTTCTAAATGTGGTAGCCACAAAACAGTGGACTGCAACTTAGTCCACTGGAGGCTTCCCACTCTGTGGTTAACTAGCTAATGTTGCTTACAATCTTATAAGCTTTTCACTGTTTTCTAAGATCCCTGAGAGCAAAAGCTGGATTGTATTCTTTTTGAATTCCTTCCATGTCCCTGGCACATTACTAGGCATGTAGTATACACTTGATAAAGGTTTTGTTGAATCACTGAATACTGGTGACAAGTGACAAAATGACCACACTTTTACCACTCTTCTGAAATAAGAGCACAATAGCTTCCTGTCTTCTCTTTTCCTCAATGCAAGAACAAAACACAAAACCTGAGTTACTTAGGTATGTGGTTGTGCAATGTCAGAGCTGGCCACTCAGTCTGAAACTCCTGATTCTCCAGAGTGGGATTAGGAAAAAACATGGCATTCAGAAGAACATCGACGCACAGGATAAGGCTGCTCACATGAGGGAGACATGAGGGGAGAGGCCAGGAGCCTTGCCATTCCAGCTACCTGGTACCTGACAGAGCTGGACATCAGAATGACACACCATCCTCACTGCCATTGCCAAGGAGATGGGCCCACCCTTGGGAGATGTTCTCCCTGCAACTGTGGAAACCCAGGTATGGAGGCCTCACTGGTGAAGTTGTGTGTATGAATCATTACAACTTGAAGGGAGCTTGGAAAGGACTACCTGGAGAAGTCTTCTTTAGCAAAGAACGAAAGGTCTAGAAACACTGAGTTTCACCAAACATTAAGAGGATAATTATCTACAAGTACTTAACAGGCCTTACCACCAAGGTGAGGCATGAACTGTTCAAGGTGCTTTGTGGAGGCGAGAGAAAGTTTTGGCAGGTGGTGATAATTAAATTAAATTGAGAAAAATTATGTTTCAGCTGGGCATACAGGGAAGCCTCCCTTTGAAAGAGGTCTATTAAACAACCATCCCAAAGGATACACTTAAGTCATTTAAAGTCAAACTGAGCTTGTTATTTGAAGACATAAGAAAAGAAATCATTTTAAATGGGGGAACAGGAGGAGTCAAGGGAGGAAGTAGCTGACTTAATTCGTTACATTTTTTTCTGTTGGTTTGAAGGGTTGTAAACATTACACTTCCATCTCTCCCTGGGAAGGAAAGATCATCCAGATTCCACTGATTCAGAAAAGCAGTATTACCAAGAGATCTAAGCCTGGCGTTATTTACTCACTAAATTTACTCTTTGAAATGTGTTTGGTCAGCTGTGCTTGGCCTCTGTGACTAGCGGTATTTGTCCAGAGGCTAATTAGCTCAAAGGGTAAAAAGATCAGTGAGTTAATCCATAATCTCGAGTGACTGATGAAACCTAACTGCCAACTGGTGTCGGAGCGGGTCCTTTTCTAAAAAAGGGATTAATAGGACATGCTAGCTATTCTCAAATATTAACTTTTCCAAGAATAAGACAGGATAAAACAAGAGAAAAGACAAGCAGAGATTTTTTTTAAACCTCTCTAACATTTGTAAGGTAATTTCACAAATAAAACTTCTAGAATTCCAGGGGACCATGCGGGCTTTCTTTCTTGCTGTGTGATTCATGGGTCTGGGGTGCTCTCAGGCAGTGGTTGCTTTCTGGCCCCCCAACAATGGCAATGAACGTTTCATTGTCGAGCACTTATTATGTGCCGAGCACCAAGAGTTTTACATGTTATTAATTCACTTGGTCCTCCAAGTAATCTAAGAAGCAGGTATTATTATTCTATTTTACAAGAGACACCATTAGGGCCAGAGGTCACACAGCTAATGGGACTTAAACCCAAGAGCTCTGGCTTCAGTCTTTGACCTTAATTGCTCTTACGGGAAGGAGATAACAACTCGTATCCTGATGACCCATGCCATGTCGCAATTTCAAAACACAGCTAGAAGAAACAGAAGTCCCTGGGCTTTGGAAAGTCCATGAAAAGAATCTGTGCTTTTGAGTGCACTCTATCAGTTTGCTAGGACTGCCATGACGAAGTATGGCACACTGGGTGGTTTAAACAACAGAAATTCATTGTCTCACAGTTCTGGAGGCTGGAAGTCTGCATCAGCAGGGTCGGTTCCTCTTGAAGGCTGTAAGGGGCTCTGTTCCAGGCCTTTCTCCTTGGCCTGTAGATGACTGTCTCCTCCCTGTGTCTCTTTACATCATCTTCCTTCTATGCATGTCTGTCTCTGCATCCAGTGTTCCCTTTTTATAAGGACACTAGTCACACTGGATTAGGGTCCATCTGATGTCCTCATTTTAACTTGATTACCTCTGTAAGACCCTATCTCCAAATAAGGGAACTTTCGGAGGTTAGGACTTCAATCTATATATCTATATAACTATATCTATATCTATAGTTTTTTGAAACAGAGTTTCATTCTTGTTGCCTAGGCTGGATGGAGTACAATGGCGCGATCTCGGCTCACTGCAACTTCTACCTCCCAGTTTCAAGCGATTCTCCTGCCTCAGCCTCCTGAGCAGCTGGGATTACAGGCGCCCACCACCACACCCAGCTAATTTTTGTATTTTTAGTGGAGACGAGGTTTTGCCATGTTGACCAGGCTGGTCTCGAACTACTGACCTCAGGTGATCTACCTACCTCGGCCTCCCAAAGTGCTGGGATTACAGGCGTAAGCCACCCATGCCAGGCCAGGACTCTGGTATATATTTTTGAGGAGGACATATTTCAAACTATAACATGCATCAAGGTTTCTAAGCAGGCTTAAATGTCCACTTGAGTGGTACAACCCAATCCGTGAAGCCAGAGCATGGTGCAGGCTCCCATCCATCCTACAGGTACATCAGGATAAAGGCCAGCCTTCTGCCTCCTGGAGCGAGACTGCTGTTCTTTTTCTCCCCTAGCTGGCTAATCAGTAGTGCCAGTACAGGGAAAATTTTTCTGATCTATATAACTGAGGCCTGACATTTAGGAGACTGTGTTTTAACAATGTCCCATTAGGGCCCTATGTCTCTATCAGCTACCATCTAAGTTGCAGAGCAATAGACTGAGTGAGGGCTGAGATGCCCACATAGGCCTCAATTTGCTCCATGAGAAGGAAACAAGTTCCAGTCCATCATTAGGATGGTCTTGAACTATGGAAGCCACATTCATGATCCTGTCTTCTAAGGCAGTGAGAGGTGACAGCGTGCTGGCAGTCCTCACAGCCCTCGCTCGCTCTCGGTGACTCCTCTGCCTGGGCTCCCACTTTGGCGGCACTTGAGAAGCCCTTCAGCCCACCGCTGCAGTGTGGGAGCCCGTTTCTGGGCTGGCCAAGGCCGGAGACAGCTCCCTCGGCTTGCAGGGAGGTGTGGAGGGAGAGGCGCGAGCGGGAACCGGGGCTGCGCGCGGCGCTTGCGAGCCAGCTGGAGTTCCAGATGGGCGTGGTCTTGGCGGCCCGCACTCGGAGCAGCCGGCCCTGCCGTTGCCGAGCAATGAGGGGCTTAGCACCCGGGCCAGCGGCTGCAGAGGGTGTACTGGGTCCCCCAGCAGTGCCAGCCCACCGGCGCTGAGCTCAATTTCTCACTGGGCCTTAGCTGCCTTCCCGCGGGGCAGGGCTCGGGACCTGCAGCCCGCCATGCCTGAGCCTCCCCCCCACTCCGTGGGCTCCTGTGCGTCTGGAGCCTCCCTGATGAGCGCCGCCCCCTGTTCCACTGCGCCCAGTCCCATCGACCACCCAAGGGCTGAGGAGTGTGGGCGCACAGCGCAGGACTGGCAGGCAGCTCCACCTGCAGCCCCGGTGTGGTATCCACTGGGTGAAGCCAGCTGGGCTCCTGAGTCTGGTGGGGATGTGGAGAACCTTTATGTCTAGCTCAGGGATGGTAAATACACCAATCAGCACCCTGTGTTTAGCTCAAGGTTTGTGAGTGCACCAATCGACACTCTGTATCTAGCTGCTGTGGTGGGGATGTGGAGAACCTTTATGTCTAGCTCAGGGATTGTAAATACACCAATCGGCACTCTGTATCTAGCTCAAGGTTTGTAAGCACACCAATCAGCACCCTGTGTCTAGCTCAGGGTTTGTGAATGCACCAATCGACACTCTGTATCTAGCTACTCTGGTGGGGCCTTGGAGAACCTTTGTGTCCACACTCTGTATCTAGCTAATCTGGTGGGGAGGTGGAGGACCTTTGTATCTAGCTCAGGGATTGTAAACGCACCAATCAGCGCCCTGTCAAAACAGACCACTCGGCTCTACCAATCAGCAGGACATGGGTGGGGCCAGATAAGAGAATAAAAGCAGGCTGCCCGAGCCAGCAGTGGCAACCCGCTCGGGTCCCCTTCCACACTGGGGAAGCTTTGTTCTTTCGCTCTTTGCAATAAGTCTTGCTACTGCTCACTCTTTAGGTCCACACTGCTTTTATGAGCTGTAACACTCACCGCGAAGGTCTGCAGCTTCACTCCTGAAGCCAGCGAGACCATGAGCCCACCGGGAAGAATGAACAACTCCAGAAGCGCCACCTTAAGAGCTGTAACACTCACTGCGAACGTCTGCAACTTCACTCCTGAGCCAGCGAGACCATGAACCCACCAGAAGGAAGAAACTCTGAACACATCTGAACATCAGAAGGAACAAACTCCAGACGCGCCACCTTAAGAGATGTGACACTCACTGCGAAGGTCCACGGCTTCATTCTTGAAGTCAGTAAGACCAAGAACCCACCAATTCCGGACACAGCAGTGATTTCCCCACTCCCTATTTTAAAAACTATATGTATCGCTCAGACATTTTTAAGTCAACAGATGAAATTTTTCATCAGGCCAGGCATGGTGGCTAACACCTGTAATCCCAGCACTTTGGGAGGCCAAGGTAGGCAGATCACTTGACGTCAGGAGTTCGAGGCCAGCCTGGGCAACATGGTGAAACCCTGTCTCTATTAAAAAAATACAAATATTAGCCAGGCATGGTGACACATGCCTGTAATCCCAGCTACTTGGGTGGTTGAGACAGGAGAATTGCTTGAACCTGGGAGGCGGAGGTTGCAGTGAGCTGAGATCGCACCACTGCACTGCAGCCTGGGTGACAGAGCAAGTCTCAAAAATAAAACAAAACAGAAAATTTTCATCAAAGTTGAAATAGTTTCAAAGAATATAATTTTCAGTGTACTACAATATTGACATTTAAAAGATAAAACTGGCTGGGAGCCATGGCTCATGTCTATAATCCCAGCACTTTGGGAGGCCGAGGCGGGTGGATCACCTGAGGTTAGGAGTTCAAGAGCAACCTGACCAACATGGTGAAACCGCGTCTCTACTAAAAATAGAAAAATTAGCCGGGCGTGGTGGTGCATGCCTGTAATCCCAGCTACTTGGGAGGCTAAGGCAGGAGAATTGCTTGAACCCAGGAGGCAGAGGTTGCAGTGAGCCGAGATCGTACCCCTGCACTCCAGCCTGGGCAACAGAGTGACACTTGCCTGAAAAAAAAAAAAAAAAAAGATAAAATTGTATGTCATCTTTTCAATATATAGTTGAATGTACATACAATAGTGATTTGAGATCCATATGACTCAAAAATACACGAATAATCTCTTCTCGAATAGTTGGAAATTGTTATCAATATTTTCCTCCTTGAATAGGGGTCAATAGGATTTATGTAAAAGCCGAAATACTAAATATTTTAGGCTTTCTAGGTAGTCTCTGTCACAGCTACTTAACTGTGCCACTGTAGTATGAAGGAAGCCACAGACACTACACAGAAAAATGGGCACAGATGTGTCCCAATAAAATGTATTTACAAGTCCAGGGAGTGGGCCATATTTGGCCCACAGGCCATCATCCACTAATGCCTGACCTAGAACCAAAACTCCCATTTTACTTCCCATTTTCCCCACTCTACCTCAATTCTACTCATACAGAATTTTATCATAATGGAATTTTATGCTTAAAAGTCTTTTATTATCATCCTATCATACTTCTCTGAAACAAAAACACGTACATACACACTGAAATCTAACTTAAAAAATACTTCCTGTGAACAGAAGGTGCTAATAAAACTTTTCTTCTCGATTGAGCTTAACAGCATAATTATTATTAGTATAAACTAATTAAAACGAGACTTTATTACAAATTTTGATACATAATTTCCAAACCCAAGAGAAGTATCCCATTGGGAACGCATCTCTTAACGTGACAGGGACCCACTTATGGTTCCTTATTTAAAAGATAAGTCACAAGTCCTTTTGTTTGGCTCTCAGAGAAGGTTTATATACTTTGAGCAACACATCATAGTAAGACCTGATGGAGGTGAGCAGGGGCCTTTCTTTTATCAAGAGGGAGAACAGTGGTTGGGAAAAGTTGGTGTGAAAGCCACAGGTGCAGTTGCAAGATGATCAGTTTTAATGTACGTGTGGAAGCTGAGAATCTGAAAATGGATTATTGTAAGGCTAATTATCCATGCCTTCCTTTCCCTTGAAAAGTCTTCACACCATTCAGGAGAATGAGCACCCAGGTTGAAGATTACTTTTCCAGTGTATTAGCTATAGATCTACCTACAGTTGGTGTTGAAATGGAGGCACCTGACCTCAGTAAAAACGTGGGCTTGGGAATCAAGACACACTTGGATTTGAACTTCACTCTGCCACTTACTAACCGGATAATAAGCTAACTCTCTTTGTGTCTGTTTCCTTATCTATAAAAGGGGATAAAATGCCTTTTAACACTGCTTTTAGCACGCTACTGAAACTGTTAGGAAAAGGACAGAGACTGAGAATTGGAGTCTCCCTGAGTCTGGCCCTCTATCCTTTGAGCATAGGAGGATGTACTCTTCCATAAAACTTGTTGCTTGACAGAGCATGCCATGTGGTAATTTTAAAATGATCACTACACTGAAAATTTTTAAAAAGGTTTAAGAAATCCCATTAAAGGAATATGCAAAATGCCTGGCACACAGAGAGTACAGCTCTTAAAACCATCAGTGCAAGTGTTTCTGACATTGGTCTGGCCTTGAAGCAAGTAATGGGGAGTCAGAGTTGTAGACAGAGACAGATCACCACACACAGTGGATAGGATTATTGTATATTTACCTACAGTGTTCAAATTTGGGGATAAGAGACTTTCATATCCATTGCCATTTATACTTCTACCCAAGTCACATGGAATTGCAACAGTTCTAGATCACTTTAGTTGCAAATTCTTTCTCCTTAACGGTTCTAACAGTTCAGAAACTTTTGATAAAGTAGAAAAAATTTGGTCCGCCCAGGTTTCTCCTTGGAGGTTGCTTTGTGAAACTAGGATAGCTACACCTCTTGAATTTGTTTTTACAGTTCAGTTTCTCTTAGGTGTTTAGAGGGGAAGGAGGGCGGAAGGCAAAGATAGCTGTTGGACAATTTGTTTTCACCGATTACTTTCAAGTAGTTTTCAAACAACTCTTACAAGGGCCCAGTTTTTGAAAGTGGATAAATTTTCGTCAGGTAAACAGGCATGGAAATGAATGCATAGGTGAATACACAGATGACTTAGTGAATACATAAATAAATGTGGTTTGTTGAATTTTTTTCTTATTGTAGCTTCCATATTCTGGGGAATTCCAACTCTGAGGCTAATGATTGCCTGAAAAATAAATCTCCATGCAGGTTAATCCATATATACTCACAGCTGGGAATCCCAAGGCCTAGAACAGTACCTGATACAGGGTTGGCATTCAGCAAACATTGATTGTTGAATAAATTGAGCAAGAAAATGTGAACTTTGTCTCTTGTTAACAGTGGATATTAGCAAGTCAATGAATGTTTCTGAACCTCACTTTCTTTACCTGTAATAAGGTAACTGCATGCTACTACCCTCCCCTCACTCCCTGTTGGCTCATGGAGCCCAGAGGTAGAGCCCCAGGAAGCCACACCAGGGGACCTAAGTTGTCACCAGATGAAATCTATCTGACATCCTAGGACTCAGGTTACTTCAAGATCTAGGATGCTATAAGTTCACAGTAAATAGATGTCCAGATGTGACAGAGAAAGAAATCACCCCTTCTCCTCTCTTGACAGAATACATCATGGGTATGAAGTGCATGGCCGGCGGGAGTGCAGGGGGTGTGGAGAAGAAAGTCATCAAGAAGTGGCTGGGAACCTGCATGTGAAAGAACCAAAAATGTACATGTTTCTCAAAGCTTTCATTATGCCTTCAAGAAGAAGAAAGAGTTGGGGTAGGATGGCTAAAGCTCAGCTATCCAGAAAGATTTATGGGCCATCTGCTGAGACCAAGAACATCTTGACTTACAAATGTAAAAGCCACCGATTATTTATGGCAGGTCACAGCCTTCTTGAATGCCGCCAGGCATCTCCCTAGAAGCACAATATCATTTGATGTTGACTGGCTTCCAAAACCAGGAAACTACATACACATCACTGTAGCTCCACATTCTGGAGCTTTTGCTACCCTAGAAATAGGTTTCCAATTATTCCTCCTCAATAAACAAGGATGAGTTGTTAGGAGATATTAGATTTGAAGCATAATAGTAAGCCCTTATTTTACAATCCACAGAGTACATGGGATATATTAATAAATGTGCTCTCTAAACATTTCTATGTACCAGGTAGAGTCAATAAGATCTATATTTTTATCCAGGAGAAAAAATACTAAAGATTGAAGGGGCAACATGGCGAAACCTAAATCTTACTTGGTGGCTATGCTGAAACTTGACCCAGGCCCTGGCTTGTAAGTGTAGTGCCTTTCTCTCTGGGTGGCCTTTAATGCTAGAGGGTTGGGGTAGTGCCTGAGGATTATTTAGGAGAATAATCTGAAAGTAGAGAGAAACTTCCATGGCAAAAGAGCAGAACTAGACATTCTGTGAGACATGAAAAATAAATGGCTTCTACCCAAGGGATGGAATCAGACTATTTTCCCCTCCCATACATATTATAATTTACTAATCACTCACACATACATCATTTATATTTTCATTTGTTAACAGCCTCATGGGAAATGTACCTTCTTCCCTTTCTACAGATGAGGAAGCTAAGGTTCACAGAGATTAAGGAGTCCCTCTACCCAGTTCTCAGAAAATTTTAGAGGGGACAGAAGCATGGCTCATAAGGTGGTCTTTGCAAAGCTTCTTACGCCTACTTTGCCCAGATATTTGACGCTGGCTCAGGGAATCTAGGACGCGGCTGTCATCCCTTGTCCCCCATCAATCTCTAAAGCTAAAAGGTGTGGCTCTGCTACTACCCTCATGGTACTAGAAAGAGTGCCCTGGAACCTTTAGCATTAAGTAGTCTAGGTCTAGGGACAGTGCCAATGTTGGTGGTTTTCAAACCAGCTCCTGCTTTGATATCCCTCTTTGTATATGACAAAGTTTCTGAAATGCGGACTTCAAATTGCTGGCTCATTAGGCAAGGAGGGGGCTCCATCTCACCTGCTGGGACCTGTGGCCTAGATGACTCTAGTTAGAACTGAGTTGCCCAGAGCAGCCCTGACTTGGGCTACCAGTGTGAAGGCCTGAGTTCCATTAGCTCATGGGTGTTTCTTTCCAACCAGGCAAGTGGACGTCAGAACTGCCCCAGATGCTATCTTAAATATTCAGCTGCAAGAATTCCAACCAAGTTGGAAAGAAACTTTATTTCATTATACTTCCAGGTCTGGGAATGATGCCAGTGAACAGCTCTCCTTGACAGGTCTCTCATCACTTACAGCTCAAAGGAAAAGAGAAGTTAGCTCCCAAAGCGCAAGGCTGCAGCCCTCCTTGTCAGATGGCAACACCTCCACGGAACAGCTGAGCAAGAGGATGAGTAAAGAGCTGTCTGCCTTATCACCAAAACCCTGCATACTGATGATAATTCCCTGTATGCTTCTTTTCAAAGTCTTGCACAAGGCACTGAGCTGAGGCAAGGACATAAGAGAGGGATGAAAAATCAGTTTCAGCTGTAAGACAATTCTGATATCTCACTAGCGGTTGACTTAGTGCTGTGTTAAGAAGGATTCTGAAGCTCGATCTGGATACACCTGGAAAGACCGTTATTTTCAATGGAACATGGGCGCCAGAAGACAGACGGATAGATAGTTCAGAAGTTTGACGCATATATGACATAGGAAGTCACCAAGTCTAAACTTCAGTTTACCCATGTAAAGTTGCTGAGAAGCACAAAGGTTAAATAACTTGCAAAACTTAGATGCTAAGCTAGAAACCACACTTTAAAGCATTGGATTCTAGATTACTGCTCATCATCATATGAATAATTTTCTAGTCCTGTATTTCTAGAATATCATAGATTGCTTGAAATGAGCTAGCAAATTAGTAGACTTCCAAATCCTGTGGTAATCCAAAGATACTTATTGTAATGATAATTTTACGTATGTGATGTTCAGCTATTTCCCAGCATCTCTGCACTCACTGAAATCCCAAATCACTAATTTCCATTCATGACTGAGAGTATTAGGCCTTGGCTTGGCTGAAAATCAGCAGATACACAAAGCAATTCATCTTGCTCTGAGATCCAACCCTGCCTATGGTTTAATCTATTTGTTCCACCAGTGTTGCTTCACTACAAAATGTTAAGTAATATTATCAAAAGAAAGAAGTTGTAAAGGACCCACACAATTTACTCCAACCAACATTCACAAGGCATTCTTGGGAATTCTGTCCAAAATGCAGGAAATGGGGACCACTGGGTCAGAAGGCATTCCTGATAGGAAAGATGGTATTTAATCACATGGATTTTTTTTTTCTTACTGTTTTGCAGAATTCTTAATAGAGCTAAGGGAAAGTTTAAGAGGACTGAGCTTAGAGTGAGCTTTGGCAAATGGAGGCCAAAGCTCACTCTAAGCTCAGTCCTCTTAAACTTTTCCAAAGCTCACTCATTTCACCCGTTTGATTTGGGTGAAATCATCAACTGGGGACATCATTAGGAGACTAAGACTAGATGCCTCTAGGAAGGCTTTGCAGGATGGTTTTGATCTAGTTATTGAAGAGACTGATTACTTTTTCATGGTGAGTTTTACATTAAAATAAATCTTTTGGGGAGTGAAGATATAGGATAATATCTGGTATTGAAGGCACGGATTTGAAGACCAAATTAACTGAAAGAACTATTTAGTCAATATTTTCTCGCTAAACAAAATTTGTAGAATTGAATAAGATGATAGCAATTAAATCACTCCTTAGCCTGAATTTATACTTGTCTTCATGAAGAATTATCTGCTTGTAACAGAGTTACCTTCTCAGTTATGGTTTGTTTATAATTAAAATTAAACCCACGTTCCATACTGAGTTGAGAGAGGGGCCAGAGAGCACAGTAAATAGCAGGGCCAAGATAAGTAAGGATGAAGAAAGAAATGCCACAGATGGATGAGTGCCGACTTTCTGCAAGAGGAAACAGCATACTGTTTTAATTCCCCCTTGCCAAACAGTGTAATGGAGAAACTAAGATTTAGCTGTCCATCTTGAGTTCACCATGAGCAACGGTGAAAGTAAAAGTTAACATGTTTGTGAATACTAACATTCTGTTTCTCTGTTACCAGAGCAGGTGGTCCAGGTACCTTGTGGAGGTAAAAGAGATAAAGGTGCTGTGGTATGATGATGGAGTGAGAGAAGTTACTGGCCTAGTGTGCAAGGAATGTTCTGAGATCCTAGTGCCACACCATCCAGTAGAGTAGCCACTAAACACGGTGGCTAGGGAAGCCTTGGTGAGTGAGTGTGGTGAGTGTGACTGTGCAGCTGAATTGTAAATTTTATTTAATTTTAGCTCATTTAAATTTAAAAACCAATACTCAATTCAGTTATTTATTGGAAAACTTTGATGTATGTTTGGAACAACTTGTGCACATGAATCTACTTTTTTAACTATGAATTTTATGAGATCTAAATACAGATTTCCTGTGAAAATCCAGTATCCAAATTGAGTTGTGTTGTAAATGTAAAACACATGTCATATTTCAAAGACTTAACATGAAAAATTCAATGTAAATATTTTGTTAATAGTTTTGTAGATACATGTTGAAATAATAACTTAGACATAGCAGGTAAAATAATACATATCATTAAAATTAACTGGCCTGTTTCTTTTTACTTTTTTCAGGTGAACTACTAGAAAAATTAAAATCACATACTTAACTTGCATCATATTTCCATTGGACAGCATCAATGTAAAATGAGATCTGCTATATTGTCCCTGTAGTACATTTTTTGTAGTCTTGTTAAAATGTCTTCTACACATTTACATACCTCGTATAATACTAGAAAGTGCATAATACTAGGCAAGCATAGCCAAGAACCCATGTTTAAAAACCTGTTACCATGACCCCTACAGATTCCTTTCCACTTAGCATTGCAATCTTGCTTATTTTTTTATGTCAGATAAGACATCTAGATAAGATGAATAGCTTTTATTCTTCCTTCTAGCAGCCTAACCCCTTCTTTCTCTTTTTTATTGTTACATCTTCATTGTGAATCCATTTATAAAACAGATAGAAGGGGAGATGCAGTGGCTGAACCAGGAGTGGAGGATTCACACACCCATCCAGCTCCACATTGCCCTAGCAGCCATCAATCCTCCCTCAAACTCTGACGAACACAGTTTCTATTTCTGAGCTGGGCCCGCCTCCCCTGCTCACAAGGTCTTGAGAAAGCATGGTAGTCCTGGTGATTCCTACAGCCATTGCAGTTCATGGGAACCCCCAAACTGGCTGCCTGGTTGTTCCTAGTTGTTCATCACCCTCGCCATTGCTTTGGCCACTGCAAATCATTCCTGGCAAATGTAAGCAAAGGGCAGCCATGGGACACTGGTGACCTGTCACCTCTCCCAGATGGCCCAGAAGGAACTGGTCTCCTAGGTAAATTGACCCAAATCATACCAGGCAAATAAATGCTACAGGAATGAGATGGTGCATCACACAGTAACATAAAGGGGCAACCAATGGGGCATTTTGTGATGGGCTTTTTACTTAGCTCAAACTTCCCAAATGGCGTTATTAATAATTCACCCAACCACCCCAAAATGCCTTTTCAATTTGACTTTAATTATTGTGGTGATTGTTTAATTCAACTACCTGTGGTCTGACTCCACTTGACAGACTGACAGGCTGATGAAACCATCTTCCCCTATATACTCACTCTCCTTCCACATATGAATGCAGCAACAAGTACATCGACATGCATGAAACACCAAACACTTGTCAGTTCCTAGCTGGATAAACACCGGCAAGGTCCTTAATATTTTGGCGACTAAATTTCCTCATCTAAAACAGGCAAAAAAACTTAGTCCCATTAGGGCTGCTGGAAGATTCAATGAATTATTATATCTACATATAAAATGTATTGAGCAGTGCCTGGCACACAGTAAATGCTCAGGACAGATTGAGATGGGGCTGCAGCATTTAGCGGACCCATCTGAAAAGAAGGAGACAATGAACTTCAGGGTATGATACGTTCTTGGCTATTCCCCCAGGACAGGGATCTTGCTTTACCCTAAAATGCCTGATTATCAAAGTGTTATGTGTTTGTGCATGAATGCGTTTTTAGGTGGGGGGAGCAGAGAGGAGGTTCATAGCTTTCACATTCTTAAAGAGTTCCATGATCCAATAATAGCTTAAGAACTACTGTTTTAGATTTTTTTTTTTTTTTTGTAAACATTTTTTACTGCTTCCATAAAAAGCTGGTTTCTTCTCTCATTCTTACCAACAGGTGCCAGCACTTCGCTCATGTAAAGTGACACTAGTGGGGGAGAGAAGAGGCCAAGGCGAAATGGACATTGACTCTAACGAGCTGACTGTCACTTAATGCACATCCTCTAGAAACCAGACTTCCTCAAAATCGAGCATCGAGGTGTACTGAGGAGTGTGGTGCAGCAGGCAGAGTTAACATGCACACAAGCTCTTCCAGTCAGGCAGAATTCTCAATGTATCCAGCCATCTGGAGCCTCATGGGATCAGAGAGCAGCCTACATCTCCAGAAAGGCATTCAGCTAACAAACAGGTCACTGACCTTGTCAAGTGACCAGGTGTCCCTGATGCATTGTCACCCGCAGTTAGGAAATTCTCCCTCTCCTGCAACGTCAGCCCTACTTCTTTAATAGACAGAGTAGAAGGTCTCTCCCAGACACCCAGTCGCCCTCACCCTGCCTTGAGTCTTCTATAGGCGAAAGCTTTCTAGCTCTTCTGTTTCTGTAACCATTCATCACAGGTCCCATTTAGGATAAAGTAAATTCTATTCTAGAGCCACGTGAAGACCCACAGCATTCTCCTGTGCAAAAGGACATTTTTTAAAAAGGACAACCAATAAGATTTCTCTTGTTTGACTATTTCATGTGCATTTCTTCATAAACCAGATGCTTCATTCTCTTTTCCTCTCTCCATTATTTGAAGTCAAGTGGACTGTAAATAGAAGACATCAAGTGTGCTATGACACTTTCAGGCACATAAGACAGGAAATCACATTTTAAAAAAAGTAACATGATGAATCCTCAAAATCAGGAGACAATCAGGGGAAAAGATCTTAGGCAGAGATAGAAGCCCCAACTTCAGCCCCCACTCTCTGCAACCCAAGCCAATGGCATTACCTTTCCTCTCCCCGTTCAGAATGATTATAACTCGTCTGGAATCCTGCTCGGTGCTTGGGTTGCATCTTGCCACATACATTTTTAAGTTTGCAGCTAGAAGGGTCCCTACAGGCAAAGAGTTTCTCGTTCCCCACGCTGCCCCTCCATTGCCTGTTTATAGTACTGCTTTCTTGTTCTTCCTGTTTCTACCCAACGAAATTGAAAATTTCATCACCAGTGTCAGAAAATTAAACCCCAGGGAGCAGAGCAATAGCTCAGAGCATCCCTTTCCTGGCAGAGAGCCAATCCTTGAATATAACTTTGCAAACCCTCTCTGGTTTTTCAGGGGTTTGAAAGGATGCAAAATAGAGTCATTTTGAAGCATGCTTTTTGACTGCTAAAATCTTTCCAATTGCACTTCACTTTATCTTTGCAATTAATTAAAAAACATATTTCAATTTGGAGACAGGTTTCATAAAAGGAAAGGACATGACCTAGCTCAGTTACACATTTTCCAAGCAGAGAACAGTGGCACACGGAGAAGAGATGCTTCATTCCGTGGCTGGGGGTCTGAAGAAGTGTTTGACAGACCATTGTAATAACATCTCTCTTCACAATGCAAACACCAGCAACACAATCAAGCGGCTCCGGGCTCCGTGCCTGCACCTTTTTCTCTCTTCCTAGCAATACACAGGGTTGACTCTTATTATTAATGTAGCTTTAAAAGCATTTTCTCTTGAAATGCATCAACACCCAGGGAAATAAAGCAGAACTCTGCTCCTTACACTAATCCTAACAAGACAACCAATGTCCAAGTATAATGTACAGTCAGCTACAAATCGGATCAGACCCAAGCAAAGCATGCAGTCTTTTGAATTCAGAGTCTCCTACATCATGGGAACCCTTGAATGCCCGCTCCTCCATGTGCTTGTTCCAATTCAGTTTTCTCGGCAGACAATAGGACAAAGCTACATTTAGCTCAGGCTGATAATACCGGTGGACACATGTGTGAGACGGAGGTTTACTCACCAAGCTCCCGTAAGTCCATCTTTCCCAACCACAAATACTGATTCTAAGCTGCTGCCACCACAAAGCGACTTAGAGTCGTCCCCCTGAAGAACAATGTGCTGGAATACCACCAGATGGTTCCTGAGTAAGCTTGTTCATGAAACAGGTTTCCAGTTGAGCCATGTGAACAGAGACCCGCCGCACACCTTTAAATGGTATACACTCCAAGTCCAGAAGAATAAGCATGTAGCTTTGCTTATGTTTATGGAGCTGGAGCCCAGGGATGCTCCGATTGGCAGGAGTCGGGGAAAGATCAGCCAATCAAAGGGCGCCTCCATTTCAGGGAAACTCCTGCTCATTTATTTAGCATCTTCAGAGATCATCGGCTTTTCCAGGAAGAGCTTTTCTCTTAGAGTATCACAAGAGAAAAATAATAACTTCGTTTCTATTTTAGTGTCCTATGCTCTTTTGTCAATAAACCCATAGCTCCCCGTCTTGGTACTTCTCAATATATCCCCCACTTTTTCTTATAAAGAACTAAAAAACAAATAAGGACAAGAAGAAAAAGAAAAAGCTGGTGATGGGCTGGAGATAGTTCATATTCATCAGCCTCCACCTTGTTGGGAGAAGTGGGGGAGTGCCTGGGCTCAATAATTACCGATTCTGTTGCCATAGAAACAGACTGGCTGCAGCGAGTTGGATTCGTGCAGAACATCTGCTGCCAGACCCATAATCAACTGCAATCTCATCTCTTCCCCTCTCTCTACTTTTATTTGATTGTGAGTTTGCTTTCTCCTACCTTCTCTTCACACACAGTTTTTGTCCAGAAATGTCATAGAACCACCTCGCGATACCTTGCCATGTACACACAAGGCATGCACACCAGGGGTGCTCACATACTCAGGAATGCAAGCATTCCAGAGCATCCCAGCAGGGGTCCCACTGGGAGGATTTATACTCTAATTCCTACCCAGGATGTAAACAAACATAAACAGCCTCTACCCCTAATTAAAATTACTGCAACTTTTAACCTAGAGAATTAGAGGGGTATCTTTAAAAATATTTGTTGCCTAACAGCCCTGAGAGCTCCGCAAATAAAAGTTAAAGTTTGCAATGGTATTCCTCAGAGGGCACTGCGGTGGTTCCTAGCCAACCTTTGGAATGAAGCGATTACACTGGCGGCTTGTGGAAGATTTTGTAAGTACGGAGTGTTCAGGCCCAGCTCTTTTCTGCATTAGCACCTCATCAAGGCGCCCTGAACACTAGGGATCTCCCTGGATTTCCTCAGCCCATTTTCATCCCCTCAGACTCCTCCCCTGCTTGCTCCAAATTCCCCGGGTTGCATGACTAGAATTAATGTCACCAACTCTGAATGTGCTGCCATCTCTCTCCTTAGCAGCAGGGGTCGCCACTGAGCAGTGAATGGCTGCACATCCTGGTCAGACTCGAGGGGGCTCATAAGGTGGCAATCTCACTCAGGGGTCTGCGGAAGCCCTCAGTTCCACAGAGATTGATGGAAAATGGTAAGTGTCACAGAAGGCACCGATTTGGGCTTATGTTAGAGAGAAAAGAATTACTCTCTGCCCTATCGTCATCTGCCTTGGCATCATAACAACCTCAAGGAGAACCTTCTCTTCCTTAAAGGTCTCTGCAAGCCTGGGACCCTCAGCCCGTAATGACCCAGATGAGGCTTCTGAGGAGACTGGGACCTGCTCTTTGTGTGTTTCTGATTCTTGAAGCCAAGCTGAACTATCCATCTACAACACATCCACTGTCTAAACAGCAACAGTCGCCCTCAGCCTCCTTTCTTCCTAAATGAAGCTCAGTATAAACCCCATATCCATCCAACTCCAAATGCTCAGCTATAGCCCACTGGTGTTTTGTTTTGTTTTGACAGTCTTGCTGGAGTGCAATGGTGTGATCTCGGCTCACTGCAACCTCTTCCTCCCAGGTTCAAGCGATTCTCCTGCCTCAGCCTCCTGAGTAGCTGAGATTACAGGCATGTGCCATCATGCCTGGCTAATTTTTGTATATTTATTAAAGATGGGGTTTCACCATGTTGGACAGGCTGGTCTCAAACTCCTGACCTCAGGTGATCCATCCACCTTGGCCTCCCAAAGTGCTGGGATTACAGGCGGGAGCCACGACGCCTGGCCGCCCATTGGTCTTGATGTTGGATTTGTACCTTCAAGAATATGAATCCTGGCTTTCCATTTTGTCTCTTTATGCCACTAAGTGTAGGAAGAAAGTCTCACCCAGGTACAGCACCCAAAGCCAACACTGTCAATCTTTCTCAGCTCTGCCCAGACAACATTCACCCTCAGGGTGGTGGATGGCTCAGGTTTTCTCTACCATCTTTCTGGAACATCTCCTCTTAACTGTCCTGCCTAGTCTCCTCTGCCATGGGGACACCCACCCTTTGCCTTCCCATCCTCTTGAAGGCTGTCCAAATCCTCAGTTTATGCCAAAACCATCATTCCATCCAAGTCTTCCTCAATCAAAATTTAATAATTTTCTCAACAAATATTTAGCAAGTATCTATGCCAGGCACTTGTGCTAGTGATACAACAAACTGACAAGGTTTCTGCCTTACAACCTGCAGACTCTAATAGAGGAGGCAAAAATATTAAGCATAACTGTGATATGGAGTATAAAAACAGAGCTATGAACTCTGTGTTCTCTTAGCACAAATAATCACTTAGTGAGATCAGGAAAAGCATTTCAGAGAAAGTGACATCAAGCCATGATCTAAAGGAAGAGTAAAAGTTAATAAATTGAGAGTGAGGGGAAGAGTGACCCAAACAAAACACATGTGTGCTAGGAGGCAACATGGCATCTTTGAAAATCTGAAAGAAGCCAAATGTGAATGGATCACAGTGAGAATGACTGGGAGGATGGTGTAAGACCAGACCAGCAGATGCTTAGAGACCAAGTTAAGGAGTCTGGTTCTTATCCTACAAGCAATGACAATGCATTGCAGTGCTCCAGTTAAATGACTCCTTGCCCATCCTAACACACCAACATAACCCAAGATATATATTCCTCAGCTGATATGAATGACAGATTAACAGAATACAAACCTGATTGAAACAATCTATTTCAAGACATCTGTGATTTGTTGGGTTGATCTAGCTAACATTTATTGAGCAATTAATAATCCAGGAATTAATCCAGCAATTAAGAATTAATTCAGCAATTAATAATTCAGGAATTAACCTAGCAGTTCATAATCCAGTGCATTCTAAGCACTTTGTCTAGATTAACCAATTTAATTCTCCCAAAAGCTCTGTGAGATGTTATTACACTATTTACACAAATGAGGAAATTGAGGCATAAGGAGGTTAAGCAACTTGACTGAAATAACAACAACAACAAAAAAGTAGCAGAGCCAGGATTTGAATCAAGGGATTCAAGCTCTAGATTCTTTAAGTGTGATCCACAAGGATCACCTACATTAGAAATTCTCATTAAATGCAGATTCCTGGGGTCCAAGTGCATCTCTCCCCAATCAGAATTTCAGGGGGCAGAATCACGAATATTTTCCCAAGCACTCCAGGAATTCTTACGCACACCACAGTTTAGGAACCACTGCTAAGAGATGTTTTTGTAAAGGAGGAGAAGACTACCTCAAAATTAATCTCCCACATATAAAATGGAAAAAGGCAGTTTTTGGAGAATGGGACAGAGGGTCTCACTATTTCAAGCCATTACAAAAGACCATCTATATGAGAGTAAGATCATCTTTCTTTTGAATGACTGCAAATCCTGGTTGTATCATATAATCCAAAGTTAAAGTGGAGGGTGGGTAGACAGCACAGTCTGGTGCTTGGTAGTTATCCTACTAGGGAGGTTTATGAAGAGAGAGCATGCAAGTTCACAAAGAACACATTCACTAGGGTAATACAGATGTTATTAGAACCATCAGCAATAAGGTAGGAAGACTATGTATTATTATTGTTGACACTATGTGAAACGTCATAAGTTTTTTAAGGTAATTTTTATCCTGAAAAACTCATTTTTAAGACAAAATTGCAAGGTAAACAGATAATTTTATATTAGCCTTCAATCCTTCTCCCCTTCATCTATTTGAAAGCTAGCAAATAAGCTCTTTCGTCCACCTAGCTAGTCATGGTTTTAGTTCTAGAAAATAAGTGACTTGATCGATATTTTCAGAGGGTCCACTTCAAGAAAAAAATAGCTATAGCATCTTCGAGGAAACTTCCAAAGAATTTTTGCATGGGATCTTGTCCAGCGGTTTTGTTATGGAGATCCCAGACTGGGTGCTCTATTTAGTTAACCTGGACTTTCTGGCGATTTTTTCGCCTTCTAGACTGTGATGAAAAAAGTACATAAAGCTTACAGAGCTGCTGGTGAGCCTCAAAAAGAGGGAAACCTAGATTTTGTTAGCATCATATTTGGATGACTGCTTGTCAAGTTCCCAAGAACTGGCATGAAGTTGTTCTGCATACACCTAATGGACTTGTACTCCACAGGCTCCACATGGATGATAGGTAGCCTATCATCCAGCTTCTGAACACATTCAGATTTACTATGTGCTGTCCACAAAAGGAGAAGGGAATCACAGTATCAAATACTCAGAAAATTCAGGGGGTGGGGTGGGAATCACTGCTGGGCATCTGAATAAAGGTCATAAGAAATCCCTTTCTATTTCGCTCACACGTTCAACCTGTACTCTTTGTTCTGCTTGGAGCAGGCACTGTCAGTACCATTTATCCCATATTGTCTTGGGGCAGATTCAATCTCATGAAATTTTATTCCTTTCCATAAGCATGATTTATTAAATGTATTATTACTAAATCTGATGTAATTCTTATACCTTTGTAATACTTTTTAAATAAATCCACAAATCAAAAAAGAATGTTAGGCGGTATACATGTATTTTTGAATAAAAAATATGGTGACTATTATAGAATAATTTCTAAACTGGCTGTCCAAATTCTCCTTAGTTCACCTATAGGTCTTAACTGAAATGAGCACCATTTATATTGAGCCTTTAAAAGGCAGATGAAGGGATTCCATTTACCGGGCACTAAGAGAGGTGGCACTTATACCCATTCCTTTCATTTTCCAGCTCCTGGTCCCAAACTGGATGCTTCCACTGAGTATCCATTTCATTAGGATTCATGTTCTTTGCTGGCAATGAAGGTGATGGTAATGGTCTCTACAGTTTACGACATGGCTACGCTGCAACCAGTTTTGTTTGATTAATTCATTCTTATGAGGGAGGTCATCAGGGTACTTAGCCTCATGAAAATTCCAAACAGTTAGGGTGTATATGCAGTAGGCTCTTCTCCACCTACATCTCAGCCCTCTTATGGAATGCCCTCATACACACACGTGCACATGCATGAGCCCACACACATAAAACACACTGATATCGTTTCCATAACAGCAACAGGCCCAGTGCAGACTGAATCAGACCATATCTCCCAAGGATGTGAGATCAGAAGTGGGGACTCTTCCCCAATGGGTCAGAGGTGTAGCCACTACTGGCTCAGTGAAACTACTTTATTTCATTCAAGAGACTTTGGAGAGATATTTCTCTAGTATTTGGGCTGACCAGTATACAGTTATCTCTAATCATTTTACATGGTGCATTTTTAAGACCAAAACATATGCAAAACCTGAACTGAACATAGTCAGAAGACCTTTTTACAGCTCTTTTTATCCTCAAAGGGAGATATCAATAATATTCCATGGAAACATTCCCATACGTAGGCACCTGCATCTCTTTTCCTCATTTTCATGGAGAGATGATCCTGAGCAGAATGTGCAAACCCTGTCACACTGTCACTTTATCTTTTGATCCCAGGATGCTGAGCTCTCTGTGATAAGCCTGGACATCTGTGGAAGCTTAGGAGAGTAACAAAAAATGCAGATGCAGTGCTTACCATGGGCCTATGCTATAAAAGGCCCCATTTCCAAATGGAGAAACGAAGGCTCAAGACATTCAGATAACATGTCTCCAGTTGCCATCTAGTAAAGTGGGACACTCAGGATTCAAACTCAGGTGTCCATCTGTGGAGCACCCTGAGCAGCACGCCCCACTGTGGCCTCACAGCTCCCCAAGCAAGCAGCTGGAGCAGGTGGGATTATTCCCAAGCATCCTAAGGCTGAGTTATAAAATATGAGTCATTAATATGAATTTTATTTCCCTGGGCTTTGCTATTTTTTATTACCCACAAAATGCCTAACATGTAAGTGATACCTACGAACAGTAAGAAATAACACCAGGATCCACAAAATGCATACCCATCTATAAACAGATCCCCAACCCATGCATTTCTTCCTGCCTCTTCCAGAGCACCAGGCTTGGAGAAGTGACCATGATTTGCATTCACAGGACTGGAGAGTCAAGGTCTGGAAGTTCTTGGGGCATCACAGACCTAATAAGTGAATGGGCTGACCCAGAAGAGCATGGGCCTGAAGAACAAGGGCCAACATGATGCATCTCTGATCATGCTGAAAGCCTTCAAAGGGATAGTTGGTGAAATTCTGTGTTTATCACTTGCCAATTTGAATTTTCCAAATATACCATGGAAATGAACTCCAGAATTGCAGGCTGATGAAAAATCAAGCCAGAAGGAAAAATGAAAATGCCAAAATTCTCAGCTGAGTCTTGCCAAGCGCATCCACTGGCAATATGGTGACAAAAAGCGACTGGGCCAATGGTAGGATATCCTTTAGATGGTGCAAAATGAGAAACAGCTTCTTCACCATCGGAAAAGGAAAGCTTCATCACATCCTCCTTGGTTTTCAGATCTAATGAATAAGTAAACCTCTTCCAATTCCAAAACACACCCATTTCACATGCAAATAATTCTACCTTTTGAGAAAAAAACTAGTTTCTGATATTCTCATTAGAGGACAAATTTCATTGCAGTGTGTAGAGATTAAACCCACGGCTCACCATGTTTTTTCAAATGGTTAGACATTTCATGCCCTTACTTTTTCTGCTTTTTCTTCTCACACATTCACAGGTATTTTATCAAATGAAAAGGCTCACAGATAACCTATGCATTCCGGTCTCCTGTGACAACAGGGATTACACTACATCAGAAAAGAGTGCATCAGGGATGCGGGGAAGAATATAGGGTCTGATGAGCAAGACAGAAACCAACAAGGTCAAGAACACAAGCAGACTCAGCTTACCCTGGCAAGCAAGGAAGAAGAAGAAGAAACTAGAGATGAAGGCAGTCAATTCCAGGGAGGTCATGTTCTGAAGGGGGTGGACAAAGCAGAGAAGCTTAAAGGGGGATCCAAGAGGTCTGTACAGAGCCAGATATGGAACCACAGGGGGAGGGTACCCATAGGCCCAATGAGTCACCATATGAAATTCTAGGGTGAGTCCTGTTTAAACCCAGTTGTTTTAACTTTGGATCTTGGTAGTAAGTTGGCTTTATCAGAAACCAGTCACACAATGAATATCAGCAACAACACATAACCTCTCTAAACAAACCAACTAAGTGTGTGCCTAGTCTTAGTGAACCAGCACTGCCATCACAAAAACAGGATTGCTGTTCTTAAACCCATCTTTCAATAGCAACAGCATGTAAGAGCCAGATCGCTTCAAACTGTTCTCTATCTATGAATACTTCCAATCAAAGGAAGCTTTGAAATGTGAACCATGACCCCTAAGCAAATGATATTTGACAGGCTATTCTCAATCTTCATCAAGAATAAGCTCTATAACATAATTTGTGGAGAAATTAAATTTAGAAAAAAATATAATTTTATTTTATTGTCCAGTACTTGCCTGCAACTTGAAGCTACTAATTGCAGAAAAGAGTTAATTTGATATTAAAAATAAAAATTGGCCCTGAAGGGCAATAACCAATCCATGTATATACAATGGAAAAATGTATCCCTACCCCCACCAAGTCATCTCAAGCTAAATTTAGAACATGGTTTCCAAAATGCATTGCCTACAATTCTCTCCACACAATGAAAAGCATGAGAACGACGAAGCAAATCTTTGAAACAATCACATACACTGAACCTTGAATAAGTGCTCTTGCTTATGTTTTGTGAGAGTCTATTGTGTTGGACCTCTCAGCTATTCTGAACATACACTGAGAAAACATATTTCACACACAAAAAAATCCCAGTGGGAAGTGAGGAGTTGGTGCATTTATTCAAGTAATATTTAGGAAGTGCCTGAGATAATGCAATTTAACATGTCGCCCTGTGTTTCCTTCAAGTCTTGGGAACCCAAGAATACAGCCTTAATGTCTTGAAAACAATAAAGTTCCATTTATTACATTTTCTGTTCATGAATTTCATTATATTTAATATCTTTTCCAAGCAGACTCTATTCTGCTCACCTGGAGAGCTTCTATTCATATGATGCTCCCTTAAATAAAGTTCTTCCTCTATGTAATTTTTCCTTTGCATTCTTTCCATACAATATATGTGCTATGGCTATTGCACACTTAGCTCTTTTCACAGCTCTCACCAATACTGGGAACCCTCTAGGGCTGGTTTTACTAATACAACACCAGGAATACCATCTCTAGATGTATCTGTTAACTTAGCCAAGAAGACAAAATCCTACTGCAAACCTTAAACTTAGAGAGGTTATACAAGCCTTCTTCTGAGTACTTCTGTCATTCTATCCAGCATCGTAGGTACAGCCATGGGGATGAGGATATCTGAAAACATCTCAATGACTCATCCCCTGTTGTCTCCCATTCCTTCCTCCTCCCACTCCTGCAATCTCAGTCTGAGAGGGACTAGGGTGCTCTGTGTAGAAGCACTCCTGAACACTACCCCTTTCAGAAATCCATTTTACAAGCATTCTAGGTGCTGGGTCCAGCTCTGTCTGCAATGTGGCTTACTTTCTTAAGTGTATCACATCTGCTTAGAACTTCCTTCCAGTTAATGAGTCTTTCTTGAATCAAGCCTGAAGGGCTTTTGATCTCAGTACCAATCAACTTCAGGCTAAGATGCTGGGCACTAGCTGGGCTGGCAAAGCTGGCCCAAACCCAGGCTCTATTTCAAGGAAGAATAAACAAACTTAGCCTGAAGTTATAACATGGAATGTCAAGATAAAGAAATTCCTCCTAGACTGACACCACTGCTCAGACCACACCTGGAGCTTGGTGCCAGTTCCACACCCACAAAATTTAAAGTGTTTCTTTAAAAAAATGATTGTAAGATAATACATGTTAGGTAGCAAAGATGGGGAACATTAAAGACATAGTAAAAAAGAAAAATATAATTAATCACACTATGCAGAAGAAACCATTTTTCTTTCAAACCCACAACCCAACATCATAGAAGCCATTGTTAAAATCATTCAACCTGGCTGGGTGCCGTGGCTCACGCTTGCAATCCCAGCACTTTGGGAGACCGCAGTGAGCAGATCATGAGGTCAGGAGATCAAGACCATCCTGGCCAACATTGTGAAACCCCGTTTCTACTAGAAGTACAAAAATTAGCTGGGCATGGTGGTGCACACCTTTAGTCCCAGCTACTTGGGAGGCTGAGGCAGGAGAATCGCTTGAACCCAGGATGTGGAGGTTGCAGTGAGCCAAGATCACGCCACTGCACTCTACCCTGGTGACAGAGTGAGACTCTGTCTCAAAAAAAAAAAAAATCATTCAATCCTTTTTAGTTTGTAGTTTTATTTAGTTGAGATATAATTTTGCAGGCTGCTCTACTCACATTTAATATACTACAAAACATGTTTCTGATATTTAGATACTATTCATGAATATCATTCTGAATGAGTAAAAAAAATTTTAACAGATAAATAAATGTATCCATAAATTAATTTATCAATCCCCACTGTTGAATAGTTGGGCTATTTTCAATTTCTCACTCGTAAGTAACAATGAAATGAACATCTATATGCACATCTTTGTTTTCCCCCCTTGAATGACTATGATTCTAAATGGCTGTATTATACAAATGAGATAATCTACAAATGAGATAATCAATGTTGGTGAATTTCCAACATTGAGCCAAAGGATGATGAGCCAAAGGAACCTTGTCTCCTCCCCATGCAGAGGGGTGTAATTGACCTCACAAACAGCTGGAAGCCAGGGATCTCCAGACTCAGCCCAGCGTGGTTTGGGAAGGGAAGTCTTTGCCATCATCTCAGCCCTGTCTGTGTGGGAGCACATTCCAGCATGAAAAATCAATTGGCTTTTGTCAGACAATAAATATCACCAAAAGAAAATCCAAAGACGTTTTTAAGACAGAAAAAAATATTCCCTTTCCTTTTCTTTTGGAAATAGCTTAATTTTTTTCATCTTGGTCTTAAAAGAAATCGCCACTAGAAGAATCACTCTTTTTCCTGTCATAGCCACACAATGCCCTTCAATGCCAAACTGAGTCCATAAGACTGTTTGTTCTGTAGATTGCAAAGTTTGTCCTAGAGTGTGCTTTTTCCTTTTAAGACCTTATCAGCTGATTTAAAAATAAACATTATTAGCTATTTTTTTCAACAATAGGATAAAAATTCAATTTAAGTAACATTTGTTAAGCTCATATATATTTCTTTCTTTTTGGTAGGCACTCTGGGGTAGAAAGGTGAG
Organism: Homo sapiens; assembly: GCF_000001405.40. Taxonomy (NCBI): domain Eukaryota; kingdom Metazoa; phylum Chordata; class Mammalia; order Primates; family Hominidae; genus Homo; species Homo sapiens. The sequence continues at coordinate 36,996,464 of NC_000007.14, forward strand.
TGAGAATCAGTCCTGGTTCTTAGGGGTAGAGTCAAGAAACAGAGAGAGTAGATATGATTTTCAAGCCTTTGGAATTCTGCAGCATTGCCTCAAGGTAGCCATGAGGTGGGACAGAGAATGAATGGGAACCCATTTAAATCAAAGATAATTGGCTAAAATAAGTTTCCGAACTTAGCATATAGCTGAGTAAGTTAAGTGCTACAAGAGAGGGGAAGAAAAGTGAACATAAGAGGGAAAATTCCTCCTGTCCCCATGGAGGGACTTTGCAGGGCCCATGAGTTGGGCCTTGAAGGACAGGCAGATTTTTCACCGGAAAGAGTGAAGGTTCCTCCTTGCTGAGGGAACACAATCAGGGACAGATACTGGGAAGTGCAAGGCATGCTGGGCACTCAGTATGACTAACGATAGGTTAGTAGGAGGTGTGCTGCTAGACGTAATAGACATGTTGTTTGGAAGAGTGGTTTAGGACAGAATGTGGAGTTTTTCTATCCTGCTGGAAGAAGAGAGAGCCAGAGGTTTTTGAAGACAGATGTCTCATGAGAAGAGCTGTGTCCTAGAAAGGTGTTTCTGGCAGCTAGGGGAGAGAGAACTTAGGCTTGGGTCAAGTCCAGATTTAGGAAGACCAATTAAAAAACAAACACATCGTCTACACAAGAGATGATGGTGGCGGGAAGGCAGGATACAGAACAAACTGAGTCCATAAGTGAAAGGCACAGGGTGGCTAAGCTATGACAGGAGAAAGTGATTCTTGAGAGGAATGATTTCTTTTAAGACCAGAAAAAAAATTTAAGCTATTTCCAGGAGAGAAGGAAAATGATTTTGTTTTTTTCTGTCTTAACAACACCTTTAGATTTTCTTTTGGTGGTATTTATGGCCTGACAAAAGCCAATTGATTTTTCATGCTGGCATGTGTTCCTGCACAGAGACTGGGGCTGAGATAATGGTGCAGGAAAGTGGAGTCACAGCATTAAAAGGCAGGTGGCCCTTCTCATAGAGTGGTGAATCAGTAGGACTTGGGGACCTACTAGAGAGAAAAGGTAGGGAAGCCAGAGATCTCTCCTGGATTTCAAGTCCAAGATATGGGGTGATTGTGGTGTCACTCCTGGAGTTAGAGCCCACAGAAGCAGCAGCAGGAACGGAGCCATGAGAATGGAGAGTTTAGCTTTGGACATCCCGAGTTTGAGGAGTCTGCAGACCATCCACAGGGGTGGAGCTCAGAAGACGATGAGGGTGGAATTCTGTCTGCCTCAGGTGCTGGTTGAAGGTGGGGAGGAGGCAGTGGTAGGAGAGGAAAAGAGGAGGGCCTCAGGGAATGCCTGTGCTAAAGGGGTCAGTGCCATGGGAATGAGGAATGGAGAGGATCCCAGGAAGCACAGGAGGCAACACAAGTCAATGCCTCAGAGCCAGGGAACAGGATGAACAAGAACAATCAGAAGATGACCTTGAGCTAAATGAAGCAATTGCAGCAGGTGGGTGTGGGTGAACATCAGACCACGTCGAGGTGAGGAGGTGGGAAAGTGGAGATGTCATTCTCTCCCGGAAAATTTGGCAGTGCAGAGACGGACAGAGATTGGATAAGAACTTGAAAGAGGAACAGGGTTGGAAAATATTGTTTAAGGAAAGGAATGATTTTGGTATATTTTTAGGCTGAAGAGAAGAGATGGGGGTGGGGGAGGATGCGAATAGCATGAAGGTGTAAGGGATAAAAGATGTATTTTTATAAATTTTTTGATGTCTCTCTTCTTCATCAGAGCAGGGATTCAGAACAATGTGACTTCTTTCCAGTCTTAAATTTAGAACAACTCAACGACTCCTCTCAATTCCCACTTGCCTCTTAGAAATCATGTCTTTTGTGGCTACAGAGGTTTTCAAGTATTCAAAATATATATTAATGCACTTTGGAGTCGTATTTCTTCTCTTGAGCTCAGTTATATTTTTAGTTATCCTTTAATTTTTTTTCTAAAAATGTTGCTAGTAACTGGAACAATAATAGTTATTTTATTTCTTCCACGTATATTCAATGTGCCATTTGTACATATATCTTAGGTGCATTGTATACATATATAAATATATATATGTCTGTATCTATATCTGTATATCTATATCTATCTTGCATGTATGTTCATTTCCAAAGTCACAGTAAAAAAAATTTTTAAGGAGAGAGTGGTTCACAGGGTCAAGGGCTACAAAGGTGGCAAACAAGATTGAGATTTAAAACTGTCCACCGGAGGCCATTCTTTGTCAAAATCAGTGACTTTTGTGGCTAAAGAGGTTTTCAAGGACTGACACTATATTTTAGTGCTTTTTAGAGTCCTATTTCTCTTCTTTTGCTCAGTTATATTCTCGGTGTGGGCAGAAGGCAGGCTGCAGTGGATTAATACATGAAAAGGCGAGCTGGGAAACTGAGGCAATGACTTCAGAAACCGAGCTGCAGGGGCACAGGTGAATAGGGGGTTGAGAAAATCATTTATTTATTATTAAGAATGTGGGAGATTTGTGTGTGTTTATATTCTGGTGAGAAGACAGCATGTGAGAGGAAGAGACTAATGATGCAAAGATTAGAAATGATAACGGACAGAGCCCCAGAGCAGGTGAGAGGGGATGAAATTCAAAGCACAGAAGGAGGCCATCCCCGGGGCCACAGCATTGTCTAGGAGGGAGGGTGGTGAGTGCAGGATAGGAGAAAAGCCCCGGGTCACGCAGGAGGTCACAGGCAGAGCTGGACTAGAATCCATGCCTCTCCATGCCTCATCTGGAGCGCCATGTGTGCTGTGTGATCTTCGTGTCATTTCCCTCATGGGAATGGCCCCAAATGCTTTTCATTGATTAAGATGAGCAGAACAGAACTACAAATTTTGCCATTCAGACGTGGTCCAATATTGGCCATTTCATGTGGTTCCACCTAATCTTGGTTCATTTCATCCTCAAAACAACTCCATGACGATCAGTCTCTAGACGAAGAGACCGGGATACAGGGCAGGGCAATTAACCTGCTCAAGCTCACCCAGCAAGGAAACGAAGGAGCTAGGGTGTGAATCCCACTCCTTGGGTCCAGGGCCAATGCTCCTGACTTAGACTTTACTACAACTTATTATGGTGAGTTAAATGATCACAGAATAAAGAAAGAGAAATAGGTACTGTGAATAATAGAAGAAGACTGTGTCAGAAACCAACAGTAAATGCTTATGGGTAAATACAACTGATTCCACGAATGTACAATAATTTTTGGTTGAGCCATTTGAAATTGCTGTATTTGTCAGACAAAAACAGTCCAATACTGGCAGTTGCATATGGCTCCATGTCATCTTTGTGTGTGTGTGTGTGTTTGAATCTGCAAATCTCTCTCTTGATTTCTCAGCCATGCAGGGGAGCAAAGGCTGAGGCTGCATCTGTGGCAGCTTCAGGTCTCCATTATCAGCCTAAAAGCTTTTATAACTTGAAAATTTAATGAATAAAAAATTCTGGTAAACTGCATCCAAAAAACATTGATTATCTTTTACTCACAGCCTTTTTTTTCTGGTACATGCACAAGCAAATTTTTATTCATCTGATTCCCTGACCGACCAGCATCTGCTCAGCTGAGGCTTGGAAGCAAATGTCCAGGCTTGCCCAGTGCCAAAACCACAATAAAACAAGCCAAGAACCTTTTTCAAACACACGTTGGGGCAAAAGTATGTCCATTTTATATATACTTGTTGTGGCAATAAATACATTTTAATAGGAAAAGCATCTCTGTGTGATGCGTGGGTCTTTTCCTTTTCTACTTCTGCTTTAAGAACACATAGTGGCCAGGGAGCTTTCGGACAGAATCCCGTGCTCTGTGATTCACAAAATGGAAATCTGGCATTATATGCCAATGACATTTACTTCTGTGGCAGCTCAAGCGGCAAAAAGCCATATGCCATACACCTCGGATCCAGCCAAGCCACGCAAACAAATATGTGAAAGAGAAAGAAGGAAAATAGGACCAGAAGAGTTCTGGGGAGCTGATTGCCTCCAGCACTTAAAACTCTCACTGTGGCAAGAACTGGGTCTTCCCACTCTTATGACATTCTAAGGGGGATGCATTTTTTCCCCCCAATTTAAGATAACTTCGGGAGGTAAAGGTAAAATACAAAAGATAATTTTTGTGAACGGCATGATGTGTTCACACATGTGATTCAACATTCCTGCTGCACAAGCACGTATTTCCTAGGCATGCTTGGCTAAGTACCAGTCCCCTACATGGGATGGAAGGTTGACAGTCACATTTGTCCTTTGCACTGGAAGGTCTCTCGGCAGCCATCCTGGGAAAGAACAAGCGCCATTACTGATGTTATTTTTCCCACTGGCCTGGAAACAAGGCTAGTGGGAAAAACAGTGCTCCTGGAATGGCCAGGGTATGTGGGTTAAGCAGGCTTAAGGGCAATATAATAAATGAGTGAAGGTGAAAATGAAACAGAGGGATATATACATATATATATGTATATGTGTATACACACACACACACACACACACACACGTTTTTTAACAAGGAGTTCCAACCAATCTTCTTGGAAAAAGAACAATTCAGTTTCTTTTGCAAAAGTTCAATGTCTTTGAAGCTTTCTATTCACCTTATATAAAGCTACATAGGCAGAAAAATAATGACAACTGCCATTTTTATTAAGAAACAGATGGCAAAATCATTTCATAACTTCCTCAGAGTATTAGCATCTGAAGAGATTCTGATGGAGGGGTCTAGAAGTGTTTCTCAATAAGGCCTGTTGGCATTTGGGGCAAGAAAATTCTTTATTGTGTGGAATTTCAAAATACCCATGGCCTTCAGGAATTGAACAACGGTGGCCACCCCATATTAAGACGGTGTATATGAATTCAGCTTACTGGTCAGGTGGACCATTTTTAATGATCATTGAATTAAACATTTCTGGCCATTAATTAATTCAACACTCAACACAAAGTATTTGAGCAGATACTACTTAAAAGCACCTGGAGGATATTAAGACATAAAATCTAGCTCTTGCTTCCAATGATATATTGAAATATATGATTTATTTGGGAAGACAGACTTAAAAATAAACAACTGCTATAGAACTAGAAGATATTTTCCAAAAAATTTTGAATTCCATGCTGTGGGAGTAGACATACAAAATTTCATTCTGAATAAATAAAAGGGAGATGGTAACTATCTTGCTAAGGTGGCACTTGTGCAAAATCCTAAAGGATAAGTGAAATTTCAACAGGTAAATGGGGGAAGACGTTTCTGGTAGAGGGAATGAGACATGAAAATGCAATTGCACGTACAAGAGCAGTTCAGGTAGAGCCTAGGGTAGGTGCAGGGTGAAGATATGGAGATAAAGCAGAAAAATTACTTTAGGTGAATTAAAGATAAATCTGAACATCTTGCTGAGGCCACAAAATTTAATGAGTCAGGCAATGAACAGCCACAGAAGTTTTAAAAGCAAGAATGATATGGTCAGATCTGTGTTGGAGGAGATTCGGAAAATGGAAAGGTTTCCAAGCTGGGAGATAAGTTGGTGTAACAGTTGCTGTCTTAGTCAGCTATTGTCATGTTAATGCTGTGTAACAAACAACTCCAACAGGTAAGAAGTTATTCTCACATTCACAGATCTACAGGTCAGCTGAGGTGGCTCTTTCAAGCTCTGTGGGCTGACTGGAAAAACTGCGCTCCATATATCTCATTTTGGGACCTACACTGAAGGAGCAGTGGCTACCAAGGTATGTAGTTCTCATGATGATGGTAAAAGTGCAAAAGCCCAGCTCAATCACTTGAGCAACAGTCAAGCTTCTGCTCGTTTCACATCCATGCACATCTCAACTGGCCCAAGCAAGTTCACTTGGCCAAGACAAAAGTCAAAGGGTGAAGGAAATTCACTTCACCCATCATGAGGTCATGGCAAGGATTTGGAAGTATGCTACTACCACGAAGCAGTGCAGAACTGTGACCAGCCATTCAATCTATCACATTGGGGTGAGAGAAGAGGAAGACAGAAACTGAGGCAATGATGAAAAGGTAAAGGACCATGTGGTGATTGTACCGACTTTGGCCACTAATCAGTTTCACAAAGAGGGACTAGCCCATAAATTTCTAAGTAGAAACTTACTAGACTGCCAGCTCTATGACAGCAGGAACCATCCTGTCTTGCTCACCTCTGTACTCCCAGTGTCTACCACAAGCACTGTGTTGTAGACACAAATAAATATCTGTTGAAAGAATGAATAGCATTTGAAGAGTAAGTTGGATATTGACCCTATTAACCAAGATGTGGAATGCTGATGTGGCTGTGCTGTATGTATGATGGTGGTGAGATAGTAACTTTGAGTACCTTCTAGATCCTAGGCATGGTGCTAGATACTTAGAATACAGAAAGAGCAAGGCTCTGCTCTTAGGAAGCCAGATAGGCAATTGCAGTTCACTGACATAAGTTCTAGGGTATAGGTATTCCTAGGGACAAAGCAAGAGGGACAACTCAGGGGCATCTGAGTGAGTTGTTGCCAAAAGTGATAGCTGCAGGCTTGAGCACTTTCCTGAGGAAGGTGGTGGTCCGATTGATATCTGAGCTGATTACCTGCCTAAATGACTTCCTCCTACACAGTTGGCCTGATCATCTATTATTTTAACTTTACTAGAATAGGAAGAAAACACATAGAAACCAGAAAATAAAGGGAAGAAGGAGGCGGGCAGAAGAAGAAATTCGGTTTGGAATTATCATCTCTCAAATTCAAGTTCTAATGTTCATTTTTCTCCCTGTAATAATTGCCAAAAAGGGGCTGGAATGCTGGGAGTGGTAGCTCACACCTTTAATCCCGGGTACTCGGGAGGCTGGGGTGGGAGGATTGTGTGAGGCCAGGAGTTTGAGATGAGCATGGGCAACATAATGAGACAACGTCTCAAATACAAGAAAGAAAAGAAAAGAAAAGAGAAAAGAAGGAGGGAACCACTGCCAAATGTAGCCTTACTTTGATATCTTCTTCTGGCCTCTCAACCTCTGTCCTTGCTTCGGACCTGTCTGACTTAATGACTTGGCTCTATGCTGGTGACAGAGCAGGAGGGTCAGTGTGTGGGTTGAACAAGGAAGATCAGTGTTCAGCTCCTACTTGGAAAAATGAAGGCAGATAATCTTGACCCATAAGTCACTGTTGCTCAGATAAAAGAGCACAGTTCTGAAAAATTTGCAGACATACAACCAATGTAAATTAGAGGTTGAATATGCATATGAAGTTGAATATGCATGTTTTATGATTTAGTCATTAAATATATATTTTAACTACCAAGCACCTGGATCTGGTATTCCGCAGAAAACATTTGGAAATCTCACTTAGGATCTCCTAACTTCTTCTAGCTCTTGTTTTGGCGTCTTTGCAAATAGCTTCTGATCCCACTCTCTCACTCTGACTGCTTGGTTTATCTTGTCTAGGGCCCCTTGTTGCCCTCAACCCTCCATTCATCACAACATCTGGTACCCTCAGTTGGCAATAGGGGGCACCTATATGACAGCACCTATGTGCTCTTCTGTTCTGCCTTAGGAGACTCATCTCTTTTTGGAAATGTGTTCTTAACCTCCCATGTAACATCATTTACTTTGCAATTACAAGATAAATATTTTTTTTAAATCAATGAGGCCTTGTATTTCATGAGAGATTCCCACCTAATGGTACCCTTCTTAGCTATCCAACTCTGGTTCCTATCTGCCCTTTAATTTAAAATGCCTAAATCTCATCATGCCTTACTTAAAATGTAGGTAATTTCCTTTTAATGGGACATATACTAATAAAATGGTTTCTGTGACATTATCAAACCTTTCATATAATCCACAACGGAATCTGGAATTCAGGTCATAGAAACCAGTTAACAACTGGTTTCTACACAGCCCCAATGTATAGTTAATAAAATGAAAGAAGTTTCAGAAGTTACTGAACAGAGTTATGGAAAGCAGTTAACCTAAAGTCATCATTATTCTCATGCTCAGGGATGGTCAGAAATTGAACCAAGGGACTGATATATCTCACTGCTGTCCAGCAGAAGAACAAATCAATTATTTTCTCCTCCTAATTGGCAAATCTCAAGTTAGCACGTGCTACACATGCAAAGAAACATAGACACTGGCTCTAGAAAGACTTCAGAAATGAGAAGCACCTCATGCAAAATCTTGAACACAAAGGAATACCCAAGAAGTATATTTACTACTGTCAGGCTTATTCAAAATGGTAAGATTCACTCTTGGTCAAGACCATTTTTATAAATGCTCCTGTTATAGAAAATGTCCAGAAAGCAAAACATATTAAAAATGCCTTCAGCTAAAGATAGCAGTCAACCTTTAAACAGGTTTTTAAATAGTTTAACCATTTTTATGAAAATTACATGGGCCGGGCGCGGTGGCTCATGCCTATAATCCCAGCACTTTGGGAGGCTGAGACGGGTGGATCATGAGGTCAGGATAGCGAGACCATTCTGGCCAACAAGGTGAAACCTCGTCTCTACTAAAAATACAAAAATTAGCTGGGCATGGTGGTGCGTGCCTGTAATCCCAGCTACTCAGGAGACCAAGGCAGGAGAATCGCTTGAACCAGCGAGTTGGAGGTTGCGGTGAGCCGAGATCACGCCACCGCACTCCAGCCTGGCAACAGAGCAAGGCTCTGTCTCAAAAAAAAAAAAAAAAAAAAAAAAAGAAAAAAAGAAAATTACATGAACAGGGTCAACAAAATCCAACTCTTTCTGGATGACTCAGATTCCTCGCATGCTCCTTCCTTATAAAGAGATGCTGCCAGGGCTGTAAATTCAGCGGGTAGAGGGTTGGGAGATGCAGGGTACAGTGCACAACCCCAGGACAGTCCCTGAAAATTGGTCACCCTCTAAGGTCTTCTCTATGTTCTTCATAAAAGCTGCCATGGACCCCATGCAGCTGAGACCACCACGGCAGCACACTTAGAAGTTAAGCCACTACTGGCTGGGCATGGTGGCTCACAACTGTAATCCCAGCACTTCGGGAGGCCAAGGCAGGTGAATCACCTGAGGTCAGGAGTTCAAGACCAGCCTGGCCAACATGGTGAAACCCCATCTGTACTAAAATTACAAAAATTAACCAGGCCTCGTGGCGGGCGCCTGTAATCTCAGCTATTTGGGAGGCTGAGGCAGGAGAATCACTTGAATTCAGGATGCAGAGGTTGCAGTGAGCCGAGACTGTGCCATGGCACTCCAGCCTGGGTGACAAGAGCGAGACTCTGTCTCAAAAAAAAAAAAAAAAAAAAAAAAAAGAGTCACTACTAAGTTAATCACTAAACTTGAGGGAGCAGCTTGTCCACCTTTCCTGAAGATGTTTGCTCTCAGTGTTGCCATGAGCATCCTTTTCCTTTTCAGAGGCATTTGGAATCCCGTGTCACCTGGTCTTCTCCCTGCTCTCCATTACTGTGGACTGGTGTTGGCTCCAGGCCAGTGCTGAGCCTGCCAGTTTATCTGCCTGATGTCATCAGGGCGCACAGCCATCCTAGCTGTGGGTAATTACCTATTCCCATCTCACAGATGAGGAATCTGAAGCCAGCAGAACCAAGTCCCTTGCACAAGGTTACCCAGCTGGAAGGGAGGCCCTTGGCATTTTTATGTACTGTCCCCAGCCCCCTGCCTCACCTGCAGTACATCTGTTTGTGGGTGGGCTGGGGAGGAGTGACCACAGTGGTCAAAATCCCCTCTGTGGCCAAACTAAAGTTCAACGCACCCCCATACAGAGGTATAAAACAATCTGTATTTATGGATATTTGAACAAACTATCTGGGGAAATCAAGGCAGCTCAATTACACTGCATGATAAAGTGCAAATTACTGACACTTTAGGTTTTGCCTGTTGAGATTAGGACCTCCTATTTGTATAGGACAATTTGCAAAGCAAACCTAATGAGAGCTTAATCCCCACAGTGACTCTGGGAAGTATTATTTATTACTATTGCCACTACCGGTTTACAGGTGAGAAAGGACTTGGTGGTTAAAGAACAAGCTCAAGGTCACACTGCTGTGAGGGGCCAACTGGGACTGCCACCAGATCCTCCTGCTAATTCAGCCTTGGTTCTTGCCTTTGCACCATGCATTCTTGATGAGGGAGTGGGGACATCATCCTTAGGGAGGGCACAAAAATGGTTCTTGGAGGAGTAAATATTACTCTTTTTACACAGCAGGCACAGGTATACATACACAAAGACATATACAATATATCTGTAATTACAATTTCAGGGGGAGGGTGATTGGGGAAAAATACCTATAAAACTCTCTAGCGGGGTGATAATGCAAAAGAGAAGGAGAAATATTGCTCTGTACCACAGTGCTTCCCTGACTTGGCCAGGGTTATGTTACCTGTTATTAACACATATCTGTTTATGTATGACATTGGGGTCTATTTGAACATACACTTATTGAAAAAGATAAGTTACCAAAGTCACTTTCCCGGTCTTTCTGCTGTCTCTGGATAGTATAATTGACACTGGTAAGGATTGGAGAGGACATATCTTGATTGCTGTCCAACAGAAAGCGGCAAACTCCATGGAAATAGGTAACACTATCTTACATGAACAGCTTAAACACAGACACACATATGAAACTCTTTGCTACCTATTCAACAGGGAATATCAAAGAAATAATAATTAAATCTATTCATATAATGCATTTGCTTCTAGAGGAGGTTCCACTGCCTGTGTGGCAAACCTAAGACCTTTGTGAAACATCAGAAGCCTTTTGAAAAAAAATGCTTGTTAATCGCCTAGACAGTTGAAAAATGGAAAAGCTCAGTGTAGGACATTAGGGCTCTTTAAAAGACTTCTCCTCTACTCAAATATTCATGTTTCAATTAAAACATACACCTACTTTATTAGCCACACCAGGCCCAGTTCAGATCAATAACAGCAGCACTAGATGGAATTCTAATGAAGATAAACAACGCTGAGTCCTCCCAGCTTCCCCTGGGCATGGATGCACAAAGCTTCCTTTCACAGCTTGCTCCAAGATATTTTACAGTCACCTGCCTCACGCAAATGAGGAGACTCATGTTTATTCATGATGAGACTTACAGACCACCTTTCATTCCCTAGGCCAGCTCAGCTAACCAACAGAGCGCCGTCTGCACCACTATGAAGTTGAACTGCCCTAGTAAGGAGACTCCTGAATATATAATTGTCCCCTGAAAAGCATGCACAGAAAGTCAGTAAGCTGCAAACAGTTTGAGAAGCAAACACATTTCCCTTTTTTATTCATGTGTTAGCTGCCTTTAAGGTTTTAAACACAATCCCTTTTCTATCCCACACTATAATCCACTAGATGTGACTAGCTGGTGGTTATTTCCTATGAATAATCTTCATAGGAGATTTCTCAGGATGTTTCCTTCTGTCCTGCTCTCCCGTTCTTCCTAATTGAGATTTTCTCCCATTGACTCGGTTGAAGCTCACAGCCTGGCCAGGGGCAGCTGCAGCTTTGTTTAATGGGCCTGGGTTCTCCCTGTGCACAGTCTCTGCTATTTTAAGGGATGGTTTTTCATTTGCAAGCCTGAGATTCTAAGCTCTATTGTGTGCGCTTAGTTTATTATGCTGCTAGATAAAGTTTCAAGATAGTGCTTTTACTCTAGAGTGACTTCATTTTTCAAATTAGTTTCTTCCATTTTGGTAATCTGAAAGTATGGCACAATCATCTGATCTTGGCTTATAATGTCAATTTTGATAGCGTCTAAAGTAACGCCAATGCTAGGAACAAATATTTTGATGGTTTATAAAAGCGTCAATCATCAGCGAAGAGATCTGGGCAACTAGTAATTGTTGGGGAGGACTTAATTCTCACCAGCCATTAAATATGTGAAAATCATGGGACCTGCTGTTTTTTAGGTTGCTACCGTGTGTTTCACACGGGAAACTAAGGTACCTAATAAAGTTGTTTGGAGGAAGACACTTCCAAAATCCATGAAAATTTCAGCTTAAAGCCTATTTTTGTCAAAGTTACATGGGTTACTAATTCAGTTCAGAATTTACTGTGAAATTCATAGCTTCACTTTTTTTTTTTAACATAGCCAAAAAATGTCTGTTTGTGAAAAGGGCAATTTACTCATTTTTCATAGACAGGCTTTATCTTATTCAGTACAAAAGAACACTCCACAACTACATATACCATTTTTACTTCCTCAGAGCATTTTTACAGTAATTACTTCAATTTATTATCACCCCACCAAAAGACAGGGTGATGTATCCTTTTAAAAACTATTATTATTTTTAGATTCTCAGACATAGAGCTCTGGAATAGCAGATCCAGGATGAAAACCTGGGTCACACAGGTCAACAAGCATCCTACTCCATCAATGCACGAAATTTACAGTAGCTTGTGATAAGTATCACATGTGTTAATGATGGCGATTCTATTAACATAAATCACCTTTAATGATCAAATCTACCTTAATGAAAATACTCATTCATAGCTTCCCCCGCCACCCCCGATGATTTAATTAATCTGTGGTGCGGTTGGCCGGTGGGATAACAGGGTTTTCAAAAGCCCCCAGGTGATTCTGACGTACAGCTAAAGCTGAGAAACACTGCTACACACAGACATATACTCTAAAGTGTATACTCTCATTACATTTTTTTTTTACAGTGGAGTAGTTAGCCACACATGCTTTAAATGAGATTCCCATACCTAAAATATCCAAGTTACTTGTGTCCCCTTTCTTATCCCGCTCAAAAATGAGGATTTCAATGAAATGATTATGGGGCTACTTGTGTGCTGAGGTATCCAGCTGCAGTTTAGCTCTTCTCTAATGCCCATAAAAATGAATAATGCATGCTCTAAAATATTGGTAATGATAGAACACACACTCAATGGCCTGAATCAATGGATTATTCTGCAGAGTGCTATATTGAGAAACTGAAAGAAAGTACTTTTCAAAGCATAAATATTTTAATCACTCTTCAATTCTACTTCTCTTATATAAATAAAAAACATTCCATCTGCTGCTTCCCAAGCCCGGAAGAGCAGACGACAGCTGCTTTTCCAAACACCCTCTTCCAGCAGTGGCATTAACTACCAAGCACTAGATATCTATAAACTGGTGTCCCAAGGAAGGCGGGCTGCAGAAGCTATTCCTGCCTCTGATAGAATCCAGCATAGTTTGTTGGGCAAATCAAAATTTTAAATTGAGGGGCACTCCTTCTCCAGTGAGGAGCTAAAGAAGACAGATAGCTAAGCCCTGCTCACAGAGCCCTGGGTCTCAGGGTTGACAAATAAACCCACCTTCCATGCTCTGTTTACAGTGGCAAGAACCTGAGATAGTGTCCAAGAAAGTTGAAAAGAAATTATGTTTCATGTTGGGCTTTTTTAAAGACATTTCTGAATTTGAATTTGGACAGTCAGAGAATAAGAAAAAAACATTAAATCTATCAGTAACTCACAACTCACATTTGTTCCTAAATTCAATCTCCTCTGCTACCAAGTTAATAACAAGAAGAAAAGTGAACTGATTTAACTTTCAGCTCTTCTCTCTTCTCCAACTTATTATCAAGTAAAGCAGAACAGTGGCTGATAGATGGGCAGCAGAAAAAAATCAGAAAGGCAGTCTTCAAAATGAACCAGAAGCTGTCACAAAGAGGCTTCCTTTTTAAAAAGGCTAGTGGAGGCGGAACAGGGCCATAAAAGAAAAGGGACATAATTATATCTGCATCTGAGCTGTCACTAGCAGAACTCTGTGACAGGTATCATGTCTACCAGCAAAAAGAAAAGCAAACAAAAGGCTCCTCTGTCCGTGTTTCATTAATTTAAACTGATCTACACATCTAAAAACCTAATATAGCTGCAAATCAAATACACACTGGAAATAGGCAGAATAACAGCTTCCCATTGGTGCCTGCATTCCAATCCTCAGAACCTGAGAATACGTTACCTTCTGCAGCACAGGGGAATTGGGGTTGCAGACAGAATTAAGGTTATTATCAGCCAACTTTAAGATGGGAAGATGATGCTGGATTATCCAGGTCACCCAATGTAATCACAAGGTCCTTAAAGGTGGAAGACCAAGGCAGAAGAGGGATCAGGGTGATGGGATGGCATCTGAGAAGGACTCAAGCTGTCTTTGCTGGCTTTGAAGATGGACAAGAAGGACATAAGCCAAGGAATGCAGGTGACCACCAGAAAGTGAAAAAGGCAAGGAAACAAATTCTCTCCTAGAGCCTCTGGAAAGAAACACAGCTCTGCTGCCGCCTTGATTTTGTCCTAGTGAAATCCATTGCTGGCTTCTGAACTATGAACTGTAAGATAAATTTGCATTGTCTAAGCTACTAAATTTGTGGTAATTTGTTGTATCAGCAACAGAAAAGTTATATACGCATGACAAAAATGTAAATACCTGATATATTTTTCTGGTTACATAAGTAAGGCATGCATAGTACTGAAAAAAAGAGAAAAAAAGCAAACACGATGAAAGTATTTAATGTAGAAAATTAAAATTCCTTGTCCTTCCCATCCTGGATTTTCCTCTGATATCTGCTCTTGCCTGATGGCTATTTGGATGTGAGGCAGGAACCTCTGGCCCTCAGGCCTGGAGCTGCCTGTCCTGAGCCATAAACTGTCATCCCTACTTGGCAATAGAGGTGTGACCCCCAGCATTAGTCTATGATCTGTAAACAATGCAAAAAATGGCATTAGAGCTACGGTAAGAAACTGCACCCAAAACCTGGCTCTTAGGTCTTGCTGAAGAGATTTCACAGCCATATAGGCTAATTATGATAAAAGTTTCACAGTGACACTCTGGGGGGCTTGCTGTCACCTGGCAGGGCCCTGAACAGGCAGGATGTCTGCCACCAATCTGAGCACATGGCCATGATAAGCCACAGGGACCCTAGAGCTATGGTCACCTCCCTCCACCAGCTGTGCCCACCTCCTCCATCCTGGGGCCTCCGGCTTCCTTTGCTAACAAGGAACTCTTGGTGCTTCATGTTACAAAATGTAACTTCTATAGGATTTAAGTGTCTGAATGCTCATCCCCAGAGTCAGTCCTCTGCAGAACTTTCATAATATTTTCTACACAGCTTATCTGTGCCTAGATCAACAACAATAATATCTGAAACATTATTATTTGCAGATATTATTCTGCAAAATGCAGAATTTATAATTTAGGAAAAGCAGGATAAATGAGATCTCTCAGAAAGCAGACATCTGATGCCCAAATCCGTAACAACTGGTGAGGTCTCCTTCTCCTGGAGGAACAGGTGTCCCCAGCTCGCAAAGCTGAGGACTGGATGGCTTTCACACAGCAGCACATGAAAGAGCTGAAATGATCCAGGGCAAAGTGGCCTTAGTCCCTTAGCCAATTTCAAAGACTACTGATTTAATTCTCTTTTTTGGTTTGATTGAACAAAGGCCTCCCTGCTCCTCCTTCCCTCTTTCCCAGGGATGATTTGCACCTGAAATGCAAAGTCTCTCACAATCAAGCGAAGTACACTTAGGAGGCTGCAGTTATAATCCTAAGGAAATTAATGGGCTTCTTTTCTCCACTTCCCTTCTTGAATCAAGCCTGTCCTCCGGCATAGCTGCTCAGACACATGACAGCTCTGGATTGCAGCTTCCAGACCAGTGCTCTCCACAGAAGGGCATTACTGGGGTCTATTTCAAGGAATTCAATCGATGACCAAGATGCAAAGGACAGATCGTTGGGATGACAGAGATGATATGGCAAGTGAGATCACTGTGCTGAGGAAGAAACTCAGGTTAGGACCTGACTGAAGCTTAGGTCCTTTTCCTGATTTTCTTTCTTTTCAATTGGTGTTGGTTCAAGATGCCACAAATGAGAAATATAGTGGGAAACAAGGATGAGATGTATATCCAGGGAGAAGGTGACAGGGAGGCAATGACCAACAAGTATATTAAGTGCAGGTGAAATTCAGAGATTATGTTATGCACCAAGCACGCCCATGAAAGCCCCACAGTATGACTGAGGGCCAGACCCTTCGACTCTTACAGTCACAGCCCTTAGTGCTGGGTGAGAGTGGTCATGGGTGATGGGCCTGACCACAGTCACAGCTGTATATAGCAGCAAATTAAAAGTACTAAAGGCTGCAATAGTTATTATTGCTAATCAGGCCTTTATCTAAGGACAAAGATTTTGCTTCTCTATGAAAGCATGGATAGTGCTTCTGCTCTAAGTTGGCCAATGCTCTTCCCTCTGCTGGTTATTCACACACAAATGGAAATGTGAAAGTCACACTCTTGTGAGACATTATGATATAGAAAACTAAAGGACATCTCAGTTCAAAGGATCAAATGCTTACTGTAAACCAAGAAATGTTGCATATAACCTTAATGACTCAGTTCTTGGAAAGGGATCTTTCATTTTAATAAAAATTCTTCTTGACGTAGCTCGGGGCAGATGATCACAACACATCCATAATCCACAAAGAAACCACCGGACTAGGTGGAGCAGTATTCCTGATCTCATTTGCTCTGTACCAATCTCCTGGACAGGTGGAGGGAAGGCCCCTTCCCCGACAGATCTTGCAATATTGACAAGGCATCCCAAACTAATGCTATGAAAGAAAACATTCGCCTTGATAACGTGTCCCAAGAAAAACTCTCTGCTGGTGGCTCCAACTTAGACAAAGGAACAAAGCTGCTCCAAGCGTACCCCCAGAGGGATGAGGTCATCCCCAGCACACAGATTCATGTCTACACAGGGATGTTTGTCTTTCTCCATTCTTGAAGCAACTATCATTGCAATCTTCCTCATTTCCCCACCTTGCCAATTGCCTTCTGCACACAGCCAAGGGACCATGCAGCAGGCCCCTTTAGCGCTGCGGGAATCCCCTGCCTCTATCCGAGATCCACATTACCTTGTTGAAGTCTTCAGAAGTTGCCCTCATTTCCTTCCATGTCTTGTTCAGGAGCTGGATACAGATGCAGAAAAACTCCTCAAAGGATCTGTCGTGGGTGAAGAACATCGGGTGGAAGTCGTTGCAGGTCTCACTAGCTGGAGGAAAGAGATGGAAAATAAGAGAAAAAGTTTTAAAACAGTGAAACACGAGAACATAACCACAGGTATGTGCCCCAAAGGGAGACAAGCGGAGGTATCTTTGGTTCAGGCAATAATGGTGAAAAAGTATTTTTGAAAAAAGCAACCAAAGGATGGCCCCCATACAACTCGGAAGTTTAAGGCCAGATAGTCAGACCTAGCCTTAGACACATATTTTTGGACTCATAAAAGTCAGTCCCTAACCCATGCCAGGACAAGACCCTCTTGGCTTTGTTCCAAAACTGCTGTGTTGATTATGAGCCCTATATCTGCCTTCTTGACCTTATACAGATTATTCAAACTGCCCTCTCAGGCACAGCTCCTCCGTCACCCTCAATTTCCTCTTTCTTATCAGAATAACTGGCAGAAGATGGGTTTTCCTGAATACACGATTAATTGCAACTTTGGAAACAGCATCCATGATTATTTCTCCAGGAGGCTCTTTTCTCTCTCATGGCAGTAAGCAGGGAACATTTGAGATCATTAACCATCTGATGCCATTAACCATTTGTTTTACATTTCCAGGCACAGATGGCTGGAAGTCAAAGCAACCTGAATAGCTTTGAAGGCGGCAACTGGTCCAGTCCTGGGCAAAATCATAAAATCAGCCAAAACTGCCTTCAAGCCCCCATTGTAGAGCTTCCTTGGGTCACACCTAGTGCTCGGAACTTTAGGTCTGGTCCCTACTCTCCTCCTCCTCCTCCTCCTCCTCAGCCCCTCCCATCATCCCATCTGTCAAGCTTACATTTTTATAGCCCTTTTGTAAGTTATACCTCATTTGATCTTTACAGTTCCTCTTACCACTCGTATCTTATGGATGAGGATACTGTGGAGCCCAAGGAACTAAGGTTTGTGACCCCCAGAACCAATACCCTAAGGTTTTTAAAAAATAAATATATATGCTGTTACATACAGTGAAAGTCTTTCTATTTTATTTGGAATCTCTTTTTTTAAAAAAAATATCACTTTAATTTCTGGGATACAAGTGCAGAACGTGCAGGTTTGTTACATAGGTATATATGTAACATGGTGGTTTGCATGAGAGCTGGATGACTTTCAGGCTTTTAAACAGCAGCACATCAACCCATCACCTACGTTTTAAGCCCCACATGCATTAGCTATTTGTCCTAATGCTCTCTATCCCCCAGTCCCCCCACTCCCCAACTGGCCCCGGTGTGTGTTGTTCCCCTCCCTGTGTCCCTGTGTTCTCATTGTTTAACTCCCACTTCTGAGTGAGAACACAAGGTGTTTCATTTGCTGTTGGAATCTCTTTTAAGGTCAATTCATCCTCAAGGCTCAGAATGGAAGGGTTTCAGGCCCTGGAAGTCCAGGACAGGATGGAGGGAGGGGTGGGAGCAGGCTTATAGCAGAGAGCTTCTGTTCTCGGGGAGAGCCCTGGTGCCTGCCATGTGGATGAGCAGCGAATCTACTTAGAATCCTATAGAGCAGGCCCCCAGTGAACAAACCCTGATCAAGCCTCATGGAAACACACTCAAGGATACACGGCTACCAAGCTATTACACACCAACCTCTTCTCTCCTCAACCTTCATGAATACAGTGAATTTCAGACTTCTTAACAGTTTAAAACAACAGCAAAGTGGTGTTTATTTGCACAGCTCACCATTTCTAAAGGGCACAACCCGATTTGAAGATATGGTAATGCTGTTTTCCTCCAGATAAAGTAAGGGCATGGGCCTGGAGCAATGCACAGTCCTGTAGGAAGAGTCCGGGGGTGGGGTGGGGGGACAGAAGATTTGGGTTCAAGTGCAGCCCAGGCCAATCCAGAGCAAGTCATTTTACCTTTCTGAGCTTCAATTTTCTTAACTAAAAAAATGGAGGGCTGGGCACAGTGGCTCACACTTGTAATCCCAGCACTTTGGGAGGCCGAGGCGGGTGGATCATCTGAGGTCAGAAGTTTGAAAGACCAGCCTGGCCAACATGCTGAAATCCTGTCTCTACTAAAAACACAAAAATTAGCTGGGCATGGTGGCATGCCGCTGTAGTCCCAGCTACTCTGGAGGCTGAGACAGGAGAATCGCTTGAATCCAGGAGCTGGAGGTTGCAGTGAACCGAGATCACACCACCGCACTCCAGCCTGGGCGACAAGAGCGAAACTCCGTCTCCCAAAAAACAGAAAAAAAGAAAAAATAGGAAATGAAGTCCCCTCTGCCTTCTCCCTTGGCTTCAAAGCAGATCAAATAAGCCAACTGAGGGCAAAGTGCTTTGGACAGGATACAAGTTAACACCGATATGGAGGGAAGTGGTGGTGATGACAATAAATATTGCACCTGCCTACTGTTTCCAGGAATGTGAGTTTTTCTGTGATTTTTCCACACTAATTCCTAGTCCAGCCTGTTCACATTTCAACAGTTAGAAGCAAAAACATATAAGTGATCCCACCCCAGCCTGTGTTACTAGCAGAGAGATGGCAAATGTGAAGTTTTGACTTGCGATACAAAGCTATTTAAGAAACTCAGAAGATCAACACTGGCAGACTGTGTGGTTTGCTGCCCTGGGCAATGAGCGGTTGGTCTCCCTTTTATAAGCACCAAAGCCAATGAAATTTACAAATCTTCAGCTGTACCTTAAAACACTATTGCCATCTAAGAATTTGTTATTAATCACATTATCACAGTATCATTTTTGGATCTAGTGTGATTATTTGTGTACTTTATGCCCTAAAGTTTTTATGTGATGAGTGGAGCTAAGAAAGCCAGAAAAAGCTGAGACTTGCAAGTCCTACTCTTGCTTGGGTAAAGAGGGAAGTGACATCATTAATAATTAACTAGATAATTCGTTGGGTACATATGGCATGCCAACAGCTCTACAAGCACTATTCTTGTAACAACCCTGGAAGGTAGGCCTTATGGACATCCTCATTTTATATATGAGAAAGGTAAAACTTGGATAAATAACACCTTCCATCATGAGCTTTTTTTAGTTGGCCCCAAATGAGCGTCTGAAACCCACAGTCAGCTGACCCAGCAGCAGGCTTCCTCCTTTAGTTGACATCAAGAGCTCATTGCATTTCTCTGTGGTTGCTGCTTTGAAAATTAATTCCTCCACCCATTCTCTTAGGTCTCCCGTACTCCTCCTTCAACATAAACCCAGATCATGACCTGCAGTCCAATGTGGATCACAGCAAGTGCGTAGCCAGTGCCTGCTGACTGAGAACACTCGGCCATGAGATAGCAGTACCAAGGCCTGCACCGCCAGCAGCCACGCACCGGGCACTGAATGATGGACTTCATAGTCACTTATTATGTCAGGCACAAAAGGAAGATATTACTAACTTCTTTTTAAGATTATAAATAGGAGATTGAGAAAGGCTCGGTGACTTCTCCAAGGTCACATGGTTTGCAAGTGGTGGTGCTAGAATTCAAGGTCGAGTTGGCTCCAAAGCGCATCATTATTCTGCTTCACTTGCTTTCCTCATTCTGTTTCTCAATTAACCCTGCCTCCAATGCACCTCCACCAACACAAATCTGAAACAATTGTTTTTCTATCCACAGAAAATATTTATGAAGTAAAACCTTACAAGAGGCACAGCTTCACCTATTAATGCTGATGTATATTTACTGTGTAAGATTCCTCTGCTTTCCTCCTACTACTTGTGGCTTACATGGAGTTAGACTGGAATACCAGGGTTACGCTCCCCTTCTGGACCTTACTCCTCCTTTCCTGGGTCTGGGCAAAGCTGCACTCTCAACCTTGCTGAGCAGCCAAGAAATCATCTACCTGGTTCCTAGCTTCTGCTGAACCAACCCTTTTTTCTTCCTCAAGATATTTTATCTTTCTCAGCTTCTCTAACGTATCAAGGTTTCCCCAGGTACTCAGGCACTAGGGAAAGGTCACATTGAATGAGTGTATTTGATTTATTTCAAAAAGCTCACCAGCTGGGTTTCATGTTAATAGAACCTGAGTTTTGTTCATGACAACAATGTGCCCAGCTAAAAAAGTACAATTTGCGCCTCCCTTGTGATTAAGAGTCGTCATATGACCCAATCCCAAATAATAGATAAGTGAAAACTGCTGGGCACTGTTCCCAGGAAAGACCTTTAAAAGGGGAAAGACTTGGTTGACTTGTGGCCTTTTGTCTCTGCCTCCCCACTTCAACTTCTTCATGTCTGGAACACAGGACTGATGACTGGAGCTCCTGCAGCCATTTTGTCAGCATAAAAATGAGGGCTATACCCTAGACAGTTAGTAGGAGCTCCTGATGACACTGTGGAGACACCACAGCAAATGGAATTGGAATTCTTTTGAATGTAATTCTTTGTACACAATTTGTTGGTATGTAATTTGTTTAAGCCATGTGAAATTACTAATATATTAAAAAAAACCCAAGCAAGCACATTGACAATAGCATAAGAAAACATGTGCTCAAGATCACTGGAGGTCAGAGAAAACACAGGAATGAGGAGGCAGGATAGAGAGTGAGACAGACTTGCATTCGAATAATTAAATGTGATGCCCCCTAGCGTGCCATAGAACTTTAGACAAATAAACCCCCCTGAACCTGTTTCCTCATCTGTGAAATATATAACTACATAAAGTCCGTAAGCATCAAGTTAGATTATGTATATAAAGTGTGCAGTAAAGTGCCTAGCACATGGCATAGAATTAGTAAACAGTGGCTATTAGTTACTATTTTTTTTTTTTTTTGAGACAGAGTTTTGCTCCTGTTGCCCAGGCTGGAGAGCAATGGCGTGATCTCAGCTCACCACAACCTCCGCCTCCTGGGTTCAAGAGATTCTCCTGCCTCAGCCTCCCAAGTAGCTGGGATTATAGGCCTGTGCCACCACACCTGGCTAATTGTGTATTTTTAGTAGAGACAGGGTTTCTCCATGCTGGTCAGGCTGGTCTTGAACTCCTGACCTCAGGTGATCTGCCCGCCTCACCCTCCCAAAGTGCTGGGATTACAGGTGTGAAACACTGTGCCTGGCCTACTTACTATTTTTAATCAAGCACATGGCATAGGCTTAGTAAATGGTAGCTATTAGTTACTATTTTTTTTTTATGAAGTCTTGTTTTGTCGCCCAGGCTGGGGTGCAAAGGTGCAATCGTGGCTCACTGCAACCTCTTCCTCCTGGGTTCCAGCGATTCTCCTGCCTCAGCCTCCCAAATAGCTGGGACTACAGGTGCACGACACCACGCCTGGCTAATTTTTGTGTTTTTAGTAGAGATGGGGTTTTGCCATGTTGGCCAGGCTGGTCTCAAACTCCTGACCGCAGGTGATCTGCCCGCCTTGATCTCGCAAAGTGCTGCGATTACAGGCATAAGCCATCAGGCACAGCTAGTTACTATTTGTAATCAAGTACATGGCATAGGCTTAGTAAACGGTGGCTATTAGTTACTATTTTTAATCATCATTCTCAGCACATTATATAGCCTCTTAAAGACTCCAACAATTCTAGGAGATGAGGAAGGAAAGAGGAATCTGGTGAATGGCCTTTAGGGTCCCATAGATAAGCGGGGGGCGGGGGTGCTTAGAGTCAACCAATCATTCTTGATGATATGTCAAAAACCTACTGAACTATTCAGACTTCAAAGCTGAAATTTCACATGAGGAGGTAACTGTGTAGGGTAATATTCTAAGAGCTTTTCCTGTCTGAACTCTCTGAATGTGTAACAACGACAAAGGTCCTATTATTATCATCCCTGTTTCACAGATGAGAAAATTGAGGAACTGTGAAGATGAGTAACTAGCAGCAACAGTGCCAGAAATCAAACCCAGCATTGTATCTCCAGCACTGGTGTTTCTGACCTCCACATGAAGGGGTTGGCCTGCCATCATTCTAAGATTCTTGAAGACTCCTCCTTTGCAGGGAGATACAGGCAAATAACAAAGTAAGAATAACTTGGTTCTTGACAGGTAACAAAAGAAACAGTGAAAAGGCTTTTGTGTATTTGGATACAAACTTCATCATTTCGCTGTGAGGATCAAATGGGAACAGTGACTAAGACAGCAAGCTCAATCCAAGTGTGGGCCAACACGGTGGCCATGTTCACCATTTATCAAGTGGAGCCTCTCCCAGGCTACACGTTTATACACGAGAGCTTGTCACCTTGCAGAGATAGCCTAAGTCTAAGAATAGAGTTCTTAGGTTTAAATAAACAAAGAAAACCAGGAAGGGTGAGGTTTATTATTGTTTTTAAAGGAAAACAATACTTACTGAGAAAAAAGAATTAGCAGACAATATTTTATAAATGAAATTTAGAGAGACACTTTCAATGGGACAAAAATAGTAAGACGTTTAAAAACGAAATTGTTTTAATCACACTATTTTTAACACAATGAGATTTTACTTTATTTTAAAAACCCAACACAATGGTTTTTTAAGTCTGGAATATTAAGATATTTTCAGGACTGAGGGTACAATTTGCTGATATCTCATTCACTTATAAGCAAGCCAGCTTTGAAAGCAGCTATAACCTGAACATACATATTTTTAAAAATAAAAATAAAATGCTGTACACTTATGTACCACTTTGCCTGTCAAAGTAGATATGTTCCTATTTTTCACTGGGTAATGTGTAGTGGGGCAGGTATTGTCACTGGCTCTCAGAAAACAAGGGTTACTGCACTGTAGCAAACAAGCAATGAAAAATGAGCGTAGGGAATGGGTCTAGAGCTGACCATAACCTTACAAAGGTCATTGCAGCTCCCTGGGCTCCAGATTTCCTACCTGCAAATGAGTTGGGCTAATGGATTTGTAAGACCCCTGCCAAGTCCAAAATTCCAGCAGTCTCCATATACATAGATGCCAGATAATACATCTTCAACTCCCCAAAGCCCATCCAAAATTGTAGAACTTAGAGAGTCTGCCTGCACTGAACTTTAGTTCCCAAACTACTATTTCCTTTATTGACAGGATGACTACACATTTAATTTAGAGTGTGAAGACATTAGAGTGGTATTTGATAGGTTTAGCAAATGTTTGATGAGCAAGGATTTATTCTTTCTTTCGTAAGAAAATCGCCAATTGTTTTTACACTTTCTCAACTTGTTAATCCTACCTAATGCAGACCATTTCATAAGGAAATTACTTGACTAATGATAGAATGATAAGACGACGGGAAAATGCATACCATTTTCGCTCTCACAGGAATTTTCTAAAGACAAATACACATTTTGAGATGCTGAAAAGCTCTGTTCCATCCTTTCTATGACCTTGGTGATGCTAAGAGAGACTCTGAACCCATTTACAAATAACAGAGATTTGGGAGCACTGGGCAAATATGAATATTTTTTACCATGACTTCATGAGCTATTGCAACTGCCTTTGGAAATGGTGCACTTTGAAAAACACACGCACTGGCCTAACACAATGGATGTTTTGTTGTAAAATTATGAATTACAGGAAAAATGGAATATATCATACACACACAAAGGCATTTAACACAGAAAACCTGTTAGAGCAGTCATTAAAATCTGCCTGGTGATCCACAGCACAGAAACTTACATTAGAACTATTTGTGGTTCTAGGGTCAGTCTGGATAATATATTTATGAATTCTCTGATGCAGATGTATATTTATTCCTTTGTATAAAAATAATCTTACCGTACTTAGAAAACTTTGAGTTTTCTATTTTTAAACCTGGTATTCCTTAACAGTTTGATTTTGGAAGGTGGTACTGCGTGGGGAGATGCTAAAAGTTCAGAACCTTTTGTAGGTGGGAGAGGTGAAAAGAGGAGAGTGGGGTCAAGAACTTGAAGTTCCTTCACTGCCTATGAGTTCAGCCTAGATAGAAGCTACCACCCCTGCTATTTCAGGACAGGGGATCAGAGGCTTTAAACCTTCGCAGCTCTTCTCAGCTCCTGAAGTCTGGTTTAATAGAACTCTGGATAGTCTTTTGTATCCTAAAAATAGTATAAAATTTATACTGAAAAATAGCATGAAATTTATTCAATGCTTCATTGTTCACCTTCCCTTGGGCCTTTTTTGAGGACATGGAGAGAGGAAAAAAAATACCGACTAGTGTTAAGGCTGAAAATCAGCCTCATAGCACCAAAAGACAGCCAATTCAGCAAAAGTAATCAGAGGCCACATCCCAGGCACACAGTTAATAAAAGAGCAGAGCTTCTGCAGTCAGGTTGGCCTGCATGCAAATGTTGACGTCACTATTTAATAGCAATGTGACCTTGATCACCTTAAAATTCCTCCAGGCCTCTATATCCCCATTAAAAAAAAAGAAAAGAAAAGAAAAAAAGAAAAACCAATGGTTTCTATCTTATCAGATTGCTGTTAAGATTAAATGTAGAGTGATTCATATGTTAACCGAGATAAAGAACTCAATACATGTCAGTCGTTACTAGTTTTAATAACAAAGTAATTATTATTGTACCTAGCTAAAATGCCAAATTTGGAAAACTTTTGGGACCAAATATAAAGACTTGTAAAATGACAGCAATGAAGACAGTGTGGTATTGGTGTATGGATGGAAAAACAGAACAATAGAACAGAATAGGGAGTCCAGAGACCCATATATACAGTCACTGGATTTATGACAAAAATGACACTGCAGTGGAAAGGAATTTCAATTGGTTGAATTGGGCCAGTTGTATATGCATCTGGAAGAAATGAATTATGACTCCCTACCTCATACCATCTGCAAAGATCAGTTCTGCGTGGATTATAGATCTCAGTGCAAAAGGAAAAACAATAAAGTTGTTTTCATGTAAGAATATATTCATGACTTTAAGGTGGGCGAAAGTTTCTTAAACAAAACAGAAATATCATTAATCATAAGAAAACTGTTTGATTCTATTATATTAAACTCAAGAACTTGTTTGTCAAAATATACAATAAAAATGGCAACTTTGGAATAGAGAAAAAACTTCAACATTATCTAATAAAGAACTGGTATCTATGATATATAACCACTCCTATAAGTCACTAAGAAAAAGACAGACAACCCAGTAGAAGAATGGGCAAAACGTAAATAGGCACTTCACAAAATAGGACATATAAGTGGCCAATGAACACATGAAAAGGAGCTAAGCTTTTTAAGTCACAGAAAAAAATATGCAGCTTTAAACAACAATGAGCTACTTTTAAACATCCACCAGAAGGGCTAAAATAAAAGATGGAAAACATGAAGTGTTGATAAGAATGTGGAACAAATGGAATCATCATCCACTGTTGATGGGAGTGTAAAATTGTTCAACCACTTTGTAAAACAGTTTAGCAGTATTTACTAAAGCTAAAATATTCTTACTTTATAATACAGCAATTCTAGCCAAAGATATAAACCCAACAGAAATGCATACATACGCATTCCAAGAGAAATGTATATGAATGTTCACAGCAGCACTATTTGTTACAGCCAAAAACTTGAAACAATCTAAATGTCCATCCAGCAGATTGGATAAATAAATTATGGTTTATTCATACAGCAGCATACTTACTACAAAGAAATTATTTTTAAAAATGCTACATACAATATGAGTGTATTCAAATAACTTTCACAATAGCATGAATGAACTGAAACAAATATAATGTGGAGCAAAAACAGCCCCACATAAAAGAGACCATAGGATATGATCCTATTTATTTAAAGCTCAAAACAGGCAAAATTCACAGATGATAATGCAAACAGGGTATTGGTTCTTTTGGAAGAGAGAAGAAACTGAGAGTGGGAAGATGGCCCAAGAGGGGGCCTCTGAGGGTTGTTTAATATCTTTTCTTAATCTAGATAGCAGTTACATGGGCAGTTGGCGGTTTGGAAATTCATTGAGTTGTGTGTGTTCTTTGGATTTGAACACCTCTATGTAAGTTACACTTTTTATGAAAAGTTAACTTAAAAAGGTAGAATATGAGCTTTCCAGGAGCAGATATCCTGTCTATCCAGTAGACAAGATAAAACTATAACATTTCATACATATGATTTCAGTGGGCTTTTCAGAATGAGTGTGTATATCCTGCCCATCACCTCTAGAAATAGGGATTGACATTTTATGTAACTAAGTTTACTGGCTGGGTAAAAAAACTACATAACTGGTTTATGCAGGCATCCTGGACCAATCACCTAACTGCTATCAGCTTCTGAAGTTGGGCAGGGGGTACCTCTCCATACCTAAACTTTAGTTTAATTTCATCTGTTGGATGGATAAACGAGTATATGCATGCATTTTGTTTTTTTTGAGATGGAGTCTTGCTCTGTCACCCAGGCTGGAGTACAGTGGCACTATCTCGGCTCACTGCAACCCCCGCATCCTGGATTCAAGTGCTGGGATTACATGTGCGTGCCACCAAGCCTGGCTAATTTTTGTATTTTTTTTAGTAGAGACAGGGTTTCACCATGTTGGCCAGGCTGGTCTTGAACTCCTGACCTCAAGTGATCTGCCCACCTCAGCCTCTCAAAGTTCTGGGATTACAGGCATGAGCCACCGGCCTATGAATGCATTTTCTTTCGTGAATGGAGATCCCAGTCTTATTGAAGGGTACTGCAGATGTCAATGCAAAAACTGTAATAGACTTGACTAGTTGTGTATGAACTCTAAGAAGTGTTGCACGTTTCTTTCAAATCATCTCCCTCTCTTTTTCCTTCCCTCCCTTCCTTCATCCATTTATGGGTGCTTCCTTTCTCCCTCCTTCCCTCCTTTTCTCCTTCCTTCTGTCCATCCATTCATGTGCACATTATTCCATCTGTCGGTCGGTCCATCCATCCATCTAACTAGCAAGACGGTCACGAGCATGGCCCTGGAGCCAGTCTGTCTGAGTTTGGATCCTGGCACTGCCACTTATTATCTGTGTGACCTTGAGCTCATGAGCAAGGACAGATTGGTAAAAGGCAAGGCTGAAGAAACTGGCAGGCATCAGTTCGCACAACGCTTTGTAGACTGCATTAGGGAGGTGAACTTCAATGGGAAGCCATTAAAGGGGTTAAAATAGGAGTGTGATAAAGTGACAACTTTCCATCTCTTTTCTTACTTTTATTTTGGTCTCTGTTTAATGAAATTAAAATTCAGGTGATCTGAGGATTCTTGTTATTCTGGAATCCAGTGAACTGATATTTCAGCGTATTATGGATGAGTGATGAACCAGGTAAATACCTTAGCACAAAGTGGATAGGAGTGTCATTCTAGAGTTAGGACTGCAGCTAGAATTCTCCCTCTGCCACTTAACTGTGTGATCCCAACCAAGTCTGTTCATGTCCCTGAGACTCTTCTACTATGATGGGAATAACAAAAACTCATATCTTGTAGAATTGACTGAAGATATAGTGGAAAGATTCCCATAAAATGCTTAGTCCAGCACCTGACATTTGGTAAGCACTTCATAAATATTAGTCATAAAATGTTACACAGAATACAAATATGATTTTTTTTTCAAAAAAGTCCTTGATTTAAGGTTTAACTTGTGGTGAAATCTTATTTACTTAGCTTCGCGTTAGAAAGGTACCCTGATCTCCTAGAAAGTTATAGAGCAGCATTCCCAAGGTCATCTTGTGAGATGTTGAACTGAAAGGCAAAATATGCAGAAATTCCAGCAAATTAAGATTTCTGGTAAGTGCATGCTAAGTAACCCCTGGGAATTTGCTTATAATTGAAAAATGGTCTTGCCAATAGGCTCTGTGTTTGCTCTTTTCCTTTGTCCTCCAGTTGAAAACAATCAAGATGTGCACAGAAACAGAAGCTGGATCATTTACCCTTCATCCGTTGGCAAAATAATCATTTACTGGAGCTGCTTTTAGGTCTAGGAAATGCTGTTCTTGGCCCAAAGAGAAAAAATAACAATAAAAAACAACAACAATGAAAAAATTTTTTGGAGAGGAGTATCAAGTTTGTGATGTGAATTAGCAATGCAAAACTGAGTATGAAACACTTATCTTGCTAAATAGATTTTACTTATCTTCTGGGAGTGGTATTGATGAGGCATAGGGAGATGTAGCTAATTCTATGCATCAACCTGACTGGGCCAATGGGTGCCCAGATTAAACATTATTTCTGAGTGTGTTTGTGAGGGTATTCCCAGTTGAGATTAACATCTGAATAAGTGGACTCAATGAAGTAGATAGCTCTTCCCAAGGTGTGTGGGTAACGCCCAACCCTTGAGGGTCTGAATAGAACAAAAAGGTGGAGGAAAGAGGAACTTAGCCCTTTTTCTTGCCTCACTGCTTGAGCTGGGACATCTCGTCTCATTTTCCCCTGCCTGTGGACTGGGAGTTACATGATCAGTTCCCCTGGTTCTCAAGTCCTTGGACTTGGACTGAATTACACCACCAGCTCTTCTGGGTCTCCAGCTTTCAGATGGCAGTTTGTAGAACTTCTCAGCCTTCATAACTACATGAGATTATTCCTAATGATAAATCTCATATATATATACTTACATACATATATATCATATATATTCTATATATACATGAGATTTATAAGGATTCTCTGTCTCTCCAAATATATATATTATATATTCTATCTATCTATCTATCTATCTATCTATCTATCTATCTATTTTTTTCTATTGATTCTGTTTCTCTGGATAACCCTAATACAAGAAGGAGGAGCAGAAGATGAAAAGGAAAATTCTAGTTGTGTGGTAAACAGTTCAAGGCAGGGCAAAGGAAAATATATGCAAGAAGTGATTTCTGCATACCCTTGTTAAAACTTTCTTTACGAGGAAAATTATTCAGAGAAGTGGCGCATTAAGAGACTGTCATATGGCAAATTTACTGTGGATATAAGTAATTGCCTGTCCAACCATGTGAGATGGGCACCCAAGGATTATGTTGGGATACAGGCAGATTAATGAGCAGCTGGGATGTCCCTCACTGAAGACCCAGTAAGAACTGTGTCTGTCTTGCAGAGCCATGGTGTGACTTTAGATTACACCTTAACCTGGGGCTCAGAGCATTAGCCACGTCTAGGGAGCTGGCAAAATGGGCTAAAAATAAGCAATTCTGTATTGGATAAATGTGAATTTAAGGATAAATGCCAAGGATTGCTCATTGAACAGGTTCTTTCTTATCTTTGGTGCTCTGTAACTGACTCCCCTTCAAAAGTCATTACCTTGTAGTGATCACCTGTAGCTGTTAGAAAAAAATGCAAATACCTTAGCAAGGCATTCAACACTCATCTAAACTTGAGCCCACTCCACTACTTCTTGCTTTTCTCTGTGAATGCACCCTAAATTCAACCATAATTTATACCTCTGTGTCAAACAAACCACCCCTGATTGCATTTCCACATGCTTAGCTCTTGGTTTTCCCTCTACTTGGACCCCACTGAGTCAACCTCCAAAGCCCAGACCTCTGCTAATGGCACTTCACTTCTAAAGCTCTGTCCCACTTCTTTATGCTTCCATAGGTCTTTCATTTCCTCCTTCTATTTGGATTCCCACGCCTGATTAGAAACCTAGGGAAAGTGGAGAGGCTGGCTTTGTCATGTCTGCATCCTTCACGGCTCTCACATGGCCAGCCTTCCAGAAACACATGACTGCACTCCCTTCCTTGGTTTCCTGCCTCCTCATGCCTCCAGCTACATGCTTTTCTTCTATGTGGCTTTCATTATGTTCCACTTCAGGCACAGATCGTGGAGTATCCCTGAACATACACCACAGTCCTCCTGCAGCTGGGCCAGCACAGACACACAGCACTCTGGAAGGCTCCCCACAAGCTTCACCCACTGCCTTAAAATAGTTCATCCTTCAAAATGACCCATTCTTCCTCCCTCTCTCCCCCAACTTTCTGAAACTGAGTGTAGGTGTTCTCTTAAAAGAGAACAATGAATAACATCACAAAGAAGCAAATTCATTGCACAAATTCAACAGAAAACAAAAGCAAATCTGATTACGTTTTTAAAATACAGAGACATAGCCCTCCTCTGTACAACTGCCAACACCTAGTCCCCAGCAAGGGGATTCCCTTTACCATGCACCACCTGCCCCATTTACAGGAACCTACTTTGAGCAGGGGTACTGGGCTTAGTGCTCATCTCAGCCTCTGTCATGATAAACATATCACCTCAAGGACTGCATAACATTGTCAACTATGTGTTAATCCTGGACAAAGGCATTTAAGGGAGACGCAGGGGATATTAAGGGAATGATCCATTGATAGTCATGCTTTTGCTAATGTGAGATTCGAAAGGATAGAGATGTATACTAGTAAACAAAAATAGAGTTAAATATTTTAATATTTTTGCCTATTTACTGTTTGGTTCAGTCCCTTAAACAAGTGAGGGTGGCAAGGACCATAGCTCTTTGCTACCCAAGCTCGTGTGGGAAAGGTTGTGAGTGGAACACAGAGAGGCGCTCTTAGCACATGAACACAACCCCAGACCCCAAGAAGCATATCCTCCAGCACTGTGATAACAATTTAGGAAAAGGTCAAGCTCCACACAGGCACTTAACTGAGATTTACCAAAAAAAAAAAGGAATGCTAAAGGATAAGGCATTAAATATCAAACCAGTAACAGCTGGCTGGAAAACTTGAAAAGGACATAATCTGAGTAACATGACACTTGGGGGAATCTGCTTCAGCAAATTAAGAGAGCAGCCTAGAAAGGTGAGTTGTTTATCTTAGAATATTGCAATGACCATACTACGAGAACTGTCTTTTTTTTTTTTAACAAGTATTTTCTCATTTAATCTTCATAACAGTTCCACAAAGTTAGTGCAGCTATTATCATCCCCATTGTACAGATGAGAAAACAGAGGCACAGAGGAGTAAAGGATCTTGCCCAGACTCACAGAACTAACAAGAGGGAGAGCCAGGGTTTAACACCAGTTTGGGTACAGAATTCCCGGTATTTTGCTGCTCACTGGAGAAGTATTTCCTTTCATGGACAATTTTTAAGGCAGAAAGTTAATACTTTCTAGAAAGCTTATTTGCCGTGATTTTTAAAAACAGTTGATTCCACTTCTTTTTTCCTCCGACCTACCATTTTTATGGAGACTTGATCTTGCCAACTATCATAATTTTTTGGACATGCAATCCTTACAGTTGATAAAACAGCACAGAATTTTCCAATTTATCCATGGCAGACATGTATTCCCATAGAAATTTTATTGTTTTAATATTACTGGGGAGAAAAGTAGACAATTCACAGACTTTTCATTTCAAGGACTACTTATTTGTTTATTGGTTTTATAAATCCTGCTCTTTAAAAAAAAATTATTTGAGAGAAAGTCTTATGGTCTTGCTAGGATGGACAGCAGTGGCATGATCACAGCTCACTGCATCCTTTAACTCCTGGGCTCAAGCGACCGTCCCGCCTCAGCCTCCCAAGTACCTAGGACTATAAGCATGTGCCACTACACCTAGCCGATTCTTTATTTTTTGTACAGAAAAGGTCTTGCTGTGTTGCCCAGGCTGTACATTCTGATTTTAGTAAACAAGACACCAAATCCATTTCCTTTAATAAAAGGCTAATATCCTGAAAGATTAAGAAAATCAAGCTAATCAGACCAATTTATTTCTTGCCATGCATTTATATAGTGCTTAATATATAACAGCCACTGTTCTCAGTGTTTTACAATTATCAAATTATGTAGTTCTCCTATGAACTCCCCATAAGACAGGTTTGGGTCTTATTTCCATTTCATAGGTGAGAAAAATGAGTCACAGAGAGGCTAAGTGACTTGCCCGAGTCACACAGCCAGAGAGAGGCAGAGCCAGACGTACGTGCAGGAGGCAAGCAGCTTTCAGAGGTTGTGATCTTAACCAGATCTGTGCACAACCAGTGTACTCAGAGGTCTCCTTGGCCCAGAAGCTAAATAAATACATAATTGCTGCCATTATGCAGTAGGAGATGTGAATTTGCCCACAGTTCACATAAAAAGACCACAGGCCTCTTTGATCCTGACTGATCACATACATATCAAAGATTACCCCAGGTGTCTCAGGTTTTAGAATCTCTCATCAGTAAGTAGCCAAATTATATCAGTTTGAATCATTACAAACAATTCCATGCACACTGATTTCTTTAAAAAAAAAAAATCACGGCGATTATGAAGATTATGTAAGTACTGGATTTCTTTATTTCACAGAAAGAGCCTCAAAACCAAACCAAAACAACCAAACACAACAGATGTTAGTGTTTTGGTGGTATTTTGGGAAATAAATTTGAGTATAACACAGCATACTCACTAGGGTGTGCTCTCAGAATGTATTGAACATACAGACATCCTGGAAGGGAATCTGGTTTTGCAGTTAATAAAAATTATTTGCACCATAAAAATGCCCTAATAAAATTAGGCTTAAACTCTTGTTATTGGTATAAGGAGTCTACTTTTTCATTCTCCACAGCATCGTAAGCTAATTGGTATTCCTACGAATAAAACATTCTTTTTTTATTCCTGGGCCACTGGGATGGAGGCATGTATAGATTCTGCCTTAGAAATGTATGTTTGTGAAGAATTAGAGTCTTAAATTAATGGGTGAAGATCTTTTTTAAAACCTTAGTTTCCTCCTAAGTTATTCGTAATACTCGATGTCTGCTACTTTTTTTCTTCAGTCTTACTGACTTATAATGATAATCAACCCCCGAAGGTTCTATAAGATCCCTGCAAGTCTTTTCAGGTGGCTATAATCCAATCACAGACATTGCCTCCAGGAGAATTTGCCCTAAACCAAATTCAGTGAGGGCTACTTTCCTCTCCAGCTTCTTGGCGGCCATCTTTCTCTCTCTCTCTTTTTAAAAATCTTCACTAAGGAGAGACCATTTTAGATAAGAAAACAACTTAATGAAAACCTAAGGATGAGACTAAACATAAGATGCTTTTAAAGGAAGAAAAATACTGATGAAATTGTTCAGAACTTCCTCCTATGTGAAATGCAAGTTGATACTCTCAGGCATTTTTGTTCCTATTCCTCACAGATATTTTATTTCATTTCTTAGTCATTCAATTTTGTTACTAATACTTGAAACTGTTTTTTTTTCCTCTCCCCTGACAAATGCATTCTGAAACTTTCATTTTATAAACACTTGCCAATTCTCTAAAACAAGAGAGCATTTTTACTATTCTACAACACATAGCAGTGACCCAGGATATCTTATATGGTTAATATAACGTACAATAAGATACCCAATATGACAACATGGTTCTTAGTAAGAAAGACATTCTATCGAGTGTGTATATACTCTTGTGGATTCCTTATGAATGGCTTCAAAATTATTTGATAGTCATTACTACCTCACAGGGGAAAAAAGCATCAGCTCACTAATACTGGAGAAGAGATACCTGGATAATTGTTCTTCTTCCCAATCTCCTTGCTCTTTCTCGTCTCCTTCATAGATTTGTTTTTTGTTTTTGTTCGTTTTCCTTCTGCCCAAAGTTCTTTTCTCACCATTCTTTTCTTCTCACTCTTCACTCCTGCACTAGGAGGACTAATCTGGTCCTGTAGCTTCTACATTCATAGATGCCAAATCTCTATTTTGAACCAAGATAGTTTCCTGAGCTCCAGACAACTCCTTATTGGACACGCCCATCTTAGCCACATCTCTTAGCCACCTCAAAGTCAAAATTGACAAAACATAACTCCTATTCTTTATGGCTTATCCAAACTTACTAGGTTCTCCATCTCAGCTATTTTTGCTCAGTTGACTCTTCTCTCAATCACCATCTCACAAATATATTATATTTACTCCTTTCCTTTCCCACTGCCACTGACCTTGGTTCAGGTGCTCATCACTGCTCTTCCGGATTAAGACAAAAGGCTACAATGGTCTCCCAGTCTCGGGACAGATCCATTTCCCTCACTGTCTTCCATGAGGAGCTCATCAAAACCTAACTATAGCCACATGTATAGCCTCTGCTTAAAATCCTTCAGATAAAGTAACGCCTCTTCACAACACGGACCCTGACTCGCCCTGAATGAGATGGTTTCTGGGTCAGCTTGAAAAAATGTTTCCAGAATGCATTTGCCAAGGGAAAAGAAGAAAATTTTGCATTTGCAAAATTTTGAGAAAATAAGACAATAATGAAAAACATAAACTGTTTGGAAGACTTTTAGACTTAATACATGCTTTTCCCTCTGCCTTAATCACCCTTCCTCATCTCAATTCGCTCCTCAGTGGTAACTCCTGCAGGTCTTTCAGAATCCAGAGCAGTTGTTCCCACTTCCAGGGGATTCTTTTACGCCCATTCTCTATAGGCTGAGCCTTCTAAGTGTCTCCATCTGACCCTCTGCCACTTTTCCAATGCTCTGTTTGCTTTTTTGTCTCCTTGTGGAAATTCTAATACCCTTGAGGCTTAGGACTACGCCTTCTCTGTCTTTATATATTCAGTACTTAGGGCCTCAAAAAATGTTTGTGGAATGCATGTTTACACGTGAAGCAGGCCTTACCCAATGGAGCCGAGTTCTTGAAGTCACCACATTCAAAAATTATTCTTCTCCTCACATTGAAATATTGCACTGAAATATTATATTCTTGATAGTGACAGTTAATCATTAAACATCCTTCCCCACTGGCAAAACAAAACATGACCACAGGAGAAGGCTCCGTGGAGACCATGCCCACACATTTCAGTGCCTGGGCTAAAATAAGCATGTAAGTGTGTAGGACTGATCATCATATTGCACCAGGAAGCGCGCCCTTCCAGATTTAAAAATATACTTGTTTGGCTTGATTCAGGCTGCTCCTCATTCCAGGCCTGCGTGAGTCATTGGAGAAACATCCTATTAGAGTGCACCCCTACTGATTGGCTTCCTTTGTATGTTCACGGTGACTCAGAAGAGATGACTCACAGTTCACGCTTATGACAAAAAGAACTTGCTCTCCCTTCCTTTTCATTACCCATGTTTTGCAGGCTTTATTGGCACCTTTGAAAAACATCTAAGGGAGCAAGGGAAAGGAAAACACAGGGGGCAGCCTGAGAATTGGCACTACTTATTTTTAACAAGCAACCCTACTTAAAGCACCTTTCATCAGAGCAGCACAGATATACTTTGGAGGCCTAATACATCCAATGCTCACATTATTCCTGGAAGGTCAGTAACTGGATGCTATTGCTCCACCCTGCCAGTTGATGGAAAGGAGGGATGCTCGAAGGACATAAAGATACTTCGCAATGTCCCTCTGCAGGGCTGGCACCCAACGCTGGGCTCTCAGAGCCGCTGTTGATAAAATGGCTGGTTAGATCATCCTCTCTTGGTTATAATACCCAAAGCCTTGGCCAAGGAGAGAGACATTCTCCAAAATAATCAGTGGTCAAGCAGTGAGCATGAAGCAAAGTGAGAGGACAATCCAACCACGACAATCTTCTGGATGCCTCAAGATGCTCATGACCTGTCACTGGCAGAAACTGTTGGGTTCTGTGCCAGTTACAAACAACAGAGGTTAGTTCCTTTCATTCCACTTCAGAAAACATTTCTGAGTACTTATCCACAGAGATGGATCAGGCATAGACTCTGACCAGGAGAGCAACAAGATAAAGTGCAGTGAGTTATACACCACAAAGTAAGGACAGGTCAAGTGTCTGGAGAGTCCAGGGGAAGAGTTGGCTTTATTTTTTAGAGAAACTGGCATTTGAATTGCACCTAAGGATGGGTGGAATCTAAATCATACTTCTACACTTCATCTTAGCCAAAACGCCGAGAAGCGATAAAATCATATTTCTGAATGTGTTTTTCCTTCAGAATAATTTACTAGTCAGGCTCATCTCAAATTCCATTTACATTCAGACTCCACATTCCATAATCGCTGTCTCCTGGAAGCCATTGAAATGCATGCATATACGTCTGCCTGCAAAGGAGACACTTCTGTGTGCAGTTCTGGGTGGGTTTATGGTACCCAAATAAACGGAGCAGGAGGAGCGCAGACGGGCTAAGTCCAAATTGTTCCCCCTTCCAGGGGATCCTTGTGCAGTGAGCTCTGCCTATGCTTTAATAAAAGGGGATAAAAATACTTGCCACCTACTTACCTCCGAGACACACTGCAAGGCTGGATCGTGTTCACGGCAGTGTGAATTTTTCAGGAGATAAGTGATCTATGAAAACAAAGCTTTATTATCATAAATGTTGAGCGAAAATGAAGCAAAACCAATGTCTAGGCCATGTGTTTAGTGTTAAAAAAAAAAAAAATACACCAAACAGACACTGGATTATAACTTTCCAGCAAGCCAGCATTCCAATGTCAAGGCCTGAATGTCCCTTCCCAGGGAGTAGGGCTACAAGGGTCCCGGTACACTGAATATCTGATGAAATGAGGCAAATGCAGTGTTTTGATGACAGATGTTTCTGATAAGAATACAGAATTTGGAAAAGAAATTGCAAGGCAAATCTGTCCCATGATGTGAGATCAGGGACATGAATACTGGAGACTAAGATCATCAGAATTGATCCCTAAAGAACTGCGAAGAGATGTGGAGGAAACTAAGAGAAAGACTATTCATTGCCCGAGGCAGAAGGGAGTGGGTGGTTCAGAATCTTCAGGGGTGCGGAATAAAGACAACAGAAGATAAAGGGAGGAAGCGAACAGTTAGCTAGTAACTCTCTCAATTAGGTTTAAGATAAGAGAGACAGTGCTGTGCCAAAAAAAAATTAGAGCATTAGTGGACTTACTTACATTGTATTCCCATGTACAAATCAGATATACGTTTAGGAGATGAATTACTTCTAATTCCTCACAACTTCACACAGTTGAGAGATCAGAGGGAAAAAAATGTGTAATAACATGAGTTAAATTGTGACCTTCCACCCTCAAATTCCTATGTTGAAGTCCTAACCCCAGTACCTCAGAATGTGACTGTGTCTGGAGAAATGGTCTCTAAAGAGTGAAGTTAAAATGACAACAGGGTGGGCTCTAATCCAATAGGACTGGTGCCCTTATAAGAAGAGGATATTACAATACAGACATGAACAGAGGGAGGCCCATTTGAAGACACACGAGAATATGGTCATCTACAAGCCAAGGAGACAGGCCCCAGGAACAAACCAATGCCTTGATCTCAGACTCTGGCCTCTGTAATCATGATTTTTTTAAAAAATTATGTTGTTTAAACCACTCAGTCTGTGGTACAGTTGACCTATGAACAACATGGAAGTTAGGGGAACCAACCCTTTGCACAGTCAAAAATCTATGTGTAACTTTTGACTCCCCCAAAACTTTACTAATATCCTACTGTTGGCTAGATGCCTATCAGATAGCAAAAACAGTTGATTAATACATATTTTGCATGTTATATGTATTATATATTGTATTATTACAATAAAGTAAACCAGATAAAAGCCTTACTGGTCCTTATGACTCCCTGATCTAGAAGCTGAATTAGGGATGTTGTTTGGGGGCAAGTAGACTGTTTCAGTTTCTTTGATTTTGAACTTATGGGGTTCTGGGTGGCAGGGGCATTGTCCAATATGGAAAGAACTTTAAAAGGCAGTCCCTTACTGGCAAGGTACTTCCTGACTTCAGGGACAAATATCCATGGGACCAATCCAGAAAAAGTGTTCTTTTTGTCCAGAGCTCCTTCTTGTACAACAAGAAGACTGGAAGCTGGTGTTTATCTCCTTCCTTCAGGGGTTGGAAGTGAGCAGCTTTATAGATAAAGGCAGCCCTGATCATAAACCCAAATGCATTTGCCCAGAACCAGTAGAGTTAACCTAGTCCTTCCAGCCTTAAATCCTGGTGCTTGCTTCTCTTCCTTTCCAATAGATTCCTTGGTGGCATTTTCCATTCCCCCATGATAGGGCACTTTTGTCTTCATTAAAAACCTGTTCAGGCAGATATCCTTTCCCATTAATGATTTTCTTAATGGCGGTTTGGAACTCATCTGCTTCCTCTTGTTGGCAGAAGCTATTTCTCCTATTAGCTAGACAATTTTAAAGATAAATCTCTTTCTAAAATTATCCAACCATCCTTTGCTGGCATTAAATTCTCCAGATTTTGATCTTTCACCTTCCTTTTGCTTTAAGTTGTCACAGAATGACTTCTTTTTTGGTTGGATCATATTCAAGTCTATAGCTATGCTTTTCTAATAGCAATTCTGCACCCACACAAAAGCTGCATTTTCAGTATGAGATTAAAACGTATTTCATAAAAAGTGAAAGATTTTTGTACCTGCTGCATAACTGCAGAAACAGCTTCCTGAATTTCCTTTTCTTTTTTACAATGGTCCTTATGCTGGATTAATCTAGCTTGAAATGTCAGGCAACTGCAGCTGCAGACCTCAATATTTGGTACATATCAAGCAATTCAACTTTTTCTTATAATATCATGACTTTGCTTCTTGGAAGCACTTCCAGCATGATTAGTGGTACTTCCTATGGGTCCATGATGTTATTCAAGGCTTAAAGGATTACACTAAACTTGATGAGAAATAAAAGAGAACTATGAGAGATCATTTTTCACTGTAATACACAATTTACCAGAGAGAAAACTTTATCTGGAGATGATTACCATCACATGGTGTGTTAAGCAGATACTTGCAACATTTGAGCTCACTGCAACACCAAAAGGAGATGGCTATGAAACCATTAGTCATACAGTATGTACTACAGTTAATTTTATGCAGTTATGATTTAACACTGCACCTTTGCATTTGTTGACATTTCTCTTGACTGTGAATGATGCCATGTATGGTCTGTAAATGTTTAAGTTTTGATACATTTAAACTTTCTGTAATGGATTTGTGTATATTTTATGGTAGTGAATGATAAAATAGAGTAGTATCTACATATGTTTCATGCATCATGGCATACCTAATTTTTTGGATATTTCTAGGCTACACAGTTTGTTGGAGTATTTTCAAATTGTCGCAAATCTCTAAAAAATTTTCCAACCTATTTATTGAAAAAAAAAACCATGCATAAGTGGACCCATGCAATTCAAACCCATGTTGCTCAAGGGTCAACTGTACTTTGTCATGGCAGCCCTAGCAAACTCATGTGTATACAAAGTACCTTTGAAGATGCTTAATATCATACAAATGTCAGGATTGTTACTAATTTATTTATTTATTTGTTTTAAGACAGGGTCTTACTCTGTCACCCAGGTTGGAGTGCAATAGTGCAATCTTGGCTTACTGCAGCCTTGAACTCCTGGCTCAAGCAATCCTCCCACCTCTGGCTACTGAGTAGTTGGGATTGCAGGTAAGTGCCACCACATCATCTAGTCAATTTTTAAAATTTTTTATTTTGTAGAGGTGGGGTCTTACTAT
Source organism: Homo sapiens (assembly GCF_000001405.40). Lineage (NCBI taxonomy): Eukaryota > Metazoa > Chordata > Mammalia > Primates > Hominidae > Homo > Homo sapiens. The sequence goes on from NC_000007.14 coordinate 37,036,581, forward strand.
GTTGCCCAAGGTGGTCTCAAACTCCTAACCTCAAGTAATCCTCCCAACTCAGATTCCCAAAGTGCTGGGATTACAGGCATGAGCCACCATGCCCGGCCTAGGATTGTTATAGGAGGTTACTTCCAGGAAATGATGGGAAATCAGGAGGAAGTCCACCAATGGGGGCCACACATGTAGGTGCCGGAATTTCATCTTCTTTTTAAAATGGATGCAAGATATTGGAGTTGGAGGAAAGCTATGTTAAGGATCCAATGACCCAAAAGTGATAGCACCAGGATTTGGCTCCCAAGGCAAGAAAATATTCAAAAGAACTTCTCAGCAAATTTTATGTGGAAGAGAAGATAAAAGAAACAAAGGTCACTCTGAAGCTTGAGTTCATAGAAATCACAGGAGAATGAAGTGGCCAGTGTAAATGAGGAGCCAGGCACAGGAAAGAAGTGGAGAAATAATGAGAAGGAAAGAGAAATACCATGGGGTTACTACAGAATAAAAGATATTCTTCTAATGAAATAATAAATGAGGAGTTGAAAGTTAATTTGTGGAATTTTCCAGATCCACTAGTTAAACTCACAGCCAATCAAATGGTGACTTTCCTATATAAAAGACTAGAATATGCCCTTTAATGTTTTAATGAAAGAAAATCTGAGATGAAGAAGTTCCTCAAGTGAGTATGTTCAATGCCAACAGTTCCTGTGCATTATGTGGAAGAGCCACACGTTGTTCTGTGATTTTCAATAACCTTTCATTTATTACAGGCTGACACTGATGCTTGCATTTCCCTCCCCAGGTCAAGCCAAAAAGTGATCGGCCATTCTTTTACTGGGTTCCAGCCAACTCTGTCCGCTAACCCCTATGACAGAGGAGATGGGAAAATAATTGAGCTGCTACCTAGGAAGGCACAAACATTTCCTGTGGTGAGGACTTAGGAAGCAGTGCCAGGAATCGGGCCATCGGAAGGCCTGAGCACACTGGGCACAGGTTTTCTGCCCCTAGCAAGGGACTGACAATAAAGTCAAGTGAAGCAAACTCTGTTCTAAATAAAATTCAGACAGAGTAGAAGAGAGGAAGGGGCTAGTATCAAGTGAGCTGGGGTCAACAGAAGTTTTGTATCAGAACTCACAGAATTGCTCACTAGTCCGACTCCCTCACCAACCCAAAACATAAGCTTTGTGTTTTGTTTCATGACATCACTTCATTTTGTCTGAATGAATGATACTGAGATGCACACACAGACACGTGAATGTATATGGCTTCAAGATATTGTTAATCTGGGCAGCTGACACCCTTAAAATTTTAGTACTAAATAAAAGAACTATGGAAGTTATGGAAAAGGTAGCACATTGGAAAGACAGCCTGAAGACTGCAATCAAGAGTGAAACAAATGTTTTCAGGGATCACGGTGCCAACTTAACACAGATACCATGTTTGAGTGGATGCACCTGCCTTGCCCATCATCCCCTATATCTTAAAAAGATATATTCCTTAGCTGTCTCTGTGGCTCTGTGCTTTTCAATCAGGAAACCATGTACAGATCCTGTCACTGAAAGCTAAACAAAACAAGCATTGGTCCCGATCCCCTTGACAACAACTTCCCAGAGCCTCCAGCTCCACCTTCATCCTCACCCTCCCCATCCCATTGGTTCCCATGTCTCCCTTGCTCAAGGTGTTCCTGACTTTTCTCCTGCCCACTTGGCTCCCACCTAAGGGGGAACAACCTGAACTCAGCCCCACCTTCATCCTGTCCCTGGATGCTTTAGGTTGCTGGCCTGCCTGTGCAAGCTCATGACCCCTGGAGCTTCACCCAGGGGGCACCCTAGTTTCCCAGAACTGTTTCTCTTATTTTAATAGAAGCCTTGTGGAGGCAAGAAATTAACTCCACACCAGTGACCCAAAGGATGCTCAAGGTATTTTGGGACAGATTTTTTGATCTTCCTTCTTACCATAAAAGTCATTGCTTTTTTTGAATTTTCTAATCATCACCTACATCTTGGATTCTCAGTAGCAGAGCCTGGAAATGAAAAGGTATGACAAGCTTCCTTCTTGCTTAGAGATTTTTCTTCCAATATTACTCTTCCAAACTTAGTGTATTAGTTTGTTCAGGCTTCAATAAAACAATACCATAGACTAAGTGACTTAAAAAACAGGAATTTCTTTGTTTTTACAGTTCTGGAGGCTGAAAGTTCTTGATCAGGGTGCAAGCATGGTTGGGTTCTGGTGAGGGCCTTCTTCCTGGCTTGCAGATGGAAGCCTTCTTGCTGTTTCCTCACATGGTAGAAAGAGAGAGATGGCAAGCTCCCTGGTGTCTCTTCTGATAAGGGCACTAATCCCATTATGAGGGCCCCACCCTTGTGAACTCATCTAAACCTAATTACCTCCTAATGGCCCAATCTCCAAATACCTTCACATTGCCAGTTAGAACTTCAAAATATACATTTGGAGGGAGGACACACTTAAGTTAGTAGCACTTGGAAACTCTGAGATTCATGCTTTTTCTTGAAAGAATTAGAAAAAGTTTTATGAAGTTTAGAAAATGAGTCACTGCTCCAATTTTTAAAAAAAAAAGATTTAGTTTGCAAGGACAACCACATGGATGCAAACAGGCTCACAAAATGAATGGTCCTTTACATTATATACTTATCAAGGGGCAGAATGTACAGATTATGACATGCCATGGTTTGAGGTCAACTGGTTTTCTCTGTTTCAAAATGCTGACATTCTTTCCATAATAATAAGAGCTGCTTTGACGCCTAGAAGCCTCCTGGGCACTCTGACTGCAGGCCATGAGGAGGGGGAGATACAAGGGCAGGTTCTCTTCTAGCAGGCTCCTGCTCGTGGGCAGGGCACACAGCAAACTGTGTCTTTGTTCCTTTCCCCACAAAACTGGAGAACAGATCTATCATTCCAGTTTGTCTTAATACTGACTCAACAATAAGTGGTACTGAAATGCTGAGAGGGCAGTTTGGACTTTTCTAGTTACAGCATCAGAAGGAAGCACTATATGAGCACACAAACCCTTCAACATTGTCCTTATGGAAACAGGGAAGCAGAAGCTGTTTCAGTCTGCACCTTCTCCTCAGGGGAAAATTTTCTTTTTTAGCCTGAGGCCAGTTGACTCTATTTCAGCCTGTGTCTAATTCCTCTTCCTAGCTATCGACAATAAATACTTAAAATTCACACGGTTTATTTAGATAAATAAAATTGTTGGTTTTATTTGTTGACATGAATTAATCTCTCTCTACATGAGCAACATCATGCTGATTGAAGATAAATTACAGGTGCTGATCCAGAATAATTAAAAAGTGCAAAGATGTAAACTTCTTAAATTTTACTCAGATTTTTAAAATGTTATCACAGAAAATTCTACTGGACAGTACTGTAATGTAACATTACATTGTATTACAGTATATTACAATGTTGTCCAGTAGGCTTTCCTGTGATAATGTAAATGTTTGTGTTTGTGTGTATGTGTGTGTGTGTATGTGTGCGGACTGAGCACTTGAAATGGGGCTAGTGTGACTAAGGAATTAAATTGAATTTTAAAATTTTACTTATTTCTACTTAATTCAAATTTAAATAGCTACCTGTGGCTAGTGGCTAATATACTGGACAGTAGTTTTAGAGAGACAGGTGTTCAACTTAGACACCTACCACTAGACAAAAACCATCCTCAAAGCACAAAACTAAATAAAGCCAAACAAATAGTTTGGGATCATTTTCCTGATTACCCCCAGGGGTAATGATTATATGGTGACTTTGTTAAGGACAAAAGTAGCTGTGATATTGTACAAACAGTTCTTGCATAATAGGTCTTCCAATGCAAGACCAACAGAAGAGAACTCCCATGTAAAGGACTTAGCATCATTATGACAAAAACATTAACTGATACAGGAATGGCAAAAATGTAAACATAGGAGCACCCAGCTGCCATCAGCATGTGCATGATGTGACACGCAGAACTCTGTGGATGCCAAATCCCCACTCCTCCCCAGTGTACGGCTTTGTTTATAGTGGAACAAAAACAGCCGGTCACAAACCTAAAGTAGTATATGTTTCACGCACAATGTTACTGCCTGTTAGTGTATTTCTCCATCAGTGAAGGAGGAACAGGGCATTATGTAGCTGCCTCATCAGCTATATCCTGGTGGGTATAAGCAGCAAATGTGCCTCCCTTATTCCTGTATTATTAGCGTTCTAGCACTCTAAAAGTCATATGGGGCTGGGCGTGGCAGCTCACTCCTCTAATCCCAGCACTTTGGGAGGCCGAGGTGGGCAGGTCACCTGAGGTCAGGAGTTTAGACCAGCCTATCCAACAAAGGCAAAACCCCGTCTCTACTAAAAATACAAAAAAAATCAGCTGGGCGTGGTGGCACATGCCTGTAATTCCAGCTGCTCAGGAGGCAGAGGCAGAAGGATCGCTTGAACCCAGGAGGCAGAGGTTGCGGTGAGCCGAGATCATGCCACTGCACTCCAGCCTGGGCAACAGAGTGAGATTCCGTCTCAAAAAATATATAATAATAAAATAAAATAAATAAAAGCTATATGGGAGTAGGAAGTTGAGATCAGAGAAAAGAGGGGCATATGCAATAGGTAATGTCAATACTCTCTATAGGAAAGAGGGAAAAACGACTCTCGTGCTACATTGTTGCACTGACCTTGGCTGTCCCTATAATGTCCTTAGGGGAAAGGAATAACACAAAGATTAATGTGATCATTTGTCATTTTATAGCCATAACCTGAACAACATAAAGCCTTATTCATCATGGACAGACTAGAGGACCCTGAAATATACAAGGTCTATTTCAAACTGGAAGGTCTTGGCCCACCTCACTGATCTACTGTGGCCCCGAGTTGGGATTGCAGCAGTGGTCTATGTGTGCCAAAGGAAAGACACACACGTTTATCAGGAGTGAGTGTTTTTGTATTTTTTTTCACTAGTCCAACATCTCCCAGAAATTCACAGACAGAGTGAGGAAGTGGGGAGCAAGGAAGCGGGGAGACACTGTTTGAAAAGTATCACCAGAGACAAAAAGGATGAGTTTATCACATACGTGTAAAATAAATGCATAAATTTAAATTGAAGTCACAGCCCCTGAAATACTGGCAGAAGAAAGGAGAATGAAGATATGAGGATCAAGCTGTGCTCGGTGGTGACCTTGCCAACAAGAACACATGAGTTAACGTGGCAGAAAAGCAACCCCCACCCCAGGAACACTGGCTGTGAGCCCTGCGACGGCACCCTTTCTCATTCACTGAGTTGCACCAAAGTGGACACGGGTTTTCTTGACCTTATTTTCTATGTTGATGAAACACTTGTCGCTAATTACACTTTCAAAAGTAGAGAGATTCATCATTTACATTTCACGATATATGTAATTGTTTTAGTGTATTCTTGACAGCCCTATTTTGTTAAAGAGAGTTACATGGCCGGGCATGGTGGCTCACACCTGTAATCCCAGCACTTTGGGAGGCTGTGGCAGGTGGATCACTTGAGCTCAGGAGTTTGAGACCAACCTGGGCACATGGAAAAACCCCGTCTCTACGAAAAAAAAAAAAAATACAAAAACCATCCCACCACTGCACTCCAACTCCAACTTTGGCTGTTTGAGTGAGACTCTGTTTTTCTGACTTTTGAAAAAAAAAAAAAAAAGAAGAGAGAGAAAGAAAGAGTGAGTGTTACATATGCACTGGGAATTTGAGTTTCATAATTTTACATTTCACTGTAAAGGAATATTCAGAGCCATGGTTTTTTTTTAAACCCAGTTTGTATGGGGCACATTGTAGTGATGAATTAAATATTTCCATATTAACCCTACTGCTGCTGGTAGGCACTGATTTCTCTTAGTTGAATTCTGATTTCTTTCTTTCCTGTGCTAATCTGCAGGAGCCCATCAGCCCAAAACAGAGTTGCTCAACTGCCCTGTGAGTGATGCCACAGTTACAGCTGAATGTCTTTGGGCCCGGTCAGCTGTAATTCCAGGTAGGGACTGGGAATATGTATGGAAAAGATGCAGGCTCTATCAGAAGACAGTAGAAATGGGTCATTAGTGACCAGACGTTCACTTCCAAAATCTGAGACATCCTGAACATCCTGAGAACATCGTTCTTTATGTTCTAATGCCCATGAGCCTCATTTCCAACTGTAAAGCCTTTACACTGGCTGTTCCCTTGGCCTGGAATATTCACTAACTCCTCATGGCTGCTTTCTTTGTAACATTCAAGTCTCAGCGTCAATGTAACCTCTTCAGAGAAGCTCTCCTGGGCCACTCACAATCTAAACTAGCCCCCACACTCTGGAATATCACTTGGATTCAGTTCTGCGCATCACATTTTCTGATACATGATATTTTCTTCTTTGCATGTATGTTTATTTGTTCATTGCCTATCTCCATGCACTTGAAGCAAGCCCCATTTGAGCTGTATATGTAGTTCATTATCGTGTCCACATTGCTGGGAACAGTGCCAGTCACCTAAAAAATGGCTGCATACATATCTGGTGCCCTCACAGTGTTCACTGTGGCAGGTTCAGGAGGCCTGCTCTCCGCAGACAATGCCGGGAGCCTCCTCTCACTCCAGTCCCTTCTCCCTTCCAATTACCACTAAATAAAGAAACAACAGCAGCAAGAGTGGGCAATAGAACTGTCTTGTCTCAGCTAAAAGCCATAAGAAAGCCTAAGTCTAAGATCATCTGATGGATGATCCTGTACTGTGTTAACTGAGTCCAGCAGTTCTCGTCCCTGTGCCCCAAGCATCTTATTAAAGGCTGCCAGGCAGCTGTACTCAGTTGCATATTAAAAATCACCTGCATTTAAGAATTAGTGGTGCCCCAGAAAGCAGAGGAGTGGCTGCCAGGGCCAGGTGTTGGGGGAAAGGATGGCAAAGCGGCCACACAGGAGGTTTTGGAGTGATGCAAATGGTCAGATCTTGACTGTGGAGTCGGCCGTATGAATGGATGCCTACGCGCATGTCAAAATGCAGAGAACTGTACTCAAAAGGGGAAATTCTACTATGTGTAAATTATATCTCAATAAACTTCATTACAATGATATACTAATGTCTGGGCCTATCCCAGACGAATTAAATCAGAAAATCAGAGTGTGAGCCAGAACATGAACATTATCCGAAAGGTTCCCGGTGAATCTAATGTGCAGGCAGGATGGAGACCAACGAGAGTTTGGAACTTGTGGCAGCAAGACAGTCACACAGAGCAGGGAGCCCAGCACACAAGGAACTGGGGCCAAAGGCTAGCTTTGCTGCCTGCTTTAGATCAAGAACTCAGGCGTCCTTTGCTGCCTGCTTTAGATCAAGAACTCGGGGGTCCTCAGGTTCATGAGCCAAGTTCCTCTGTCTCTTTATAATGGTGATGCCATCTCCATTCCCCAAGACTTGAAATAATGAAGTAGTCTTTTTTATACATGTCAGACAGACTCAACGAGGAGGAGGGTGAAGCATGAGATGTTTATTTATAAGGGAAAAGCTCTAGAGCCCACTCATTTTAAAAAACTATTACAACAAACAGGTTTGTTTTTATTTTTGTACAAAACAAAATACAGCAAAAAGGCTATGCTCCGGCTAGGTGTGAAAATGCTCAATGAGGGATGGATTGACAACTCTGTCACAGCCAGAGGGTGAGGGTCCTTACTAGTCAGCAGGGACTATGATTGTAATGGCCACTCCTCTCTTTCAGATCACATGGAAGACTCAGAGCAGCCAACCCACATGAAAGTCATCTGTAAACTGTATCCCATTAAAAAAGCTAATGTGAGTGTACACTTCCTGCACTAAGTACTTCACATGTGTTATATACTAATACTCACAACATTCTAGGTCTGCACTATTATTGTCTTCAGTTAAAAATGAGGCAGCTGTAGCTTTCCCACCATCTCCACATTACCAAATCCAGGGGTGCCTGGTAAGTCACCATCTCACTCGCCCAACACGGTGTTTGAGGTGGTGACCAGCCCTCCCCATGTGGACGGCACTCTCTCTCAGCTCTCCCTATGATGGGTGCCTGCTTCACTGTCTCCCCCTCCTATTCTTAATGTCCAAACCTGGAGGTCAGTCTGCTGGTCTTTGCTCCAACACCTGTTCTCACTCTCTGGGTGATGAACTCTTACCCAGTCTCCTGGCTCCTCCCTCTTTCTGCAGCGAGATGCATGGTTCCAACTATCTGCATTCTCATGTCTCACAGAAATCTCAAATGTAACATCCAAGCCTGGATGTTTGTTTGGCTTCCATCCTCAAGTCCTCCCCTTCCCTAGTCTTCCCTTCTTTAATAAAGTATGAATTAGAGAAGTAATGTTAGCAGCTATGTGCTGTCACTTGCTGTGGCTGCTGTGGGCTATTTATTTTTTAATTTCCACGCTAGGTGTTGCCTATGTTTTGCTTAGATAAAGTGGCTATACAGCTAAGCTCTGGGATGGAGGTTAATATTACTACGCCGGTATGAAGCTATGAATGCTTTACTAGCATCGTCAATAGAGACCCTTAGAAAGAGTAACTACTTTTACACACAGACGCATACTACCAGTAAAGACTGAATCCAGACCACCTGGAATAGAAATCAATGACCAAATGCAATGTGGTATTGTGGGTGGAATCCTGGAATACAAAAAGGACATCAGATAAAAACTAAGGATATCTGAATAATGTATGGACTTCAGCTACTATTACTATTACTAATGGTAATGAATATAATACACTGCTGTAAGATGTTAATAACAGGAGAAATGATGCAGGGGACATGGGAACTCAGTGTGCTCTCTTTGTGTTTTTCTTGAACTGGACTGAAAAACAAACTTTCACTAAAAAACCTTTTAGTGGTATAAGATTCTGAGGATTTGCATTATCTGCCTGTTGCCCAGAACTTATATGGCATGTTATTATTATTTTAAAAAACTTCTCTTTTTCTCCCAAATCACAATAGTTCAAAAACTTTCTAAAAATGTTTCTCCTTTGCTCACTTCTTTTGCTCAGCAGCAACTTCTCTTTCCTCTTTTCTCTACTAAATTTTAGTAGAGAGGAAGTAAAAATACCACTTATTTGAACTTGGGAGGAAGAAGAGGTTTTTTAAAAAAATATATATTTATGCAGTGCCTCATTCCACAAAGGAATTAAGAGAAAAGGAAAATAGTTAAATACATCTTCCTTTTCCCAGATTCCCTAAAATAGTCTAGGATTATGAAACAGTCTATATTTCTATGATGGAAAGTATCTTTCATGCAATGCTTCAGAGTTAACAAAGCATTTCCCCACAGCTTACCACACATTATCTAGATAACAACCACTATGAGGTTTAGAATTATCCCTATCTCATAGGCTCTGAGAGGCGAAGGATAGCCTTCCTAGGTAGGCAGAGCTGTCTGCTTCCTGCAAATCCCGTGATTGCTCCTCCACCCAGCTGGCCCTTGAGCCCAGGCTGTCTCATGGGAGGCAGGCTTGAATGGATTAAGCCCACAGAAGCAACTTGCCAAAATCTAAATCAATCCTAAGTTTATAATCACCATATCCACCTTTACCTACACACAATCTTCCTGCTTCCTGAATATAAATAAGCCAAGAAAGAGTCAGTTGATCTTTCACTGTTGCCTATAACAAATTTTTTCTTGACTCCTTTTAAAATTATAGAGAATATGTATAACTATCCAGTAATTATTATGCACAATTTCAATAGACTAACTCAGGGCTGGCCTCTGAAAGAGAGAAACTGCTTTTCTACACATATAAGTAAGTCAGAACATCTCAGATGACACTGCCAGAAACATCAAGCATCATTTTGCTCATAAGGAATCCCAAGATACTAGTCCTCAGTAATGAGAAAAAAAGCCCAGGCCTCTGCCCAGTGGTCTTCCTGTAAAAGAACGACAGTGTGGAACTGACCCACTTGGAGCTACTTTTCAGGCTTTGAGTTGGCCAAAGAAAGAACCCCAGTATGCTTTCTTTCTTTAGACCAGCAGTTTACATTTTATATTTTGATATTTTGCAATCATTGGTGAATCAAACACGGGAATGAGAATGATGAAAACAAAACAAAACAAAAAGAAATCAAAGTATGAGACAAATCAAAGAATGAAGGAAATGTCTGCCGTTAATCTTAATTCTCTGAAACTCATGGAGGGATCAAGGGGAAGGCCACAATGTGTATCTTGCATCAGATTTTCTTAGGTCAAGAAGGGGCATCTTTGAAAGATCAAGGGAGTTTCTGGAGCAAAATAACAGCTAACACAAATTCACCTTCTGATTTTTTCTTAAGGGAACCTGGGAATGCTAAGTGATTCCAGTACAAAGAACAAAGGGGTTTTCAAATCCTTTTCAAGCTTGTGAAAGGCACTGGGAGACACTGGAACAACTCACTATGTGCTTGCTAATGAAATAGAAATTTTCCCTCTATGTTTACAAGCCAGATTCACTGATAAGAAAATTATGATTTAGGATCACAATTTTCCAAATATTATACTTTTTAGAAAGATGTCATAGTTGGTCTTAGGTAGTCACTGTTGTTGCTTATTTAACTTGTAAAGGAGAAAGAGAAAGAGCTGAACCAAAATGAATGTCTACAGGCATAGAGCTATGGCTGGCTCACCTTTCTGTCCCCACCCTATAGCACTTTGTCTGTAATACAAGTTTGTTGAATACAAATGACCTGGCATTTCATTTTATAGGCCAATTTAACAGAATAGCTTGTTAAATCAGAAATAGCTCATTAATCGGTGTTCCTTCCTGTCTCTGCCTTTCCTTCTCTCTCTATAGCTGGTGTTTGCTTTAAAACACCTAAGCAAGACAGCTGGGCTGACCACAACAGTGGATTCAGGTTCAAAACTGGACTGACATGACACCTTGGCCCCAGTTAAGGCTGGGCTCATTTCGGCTTACAAGCACGAGAGATATGTAAGGGAGGACTAATGCCCAGCAGGGCAGGTTCAGCTACTCCAGCGTCACCTGTTCCCCATAGAATCAATACATTAACATTCCAGATCTTTTTGAGTAAGGAAATTCTGGCTGCAACACAGTTGCCACCTCTTTTCCTGACTGGGTCGTTGGGCTTATTCTAGTTAAATGCCATAAAGCGTAACCATGGCTTGTCACTACAAACGTGTCTGAATTGTGGCTAAACAGACTGTGTATGCATTGGAAAGGCTTTTCCCTAAATAAAGTATATAATTTTTAGTACATAAATTATCTCTTTGTCAGCAAGAGATCTTTGTGCATTCAGTTGAGCCTATCAGATAAGTATCTCCAGGAAAGAATTCATACAGTACAGACTAGTTTTCTCTTTCCCAATTTTCCTAGTAAAAAAAATTGTGACAGTTTTTTTTTTGAAAAAACGTATTTTAAAATTAAAAAAACCCTGCTTTCTTTGATTAGAATATGTCAGTACCTTAAATATTTACAATCATGGTTTATCTGAAAAATCATTCCACTCTTATCATAAATCATTGGTTTGCCTTGTAGAACTAAATCTTCACATCTTGAAATTTACAACAAAACAGTATTGATTTAAGCTAGGGTTTCTCAACATCAGTACTATTAGTGTCTGGAGCTGGTTAATTCTTTGTTGAGAGGGAGGCTTGTCCTGTGCATTGAAGGGTGTTTAGCAGCATTCCTGGCCTCTCCCCACTGAATGCCAGTAGCACCCCCACAAGTTGGGACAACCAAAAGTGTCTCCAGACACTGCCAAATGTGCCCTGGGGCACAAAACCAACACTCACTGAGAGTCACTAATTTACACAGTAAAATCTAGCATAAAAATCTATTTTACCAATTACGCACTTATAAAATAAATTCCCTTAAATTATAAAAAATAAGGCAACCAGTTACATTATATAACTGATTCCAATTCTTTCATAAGACAGCAAATGAAAGAGGATTCCTGTGCATTTGCATAATCATTATGACTATTCTGTGACTTTAAATGCTGAACAAGACTCTGACTCCTTGGTACCAGAGAGTAGAAGCCTCTGTTTTGAGATCTGTTCCCCCACCTAACCCACAGGCAACTCTAAAGCGAAAACATGGATCGTTTATTTTATTCAGGGCAAATAAACCAAACAAGTAAACAATGTATATTTGAGCGTTCTCATGGAAAGACTTAGCCTAAACACTTGTTTAAACACGTTTCATGAGACAATCTTCAGAGTGATTCCTTTAACATTTTCAAGATGTTTTCTTATGTATTACCTTAGCTCAAAATCACAAAGCCAATGTCCTTTAAAAGACTTAAAAACAGGGCCTAGGTACCTGCAGTAACCTATTTGGATAGTTAAAGTTCAGTTGACTCAGAATATCCTGTATTTGCTGAAAGGGGTTGAATTACATTTCTTGATGTGGGCAGCTTTTTATCTCTTTCACAGACATGAAAACAGAATGGAAATGGCGATTCCCAATGAGTTTAGGGGAAGTGACGTGGTGAGGGAGACCCACTGGGAAAGCAAGCCCTTGCTTTCTTTTTGATTCATAACTTGGTAGAATTTATAATTATTTAATTTCTTTTTAACTTGTTTTCTCTGTCTTCCCACTGGAATGGGAAGGCCATGTTTTAAGAGCGACCACCCTGTTAATGTTTGTCTTGTTAAGGGATAAACATTAAGCACCTAATGTACCACCTTGGACTCAGGACACAGCTGGCACTGAGTCGGGTGTGGGGAGAGGGTCACTGCCTGCAACCGAGCAGGGACAGTGCCGCTTTGGGACTCCCCAGGCCCTTTCCCCAAAGGGCCCCTGGTTCAGCTCTTGGGCCGGGATTCTTCTCTGACCATACCAGCTCCCAAGGAAAAGCTATTCTGCTACAGAAAGGATTCTGCTTGGTGACCCTTCGAAACCAATTAAAACTATGTGATGCGTCCAGCTCTCTTCTCCTTTTGCATTTCAGCTTTTCCCTTCCAAAGGAAACCATGGGCAAAAATGTGAAAGGTGCAGAGCTGCTCTGCCCCAAATGTGGCTTCTTCTTGGGAGCCTGCTGTATCCTTCTCTCTAGGACAACTAGATAAACCAGAGGCTCAGGTCAGAGCCTTTTTTTGTCATATTCGTTCATGGGATTCAAAGAAAGCTGCCCTCTGTAGGCTTTCTTCAGGAGGAGAGGGGTCCATCACAGATTTCCTATGAAGGTGGAAGACTTCCAGAGGCAAATGATATCCAGGTGTTTGAGAGCTGTAAAACTGATTGGCAGAAATAAAAATTTACTCCCCAGTTTTGTTTTGTTTCTTTTTTTTTTTTTTTTTGAGATGGAGTTTTGCTCTTGTTGCCCAGACTGGAGTGCAATGGCATGATCTCGGCTCACCACAACCTCCGACTCCCAGGTTCAAGCGATTATTCTGCCTCAGCCTCCTGAGTAGCTGGGATTACAGGCATGCGCCATCATGCCTGGCTAATTTTTTTGTATTTTTAGTAGAGACAGGGTTTCTCCATGTTGGTCAGGCTGGTCTCGAACTCCCGACCTCAGGTGATCTGCCCACTTCAGCCTCTGAAAGTGCTGGGATTACAGGTGTGAGCCTCCGCGCCCAGCCTTTTTTGTTTGTTTTCTGAGACAGAGTCTTGCCCTGTTGCCCAGGTTAGAGTGCAGTGGTGCAACCTTGGCTCACTGCAAACTCCGCCTCCCAGGCTCAAGCAATTCTGGTGCCCCAACCTCCCAAGTAGCTGGGACAACACACCACCACACACAGCTAATTTTTCATATTTCTAGTAGAGATGGGGTTTTGCCATGTTTTCCAGGCTGATCTTGAACTCCTGAGCTCAGGTAATCCGCCCACCTTGGCCTCCCCAAGTACTGGGATTCCTTGGCCTCCCAAAGTGCTGGGATTATAGGCGTGAGCCACCATGCCTGGCCCCCAGTTCTATTTCTTAATAGTGCAAATCATAGCCTTGAAAGAAAACCAAGAATTAGCCATTCCCCTGCTATGGTGCACAAGCCTTACAACAACTCTGCAAGGGAGTGCACGCAAATCTGGGGACCTAAAAAACAGCATGGAGACTACTGTCAATAGTATTGTATTGTATGCTGGAAATTTGCTAAGAGAGTAGATTTTAGGTGCTCTGAACACACACACACACACACACACACACACACACACACACACACACACACACAAAAGGTAACTATGTGAAATAAGCCAAACTGGCTTGACTGTAGAAATCATTTCACTATGTATATGTATTTCAAAACATCATGTGGTACACCTTAAATACATACAATTACCAAAAAAAAAAACCCTATTTGATAGATGTAGAAGCCAAGTTCAAAGGTTTTTTTTTTTTTAATCACAACCTTATCTGCACTTCAGTGAAAGACATGTCAAACATTTGTTCCTAATATTTAGTCTGCTCCAACCAAGGCTAATGACCATCCAAGGAGACAATTTAACCACAGAAGATAACAAATATGGAAGGCATCATGGTTTATTCTAAGGGCTTCAGACAGGATGCCCTGTCATAAACTATGGTATTTCCCATAAGAATTCTTTCTTTGACGTGTTCAGCTTCCTTCCTTTTTGGGTAAATGCATAGTAATTGATCTGAGCCATTCTGTGAAACAAATGACTGGATATTGTTTTTGTTCAGAATAGATATAAGTAGCATCAAAACTTTGGAAAGAACTGCAGTGCTAGAAGAAATGAGAAGTGATAAAAAATGAACCGTGTCTACTTGGCCTCTTATGCATGTTGGGTGAGATGATAATAAGAGCTTTGCAAATGTACACTGGGTCACTTTAGCTCTGAAGAATATTTTACTCAGGATAAAAAGGTTTTAAACTATTCAATAAATGGGCTGCTTCTTTAGTGACTCTTCCTAATTTGGATAATTTTTGTAAGACTAATAAATCTTAACCTGAGTTTGACCAGATATTAAAAGACTGGCTTAAATTATGAGACAGTATGAATTATTTCACTTTCCAAGTTCTTTCTGTGAAATATTAATCACAGAATCTCACCTGATGAATTCTGAGGATTAAATGTTTCACTTGCTATGTTTCCTGAAACTTTGTTTTTATTTACCCTTATACTTAAAGGTGTTTTTTTTTTTGTCTCTCTTTCTACCAAACTCACATGAACTGTGGAAAGCATTTACTAACTACATAATTGGGTGTAACACTGTTCTATAAATTACAACTAGTTAGCTACTTTAAATGAATCCTTTCCTCAAGGAATTTTGCTATTAAAATCTGGCTATATAATTTATGAAACTTAAATGGTTTGTCTTCTGTGCAGGTTTTTATAAAAGCTAATCTGCAAATATGTGAAAGGTGCAGAGCTGCTCTGCCCCAAATGTGGCTTCTTCTTGGGAGCCTGCTGTATCCTTCTCTCTAGGACAATTAGATAAACCAGAGGCTCAGGTCAGAAGACTTTTTTTGTCATATTTGTTCATGGGATTCAAAGAAAGCTGCCCTCTGTAGGGCAGAGGTCATTAAACAGCAGAGGTTCTCAGACCTTTCATTCCCTTATGATCCATGTTTTTCATTTCCTTTAGCATCTCTTTTTCTTCCTTTTAATTCTGAGATCTCCAAGATGCTTTCACTTCGCTCAATCCCAGTTGCCTGGGCTCTTGGGAAGCAATGCTCACACCAGTGAATTTCTGTCTGTTGAAACCCCACAGAAGGGCAGAAGCACCTTTCCCTGCTAGCCCAGCAGTGTTCTCCTCTTATCAGGAGAATATGACTGCCTACTCCAGACAGGCCAAGTTCATCCGATCTCTGCTTTTGTTGTCAAGTTATTCCTGTTGTCATTTGGTGACATTTACTCAAAGCTATTTCATTTCATGCAAAGCCATGTTAGTTTAAAGAACTGCTATCTCCAGCCATCAAGAACAGTGCTTTGTATGTATTAGAGAAATAAAAAACATTTAAAAATTCCAATTTTTGTATTTATTCTATCAGAGCTCTCATCGAACCCTTAAGGCCCTCTTTCTCAGGCTGCAACCCACCATATCCAATATTTGCCTTCATATCTAAGTCTACTAAGATTCAATGAATGTATACCATGGGACGACTCTGGAAGTTATAGAAGACGCAACTGTTTAATAAGTCAATATAGACCTATGAATGTGATGTTTCACCTGCCACACAGCTCCTTATCCAAATCTCAAACCTCTTGCATAACTCATCTTTCTTGAGAGAGAGGTCACTGAATGGGGAATCAAAGTAGTCACGGTACCAGCTGGAATTAGCAAAGGCAGCAGAATTATCAGATAAACAGGCAAGAGGTGCAACCTGAATTGCTGCAGGGTAGGGATAAGGTTAGGGCCAACCTTAGCCTGGGAGGAAGCCCAAAGGCCCAGCCTCCGTTCAGCACCAAGGAGAGCACCAACCCCCCAGGTCGTGTTTGTCTGAGGCTCCCTAATGATGCAATCTGTCTCTTCCATAAAGAAAGCCTGATAGCAGTGTCTGTGATTTACAGAATGTTCAGCAGATGTCTTGGGGTTGGGTGGGTGTCAGGCAGAAAGAATCCAGTTCTCTGCTTTTATATCCCTGAAAGTACTTTTGTCAGATTATTCCTCTAAGAACCTGCATTCATTTCCAGACATGGACAAAACACATTTAAAAAAGTCTTTAGGTTATTTATTTTGTGAGAAGTTAGTACATATGCACATGGCCAAAAATCAAAAGACAAAAAGGAAACTCTAACTTGAATCATAGCAATGTCCATGAAAGACTGCCATGTAATTTTGGTTACACAAGAGAAGTGCCCCACAACTTTGCAGGGCATTTTCATTTGTTAAAACACACACACACACACACACACACACACACACACACACACACACACAGAAAACAACAACAACAAAAGACTATTGTCTGGTTTCCTAACAATTCCAAACATTGGTCCTGATTTATCTTCTAGAGTTATATGCAGTAAGTCAAATATCTTTTCACTTGATGATTATTGAAATACTTGAAGAGAGTTCATGTGTTTCCTCTTAAACTTCCCTACTCAAGGCTAATCATACCCCATTTCATCGACTGTTGCTTCCAGACATCATTACCTTCTTCTGGATGTGTTCTTGTGCCCCAGAATGATTCCTAATATTCCAGATATTATCTGAGGCAAGTATATTTATCACGGGACTATTAACTCCCTCCTTGGATCTGGAAACTATATTTTTGTGAGTGTAGCCGGATACTGCACTGGTTTTACTTAGCAGTCATTTACCATGGCTTAGATTGACAGGGTTGTCAACAAAAATGCTTAAGTCCTTTCTCCTCGGGTTATTGATCAAAGTCTCCTCAGTTCTACATGTATGCAATGTGCAATTGATTAAGTCTATAGAATTTGATATGTTTTATTTGATATAAGTCTACAGAATTATATCAAATTAAACAAATCTTGATATTTGTCCCATGGTTTCAGTCTACTAGAACATTAAAAAATCTTTAATTATGAAATAAATACTCCTCTTGGTTTGGGGTATCCTAAAAAGTCTGAATGTATAGTTTGCATTCCTTTATTCAGATTATGGATTCAAATCTTTAAAAAATACGCAGCTAAGGGTAGACTCATGCTTCCTCCAGGGAAATGATTCTCAGAAATCTGTAAACATGTCCTTAAGCTAAATCCAAGATACACTATATTTAGGATACCTGTGTAATTTAATATTTATGACATAAAAAATTTATTTTTGGTAGAAATTAAATTTAGTATACCTAAAATGGCTCCCAGTATTTGTTACTTTCTCTTTTAATCATCAAAACCTAGTCTTTTCCAAAATCCATTTAAAAATGTCAGTGGCAAGTTTCAGAATCTACTTTTAAAGACTGTGATAATGATGACATTCACCCTCAGCCCCTTAGCATACACTAACTAACAGCCTACCAAGAAGATGCATAAGACATGGCCTGTATTTTCAAAGATCTTGGAAGAATGGGAGATTGGTTATGAGCATAAGAACGGCACTGCAAGGAAGAAGGTAGTGTGTGTTATCTATCATAAAGAAATACAGTTTCAAGGGGCCATTTTGCTTTGGGGTTAGTAATAATAGGTGAAATGTACTAATGTTTCATTAAATATTTTAAGGAAATCTTGAGAAAAATGTGAAAATTTTTATCATTTTGTATAATCACAATTCAAGGTAAATTTAAAAACTTCTGTTTATTCATACTACACTCAATGTATATGAGAGATCTGTCTATTTCATGTAGTATTTTAGAGAATCTTTGGGTTTCAAAAAAGCTGGCAGCCATTTTATCCAACCCCTTGTAGATAGCATGCATGCCTACAGTAATTCAGAGGAAGGCACTACTATGTAGCAATCTCCAGTTTCTGGCACCTCTCCCAACTTCATTGAAAACCTGTTATAAAAATTTCATTTTCCATTGGCTGTAAATGTGAAACAGACAAGCTTCTTTGATTCAAACATCTTTCCAACCATTCATGAACATATTAGCATATGTATTGCATTTCTTGTCCTAGCAGGAATGCTACTGCTTAAAAACAATAGCACTGAGCATATTCCATCACCCAGGGAACACATTTCTAAAAAGCTTATCATTTAGCTTTCCCACTACATCCACGTCTCCCTTCAGCCATGTCAAAAAGCGGTTGTGACTCATCCTGCAACATAAACACTGGACATTAAAATGAATGTGTGCACATGGCTTCTGTGACCAGTGGATGCAGATACAGAAATGACAACAAGAAACAAAGAGCTGAGGCATCTATAGAAAAGACACTGTCCAGACTAGAAGCAACAGAATATACAGTGAAGAACATACGCTTTAAAGATTTGGGTGAATGCCATCTCTAACAACTTAGGAGTCCTGTGGATTTGGGCAGGCTGATTTCCCTTTGTGAACCTCAAATGCTTCATCTTTTGGCAATTAAGACTACAGCAGGAGACAAACAAAGACTCCTGGGTCCATAATTATGCAAACTTCAGACTTTCAAGTATGTGTGTAAATCTAGAATCAAAGTTGTAGCAGTCAAGCTACCTAACCCCTTCCACATTCACCTGCCCAAATATCCTCCCAAGAGCCAATGAAATGTGGTCACTTTTTGCAGGATCTGCCCCAATCAGCTTGTGAGTCAATGTTCAAGAGGATGTTAGCTCCAGCCCTCCTGCGGGTGGAAATCTCTCATTCGTTTTATTTTGTCTCCCTGAATTCTGAGGGTAAAAGGCTTCTAGGCAACACACATGCTCACCACATCTGTGTTAAGCCTTGGGTCCTGCAGTACCCACAACTGGACCACTGCATCCAGTTGAGTGGTGCCAATTCTAGTGGGCACCATCATCCTCACTGTCCCTGTCAGCCACGCACCCTGGAGTTACACCATCCAGGTACAGTGGGCAGCCACAATCTTTCTAAGGGAGATTGTCCTATCTGTAGTCTCGGCTGTAAGGGCAGCCCTAAATTTTCATGTTTTATTCCATATAATTCATTAAGATTTAGCATTCAACTTAACTTTAATTAGGAACCAATTAATCACAAGACATTCAGAAACATTTGGTGCTTTAAGAAGAACAAGAGAAATGTAAAGGCAGAATCCTACCCAGAAAGAATTTACAATTTACAGTGGTCCAGCTTTCCTCAATAATATTTCAAGAAGATTTTAGTTCTAGTAAAATTTGTTGAGTCGTTCTCACACTTTGGGGAAAAGGTGATTTATAAACACAAGCTATTTTTATTGACTATAGATCCCTAGCCAGTTCTTTACAAGGTTGTGTACCCAAGAGGGAAGAAATGCAGTGATTAAAAAGCAACAACAGTTGCAGTTTCTTTTAAGTGACTTTCTTGACAGGGGCACCAGGCAGGGTCAGCTTTTCACATGTCAGTTCACAACGAGATAAATAATTCTTGGAGCACCATCCTTTAGAATTCCTACTGCAACCTCTTGGCTTAGACAAAGCAGAGCTCCCAGGAACAAGCTTAAACCAGATCATGCTCCATTAGGATGCAGTGTCGGTGACTGTCAGAAAAGAGGACAGGATATCCCTACCACAAACTGAGTTTATTTAATCCATCAGTTTTTGAAGAGGAAAAGGATGACATGGAAAATTAAAGAAGCATAGTCTTCCTCTGGTTGTTTCCAAGCAAACAGATTTGACTTGAAAAGCAGGCTGAAAGGCACCAAGGGCAGGATCCCTTTGAACGCTTAGAGGAAAGGTGCCCTGGCACCAACAGATGGAAACGTCTATCATCCAAACAGCCTATTTCATCCTTGTGTGAGTGTGCATGTGATGGTGGGGAGGGCAGGGGGAGAAATACAATGACATACTCAGGGCAAGAACAGGGGAGCCCACTGGGGGATTTGGTGGTCAGAGTCCTGAGTTCCAGCTCTGATTTGGTCCACTTTCAGCTGGGGCATCTTGGGCCAGTTACTGCACCTCTGAATAGGTTCTCTCATCTGTCAAATGGAAATGAAGATAGTATCTATTTCATAGGATGGCTTCAGTATTAAATAATTAATGTAAAAATTCTTATCAAAAATGTCCAACACAAGATAAGTACTCAAAAATATCTGTATTATATTTTTAGTAGGTTAGGTATAATATAGAAAAGATGAGGAAGAGGGGGCTTAACACATAATTGTTAAATAAATGAAAACAAACATGTAACCAGACAGAAATAAATTCTAATCATTTTGTGGGAAATTATATTACCAATCGCAGGTTTTACATTATTTTTTCCTTTAATACATTTGTGGCGGGCTTTACACCCTGACTCTGATATAAGATGTTAAAATCAATGATATTGTGGTACACAGTTGTCATGTGTTTTGAAAAAAAAAACTAAGAACCATTTAGGAATATGTCTAACTTTATAGGATTAAAGAGAATGAAGTGTTAGAAGACTGACTCCCTTAGTGATCACCAGAAGGCACAGCCTGCCCTTTGTGGGGTAGATGTGTCCTACCACCTCTCACTCCAGGTAGAAAATGGGAAAATGATTTTGAAGTGACATCAAGTTCTCCTTAAGCCATCAGGTTCTCATGAAATAATCTACACAAGAGCTTCTTTCATGCTTTCATGAGCTTTGTTCTTTACAAGGCCTTCATTACTCCTTCATTCAGATGTCCCCAAGATACAGAAGCTTTATCCACTTCAGTAACACCACCTTAGCCCAGCAAATTCAGAGCATCATTAGTAGAGGAGAAGCTAGTTTGTCCTTTTCAACGCAGATGTGTGCATGTGCACACACACACACGCACATGCCCACCATGAATTGACCTCTGGGTTGATTAGTGAGAACACTTCTCTTCACATTTCCAAGCTTCATCTAAAAATTGGGTTTAGAGGAGGGGAGTACTGGCAGTTCACTGAGTTAATGATCTCTATTTTCAGACCAGAAAACATTTTCTGTTACATTTGTGTATTGCCATAATATTACCAACTTCCTATTGTGTCAGCTAACACCATTTGAAAATTCTTATACCATTACCACCATTTAATAAAGAGCAAGATGTTATTAACCCTAAAGAACTTGGCAGGACTTGGTTACAGAAAAAGGTTATTCCTTCAGTGCTACGAAGAAAAGACAAAGGGCAACTTTACACAGGCACACACATGTGTGCACAGAGGTAAGTGCATGCATGTACACTCACACACAGTGTACATATGACTGGCTACTGAACAGTGAAACTCCACTCCAGGCTAGCAAGGTCTTCAGTCTAGAGTTCCTTCGACTCTATCAATGCTAAGGTCCCTTCTCCTTCTCACTGTTTTTGATTCTGTGGGCTGGTTTCATATAAATGTAAAGTCATCTTCTCTGGGATGTTTCACTCAAGTCACAGCAACAGAGGTGCAAAATTTAAAAAATCCCACCCTCGTAGGAGAGATTTTTTAGCTAGCTTATGATATTTTCATTGTAGATTTTTAAATTCACTTAAAAAACCTAAAAGGCAAGAGGCCATGCACCAACCTCTCTCTCTCTTGCTCTCTTCACCTAACCTGTCCCTTCACTTTCCTGCTGCACTGGGGTGGGGGACATGCCAACCAGAAGTGGGCAGAGAAGAGAGTGAGGAAAAGGAGGGAATCTGTCCAGGCTTTCATCAGACTGACTGGAGGTACTGACGCGAAATGATTCTGTGTCTGCATGAGAGTAAATGCACACCTTTTGAAGGTTCTATGAGGGCTCCATTCCTTCTGTGGGAGTGTGATATGACCTTTCCTCCGGAGAATCTCAATGCAGGAAGCCCTGGGGATACTCTAGGACCAAGGAAGCCTAGAAGACACTTCTAGGAAACCAACTGGCCCTGATTCCACATGGCCCATATCCTCATCTGAGAGTACTTGGTTAAAGGACTCCTCAAAGATTGTGAAATGTTCCGAAAATCTTTAGTTAGCAGTGTGATATCATCCATACCCAAAAAGGATTTCTCAGAGATTTCTGGAACCCATTGTGGGTTTCTTCCTTTCATGGGGACACCCAAGAAATGACCAAGGGGGATGCTGGGGAAGGGTCTATACCCATTAGGCACAGTATCGCCACACACGAGGCATCCCATTGGCTCAGGATGTCCCACTCGGGCCACCTGAGGCAAGGAAAGGTCTCCCTGTGGTTAGAGTCTCAGATGAGAGTTTCATGCTGGAATATTTTCCAAAGCTCAGTGAACTACCCTGAGATGGCTCCTTTATATTCACTCCAATATATTTCCCATATTGATGAGTATTTTAAATAAACCCAAGGGAGCCAATTCTGATCCACCAGGGAAAATATCACTCCAGTGGGGGCTTTTACAGACAGATGCTCTGTGGAACAGGGTTCCAGCAAGTCACAGCCCTTTGCAGTGCTTGTCAAGAGTGGAAGATTAAAATTATTTCAAGGCAGGAATGCAAGCTTAGGGCCAATGTGTCAGCTTTTTATGGGAACATCATAAAAATCAGATAACTTATCCTTGCTGAAAACTAATATTATGTGCGTCAATCTTCTAGTATAGCATAGTAGAAACTATTTTATGGACTATTGTTATATTTTTCCTCTTTCATTGTGTGACAGAAGCCATTTCTGTGTTTCACTGCTTTTCAGTATGAACTGCCATCAATAATATCTCACAGAGCCAAAAATCATTCACTGTTATGTTAATCATTTGAAATTATTTTTAGCTGGGAAGGAGATTCAGACTTTAATGGCCACTTAAGGAAATGTGGCTTTGAAGTCATGTGCAGGAGGCCCCAGACAGTACAGCTGAATTCTAGGGAGGTTTCTTTTTTCTTTATTATTGTCTTCCTCTCTCAAATGTTCCCACCAGAGACCTCATGGCACCAGAGCAATAATGGTAACAATGCCTTTCATTTTCTCATTAGATCCCAATGGCTCCAAATTACCACTCAGAGCTGGAAATGTGAAAAGCGAAAGGGATGATAAATAAATGACTTGCCCAGGGGCAGGCACAGAACTACACATGGGCCACCTGTTGGCGTTTATTTCTGACAATATCACTTTTAGAGTTTTCTGTGATACCACCTCAGGAAGAGGATGGAAACAAGATACCTACAAGGAAATATGTGGATTGGGCACCTACTATGGATTAGGCCCTTTGTTAGGGACTTTCATATCTGTGATCACACTGACCTTCATAACAGTCCCATGAGGTAAGAATTATTACCCATGCTTTCATAAAGAGAACCTAAATTAAGTAACTTGTCAGGTGTCACAGAACCAGCAAGAGGCAAAGTGAAAGTTTAATCATGTAATTCCAGCCTTGGCCCTGAGAAAGTGAAGACTTGTCTTTTAATGAGGCACAGTTCTTTTCTTTTCAGTTGGAAATGGGTGTACGGAATTTTAAACGATAGACCAAACATATACACCATGGAATACTACACAGCCATATAAAAGAATGAAATCATGTCCTTTGCAGCAACATGGATGCAGCTGGAGGCCGGTATCCTGAGTGAATTAACCCAGGAAGACAAAACTAAATACTGCATATTCTCACTTATAAGTGGGAGCTAAACGCTGGGTACACAAGGACACAAAGAGGAGAATAACAGACACTGAGAACTACTAGGAGGGAAGAGAGGGTGGCAAGGGTTGAAATCTAACTATCGGATACTATGCCAACTGGGTGACACTGGTACACCAAGTCCCAGTAAAATGCAATTTACCCATGTAACAAATCTGCACATGTACCCTCTGAACCTAAAAGTCCAAAAATAAATAAATAAAAAATAACAAAAAACCCAAGTGACCAAAACATTAAAACTTCAGTCAATAATTCCTTTGAGTTTTACTGCCCATAAAATATTAGGTCATTGGCTTTTTCAAAATTTCATTTATACTATAAACTAAGTAAATAAATTAATTTGTCAAAAATTTGGGGTAATGTCCCAAGTCACTGGATTCTGGCCCAATTTGGTGATGGGCTAGGGAGGAGGGAGGCACAGAGGGGAGAGGGGAGGACAGAGACACAGAAGGTTTCTGTCCACAGAGGCTCCTACACTAAGATTCCGATTTCCAAGTACACATCTGAATGACTATTTCTGTCAATGACTACTCTCGATTTCCCAAATTTGGTTATCATTTATATTTTGGTTTTGCAAAGATGATACCTGTCACAACCTTAGGTTTGCTTTGGCATAAACTGTTTTACCTTCATTTGTCACTGATAGAACAGAGTGCTCAGAGAACCAGAAACAGATTAATGGGGATGGGGGGCGTCATTTTACATGGACATCTAGCAGAATAGAAAAGGTAGTTTTCCTTCGTGTTGAAGATACAAGGGATTTGAAAGGAACAGACATAACTGGTCCTAGAGACCAGTTGGTCTGTCACCTACTGTATAAAACTAAGGGTTTCTACATAGAGTTAGCCTTCCTTCAAAGCACTGGATACAGCCACAAAGTAGAGATCTCCTTAATGCAAAAGGCACGTTCTAGAGAGAAGCTTTATTGAAACAAAGAATACAGCAGGCCTAACGAATAGTGGAACAAAGTGACTAGAGTTGCCCCCAGAATTCAATCCCATGGTGGTAGCACTTACTGACCCAATCTCTTTCCTCCCTCACTCCCACCCGTCCTTTTTTCCGTCCACAATGCTTTTGTGGCCACCATATACAAAACAGACATTGAGGTGGACTAGTGGAGAAGAGTGATAAATCAACCAGTGGTCTTCAAGGAGGGGACACGTAAGCAGCCAATAAAAGAATCAAGTCATTTAGCAATGGGGTACCCTAAGGAGACTATGCTGTCTGCTGCCTTTTATAACGAGCATGGATTATTTAAAAATAAAAAAGAACAATAAACAAATTATACTGAAATAAATACACCGAATGGCATCAATACTCATGGGGTTTTCTCTATGACTCCGATATTTAGATTAATTGCCAACCTAAAAGGTTTCCACATTTTAATATTTTTCATTCAGGATTTTATCCTTTTCATTCCTAATATTCTGTGACCCCAAATGTGCTTCATTTAACAAAAATGGAGGGTCACACTGAAAGGCAACTCGTGACTTTGGACACAGATAAACCCTGGCTGGGTTATATTTCATCCTATGAGAAGTGTTCAGCATTCAACCTGCAGCATCCTAGTTGACATAGCAGCATCCTGTAATTACCCCTAAAGGCCATTTGATTTGATAATATATTCACCACCATGTATAATTTACATAATGTTTTACAATTATGCATTAATATGCAAATGTTAGGCTAAAGATTATGTGGCCTAGAAATGCAGTGCAAGTATTTCTCTGACAATCACGCTCTGTGTGTATATAGATATCTAACCTGATAGGCCTTTCAATGTTAGTGAAGGAATGACTCATGGTGATTAAGAAGAAATGAGAATGAGCCCAGCATTCTAAATTTGCAATTCACTTACCAGAGTACATAAAGCCATGTTAAGTTCAATAAATGCTATGAGGATGAACATTTTTCTCTCTAAATTTCTTACGTGGATCTCTGGGATGTCAGAAAGCCTGTCAAAACCAGCACCAAAGGTGGGAAGTGGTTTAGACACGTGCATCCTTTAGACATGTAACTACCATGAAAATAGCTCACCGAGTGTATATTATGACACACTAATCAGATAAACTGGGCTGTGAAATTAAATCCTCTTTCTCCTTTCCCCAACAATAATCCATCTACAAAGGGAAAAGGAAATGAAAGTGGGGAAAGGGATAAATACTTATGTCACTTTAGCGTCACTGTTGATGTGTTAAATGTACAAAAGCCAGGAAATTCAGTTACCGTTCCCATAGCAACTGCAGCTTGCCTCCTGGACCTGGTAAATTAAGTTATGAAAATTAATCCCACTTAGAACATGAGGAAACACTGCCCCTAAGCAAGGGAAACCACAGTTAGGTCGAACTTTGTATTAACTGAGTAGCAAGTTCTCCTCAAGATGAGGTCCAGAGGAAAAGACAGTTGCATGAGCAGCTCACTGCAGGCTACTTTCCAGGAAAAGAAAGGTTTCCTTCAACTGGTATGACCTGACCAGCTGACAGCCCAATAAGTGGGAGCCTAGACATTCCAGAGGCATCAGAGAGGGAATAACAGACACAGCTCCCCTACACATGCAGGCCCAGGATGAGAATTTATTTAATCCTCCCGGTAAGAAAATAAGCTACCATACCTGTGGTGTACCTTACTACTACTTCTGAATGCCAGTTCTCTTAGGATTCAATGAAAAGACCAGCAGAGAAAAGGGGACAGAAATCTGAAACTTATGTGAAAGTCCAAGCTTCAAGTCTTATGTGATTGTCATTCAAATGGATGCTCACACCTGGACCAAGTCTACACCTGGACCAAGTATGACTGTATTACCTGAGGAGGGCTGTAGGTTGTATTTTAAATCAATAAGCAGCTTTTGGTGACTAGCTAAATCCTGGTGAAAATTCACCCAATTAAGATTTCTTTACTATGCTGCTACTTATTTTCAGGTTCAGTAAGGAATCTAAATCTTCAAAATAAAAACTAATAAAAGGTCCTACAGTCAGTACTAAACAAAGTTAAAAAAAATTATAAGATAGGCATATGCTTTCCTTCCCTAAGGAATACAACAAATTAGTTTTGGAACTAAACTATAAACATTACCTATAGTATCAGCAATAGATATGGAAGTCAAATGACATATTATTTAATAGTAAGTGTTTTCAAGCCATGATCACAGTCTTTCTCTTCATCACAGCTTCTACCATCATCCTGGGTTGCTTTTAAATCCACTTGTATGACCCTTGGCCTCATCTCCAATGACCCTTCACTCGATTCCCCTCCGCTATCTCCCTCCGCAGTCACCCTTGAGCTGAGAGTATTGAGAAAACGCACGTTCACCAGAATCAGCACATTGCAACACTCAAGTTTTTGAAGACTGCCTCCTCTCCTACCTCCTTAAGTAGTAAGTACCACTGCTGTAGTTCTTCAACCGGGGCAAAACCGCAAGTTCAACCAGCCCCCTCCTGCCACCACAACCACTTTCTCCCATGCAGATTCCACGGTCCATTATTACAATCATGCTCTTTCTGCCAAATTGCCTAAATTCCTAAATTTTTTCATCCTTGGGTCGTCTGCCGTATCCACTTGTCATAGTCCTAACTATAGAGGAGCTCCATGGGCTTCTTTCTCTGGGCCTACATGGAGCAGCTGAAGTGTCTGCAAGAACACAGTCCCACCAGATGGCCTCACTACAGTCAGGATCCAAACCATCACCTGGGCCCTTGACACTGCCTGGGCATTTTCTCGTGTTCCTCTAGACATCCTGCTCTCACATGCTGCACAACATCATTTCATAAATTTTCTACTGTCTTTAAACCTTGCTCATTGACTCCCCTCATGCTAGGAGGGTGATGCTGCATCCTTCATAGAGAAAATTGAACCATTGGTATGGAGCTTGGGTCCCAGGGAGCTCCTGCCCTGGGATCTGCATATCCTCTGCGATGCAGTAGAAACTGCAGGGACTATGTATGAGGGCTGGAGCATCAGATCATCAGGTTCCAATCCTGGGTCCAAGGTTTGACAGCCAGTGGGCCTTGGGCTAACTACTTCACCCTCTGTGCCTCGGATTCCTCATCTATGAAGACACAAGGACACTACCTGCCTCAGTGGTGTAGCTGTTACAGGAAATAATACGGGCAAAGCCTGCAGAACAGTGTTTGGCACACAATACGCACTCAGAAATGTTAGCCTTGATAATTATCACTGTTATTATGAATCTTGGTTCTCTCCTCTCTTATCCTTCTTACTTACCCTATTAAAACCCTTCCTGCTTTTAAAAGCCAATCTCCCCGTAAGTACTCAGATCCTATCTCCTTCCCCATCTGCAGAGACTAGGCTCCATCAGTGTCTCCTCTCTCTCCTGCACGTCTCTCCTGCCTACAGTGGATCCTGTCTATCTGTATTCAGATATGCTCAGCAGTATGCAGTACCTGTTTAACAGCTAGCTTTTGGTGGGGATGGTAAGGTCTTAGTTGTGTTTGCCAGTTTCTGTAGTGTAAATATTCCCACCATAGCCAATTCTGAGCTGCCCACTGTTTAACGACTGGCTACCAAACTTGCTGAAAATAATTGGTTCTAGTCCATTGGTGATTTATGTTGGAGTGTCTCTCATCTTTACAAAAACTCACTCCCAAACACCACCATGAACAAAAACAAAATGAAAACCCAGCCAGGGTTCTAACACACACCTCCACCTCCCACCCCAAACAGCTATTGCCCTATCTCTTCACTCCCCTTCATGGCTACCCCCACCCTTTTTTTTTTTGAGGTGGACTCCTTCTATGTTGCCCAGGCTGGTCTTGAACTTCTGGGCTCAAGGGATCCTCGCACCTCAGCCTCTCAAGTAGCTGGGATTATAGGCATGCATCCACCTGTGGCTACCATCTTGAAAAGAGGTGTCTCCATCACCCCCGGCCTGACATCTACTCTGCCTTCCATCTCCTTCCATCCCTCCATGAGAACTGCGCTAGCTAAGGACTCCAGTGTCCTCCAGGAAACAATTCAGTCCTCTTCTAACTTGACTCTTAGCAGCATTCACTGGTACCTCCATGTCTTCTGGTTCTGCCCTTCCCCCTCAAGTCACTCCTTCATGTGGTCACCCTCCTCTTCCTCTAGAAGCCCTTAAATGAAGGTCTTCCATGGGTTTGCATGCTGGACCTCTGTTCTTCCCACTCCAAATTCTCTTGAGACAATCTTAACTCATCTCATAACTTTAGTACCAACCCACATGGAAAAAAGTGCCAGTTTATTTTCTCTGCATAGGTTTTCTTTTAGGGTTCTCTGTCTGAATGTATCTATTTTGAAAATGAAAACGCTCGTGCTAGTGGACTGGAGGAACAAAACAAGCATAGAGACACTGCCTGCCCTAACAACATTCACGCAATCTGGGAAAAAGAAACAATCTGAAAAGTTATGTCTGTGACTCACTGATATGGTTTGGCTGTGTCCCCACCCAGATCTCACTCTGAGCTGTAATAATCCCCACATGTCAAAGGCAGGGCCAGGTGGAGATAACTGAATCATGGGGCAGCTGCCCTCATACTGTTCTCATGGTAGTGAACACGTCTCACAAGATCTGATGGTTTTATAAATGGGAGTTCCCTTGCACAAGCTCTCTTGCCTGCTGCCACGTAAGACATGACTTTGTTCCTCATTCACCTTCAGCCATGACTGTGAGACCTCCCCAGCCATGTGGAACTGTGAGTCAATTAGACCTCTTTCCTTTATAAATTACCCAGTCTCGGGCATGTCTCTATTAGCAGCGTGAGAACAGATGAATAAACTTGCCAGCCAGGTAAGTCACAACCACATGAGGAAGAGATGGAATCAAAACTGTAGGGCACTGAGTGTGGCATGTCCATTAATGCAAGCACTTATGCCTGGGTGTACAGCCTTACTTCTCTGAATCTAGTATTTAGCCATTTGAGGGCAATGGCAAGAATGAGGCAAAACTGAATCTCTCTCAGCACGAAGTGATTCTCCAAGCACAGATGCAGGCCCTTTCCTGGCTGTGGCCACTGGGTTGTCCCTTGGTACCCAGTACCCAGGCCTTCTGGGGTCATTCTCCAAAGAAGGCACTGTGGCTACAGGCCAGTAGGCCTCTGTGCCTCAAAGAGCCTCAAAGAGTTCTAGTGTTCTATACCACCGTAGGATGACTATAGTTAATAATAATATATAGTTACAAAAAGTTGGAAGGAGGATATCGAATGTTCCCAACACAAAGAAATGATAAATGACTGAGATGATGGATATGCTAATTATCCTGATTTGACCACTATACCTAGTATATATCAAAACATCACTGTGTTCCCCATGAATATGTACAATTATTATTTGCCAATTAAAAAATAAAAGAGCTATTGATAAAGAGAACATTGGACTCAAGAGCTTGCATGATTTTTAGGGTAGAACAAAATTAATTTTAAAAATCCAGAAACTGAGGGCACTATGTTTTCATCTGCTCTGATACTTGGAAATCCACTTGCATTACCCAGCTAAGCAAAACTAGTGGGTCACAATAACCTACAAGATTTTTGACTGATTAGACAGCAATACCCATCAAAAGGACTTAGGAGTAAATTCTCTATCTGGGAAACTTTTGGGGCAGGAAATATTTTTTACAGACTGAATTTATGAGACAAACTTTGTCAGAATTTAAAGAAGATCTCATAAAAATCAGAATCCATGTATTCTCCAGAAACTCATCCATTCATTTTTAGGTAAAGGTTTAAATTTATAGATGCCACTGATTACTGAGGGTGGCACGCAACCCAAGCATTCATCTACAGACATGATGCTTTGAGAGTAAACATTCTGATCACATGGTGCTAAGGTGCCCCATCAATTGAAAAGAAAGTAAGAAATCAACATGGAAAAAAGTATCCAGTCCACACATATGTGCTGAGCATCTCACTACTTTTCAGGTCTGTTGGTCAGCAGGGTACAGCGATGAACAAAATATCTAAACGTATGTGCAACAAAGAGCGACAGAAATGCAAAGTATTTTCTTCTTATACTTCATATTCTAATTATTGTATTATGTACAGATATTTATTTTCTTCCCATACTTCCTTTTCTAATTATTCTACTATGTACAGTCATCTGTTTCATCATCAGGAAAAGAAGCGGAGCCTTGTTTAAGGAAAAGATGTCGAGAGAGATAATTTCAGAAATGATTTCAGACATTTAAAACATTAAAACAACCTTGTTTCTAAGTTATCTCTATTAACTTTAGAATTATAAAATTAACAAACTAGAAATAGAAATTGTTAGTCTGCAACAGCTTGAAACTCACATAATCTTTCTTTTTTTTTTGAAAAGACAGAATTTTCCTGTTATTAACACCATAAAGGTTTAAAAAAAAAGCTTCTTTGAAAGAACTCATGTGGCTAATAAATGTGTTCTTGAAGGCTCTTCTCGGACTGGAGTCACTGACAAATCTCAGAAGGATGAGTTGAAATATAAACTCTAGGCGAGCTATTCTCACTCATAAATAAAACAGTTCGAACTCTGCTTGGGGTTATGAGAATCCAAAATTCAGTATTATGGAGGTACTCAGAACATTTGCATTTGAACATTAGAGACCAAATACTGGGCTAAGAGAATGGAGAAGACCAACAGGTAATAGGCACAGATGGCCTGGGCACAGGTCTACTGCTCTCAAGTGGAACTGACTGTGGGTCACGTGTTCCACTTTGACACATGGGAAAGTTCACATGCCTCATCCCTTCCCCAGGCAGGCCCTAAATGAAGGCTGTGGTAACATGAGATGGGTTGTGCAGTAAAGCAGTTCCCAGCTGTCCGGGTGAAACTCTATCCCAGTCTCCCTGTCTCAGGAAAGTACAGTAAGTTAGCAAGTGAGAGTGACGTTAAAGAGATATTCTTGAACCCGCTCTAGGAAACCACCTGTACCCTTTGGCACTTTACCTATTCTTAGTAATAGAATATTTGTGACCATTAAGATGTGATGAGGTCACAGTTGACAGTGGCCAATGTATATGACACTTATTGTCAACATTAATTCCCAGGACATAACCCCATCTCTTCTTATTGCACTTGCTAGTATAACTATGAGGCCCACTCTGTTAAGGCAGATGAATTTTAGCATATGCCTCAGTAAAACACAAATAAGAAAATCAATTTCATAAAAGAACAAAACATTTAGGATACAGGTAACTCAGAAATTAACATGCAATGTCTCAGACTTATATAACTGAGAGAGTAGAGAGAACTACAGTTGGTTCATTACCCAATATAATGATATAATGAAACTAAGGAGTGTTCATGCTGGTTTACAAAAGGGGAGATAGTGGTGCTCACTAAAGCACAGACAGCTTGAGGGATTCCTACAGAAATCCCCTTTAGGAGGTCTGGGCCCCACAAGCAAACATTACATAGTAATGAGCCCGACTCCTAGGTCATGAGATGGTCCCCCAAATTATTGAAGGCTATAAATCTTAAATATAAAGGTGGCTAATACAAAATAATTATAAAACAGCAGTTTGAATTTAAGTGACAATTCTACATGTGAAATATAAAAGTGTTAATGACCTCATTTTGAAATGATGGTCACATGTCTCCAAATGCCTCATCTCTCCGTGTAAGAGTCAGGGTTCTATCCTGACAGTAGGACACTCCTTCATTCCTCTAAGATTGCAGCTGCTGCTCCCTGGGAGCCTCCCAGTGGTGGGAACAGCTCCAATCCCATTCTAAACCACTAAGAGCTCCAATAAATGGTTACCATTTACTCCCAGGGTTGGCCAGTAAGCCCCTCCCCACTTCCCCAGTAAGTCTAACTAGAGACAAAAGGAATACATTAAAAAAATGTGCTTTATCTACACCTTACAAGTCTGGTCCTAAGACCTCTCTAAATAGATCTAAGCGATCTATTTAGAAGGAAAAGAATATGTTTCTTGATGAAAACCACTCAAATTAGTAAATTAATTCTTGATCTGATAAAGTCAAAACAAATCCACTCCATCACTTCCCAACCACTTCATGTATGAGGCAGGGGAAAAATCCAGAACCAGAGTTACTAAAATCAGAAAAGTTCTAGCAGCTGCAAACATGAAATTAAGAAATTCCCTAGAAGAGAAATTCTCAAATTGTGCCTCACTGTAGCAAAGAAAAGTGAATGACTAATAGGTGCTAAAATTTCTAAAGTCTCACATCTCATAACATGCCCCAAACTTATAATTTATTTCATAACAAGCACTTTTAGCTCAATCTTTGGAAGAAATGTTTCAAATGGAACCGATCTCCGATTTCATACTAAAAGTTGATGAGAAAATGGGTCTCAGAATTAGTAATAAACTTTGCTAGAATGTTCTACTGACTTAAAAATTAAGAATTGGAAGAATTTTATAACTAAAATATTGTTATATTCTATTTCGATCCATCTTACCAGCATAAGTTGAAATTTTTCTTATGTGAAGTTACTCCAATTTCACCCTTTTTAACTTTGAGAACATGAGCTAATTTCTGTGCTCTCTCTGCATATTTATATCTAAATCCTAGATTTGCTTGAAAATGAGAATTTTATCAGTTGTCAGAGGCAACTCAACATAGGAGGGTGACGAGGGGAGAAAACAAAATTATATTCAAATGAAACTTAAGCTGGCTCCCATCTGGCTAAACTTTAAGCTTCAAATAAATGCAATTTTCTTTTCTTCACCTCATCCAATCAGACACAGAAGATATTTCTCTAGGGGGTAAGGAGATAGCAATCAAAGGAGGCAAAAGAGGGAAAACTGCCACTGCATCCTCTTACATCCTCATCACCCTACGTTCCTGGCACCATTGGATGGCAGAGGAGCCCATGCTGCTTAAGTCTCTTCATTCTGTGGCTCTTCACAAGCCTTCCACATCTTGGGGAGTGTGATTAAACAGACGAGAAGAGGATATGAGAATATGAGAGGCTGGGAAAAATTCATATGAAGATGCAATCCTCTTGTATTCTTTCTTTCTTTTTCATCTATAGTAGAGGGCTAAGACCATAAAAATTTATCAATTTAGTTCACTGAAAATATTGCACCCTTTCTTGATTTCCGTTGGAATTTGTGAACTGTGTGTGTGTGTGTTATACTTAAAACACATATTTAAGTATCAGTCTGGGATAACAGCTGTAAATTGGAAACCAAGATCAGCAAATACACGGGTTTCCAGCCTCCTGTTCTCATCTGTGGTCCCACGTGTCTTGAGCAAGGCTTTCTTGTTTGGTCTGGCCATTCCTGGCTTCTAGTGAAAGATGACATGATGGATTTCAGAATGATGGGTACCAGCTTTACTCTGTTGTCAGGCAGGGCTCCTGGCTCACCCTGTGGAACTAACCACACCTGGATTAATAAACTAAGTAGGGTAATCCAGTTAAGGGGAGCATCTGTGATGTATTTTCTCTTCTGGGACATTCCTTTATATACAATTCACAAAGGGGAGGCATACTCTCATCAAGGAATCAGTGCATCATCCTAACAGTTAACTCAATGAGATTAGTGGAGATTTATGTCAATGAGCCTAGATTTACTTTCACCACATTCCCCCACCGATTATCCTCCACCAACTGAGAACTACTAGTCAAAGAGGCAAAACTCATTGTCCAGAGAAAACTTTTAGGAGAACTGAAAATAGCCTGTATCCTGATTTTGATGGTGGTTACATGATGGTATACAATTACCAAAACTAAAGAACTGTACATCAAAAAAGGGTAAGTTTTACTGTATAAATTATCCCTCGATGACTCTGACTTAAAAAGAGAACAAAAGAAACAAAGAAAACTGAATCTCAACTGGCATTAAACCAGTATATTGAGTGGAAGAAGAGAGACACAAAAAGCTACACATTGTAGGGTTCCATTTACATGAATAGTAGGTAGAAAAGAAAGAGAATAAATTATTCATCCCTTCCACCTCCACCCCTACACATTCAAACCTCATATTCTTCACCATGCCCACAATCTTAGGAAAAAAAATGTATTTTTCCCAAAGCTGGCCTCACGCTCTCAAAAAGAAACTAGCAAGAGATTTCATAACTGTGTTTCAGAGTCTTGAGTGGGACTATAGTTCAAGAACAGAATCAATTTTGGGTGTTTTGATTCAAATCTCCTAAGGAGAATTCAACTCCAGAGAGAGCTCAATGGTGGTGTACACATAGTCTCTACCTTCCCCACTCCCCAGGTTTAATTAAGCTAAAAAATTTAAGTACATTCAACAAGTAAGGAAGACAATACAATTTGATAACATCTTCCTTTATTTGGTGTAACTTGAAAAAAACAAAACTCATGCTACCATATTTTATTTACTAACAATAGCTAAAAATATCATCCCCCAGGCTCTTTAATTTTGCTAGTAGATTAAAATAAGAAAAATTCCCTTCAGGCAAAACTAACTTTGTTAATGCTCCCATTTCAAACATTATCTTAGGTCAGACATTTCTTTGGAATATTATCTAGCTTTTAAATACACACACACGCACACGTGCACACACGCACACAATATATATAATATTAGTATACTCAATTAAAAAGGTTCAGGAGAGCTCTTCAGCTGGGAGCTGAAGCTCAAGAGTAAACAAGTTCTTCTTGAGAATGAGGAGGAGCATTCTTTATTTTAAATCTAAAAGTATTAACTCAAAAATAATCTAAAACTTACAAAAATTAGCTACTAATCCAACTACTCTATAGGCTTTCGGCAATTCAAAAAACAAAGAGTGTTAAAGTACATGAAGCACCAAAAAAGGGTCTCCTCTGAAAATTGGGCTTGGGCCCTGATATGGTTTGGCTGTATTCTCACCAAAATCTCATCTTGATTTGTAACCCCCACAATTCCCGCGTGTTGTAGGAGGAGCCTGGTGGGAAGTAATTGAATCATGGGGGTGGGTCTTTCCTGTGCTGTTCTCATTATAGTAAATAAGTCTCATAAGATCGGCTGGTTTTAAAAATGGGAGTTCCCTGCACAAGCTCTCTTTGCCTGCTGCCATCCACGTACGATGTGACTGCCATGTGGAACTGTAAGTTCATTAAACCTCTTTCTTTTGTAAATTGCCCAGTCTTGGGGATGTCTTTATCAGCAGCATGAAAACACAATATAGGTCCCTCAATACTTAACTTCTTATGAACTCGGAATGCAAATCAATATAGCTCCTCTATTTTAATATCTTTAAAGCAGTAAACTACGTAAGTAAAACCACCACTCCATACACATCCCAAATGAGGAATCATCCATTCCCCTTATTACTTAAAGAGTCAACCTTCAGTTCCTACATCAATAACATGCGTCACCATTAACTAGGAGGAGCCTGCAGTGAGGGGGTGCCACTGGTTTCTCTTCTTCATAAAACATAAGGCGAGTACCACTCACATGCAATTACAACAGAACCAACCATTTGGACACACAAAATACACATGGACAATACATATGTCAAAAAATGTTTAACCTTTCTCATAAAAGAGCCAAGAATGAGACAATACCTTGAACTCTCAAGTTGACAAAGAGGTTTCTTGGTTTTCTTTTATTGTTGCTATAATTTTATCATATCCCTGCTAAGGGGCCAGAAACATCAAAGGAAACTTTTCAGAGGGCAGTTAGGCAACATCTATCTAAGTAACTATACATACATGCCCACTGACTAGCAATTTCACTTCTAGGAATTTCTTCTAAGTAAAACATTAAAAATGAATCCTTTGCGTTAATTCTGGTGGTAGATATAGCCAGAGGTGTTT
The DNA here is from genome assembly GCF_000001405.40 of Homo sapiens. Taxonomy (NCBI): domain Eukaryota; kingdom Metazoa; phylum Chordata; class Mammalia; order Primates; family Hominidae; genus Homo; species Homo sapiens. The sequence continues at coordinate 37,073,148 of NC_000007.14, forward strand.
TTTACAGTAAAAATTTGGAAACAATCTCAATATATAGAAATAGACATCTTTTGAACATAATGCTATCTAGTCATTAAAGAATATGCCCTTGAAGGATATTTTAAGATATAGAAAGAAGTTACTGATGATAATTTTGAGGGAAGGAAAAAAGAAACCAGGATTCTGAACTTCAGAGGCAGTATGATCCCACATTTTTTATATATACATGTATATGCAAACACATGTATTTATGCAGATAATGTGAGGATACAAATATAGATACAGTAGAGGCTAAAAGGGAACACATCACTATGCCTACACTGTTATCTCATGGTGGCAGAATAGTAAGGGGCTTTAATTTTCTCCTTTAAATATCATTCCCATTTTCTAAAACTTCTACATTTTCAACAGCGGACAAGCATCTGGTTTTTATTGTTGTTTTTGTATGTGTGTGTGTGTGTGTGTGTGCATGTTTTTTTTTTTCCTTAGAGACAGGGTCTTGCTCTGTCGTCCAGGCTAGAGTACGGTGGCACTGTATCCTTCACGAACATATCATAGTTCACTGTGATGCTTGAACTCCTGGGTCTGTGCTAGGACTACAGACACATACCACCATGTCCAGGTAATTTTATTTTATTTTTTGTAGAGACAGGGTTTTGCTGTGTTGCCCAGACTTGTCTTCTGGCCTCAAGAGACCCTCCGGCTTTGGCCTCCCAAAGTATTGGGATTACAGGAAAGAGCCACTCTGCACCTGACCACTAAAATTTTTAATGTATTGATTTTATAATATTAAAATATATTTCTATGTATCTTATACAGTCCAGATTTTGTGTGATATTTTAGGAGAAGTAGGGAAATGGCAGAAAAGAATTCAAGAACAATTATGTGACTATTTTAAAAAATGAAAATACTGATCTTCTCAAAAGTTATAATACAGTATAATTAAATATATAGTATAAATATATAGTATGCAAAAATATATATTTAAGTATATAAATATATTTATATATCAATATAATACTATATATTTATGTATATATGTAAATACATTTATATATTTTATATATGCATAAATTCATATATAGGGTATAAATATATAGTATAATTTAAATATAATAGAAAATATTTGGAAATAAAATCTATGCTATGTCACTTGTCTAAACAGTGGTAGAAATCAAAGGATTACTGTGGGTAAAACAGCTTTATTAATATTCTGTTTTGCTTCTAGAGAACTACTCTTTGCTCAGTAGCTTAAAATGGTGTTAGAATATAAACAAATAAGAAATAACTCATGATTCACTTTTCGGTTATCTTCACCAGATCAATAAACTCCCAGTGCCTGGAATGAGATCTGAGACATAGCTGATGTCCAGTAGGTATTTGCCTAATAACTCTGTGGCCTGGGTTCCCAGGAGGGCGAGGGGATGAAGACAAGAATCCTTTTGTCTTTGCTGTCCTATCTGAGTATCATGCTTGCAACACAGTAGGTGCCCCACAGAAGTGCACTGAATTATACTTAGCCTGGATCCAGGGCCCCCAGAGTTTTGTGTGGTGGTGGCAATAACCCGGCTATGAATGTGGGGTTAATATTAGACCAGAAGCAGCTAGGGAGAGAACGTACCAAAGAGCAGAGTCAGAAGTGAGGAGGTTTAGCTTGTTTAGGGAGTTGCAAATGGGCAAAATGCAAGCTGATTTTGGTTGTTAGTTTTCTTTTGAATTGCATTAGAAATTTAAGGCAAAAAACAGGCAGAAGCCAGATTACAGAGACTTTCAAGGCCCAAAGCAGTAAGGGTTTTTCCACAGACCTTGGCTTGAATGGGGGTGAATGACTACTCAATCATTTTCTTATTAGTCGGAACCCTGAAATTGCTTTCTCATGCCGCACTTATTCCCATTCCCTGGATTGTGTGTGAAGATGTCCACGAGCAATAAAAGGTGTGTAACACTTAGCCAGCCATTTCTGCCTGGGTTTTAGATACATGGCTTTTACGTAGATAGTAGTTGATGGCTTTCATTTGGAATTTTTTTTTTTTTTTTTGAGATGGAGTCTCGCTCTGTTGCCCAGGCTGGAGTGCAGTGGCACGATCTCTGCTCACTGCAAGCTCTGCCTCCCGGGTTCATGCCATTCTCCTGCCTCAGCCTCCCAAGTAGCTGGGACTACAGGCGCCCGCCACCACACCCGGCTAATTTTTTTTTTTTTTTGTATTTTTAGTAGAGACGGGGTTTCACCATGTTAGCCAGGATGGTCTCGATCTCCTGACCTCGTGATCCACCCGCCTCAGCCTCCCAAAGTGCTAGGGTTACAGGCGTGAGCCACCACGCCCGGCCTCATTAGGAAATATTTTAAACGGAACATTATCTTTCCGATAAAACCCTGGCAAAACACTGAGACAAATGAGAAACACAGAAGCTGTTTTAAGGCCTAGCTCCAGGAGGATGAGACCAAGGTTCTATTCGGCAGCTAAAAGGATGGACACTGTCCTTTTATTTAAAAGACATGTCTTGTGGCTCCTTCTTATATGCACATAGGAAATGTCACTCATTCTTATTTTCTAATCTATCAAGAAGCCCTTCTAGGAGGGGGAGAAGCCTAGGGATATGGGGACATCACAAAGAGCCAGAAGTGGCACCAACAGAAAGGCTGTGAGCAGGAATTGCATGGTGACAGATGATGATCACCCTTCCTTGTATCACTGTGTGCCAGGCAACTCATCCCTTAAGATAAACCCTGACACAAAATAATGAATTTGAATAAAAAAATGTGTAATGCATTCATTAATGTGAAAACAGACAATGCTCTGTTGAGTAAGTAATTTCAAGGTGAATTGCCTTATAATGGGGTGGGGGTTGAGGGGAACTTTTTAAACTCTTTCAGCTGTGACCTACAGTATGAAACACATTTGTACTACATCCCAGTACACAGGCAGATGAATGTAAAACTGATTTAATGAAACACTTCCCTTTGCTACTTGTGAGGCACTCTAAAAATTATTTTATTCCATTTTGAAACCACTATCCAAAATTCACTAAAGTCATTTCGTTACCCCCTGATGAGTCACTATTCTCAATTACTTCCAGAGAGTAATCCATTTGACTGCCTCCTTCCAGTTATTTTTTTTCCTATTTCTTGAGATAAAAAGCCTCCACAACCACATCTCATGAACTACTCAAAGCTAGAAATCAAAGGACTCAAGGTCATGACTAAAGAGGAATACTCAAAAATGACAGAAATTATAGTATTATCTTAAGCATAAATACAGACAACCATGTGGCATGGGATCCGATGAAGTAAGAATAAAGGTTCAGGAAACGGTCTCTTTTGCCCATCTCACCAGCCACGATGACCAGTGTTTTAAGGGAAAAACAACACAGTCAACAACCAGAAGGTTAGATTGATCTTGTTTGGCTGTTTAAATTTGTTTCCTTATCACCTGAAAACCCAAACCTCTAGTTAGCCAAAATAGTTCAGTAAGTGTTATTGGCTATGATTCTAACTTTTCCTCAAGGTCAGGGGCAGCAAAGAATCTGGGGCTCCATCCCACATAAAGAGAACAAAGATCTTGAGTTCCATTGGTGAGTATCTAGCAGCAGCAGGACCCATCTGCTGGTTTCTCACCTCCTTCCGACTGCCAGTGATGGTATCATCCTGAGGGTGCACAACGCTCCACCACAGACAGCCCCCACTTCTGGCCAGCCAGGTTCCCAATGCTGCCTCCATCAGGATGATAGTGACAGGCAATATCTGCTGAGCACAGGCTGTGTATCTGGCACTGCGGCTAAGAGCCTTCCCATTGCCTTCTACTATCTCATGTAACTGCCTGTGCTGACTGGGAGATTTTACGGATTATTTACTGTCCCAATTATGCCCCCGACAACAAAGAATTTAACTTTCTAACAAAACTGTCTTCTGTCCAGTTCAGTATGGTAGCCACTAGCTGCCCCGCTCCAACCCGTGCAGCCTCTCCAAGCTTTACATACATGTTGGATTAAAGGACAATCTTATACTAGAATTGGGATGGAACTGATACTAATTATGGGGCAGATGGAGCTGGCGGGAGAAAAGCTGCAAAGAAAGATATGCAAATATGCAATTCAATACAGTGTGAGATGTGCCTCAACAGGGCGAAGGGCAGGATTAAGCCCAGGTCTCAGGGAGCTGTGCCCTCAGGGAGAGAGGCTGAGAAGTGGGTCTGAATTGTACAAGCACAGGGATGGAAAGGACATTCTGGAATGAGGACCCAGTGTGGGCCATGGCCCAGGGTGAAGAGGAAGCACGTCACACTGAGATTTCTGGGGCGTGGTGGTGTTGCAAAGAAGTTTGGGCTTCAGCCTAAGAGGAATCATGGCCCAATGGGAGTTTTAGACAGGTCTGACAATGCTGTAGGAAAAAATACACAGTTGCAGGATGAAGCAGGGGCGGATTGGAGGAGGCAAGTATGCAGGCCATACAATGGTGATCTGAATTAGAGTGATGGGAGTACATATGCAGAAAAATCAGGAGATTTAAGAAATATGGGTACTGAATTAACAGGACGTGGCCGCTGGCTGACTGTGGATGTGAGGCAGTGACTGAAGATGGCAGCAAGTTTCAGGCGCCAACAACGGGGTAAATGGTGACCCCAGGGGTCAGGAGGAGCCACAGGTGGAGAGAGGAGCTAGTGCATTTTCACTTTTTCTTGATTGCAGGAGCCAGGCCTTCCAGTCTAACCCACTGTTAGGGAGAAATGATCCAGAGCATACGAGCAAAGGGGAATGTACCTCCTGCCTTCGTGAGTAAAGGGAAAGAAACCTACATAGGAAGCATGAATATTTATACATTTAGTTTGATATTTTCCTCTTTTATTTTTTATGTCATAAGTAATGTCTATTCATTATCAAAAATATAAAGAGTACAGAGAAGCAGAATCAGGATGACCTAGTCAGGAGGCCCAGCAGCCACAGTGCTGCAGGCCCATGATGCTTTCAGAGGCCCCTGAAAATATTTTAAGTTCAATTTAAATCAGAAGGAAAACGTAAATAGAATAATGAATATATAATAATGAATCCGGGCACGATTATATTCATCTTTATAATAATGCAGTCATAAAATGTTAAGTTTTAATACTGTTTTATGAAGGAAGGGACCCACAAAGGCAAAAGTACCTAGGGCACATGAAAGTAATAATATGGCTATAGTGTAGATGAAGAAAGAGCATCCATAAATCCCTATCTATAAATCTCTACCTATAAATCTCTATCATAAATATGCATAAATCTACCATGCCTACATCTGTAAGTCTCTCTCATGTCTATATCTATTAATGATCCATCTATCTTAATATCTCCCTATATATGATCACCCCAAATCCCACCATCTCAGTTAGGTTTCTTCCTCTACCTCCAATTTTTTAATTAGTTTGAAAACTGCCTTTTATCTGAATCTACATGACTGCTCTGTGAAGTGCAAATGCTTCAGCCTTTCTAGGGGTTAATTTGGTAAATAAATAAAAAGCTTTAAGATTTCAAACCATTTGACATAGAACTTCTTCTAAGAATTAATTTACAGGAAATAATCACATGGAATTACAAGGATGTTCATCACAGTGCTATTTCTCATGAAAAAAGGAAATATCCTTAAATATCCTGCAATGAGTCTAGTCAAATTAATTATAGTAGATACACACAATGAAACACTAAGCAGACATTAAATAATGATACAATTATATTTTTGTTATCGTGGATAGTTACAATATATTAAATAATAGAATATTTAAAAATACACGCTTTAATCCTGTATTAATGCCCAAAAAGCGTACAAAGGTATATATGAATCCCTCTTGGTGGCAGAATAATAGATAATTATTGGTTCTGCTTCTCTACATGTTTAAATTTTTTAGCATTGAGCATATATTACCTGTGAATTTAAAAATACTAAAAGTGTGCACTATCTAATTCAGAATCTGTTGGTAGACACTTGGCTAAGGAAATTATTAAGATGTGTGTAAAGACAGAGATATAGGTCTCCGTCTTCATCAAATTTTCCCTCTCTACCAAATCTTCCCCAGGAGCATATAAACATGCTGTTATTTCTCCCACCAATAAAAAAATCTCACTTGACTATAACTTCCCTTTCAGCTTCTACCTTATTTTCTGTATCACTGTGAAGCAAAGCCCCTTTAAATGGTCATCTGTATCAGTACCTCTCAAACTATCTGCAGTGAAAACCAGTTTGTTTTCAATGTCTAACTTGTTGATTAGAAACAGACACTCTTGAAAAAGTATAATGAAAATTAACCACTAGAAAAAGGATCATGGGCTTGAAGGCTGTGGTGATGTCAAATGGTGTAAATGTTTCTAAAAGCCTCCTCTTCACTATCTCCTCACAGCCATCAGTGGCCCACACTGAGCAGCATGCATCTCTACTAATAGTCCCATTGCCTCTGCCCCTACTTGCTCTTAACCCATCTAGTTGGGCTCTCTCCTCCCCCACTCCGGTGAAATCACTCTTGTTCAGGTCACCCTGACCTCCACCTTACTAAAAATCAATGGTCAGTTCTCAGTCCTCATTTAACCCCATCACCTGCAGCATATGACACTGCAATCTCTCCTTCACCTTGAATTGAACTTTCTCTTGAGTTTCTTCCTATGCCCCTGGGAGCCCCACTCAACTCCTTCCCCAGCCTCCTCTTCTCCCCAGCCTCTAAATCTTGGGGTGCTCTAGGCATCAATTCTAGGGCCTCTTCAATGCTTTCATTCAGTCTCATAGCTTTAACTATTATCTATATACTGTTGATGCTCAAAGTTACATCTCCAATTCAAAATCATCCCCTAAACTCCAGACACATATATCCAACTATGAAATCAACATCTCCAATTAGATGTCTAAACAGCATCTCAAAATTAACACAAACAAAACAGAACTCCTAATCTTCTATGCCCCTCCATCAATTTCAGTGATGACTCCCTGCTTCTAGTCATCCATCCTTCACTCCTCTTATTCCCCACTCCACATCCAATCATCCAGGAAAATCCTGTTGGCTCTACCTTTAACATAAATCCTGAATCCAACCTTTTTACAGTACTGCCACTGCTAACACTCTGGTTCAGGACACCATCATCTCTCAACTTGCTTATTGTAGTGGGGTATATTAACTTGCTCTCCCACAGTCTAATCTCAATACATGAGCCACACAATTCTTTGAAATTATAAATCACATAATGTCACATGTATGCTCAATCTGCCCAACGGCTTCTCTTTCTACGTAGAGTAAAAGCCAAATTGGTTACAAGGGCCTACAAGCACCTGAAGAATCTCTCACCCACCATCCCACTTTTTTTTTTTTTTTTTTTGAGACAGAGTCTTGCTGTGTCACCCAGGCTGGAGTGCAGCGGCGTGATCTCAGTTCACTGCCATCTCTGCCTCCCGAATTCAAGCGATTCTCCCACCTCAGCATCCCAAGTAGCTGGGACTACAGGCGCCTGCCACCACGCCTAATTTTTTTTTTTTTTTTTTTTTTTTGTATTTTTAGTAGAGACAGGATTTCACTATGTTGGCCAGGCTGGTCTTGAACTTCTGACCTCGTGATCCACCTTCCTCACCTTCTCAAAGTGCTGGAATTGCAGGTGTGAGTCACTGTGCCCGGCCACCCTCTAGCCTACTCTTATACTATCTTTCCCTGGTTCTCTCTGCTTCAGCCCCACTGGCCTCTGTGTTCTTACTTTCTCATGGCAAACACTCCTGCCTCAGGGTCTTCACATTGGCTGTTCCCTCTTTCTGGAAAACTCTTTTCCAGACACTATCTTGGCCCACTTCCTCACTTCATTCATAATTGTGATCAATGTCACCATCTCAATGAGGCAATCTCATGAGTCCTCCCTTTTCTGCTGCATTTTTCTCCATTTTTCACCATATGACATACTTCTTTATCTGTTTATTACCTTTCTCCAACTAAAATATATGCTCTTTAAGGGAATGGATAGTAGTCAGATTATTTCACTGCTATAGCCCCAGTGCTAACATGTTAAGTGTATTTACTGAGCAAATGTTCATCCCGGTGCTCTTTATAAGAAAAAAAATTGCAAACAATATAAATACCTGTCAATGGGAGACATACTTTCATAAAATGAAATACTATTTATATCCATATCCACAAAATGACCCTATCTATAAAATGGAATACTATGCAATTATTAAAAGTTTGAATGAACTTTTGAATGAACATATTTTCTGAAAGATGTCTCTAACACATTAAGTGAAAAGAATCAGGATATAAAGTAATATGCGTATTAGTTCATTTTTATAATAAAATCACCTAGGAGAATTTGGTACAGTATATGTGATATGGTTTGGCTGTGTCCCCACCCAAATCTCATCTTGAATTTTAGCTTCCATCATTCCCATGTGTTGTGGGAGGGACCCAGTGGGAGATAACTGAAACACGGGAGCAATTTCCTCCTTACTGTTTTCATGGTAGTGAATAAGCAAGTCTCACGAGACAAGGGGAAACCCCTTTCACTTGGCTCTCATTCCCTCTTGGCCTGCTGCCAGGTAAGACGTGCCTTTTGCCTTGGGCCATGATTATGAGGTCTCCCCAGACAGGTGGAACTGTGAGTCCATTAAACCTCTTTTTCTTTATAAATTACCCAGTCACAGGTATCAGCAGCATGAAAATGGACTAATACGATGTGCATTAAGGTAAACTCTTGATCTAAAACAAAAACAAAAAAAATAATGAAAACAATGAACCCTGCGAGGCCTTACATTTGAAGTTTCTTCTGATGATGGTAATGACACAGAAAAGCAGCAAGCTGAGTTCTCACCCGGGCAAGTCGATGGGAAAATAAGTCAGTGCATTTTGGTAGGATTCTTACGGACTCTGGTAAAAAGCAATTTCTCAAACAATTAAATTGCCAATAAAAGACTAAGAAACATGAGAGCTATGCTTCTTGGGGATAGGTATGACTTGCAGAAATGTTAATAGCATTTGCATTTAGGTTCATTTCTTCCTCCATGTGTCAGGTTTATTTAGATACCGCTGTTTCCACGTAAAGATGGGCCAGGCACCTGCCACAGTCCCCAAAAGCTGCACTGGCATTATAATGGAGTGGCCACCAAACCTAGCCCAGAGGATGCTTGCATGGGAAAATAGAGGGGGAGAAATCAGTTGGGCAGAAAATGATGAAAACAGAGGGATTTTTTTTTTTACCACTTCCTATATCTGTTCTGGCAAAATTAATGTTTAACTCCTCTCAAAAGATTCTGATGGTTGATATTTCAAAGGAGAAAAACATGCAGAATGAGAAAAGCATATTTCACAGCCAGGTACGGTGGCTCATGTCTGTAATCCCAGCACTTTGGGAGGCCAGAGCAGTCAGCTTGCTCGAGTCCAGGAGTTCCAGACCAGCCTGGGTAACATGGTGAAACCCTGTCTCTACCAAAAAAAAATTGGTATAGTGTAGAGTAGTGTGTCTGTGTAAAAATTGTGTGTAGTGGCATGTGTCTGTGGTTCCAGCTACTTGGGAGGCTGATATGGGAGGATCACTTGAACCTGGGAAGCAGAGGTTGCAGTGAGCTGTGACTGCGTTACTGCACTCCAGCCCGGGTGACCCTGTCTCAAACAAACAAACAAACAAACAAACAAACAGAAAAGCCCATTTTGCTTAATTCTCTGTCCAAAAGCTGAGAGTCGTCACACCTGCATGGGAGAGGTAAGTCCTTTGGTCCGTGCTTTGAGGTTGCCTATTCCCCAGGAGCCCTTTATAACAAGGCCTGTGGGCATTTCCATAATTCTCTTGTACAAAATGGAATAGTCAGTTCAGGTTATACATATGTCACTCAAGAACAGGTGACAACAAAGTTCAAGTATAACTAATGTAGTGGTTACAGTCAGCATATTGGTTACATAACAAGGAGTACCACAGTAGCTTTAGAGCTGGGGGCCACCTGGACAATCCCAGCATTTCCCCGCCTAGGAACATGAGGACCATACAGGAGACACTTGTCTAGAGCTGCTTGGTAGTGGAGCCAGAACTAGAATCCAGGTCTTCTAATGCTTAATCTCTCTTAGGCACTGTGAGTGGCTCTTGCCACCCCAGAGTAATATCCACTTAGCCATGATCTGAATTCCCAGGGAAGGGTAGGTCCAAACTTGGGAGGGGGCCATCGGGCTGCCTAGGAATCAACTGCAGAGTCTATTAAGCTTGCTGATTTCTGGATTCCCCTGCAGGAATTTGCATTTCACAGAAGCTCCCCAAAGTGAATCTGATACACAGCCAAGTCAGGAATCACTGGACTAAGTTATACAAGACAGAAGAGCAAAGAAACCAGCAGATTTCCATTTAAAAAAATGCAAGTCATTCTCCTTACTCACTCTATAAAAAAAAACATGGAAATATGTAATTATAAAGCTCAAAATAGCTTCTTCAGGGAAAAAAAATGTGATTCACACTTCTAAAGATGCTCAGGCCACAGCTGCAATCTGTTCTTGCGGCCAAAACCCTTGGGAAGCCAAATTAAGGGAAGCCACATTGGGTTTGTTTGCTGGGATCTAAAACTGTGTCCTGCTCCCTGCAGACAGGCCAGAAAGCCCTCTCTGGGAGGAAGAAAGCGAGCTCACTCCAGAGAGACAGGCAGCCAGAAGACCTGCCAGCTGGAGCTGCCCCTGATAGCCTGGCTTCCTACAGCCACCATCTGAAGGGACCTGGCTCCCATCAAGTCCTGGTGGATAGGAGCACCTGCTGAGGAGGAGGCATCTTTGGAAAAGTGCTGTTTACTGGCCTCTCGGAGTCCTCACTGGAGTCCTGCCTAGAACAGAGATTGAACTCTGTGCTGGTTAAAGTCGAACCCATTTCCCATAGAGCGGGAGTGGGTAGAAAAAAAGCAGCAAGCTGAGAGCTGTCTGGAGGCAGTTGGGGATATAATAAATTAGGAAGTCACACAGCTGTGTGTTCTGAAACACAAGATTGAAAATAGATCATTTTTTTCCTCTTGGGGGAACATACTGTAGTGTTGATATTTTCTAATTCAAATTTGGACTCAGTGGGCCTTCTCAACCAAATTACCCTGAGGAGGAGCGGGAGGGAGAGGGATGAAGAGGAGCCCTTTAGTATAACTCATTCTCACTTATTTTAGAAGAAAACAAGAATGTTGTTTGAGAGGTTTCAGGGTAAAATGCAAAGTTTATTAAAAATTTAGCAATGTCTGAAGAATATTTTTGGAACTGACCCTGAAGCAAACAGAAAGCTACTCTATTCATGCAACAAACGCTTATTAAATGCAGACTACATGTAAAACACTGTGCTAGAAGTTAAGATGGAAGCTGAATTCACTAAGAGTCTAGTCCTCAAAGGGCTTACAGTCTGTAAGGAAGACAGGATATTTACAAAGAAAGTGAAAGCAGTGGGTGATAGCATTGCACCATAGTTAAGGGCAAACAGCACAGGAGAATCTCACAATAATTCACTCCATCTAATACCTGCATCACCTCAGTCTACTTAACCTCTCCCTTCATCTCAGGTTCCTTATTTGTAAATGAAGATGTTGCAGGGGTTAACAGAGGTAACGTGTGCTTATTATTGACTCTGGGAATTCTCTGTTACATAGAAAGCATCCAATAAATGGCAGTGGTCTCCCTCTTTTTAAAAAAGCAAATTCCTTTTTTTTTTTTTTTGAGATGGAATCTCACTCTGTTGCCCAGGCTGGGATGCAGTGGCATGATGTTGGCTCACTCCAACCTCTGCCTCCCGAGTTCAGGCGATTCTCCAGCCTCAGCCTCCCATGTAGTTGGGATTACAGGCTCCCACCAGCATACCTGGCTAATTTTTGTATTTTAGTAGAGACGAGGGTTTCACTATGTTGGCCAGGCTGGTTTCAAACTCCTGACCTCATGTAATCTGCCCGCCTCAGCCTCCCAAAGTGGTTGGATTACAGGTGTAAGCCATCCTGCCCAGCCAAAATCAGCAAGTGGTTTTTGATTGAAGTTCAAGTGCCCAAGGCTGGGAGACCTGATTGGCATCCACCTTCTAATCTATTCCAACCACCAGGTAAATCTTTACAACCAAAGGCTCCAGGTTAAGGATGAGAAATAAAAGCATTCTAGAGCTTTCTGTCCTCAAGCTGCTCCCCTAACTACTGCAGACTCCCTGAGGGAAAAACTGACACTGTAGGAAGCCACAGTGTCTGCAAAAAGTGTTTTAAAGACTTTAGCTGTGGGTATGCTTCTGTTTTGTTTTTTTATTTTTTTTCCATTTGTTTGTTTCACTCATGTATATTTTGGTTTTGAAAACTTTACAGTTAGCATTTCATCATCTTTTCAGTGCAGTTTGACATCCTGATTTCTGTTGTTTTACTTTATTTTAGTGAGGTTAGTTTATTTTACTATCTATTAGAATCTTCTAGCATTCTGCTTATACTTTCCCTCCAATTTCATGCTGCCTTCCATACTAATATTCTACTTTTACAACTTATGAGGACTTTGAAGGGTATGGCCTGGTACATCACGATCCTACAAGAAATGCTGAGAACAGTGATTACTGCTTTGGAAAAAAAAAATAACCCGTGGGTCCAAGCTTGAGATTTAGAAGAGACTGGCATCTCTGGAACTAGGGAAAGATGGTTTTTGCACTTTACACCTTTGGAATGAGACTAGTCACTTTAATACTCATTTTACTGATGAGACGTGATGATGTCATCCTGCAAATGGCCTCCGTCATTGATTGGAATCCTGTTATATTTGTGATTTTGTTTTATGATGTTTCTCCTGCTATAAGATGCTTGTATCCTGAATTTAAACTTCCTCATGTATATAACCACTGGGATTTTAGGAAAACGACATCCACTAGCATTGGAAAAGACCAGAAGGGAAGGTGGATGTAAGTTTCATCCAAGGAAGGTCCCTGACAGCAACACCGTTGACCTGCTTTGGGAAGAATTAGGCGGCAGTGCGTCTCTCTCAGATCTCTAAGGGCAAGCAGAGGTGCTCAGCCAGGCTCTGGACACCACTTCCAGATGGAGCCTCACTCTGTGGCAGCAGAGTCCCTTCCTCCTCCACAGCCCTCCCGGGCAAGCCTCCTGCCAGGCAGGGCTCCAGCACCTTTTGCTCTTTCAGACACAAGAGGCCGGAGTTAGAACTGATTTTAAATACTTCTATTTTGAATTTTTCTTCAAGTTATATTTTTTAAAACAATTTTTTTGGCTAAAAGAAACATTTTTGTAACAATACATGACTGTGTGTGTGTGTGTGTGTGTGTGTGTGTGTGTGTGTGAAGAGAAGGAGAGAAAAAGAGGGTGAATGATAAAACATATGTGGCAAAATGTTGGCATAACTATAGATGAACCTGGGTGAATGAGTTATTTTGGCCAGGCGCAGTGGCTCACACCTGTAATCCCAGCACTTTGGGAGGCTGAGTCAGGCGGGTCACTTGAGGTCAGGAGTTCGAGACCAGCCTGGCCAGCATGGTGAAAACCCATCTCTACTAAAAATACAAAAATTAGCCCAGTGTGGTGGTGCATTCCTGTAATCCCAGGTACTCGGGAGGCTGAGGCAAGAGAATCGCTTGAACCCAGGAGGCGGAGGTTGCAGTGAGCCGAGATCACACCACTGCACTCCAGCCTGGGCAACAGAGTGAGATCCTGTCTCCAAAAAAAAAAAAAAAAAAAAAAGAAATCTTTGAACTTTCTTGCCAAAAAAAAATATCAATTCTCCCTTACCAATTCTCATGCCCTTATTCTTTCAAATGAAGTCTAGAGTCATCCCGTGAAGTTTCCATCCTAATTCCCAGTGATACTTTGGAATGTGATATGAGCCTGTCCACTAATGTAGAGGAACTTGCAACCTTTGCATATTGTTTTCTAACCAGGAAGAAAACATTTTGCTTCTCTATTTATTTGAAATGTCTATTGTATATTTTGGCAAAGTCTTACAGTTTTCTTCACCTAAGTTTCCAAGATGTTTTCCATTGGGATTATTCCAAAGTAGTTTACATTTTCATTGCTACTGTTATAATCTTTTTTTTCCATTTTATAATTATTGCTGACATATGGAACATCTACTAAGTTTCGTTTATTCACTATCTAGCTACTCTTCTAAACCACATTAGCTTATCCTTTGCTTCTTCAGGGATAGAAAGTCTTATTACCTACAGTTTAAAATATTTGTTTCTATCGATGAACTCTACCTCTAATGTGTTTGTAAGTTTTCCAGATCAAGGAGAAATAGTAATGGTGAATAATAATCAGCATCATATAGCATCCCAGTTTAGTCTCAGTTTTTGATGGGAAAGCTGTTTTGGTATCTTTATTTTAAGAATGATGCTAGCTTGTCACTTTCTGGCAGATTTTTTTTTTTAATGATAAGAGTGTGTCCTAGTCCATCATCTTTAATGAATATATTAAATATTATGAAACACTATTTTAACATTATTGGGTTTAAATTGAAATTAGCATCTGGGTTTTCACATTGAGCTTATTCATGTGAGATGGAGCACTGACCTGTTTCATATTTTCAAGCTCCTCTTGCTTCCCTGAGACAAATGAATATTTGAGCCAAATTCAGTGTCCACTGCTAGCAAATGCAAAGGCTTTTGTAACATGTACTTTTCATCATCCATTTTTTCATTTTACTTTTTATTTGCCGTGGTTTTTACCATTTATCATTATTTTTTATTATCTTCAAGGTTTCCTATAAACCACCCCAATTTTTAGGGGAAGTGAGGCCAGGAATGAAAGAAAAAGAAAAGGGTATGTATTAATAAACAGTAGAAAGCATAACAAAGAGACACAGATAAAGTGCTACAGGAGTTCTGAGGGAGCTGTAATGCCCTCCCACAGTGAAGATGAGGCGAGGAATCAGAACAGTCACCCAAACGATGCTTGAGATGAACCAGAAGTGTTTCTATAAGGCGTTAAGAAGACAATGGGAGCCTGTGCCTTTCAACAGGTCTGTATCTCTCATTACCAGCTTGGGCAAATCTACCAGGCTCACCTCTTAGCCATGACCTCTAAGAGACAACAGGAATGGATGCTGATTGGGGCCAGCTATATCTTTTCAGAAATAATGTAAAAAGGAATAAGTCCTTAAAAAGTCTATGATAAATATTATTTTCATCCATTTATAATTGAGATGTGCTTAGTATAGTCTCCTTTTAAACTGCCAAGTTTAGTTGCTCTCTGTAACCACTTCCTATGGGGATGAACATTTTCCTGCAATTTCAGAAGTATCTCCAAGTACTGCTTTCTGAAACACAAACAAAGCACCACAGAACTTCAGATTCTTAGGATATCCACAAAATGCACAGAAACAGTTGGCTTTGCTGCAAGATGCATCTTGGTATCTCTAAGCTTGTGCATATTCAAGTTAATTTATTTCTTCCACAAATAGTGCATTTTACAGTTAACAAAGCACTTTAACTAACATTTCCTCACCTGATTCTCAGATGAGAATGATGACGATCATGACTGATGATGACTGATGATGATATCCCTATGTTACAGATGGGGACAGTAAGGGGCAAGATGAAGGTTAACCATCATGGCAAAAGTCCTCGTATCAACTATGCCTATCACAAGGGCTTCTGATCCTGAATGCAAGAATTTTACATGAAGTTCTCTCCTGCCTTGGAGAATACCATTATAAATCCCACTATTAGTTTTTTAATTATTTAAAACAATCACCTTCAAATGACTTTTATGCTCTCTCCTATGATGATTTTAATTTAGACCAAAAGTGTCTGCAACTTCCTAATGTCAAAGTTAGGCTTTAGAACATTTGTTTTTGTTTTACTTTAAACTTAAGGTTGAAATAGAATGTAAGAGTAGAACGTGAAAATTCAGGGCAGAATCAAGATCTGAGAGCATTCCACTTTGCATAAGCAAGAGTACAAGCTCGTATTTGGAGAAAAAAAAAGGTCCTTAAGAGATTTAACTGTTAAAAGCTAATTTTCTTGAGTTTTCTTTAGCCAGAATGTATTCCCCAAGAATGAAAGTGACGGATGGTACTTCTCAAGGTACAAAAACACCAATGTCCCAGAGTTAAGTGTCTATTCTAATTGCTGCTGCACTCCAAACAGTCCTTCAGGTTGCTCATCTGTGTTATTTTTACTTGCTAAAGCAGAGGTGTCTGGGTGATGAATTATACAAGGTGCTCCACTCGGCACCACTGGTGTATTATAATAAATATTGCCATGGAAAGACAAAGTAAGGAAATGGTGAACATTTTCATAATGTGTAATGTAGGTTTCTTTCTTGCTTTTTTTTAAAAAAAAACCCAGAGCAGTAGTATTAAATTGTAATCTAATTATAAACGGTCAAACAGGTGAATTTGGCAAAACTGTTTCAAGGCTTCAATCACAAATGTATGTCCATTCTGCTCTTCAAAATACACCTGAGAATAACCCCCACACAAAAGCATAATTGAAGAAGTGGAAATATCCATTTGCTAAAAGGACAGTAATGCAGTGGAGCCCTAGCATCTTAGTGATGAAAGAAGAAATGCATTATAATCAAACCTCAATTTCCATTTTTCTGCAATCTTTGATATTGCTGCATTTAAAAAGATACTAGTGCATTTCCCCAATTCTCAATGAAGACAAAATGACAGAGGACTGTAATCTGGCTTCAATTTGTTATGGTTTTCTGCATCAGTAAGGACACTGCAGAAAAGACTGTAAAGAGACAGAATTAAGGGTTTCAAGTAATTATTTATCCCATCTTAACATAACTCCAGTTTTCTTTAGATATCTAACATCCTGTGGTCATATAACATACTCAGGAGAGGTATGTTATACTAATGGGTAATGGGTAATGGCTAATCCAACCTCTGGACAGTCCCATTCCCTGTCCATGGCTGGGCTAGGCACAGTCACACGCCAAAGTGTCAGCCAAGAAAACACGAGAGAAAGTGTGCTGAAAGTCTTCCAAAAACACTTCTACACACCTAAAAGAGATCCACCGGAAGAGATGGCCTCTTGTTCCTCTGACTATGTGAAGGTAGCCATCATCTTGCTACCAGACACAGAACAGAAAGATGAAAATAACTTGGGTCCCTAATGACATCACCGGACAGGTATGCTAACCAGCTCTAGGATCTACACAACTCTGGACTTATGCAATACATGTCCTTGGCAGGACATTTTGAGTTGAGATTTCTACTACTTGTAGCTGAAATTGTCCTAACTGCTGCATTATTAGGCCAGGACTGGGGTGAGCCTGTACACCATCATGCTCACAAGTCTGTCACACCCAGAAAATATAATCTAATTCTAGCGTGTTATTCCCATAACTGGGACATTTCTTTTCATTATTAAAATCCTTCTATTGGTTTCCACTGCCTGTAAGGTAAAGTCAAAACTCTCTGCATGGCAAATACTTGTGATCTGACAACTGCTTCTGCTAGCACCTCTGCCCTTTGCTTCCTCCCTCAAACCCTCTGCATTAACTACATGGAACTAGAATCCCTTGAACCTCCAGGTCTTCTAGCCTACCATTTCTCACTGCCTGGAATTTTCAACAGCCGCCTCCCACCATCCACACAGCCATGACTGCCTGATATCTCTTTGTCTTTGTGAACCCCACGTGCAGGTATCTCTTCTTCTCTATCACACCTTGCAAGACTCTCCTTTCCCCAGCCCTGCCCAGTTCTTCACAAACAGAAGGAATGAAGTATTGCCTCCCAGAGATATGAATGTGACTCAAATGTAATGTTACAAATGGAAAAATGTTTTATAATCATTTATTTATGTGAAGGACCCTCCAGTTAGTGTGAGCTGCCTGAGGATGGAGAATGGGTTCTAAATCCATGTCCACAGTGACCCTGATCCTGACTCATAGAGGTGCCCTACAGTTATTAAGTGAATAAATGAATGAGTGAGGAAAATAAAATATCTTAGCTGTACCTGACATCGGAATATAATTGGGTAAGGTTCTACCTATTCAAAAGAGAGTAATTGATCCATTTGTACCAGAAATCAAGTATTCCTGGCACTCATCAACAATGTATTTATTTACTTATGTTTTTAGTTTTTTGAGGCAGAGTTTCATTCTTGTCACCCAGGCTGGAGTACAATGGGGCAATATCGACTCACTGCAACCTCTGCCTCCTGGGTTCCAGTGATTCTCCTGTCTCAGCTTCCTGAGTAACTGGGAATACAGGCATGCACCACCATGCCCGGCTAATTTTGTATTTTTAGTAGAGATGGGGTTTCACCATGTTGGCCAGGCTGGTCTCGAACTCCTGACCTCAGGTGATCCACCCGCCTCGGCCGCTGAAAGTGCTGGGATTACAGGCGTGAGCTACCATGCCCAGCCAATAATTTATTATTTCTTTCAGGACAAGTGCTTTAATAACAACAATAAAAAATAGCTACCATTTCTTTTTCCCCAGCTAGGAGCTGGGCATCTTCTTAATGACTTCACATTGACAGTAAGCACATGTGTATTCATCTGTGCTATGCCTCCTGTTTTCTGTAAGGGCACCACTCCCTGCCCCCTCCACTCTCACTGACCCTGCACACACAGGGTCAGTGTGCAGGGAATATAACTCTTCTTTTGAAGACTTGCTCCTTTCTTGAAATAGTCTGTTTTCACGCTGCTGCTAAAGACATACCCAAGACTGGGTAATTTATAAAGAAAAAGAGGTTTAATGGACTCACAGCACCACGTGGCTGGGGAGGCCTCACAATCATGGTGGAAGGCAAAAGGCAAGTCTTACATGGCGGCAGGCAAGACAGAATGAGAACGGAGCAAAAGGGGTTTCCCCTTATAAAACCATCAGATCTCGTGAGACTTTTTCAGTACCATGAGAACAGTACAGGGGAAACCACACTTACGATTTGATTATCTCCCACTGGGTCCCTCCTATAACACGTGGGAATTATGGGAGCTACAATTCAAGATGAGATTTGGGTGGGGACACAGCCAAACCATATCATCCCTCAATCTTCAATCTTGTTCTTCTGACTGGGGCTGCCAATTATCCAATTCAGGCTATGGGGATATGTGACCACATCCAGGTCCCTAAGTATTCTTCTTTGTAATTTTTGAAACTGAAACTAAGAGAAAATATGTCTTGCTCACAAAAGAGCCTCATGAATAAAGCAGGTTAAAAAGAAAACTTTTAACCAATATATAGAAGATAAAGAAACAAGGGACATTGTTCCAGGCCCTAGATCCAGCTGTCATTTATGCCACAGCACCCTCCTCACCTAACTTTCAGTTTGCTCATGGAAAGTGAGGTTCTATCACTTGCAAAAAAAATTACCCATATTCTTTTTTTTTTTTTTTTTTTTTTTTTTTTTGGAGACAGAGTCTCGCTCTGTCGCCCAGGCTGGAGGGCAGTGGTGCAATCTCAGCTCACTGCAAGCTCCGCCTCCCAGGTTCACACCATTCTCCTGCCTCAGCCTCCTAAGTAGCTGGGACTACAGGCACCCGCCACCATGCCCGGCTAATTTTGTATTTTTTGTAGAGATGGGTTTCACCGTGTTAGACAGGACGGTCTTGATCTCCTGACCTTGTGATCAGCCCACCTTGGCCTCCCAAACTGCTGGGATTACAGGCGTGAGCCAACACATCCGGCCCTAAAATTACTCATCTTCTAACTAGGACAACATCCATTATCTCATTTCAGGCTCCAACCAACTGCGTGCAGCACAGTTCCTCATTTATCTCATAAATAAGGAACCAGCGGCTCAGAACAGAGAAGAAACATTCTCAAGGCATACAGCCAGTGACTGAGCTGTGATTCCAAGATGGGTCATTCAGATGCCCAAATGCAATCACTCTACTTTCTTGCCTCTGTCTACACTGTCTTTCTTTTTCTTTTTTTTTTTTTTTGGCTTCCTAAATTCCAGTTTGAGCTCAGTAAACTCAGATACGCAGTAGGTGCAAGTAAGTCTTCCCTTCACTAATAAACATAGATGCCATTGCTCTTGATTAACTCCTGAGAGTGTTACAGCCTTCAACTGAATAACCTTGACAAAGTGCTCTGAGAATGTAAATAGACATTATTTTGGACCACGCTATTAGAGGTAACATTTGCTTCTTGCAATGTCAATAATTGGGAAGCAGGAAAATAGTGCTGTTTTTTTTTTTAAAGCAACCTTAGAAAACTGAACATAAATATTTGGTATCAGTAATTAATTGAACATTAATATGTTTGCTTTAGACACCAAAATATAATTGGTATTTCAGAGGTGGGTTTCCTCAACAGACCAAAAATTAAAATCAAAAGAGAAATGCTTTCTAGAAAATTGGATCTTTCTACTTTTGTAAACATCCTTTCTCCCCAGCAGTTAGATTTTTAATTGAGTACTTCTTTGGTCTTAGCACTTGCTTATAGAACTAAAGTGACCATGGTCTTCAAGGTTAATTATTAACACAAATCTGAGAAGTGTTCAGAACTATGAACTTAGGAATGGAGAAAAATAATCACATACAAACCAAGTGAAGATAGATTTGTGTGTAAATCTAATTTTCCTCAGAAGAAAAATAGGCATTTCTTTCAACATAAGGGTGTATTCAGATTAGCTTTGCATATTAGTAACTTATTTAATATGGCAATGGGCAAAAAGCAATCCATTAAAAAGCAATTTTGCTCTTACCACAGGGTGTTTTATCATTTGGTGTCTAGCATTCAATCAGAAAGTAACAATCCTTAATATTTTATGAGCAGAAAACAACTCATCTGGGCATGTAGGCTTCAGAAACATGAATGTGTTTTGTAAGCCTTGACAAATTTCCAGAATGGGCTTTGCAGATGATGGCAAGCAATAAGTCAAACTAAAAACTTAAACTTATGACTATCACAACATTGGGGAAATTATTCTTCAGGACAGATGATGGGCATGCGTTAAAAAACATAATGACAAAACTCATAGGAAAAAGTATCAGTCCCAGCTCATTCTTCCACTTTCTGAAGTGTATAGGAAATTTTCTGAACTCCTTCGGGGACAAGGACCATATCTGGTTCCTTTGTACCTGCAGTGTCCCTCATAGTCTGTGGCATGTTGTAAGTACTGGATAGATTTTCATTGAACAAATTAATAAATGTGTTTGTCGTCTTAGGTGAAGAGAGACTGCTTTGACAATGCCAGGCCTCAGCTGTCCAAGCCCAGTCTCAATGCAGAAACCAGGCCTGAGTGAGTTGTGGCAGAATGTTGGGAGTCTTCTCTCCATCAGAAGGTGGGAGATGGAACAGTCTTCAGTGCATGAAGAGCATCTGTGGCATCTCCAGGGACCTGCGAGGTGTTTGCCTTCATCTCCACTCTGTTACTTCAGCCCACAAATGGAGTTCTGCCCTGATTCCTGGATTGACCACCAGGTCCTGGAAAGGCCAGGAGGGCTACTCTACACCTGCCAGAGGTCAAGCTCTATCCCCTATTCTGTCCCCACCCCATCCCCAAGCACAAAATGAACATTCACCTGAGGAGGACTACCTGCCCAGATTCTTGCCAGCTGAGGTCCCCTCCACCCACTGGATGGGGATCCACTGACCCAGAGGCCAGCCCACATCAGGGTCATGTTTACCCTGCCTGCACCTGCTCTGGAATTCAACCATCTCTTCCAAACTATTCCCCCCAGGTTGAATAAGACTGTTCCCATAGAGCTCCTCTCACTGAGATCACTGCAATTTCAGCCAGAAAATGAACACAACTACTCAAATCACCACCCAAAATACTTCCAATCCATTTCTAGACATTCTGCTCTGGAGAGAACCTGGAGGTGTAGGAGCACAGTGCGGTTTGTGAGTAATTCACTCAGGGACACAAGGCCCTAAGTAGCAGAGCTGAACTCAGTTCCCCTCTATTCCCAGCAATCTCTACCTCCTACACCAGATCACTCTTATGTGTTTACTTTTAGCAGGACAGACATATGTCCCTTGGGCAAAGGAGAAGAGCAGATAGCTGGGCACGGCATGTCATAGAACATGAGTGAAGGTACACATGGAGAGTGGGCCTTCTGCTGCCATCAAGATGAGCATAAACAGCCAAAGGTTGTCATCAGAAAGGAGGAGACAACCAAGGGCAGTGCAGAGCAGTACCTTGGACACAGAAACACCTGCCTGGTAGAACACCACTACTCACTCCAGTTACTGAAAATTAACTCCCAGATGGTCCAGACATGTTTTCCAGCCAGCAACTTTCACCAATTTCCCCCATGAAATTGAGATAAACATGAAACAGTCACAGTTATCAGACAGAGGAATTCAGCAGGATTTGTTTGATTTAGGACTTACATCCTTAAGCTGAGTAAACAGTAAGCAATACTGCACACTGAAATCTCAGCGAGTTAGTGTAATTAGGGAGTAAGAAGGATAACTCAAGTCAAGGATCCATGTAAACAGAAATCTTCACATTTGGTGAGCTGTAAACCAGAGTAGGTGAATGCAGAGATCTCTCAGGTTACACTGCTACTGTTCTAATGCAAAAATGCTCATGTTCCATGTCATCATTGGCTGCTTCCTCCCATGAGCCCACACTGGAAGATGATAAAGTTTTCCACTTGGCCAACCAGGCTCAATTTCTTAGTATTTTTCCTTACTAAGTATTAAATTTTCTAGTTTATTTCAGCAGTACCTGTAGTCAGTTCTACACTGTAAATAAAACATAACTCTCTTTCCAATGTAATCATCAGATTCCTCCCATTAATCATTTCAGGCCATTATTTTAAGCTCTCGAGCAGGCAACTGAATATTTATGTTTTCACAGTAATACCAAACACCCCAACATTTTTCTGGTATAAACAGTCTTTTCTGGTGCTCATGTTATTAAGCCTGTGCGGAAAGATTTATATGTGTGCTGGCTTCTAGATGTTGGATGGAATGGAAGTAAACCACTTTAAGAAGGTTCAACATCGACAATGATAATAGGGACAGGTTAAATCATATCCACCTTGGTAGATTAAAGCTAAATTATGCCAATGAACAAAAGGCAAGAAAATTATCATCCTTTCTTTTTCTGTATGTACTCTCATAAATTTTGTGATATAAGAAAAAGAGCAATAAAAATATTGCTGACCACATTTTTCATTTTCAGCTACCCATTTTCTTTAATAATTTCTTCTTTCTTAGAGAAAGTATTCCAAACAACAGAAACACTGAGAGCAAGAGAATTTCATTAAGGTATTCAATTTTTCTTTATAGAGAAAAATTGCTTAGAAAGAAAAGAAAATGATCTACTGGTAGGTTATAAACTGGAATTTTAAAAAAGAAATCCATAGATTTTTTTTTCCTGAACAGAAGCAAGCCTGTTTTAATATGTACTCATTTTCATGATATTTGAAACTCAGCCACAATGATCTGCAAATTTCTCCATTCCCATAGGTTTTAATCACATTTACTTCCAGACCAGACATGCAAAAGTATGTATGCTGTAAACCTGAGCCAAATAATAATCAACCTATCCACAGTGATGACCGTAAGAAGCTGTCGGCATCTTGGGATTTCTTCACACAGGTAGGGGCACAACCCTGGAAGCTGGGACTCTGCCAGCTTCACACCCATGTGGGAAATAAGTATACTTACGCAACTCGCCCACTTTCAAGATCTCACATAGCATCTTGGTCAGCTCTATACTACTGCGGCCAAAGGGACATTCATGCTTGTCTTCTCGACTACTGTTCTCAAGCACAATCTGTAATGGGAAAGGGAACAGATTAGAAAGGAAATTCAATTGTGGAAAACATCAAGAATATCACCTTCATTCCAATAGATGAATACATAGATCCACTTCAGATCCCCAAACGAAGACTCTTGGGGCCAGGACAAAATAGTACTCCAAGTATACAGGACCGAAAAGTCTCATTTATCCCCCCCAAATCTTTGACAACCCTCTTCAACCCTGTAAAAGAGGATATTTTGCTTGTTCGTTCCCATTTACACAGAGAAGCCTGGAGAGTGTTTTGGAATAGTACAATAAAGACTTTTTCACTTCAGTGACCAAACAACTCTCTTGTCCTCCCATTTCTGTCCTCTTTTCTTGGGAATAGTAACTCCTTCTGTGACTTCAGTCTCAAACTTCAATAGGATATTTTCCAAGGAAGTCCATATTCTTACAAGATCTTACCCTCTGGCATCAGTTGAATAAATCATGCCTGGAAAATGTGACATGATGGACCAATCACAGTCCTTCCCTGAGACTTCATACTAAGAGAAAAACTGGGGCCGGGTATGGTGATTCACGTCTGTAATCCCAGCACTGCGGGAGGCCGAGGCGGGCGGATCATTGGAGGTCAGGAGTTGGAGACCAGCCTGGCCAACATGGCGAATAAAATACTAAAAATAAAATAAAAACTATCTCTACTAAAATTACTACTCTCTCTACTAAAAATAAAAACAAAATTATCTGGGTGCGGTGGCAGGTGCCTTTAATCACAGCTAGGGGGCAGGCTGAGGCAGGAGAATCACTTGAACCCGGGAAGCGGAGGTTGCAGTGAGCCAAGATAGTGCCACTGCACTCCAGCCTGAGTGACAGAGTGAGAATCCACCTCAAAAGAGAAAGAAAGAGAGAAAGAGAAAAAAAAAGAAAGAAAGAAAGAAAGAAAAAATGAATGAATGAAAGAATGAATGAATACTGGCTCAACTATGCTGACGGTGCCCCTGGAGTGTGGACTTAGGAGTTACCTGGATGTTGGCCCTCAGAAAAAAGAAAATAAAACTAAAATGCAAAGTAAAACAGAGACAAGAGACAGCAAGAGACCTAGAAGTGTTTGAGACTGGTTCCACCTATTCCTACTGGTCCCCCTGTTCCTATAGCACAACTACTTCCCTGTCTTTCCCCTTTCGTTGCTCAATCCCTCCTCTGAAAATCCTTTTGTCCATCTAATAAATTATCCTCTTTTCTTAAGCTAATTTGAGATGTTCCTAACACTCTCAACTAAGGGAATTACTCTACACATAGATTAAACAAAAGCAAAACAAAATAACAAAACTCTCAAGTTATGGAACTTTATCCATGTCTAAAGCTTCTTCTCCAAAACTCATCCCCAGTAAGAGTTGTCTGGGACTTCCTTAATAGCTACACCACTTTGAATGATCATCTCTCAGTAGCATCTACAATGATGCTGTGCAGTGACTCACTGTTTTGTCACCTCCACAGAATATGAACTCTTCAGTGGCAGGGACAGGTGTTTTATTCACTTAGTCAACAGTATTAATTGAGCACCTGTTATCCACCAGGAAGATGGCTGAGCCCCATAAAATAGACAAGGGCCCTGACCTCATTAAGCATTCATTCTAATTGAAGGACACAAAAACAAAAGAGGTAGTTACAGTTTATCGCAAGTGCTATGAAAATAAAAAATAACTTGTTGAGTGACAGAGAGTAACAGGGAATGCTTGGGGAGGGGAGTTTAGATAACCAGGTGATCAAGGAAGGTTCTCGGACTATTGAGAATCAAACGATGAGAAAGACCTTGCTATGTCAAGGTATGTGAGAAAGAACATTCCAGATAGAGATGAAGGTCAGAGCCCACTGAGGTGAGCTGGGCAGTGGGCTGGCCTCCCCAAAACATATGCACTCAGTCTGCCCAAGCATAGACAATTTCATTTCACTCAGCCTGAATCACCCTTTTCCTTTTCAGGGAAACCATTCTGATTCTAACCAGAAATTCCCATTCCAGAAAGCAGGAGGGGAGAATAAGTTCCATTAATCAGTGAATTTTATCTCCCCTCTAAATATTTTGTATCTGAGACAGCCAGATCAGAGAGCAAATCTGAAGCTCCTAATGATGGGAGAAATGAACTGAAAAAAAGAAACAGAGCCAGAAGACAGAACATAAAGAGAAGACAGAAGACAGGTAGTTTTCCTCGGCTCCCAGCTTCCAGCGAGCACATTCCCTTGTATTTCACATTAACATTCTATTAACATTTCATGAGCACATTAATATTTAATGAGGCTGTGATCTGCATACACTGTAGGTAGAATTACTGCAGCCAATAAATGCTTGGGAAACATTTCCAAGGCACAGTTTATTAGCAGGCACTAAATTAAGTAGTAATTTAAGTAATCAATATGTAAATCAGCTTGGAGAAGTCCTGCTCTTTATTTTTTAATGCACCATCCATCTTATCATACTTACCCACCTAAAGAAAAATAAACCCGCCGCCTTCTTGACTGATTTCTGTTGTCAAGGCAGACACAAATATTTAAAGCTACTTGTGTAACTTTTAAGATCAACCTTCTTACAAAAATATTGTAGAAAAGATTACAATTATGAATGCTACTAGTTAGATATTACTATAGTGAGAGATAATTCTTAAGCTGGACAATAGCTTTTATTTAACACATTGATACATCTACATTCAATTTCAACATTCTGATATTAACCATGTCCATCGGAGACATTTTGAAAAGCTCCATTTGGAAATATCAAAGCATATTTTTCATCTTTATTTTCCCCTTACTCTTCAGTTTTAAGAGCAAATATGCTAGAACAGAAATCAAAATGAAGTACTAAAAGGTGCTATTACCACTCATCTTAGAATATATCAAACACCAAAATAAACTCTTTCTGCATATTTTATTTAAAAAAACTGGATATCCGTGCAATGTGAAGTTATATTTTTATAAAATGCTTCATCGTTTACAGAGTATATTTATACATTCTCTATCAATTGATTTCCAACAAGTCCATCCATTAATAAAGTAGGTATTATTAGTCTCTTAAGAATGCTGAAACAAAAGGCAGAGGTGACTTTCTAGCATCCCAGAGCTAGCCTGTGTCAGTCCTGGAGTTCAATTTTTTTTTTTTTTTTGAGATGTAGTTTCACTCTTGTTGCCCAGGCTGGAGTGCAGTGGCATAATCTCGGCTCGCTGCAACCTCCGCCCCGCCAAGCTCAAGCGATTCTCCTGCCTCAGCCTCCTGAGTAGCTGGAATTACAAGAGCCCACCACCACACCCAACTAATTTTTGTATTTTTAGTAGAGACGGGGTTTCACCATGTTGGCCGAGCTGGGTCTCGAACTCCAGACCTCAGGTGATCCCTCTCCAATGACCAAATCTCTTCCTGTCTCCTTATAGTTTACAAATTGGCTTCACATACATATTACCATGAAAATCAGTAGGTTTCATGTCTAAAGAAGCTAAGGGGACTTTGGTCAATTTCTTCTGTCTCCTTGAAGTTGTCTATAAGCCCTGTTCCTCCTAGACAAAGCTATAAGGTTCTATGTCATCTAATTTATCCCCTGAAGATGACAATTCCTCATGGTGAGTGACCAAAGCTGCTGCAGTGTCCCCACAGACTTTACTTCCATAAATTCCAGGCTCTCCTCTGAATGCTCTGTGTTTCTTGTCGCTCTTCTCCAATTGTGTAGATCAGGAACATTTATGGCTTGGGCATGACCATGAAGTGTTGAGTCCAAGGCCACCCTCACTCAAATATGAATCCCTTCTCTGGCTCTCTTGCCCTCCTTGCCTCAGCATCACATGGCTGATTTATATTCACTTGCTTGTCTCTGACACACTCTCTCTTCCACTCTCTGTTGAAGCTCTCTCTTTTGGGGGAGAGCCCAATTCATTCTGTGCCTCCTGCAGCCAGCCCTTGAGGGCTTGAGGGCTTCTTCCATGCCCTGTCACCTGTGGAGGCTTCTCTTCCACTGTGAACCTTTTTCCATTTCACTTTGACTTAACCTAGGGTCAGGTGAGGCATAGTGGCCTCCCCACAGGCCACACGAAGGACAGTGTGTGTGAGGTGGTACTGTCTGCAAAGAGAGGGGACACAAAGCAGCTATGAGAAGCACTGATAATGTGGTGACCTTGGACAAAGGTGCCGCCAACTAGGATGAACTTGCATGAGGCACTGCATGTCTTTGTGAGATACGAAGACCTTACATAAAACCCAATTCATGGGACTGTCGTGCATATCAACTCACACAACAAAGGCAAAGTCCCTAAAACTGCCTTCAGAGAGTTCGTGTTTTTATCTCTTTATTGTGCTCTCTCTTCCTGTTTCTGCATGGCCCATGGCCAACATTTCACACAACACTTTTACCAGCAGCTAAACCAAAATCATGACTGCAGTGAGACTGGCTCTCTGATGACAGGCTTCTAGGGACTCATGAAAGTAAACCAGAGGCCTTCTGGTTGTTTTAGCATGACAGGCAGAGAGAGAGATAAAAGTAGGTCCTCACCTGCTTACACCAAGAATGCAAGATAAAAAGTCCCATGTGCTGCTGTTTAAGCAGGGCTCTCCCGCAGGAATGCAGGGTGACAATAGTGTGAAGAACGAACAAGGACCCTGTTGTAACTAAGTGAGTTACAGAGAAACGCCACACTTTGAGACAAATCATGGAGTCTTTTATTAGCCGGTGACCGAGAGACAGCTAGCGCTCAAAATTCTCTTGGCCCCGAAGAAGGGGCTACATTCTCTTTTATACTATGGTCTAAATAGGGGAGGGGGAGTTTAACTGAAGCAGTTTTACAGAAGCAGAACAGGCAAAAAGTTAAAAAATTAATTGGTTATAGAAGCAGTTACAAAAAATAAACAGTTCCAGGTGCAGGGGCTTAAACTATCACTAAGAGATAAATGCAGGGGCTCTTAGGTACCTTCCACCGAGCACATTCCCAGGAGCTGCTGGTATAGCCTGCCTCAGTATCTTATCAGCAGGTGCATTCCTGGATGTGCTTGGAGTCAGCTTGCACTGGTTATTCTCTTAAGGGGGATAAAGGGGGCTGCGAGTGAAGACACTAAAACGGAGTCTGTCTGGCTCTCTCTCCTAGGAGAGAGTCACTCAGGTTAAAACAAGGTAGGTTATCACAACCGCAGAAAACAAGTCAATGCATGACATGGTGTTTCTGGCAATAAAGTCCTCAAACTAAAGCGTTCCAGCCACCATAGGGCAATTGTCCTCAGAATCCTTGTCAATGTCACAAATCTGTTTCCTGACCCATTGGAGATCTTCTCCCATACTAAATCAACAAATAAATAAGAAGCCTTATCAGTATCAATGAGATCTCCCCACATTCCAACACAGGGTCAATGTCCCCTTAGGAATAGTATCAGGCAACTCCCCAGAATGAAGTGTTAGTCCTTAGATCATATCCCAAGACCCAGACCTACCCCAGGGTCAAAGAATAAGCCCAGTTTTGATTCCTCTTATGGAGACTCGGGAGTCACTTCTCCTTCATTCTCCCTTGGTGCCAATGCTAATGATGATTGGTCCCAAGAAAACTGAAGACCATCATGAGAAAGAACCCTGAGCTGCCTCAAGGGGGCTGCACAAGAAGTTAATTGTGATCATGAATTTCAATCAAGTCCAGAGAATTAAACAAACATGTCCAAGCCCTAATAGGATGGTTTTAAATGAGCAGAGAAAGAAGAACATTAAAATTATAGAAAGTGTGCCAAGCACACAAACAAAATGGAACAGATCAGAACCACAGGCTGCTAGTTCACCAGATCTACCTAGAAAGGAAGTGAGACCTGGAAGTAAATAAACCCAAAAGAAAAAAGCTTTAGGGATGCCATCAAGATGGCAGCAAAAGGCAACAAACAGCTAACAGCTAACATTTATAGAAAGCATTTCTCTCCCAGGCCTTCTTTGAAGGGCTTTGTACAGATTGTCTCATTCCACACACGTGTACCAGCACATGCCAAAATACTAAGCCATCTCACTGTACAGATGAAGAAACAGAGACAAAGAGATGTGTCACTGGTCCAAGGTCACACAGCACAGAAATAAACAGACCCAGCATGGAAGCTTAGATGGCCTAACCCCAAAGCACATATTCTTGGTTACCAATTCCTATTGAAAACAGAAAGGGTGAAATATTACAGTAATAAAGCTTTGAGCAGGAAAGGCCTTCACATGGTCACAAAGGAGTGATCAGCACTGTGGCTCTGGACAGAAACAAACTTCCTGGATCTATTTCTAACAGACAAAGTCTACTTCTTGGTGACTTTGTACATATCCCTTAACCTCAGTTTTCTCCATGAAAATGAGTGAAGGAATACTTATCCATAAAGGGTCGTAAAGATTAAATGGGAAAGCAAAATGGAAGTAAAGATTTCCTTAGTGCCTGAAACACCTCAAACACTTGATGGAGACAACTGATACTACTATCACCATAATAATTACATAAACGCTTGTTCCAAGGTATTACTATTTGCATTTCTGAAATATTCTTATCGCTCTTGGGAAAAGCTGTTGAAAAAGCACGACAGAAAACAAAACATGGTTGCTGTAGCAGTTATTAATCTTGCTTTTTTTGGTAAAGTAAGGACTTGGATGAAATCATATTTCTGACTTACATGGGTTTCCTCAAGTTCTTTTAGCATCTCTTTAGAAAAGTGGTTCTACATCATTCTCAGCAAACTATCGCAAGGACAAAAAACCAAACACTGCATGTTCTCACTCATAGGTGGAAATTGAACAATAAGAACATATGGACATAAGAAGGGGAACAGCACACACCCAGGCCTGTTGTGGGGTGGGGGGAGGGGGGAGGGATAGCATTATGATACCTAACATTAGGTTATCTAATGTTAAATGACGAGTTAATGGGTGCAGCACAACGTGGCACATGTATACATATGTAACTAACCTGCACGTTGTGCACATGTACCCTAAGACTTAAAGTATAATAAAAAATATTAAATAAAAAAAATAAAAGAGCAGAGAAGGCTGGGAGCAGTGGTTCATGCCTGTAATCCCAGCACTTTGGGAGGCCGAGGCAGGCGGATCATGAGGTCAGGAGATCAAAACCATCCTGGCTAACACAGTGAAATCCCATCTCTACTAAGAATACAAAATATATATATATTAGCCGGGCATGGTGGCGGGCACCTGTAGTCCCAGCTACTTGGGAGGCTGAGGCAGGAGAATGGCATATGGCATGAACCCGCGAGGCGGAGCTTGCAGTGAACCGAGATTGCGCCACTGCACTCCAGCCTGGGTGAGAGAGTGAGACTCCATCTCAAAAAAAAAAAAAAAAAAAAAAAAAAAAAAAAAGAACAGAGAAAGGACCAAACTAATGTTCGATAATTTTCTTCCAGTCAAGACGTTCCTAATAATGCTGGACAACTTCCAGTTTGGAAATGACCACCTCCCCGGGTGTTGTCTAATCACATTGTCCAAATGCTACGACAACAACCTGTTGAGAAACATCCACAAACTCAGGTGATCTTATGCCTGAGTGAAGAATATAATTGTTACTGTAAAATATATTTGGTGTGTTAAAATTATATGGTACTGCAAAATAAAGCATTCTCAGAATGAAAAAAAAAAAAGAAAAGTGGTTCTAACTTTAATGTGTGTCAGAATCACCTGGAGAACATACTGAACGCAGGCTGCTGGGAGGCTCCCCTAGGGTTTGATTGAGAAGGTCTGAGGTGGAACCCACAAAAATAAGTCAGTAAACCAAGTCCTGAAGTTTTCTGAGACAATGAGGGGATTGAGGGAGAGAGAGTTAGAAAAGGATTTAAGAGAATATTTAAAAGTTACTTTCACCAGCATGCCCTTAAGTAAAAACTCCATCCCTTCACCTTCCCTGAGCTTTAATTGGTCACCTAGAGAGAGGCGGCCATCCATGGTATGTCCAGGCTGCGGAGGCCTCAGGCCTTTGGACAGGGCCAGTGCTGCCAGGCAGCTGAGATGGGCTTTCAGAAGGTTGGAAATGACCAAGTTAAGAATGTGAGTATAACTGACGACCAGGGAAAAGGACAAAAAACTTAAAGCGATATTTCCAAGAGCCAAATAACAATGCATCCCAGGAAAAGGAGAAAAAGAATGTATTAATATAATGAGTCAGACTGGTGGAAAAAAAAAAAGAAAAGAAAACGCACACAGGGAACCAAGATAAATAACAATCTGGACAAATGAGAGGAATGGTATAAAACCCAGCTAATGAGGTGAAATGCTTCCAGAATAAAATTAGGCAATTGCACATACAGAGGCATAATAAAGGCCATAAATATAAAATGGCAAGGAATTGACTGGGTAATGGTATAGTAATTAAAGCCTGGAGCTTCATAATAGACCTCAAATTGAACATTAATCAACCAAAAAGAAATGCTCCCTGCACTTTGATATAGTGCAACAAAAGCAGGACGCGCAAAACACACAGAGCAATCAAAGCCACGTTTTGCCGAAAGGCCCTCCCTTTGAGCATCACCTCAGGTAGCACAAAGAGGGCAAAGGATTAAATAACAGCAGGATGACTTCTGTTTGTGCCTACACAGTAATCACAACATTACTGAGGGAAGCCAAGCTCTGCTGACTATTCAAAGGCCAGGAGGTATCAGGGGCAATCCCCCAGCTGACTTCCCCACCAAAGAAGGTAGGCTAAAATCTCCCCTTTTATGCCAGTACGTGTGTTCCTGGCCCCAAGGATGGGTACAGGTGTAGGGGGCACCTGTAGGCTTTACTCCAGGTTTATTTAAAGCAATAGTTCTCTAACTTGAGCTTCTATTAGAATCCTCTAAAAGCTTATTAAAATGCAGATTGCTGGACTCCACCCCCAGAATTATGATCAGACATTCTGGGGTGTACTCACGAATCTGCCTTTCTAACAAGTTCCCAGTTAACACAGATCTGCCAGTTTTGGACCACACTGTGGGAACCACTGACTTACAGGTCTGTCACATCTACATTCCCAATTTCCATCATTAGCAAACCTTTTGTTTTTAAAGACATGCAAAGCAATGAAAGTAGACAAAAAAGAAATAAATCTGATTGGTTTTGGTTTGTTTTGTTTTTCCTGTGACTAATAAAAAAATCATTAATAAGAGTCAAAATCCATAGAGAGAGAAGGCAGAATGGTGGTTGCCGGGGGCTGAGAAGTGAGAATGGGGAGCCACTGCTTAGCGGGTATGGGGTTATTTCTGGGATGATGATCATGTCTTTGGATCTACATAGAGGTAGTGATTGCACAACACTGTGAATGTACTAAATGCCACTGAACAGTTTACTTTAAAATGGTTAATTTTATGGTATATGCACTTCATCTCGATTAACAAAAAAGAGTTAATACATATTAGATGATTATCATGTGCAAACTCTCAAGCGTTTAGCTCATTTGGTCCTCACAAGCCATTGAAGCAGGACTGCATTTTACAGATGAGGAAGCCATGCCTTAGAGCTTAAACAAGTTGCGTGCTGTTTAGAAGGAACACTGCTATGGTTTGAATGATGGTGCCCCTTCCGAAGTTCATGTTGAAACTTAATCCCCAATGCAACAGTATTAAGGGTGTGGCCTCTGGGAGGTGATTAAGTCATGAGGGCTTCTCTCTCGTGACTGGGATTAGCACCCTTATAAAAGGGCCTGTGATTGAAAGGAGGCTCTCACTTGCCCTCTGTCCCTTCTACCATGAAAGGACATCATGCTCCTCTCCTCCAGAGGATGCAGCGCCAAGGTACCATCTTGGAAATAGAGAGCACAGCCCTTACCAGACACCAAGCCCGCTGATGCCTTAATCTTGGACTTCCTAGTCCCCAGAACCATAAGAAATACATTTCTATTGTTTATAACTTACCCAGTCTAGGGTATTTTGTTAAAGCAGCAAAAATAGACGAAGACACTACAGGTGTTGAAATGGCTCAGGATGACAGTCCTACAGGACAGCCAAGGACAGGGCATTGGGTGTGCCCTGTCATACAGAGGGGAACAAAGTGTGGCATTGGTACAAAGTCCTGTGGTATCATTAAGGCAGAACTCCTCTACTGCATACTCTTTAATGCAAACCACACACACTTCATTGTAATTTTTTTTAAAGTTCACATTGTAAATTACTTTGCAGACATATACAATCCCAGTACTTCTCAAACTTTAAAGTACTCACAGATCACCTGGAGACCTTGTTAAAATGAAGATTCTGACTCAGTAGGTGTGGGTTGGGACCTGAGGTCCCACATTTCTAAGCTCCCAGATGATGCTGACGCTGCAAGTCCAGGGTCCATATTTTGAAAATCAAGGCACTGCTTCCCCAAACTATCAGCTGAATTCTAGCCCTAGTCCTTCCCAACATCCCTACAGTGTATTACCCTTTGACCAATTCATTCATTCCATGAATATTTTTAAGCAATTATTGCTGAGCAACTTGCTAGATATTAAAAATACATGTATGAACAAAAGTCCATTTTGAGGGTCTTGCAATCTACTTGGAAGATACAAGGACATGGGATTTGTAAGATGGGCCAACTTTCACTTCCTTTTATGTACCTCTATATTGTTTGCATTTTTCACAAGGAAGTATCACTTTGTGCAGTGAAGGTGCACATGAGATGCAATGGGCAGACGGGGCTTCATGGAGAGGGTGAGCCTTGAGTTCAACCTTGAAGAAGAAACTGATGTCAAACTCTCTCCTAAGGCATCTTTTTAACATTCCACACCAGAAGTGAGCTGTGGAATGCAAGAAAGACTAATTACAATGGGAAAATGGATGCTGAATAAAAGCAGAGAAGCCCCTATGCATCTTGGGCAGTATTAAGCAACAAATCTCAAGATCACATGGCAGGGTTTTGACTCGCTCAACATTACATTACTGAATACAAATGCCTCACATCTCCTTCACCGGAGTGCAAAGATACCAAGAGGTTTGGCTTTTGTCTGACCGTCACTGTTGGATGAAAAATTAAGCTTGACATTTCTCAACCCTGACTTCTTACTGAGAAATTGTCACCATTGTCTGAACAGTTACTGCTGTCTTAAAGCAAAGTTAACCACCACATATATTGTCTGAAACATATTTGAATATAATTCATTTTACAAAACAAACACATTCCAGGAAAGCTAGTGATAAAATGAATCTGTCTAAGTCAGCTCCCACTCACCTCACTTTCTCACTTAGCACATTGATTTAGAAATTCACTCTGGTTTGGGAGAACGGACTTGAGAAGATGGAAAGGTGAGGAGAGAGAACTATTTCTTACTATCCTCTTCTGGACAAATAATAAATTGGCCATTTCAGGAACATATTATCAAACAGAAAATGTTAATTTTCTGATTATGCACATGACAAGTTAGCTGCAATGAAAAAATTGACTGAAACCTAATTAAGAAATTAGGCCATAAGTTGTTTTACTTGAGGTTAAAAAAGCATGTGAAAAGGAAATATTTTCTTCCTATTACATCTAGCTTTTTAAATGGAGTTCATCTCATCACATCTCATTCTGTGTATGAATCATAAATCTTGCCTACTCCTGCTAGAGGAAGGATCTCCCTCTGGTACAGCTCTCCTACCAGGCTAGGCCCAGACATGGCTCCCTCCTAGGGAAACTGCCTCCCCGACACCCCTCCCTGACACACTGCCCCTCCCACACCTGTCTCAATTTTCCCTCTCCTTCAGACCCAATCCAGATGTCACTTTCTCCATAAAACCTTATGCAATAAAACCTTATGTATGGTTTTCCTAAACAAGCCTTTGAAGTGTGGGCTTTGGCCCAGGGAGACTTGCTTCTGAGTTTTTTCATTCACATGGCCACATCGTCCCTGGGGGCACACCGGGTACAGGCTTCATTGCAGAGACTTTCCAAGTGAGTTTTCTCCCAAGTGAGATAACCTTTTATCTGTATCTTTCTTAAAACAATTCCCATTTTATGCCCCCAAATTATGGTAAAGTATAGGTGTCTTACCTTCCCTGATAGAGTCAACCCCTTGAGGTTGGGAACCACTTCCTCACTTGTGAATCTCTGACATTGCAGCAGAGTTGCACATACAGTAGGTGCTCAGTAATGAAGCAGTTATTGAACAAGTGCATGGACAGTACGAGTCATGACTCTGGCCTCTGGTGAGGCTGGCAGTGCCCACAGAAGGTTCAGTCACCTTCTCCATCCCTTACATGAATACCAACTTGCCTGGCTTTAGCATGAGTGTTTCCATAACTTATTACAACTATATGTTCAAATGCATCTTAAGTGAGTCATCCCTGTCCTCCATATTCCCTATTCTATGTCATTTGTGGATTTAATCAGAAGCAAGGGTTTATGTGATGCACTGAGAACCTCTAACTTCCTTCTTCATCAGGAGGAGGCTCAGAACCCAGAGGCTACTCAGCATTCAGGGCACGTATTCCCACAGAGAATACAAGCTGGGGGGAAAACTCACTTGGAGACTCTCTGCATTGAAGCATGTGCCTGGTGTGCCCCCAGGGACAATGCGGCCACGTGGATGAAAACACTCAGAAGCAAATCTCCCTGGGCCAAAGCCCACACTTCAAAGGCTTGTTTAGGAAAACCATACACTCAACCTTCTTTGTGTATTGTGAAAATAAACATTTACAGAACATTGGAATGTGTGAAAAATGTCCTTCGTTGTGTGTTTATGGAAAACATTTGGCAAGTATTTGCTATAAATGCTTCCTGTAAATGCTGTGAGTGAGAATCAGCAGGAAAATGTATGAGATGAGAGGGAGCCAACTCCCACAGCAAAAGAATGTCCCCTTCCCTTCCACACACCCCACGCGCTGCCTCCACTCTGCACTCCTCCGCCGCCCCCCTCCCCAGATAAGGCCCAGGGGATCCGGGAGTGTGAGGGTGGGGAACAGAGAAGGGACAATCTGTGAAGGGGCCTCCAGGCTCAGCATTCCATGTTGGAGTGCAGAAAAGGAAACTGACTCGTGTTTCCTAGGTGATGACGCCCCCTAATAGGATTTCCTTCCCCTTCATTCTTATTGGTTAACAGTTCTGATTCCAAGTCCCCCATTCCAGCTGGAAACATTGCCTCAACACCCACCCGGTCTTCCCCACCTGAAGACTGGCCTGCCTCTCAGTTAACTCTTGGACGCTTTCAGGTGAAAAGTAAAAAGTGGAAAGCAAGAGACTCAAATATATTTCTTCAGAACAAGATGCATGGGACATTTCTCTTAATTCCTCAACAATGGACAAAGACCTCTGATGATATGAACTGAAAAGGGAAGAGAGTGTTGCAGGCCACAGCAATGAACGCTCGTGGTTTTTACCAGGAAGCAACCTTGACCGCCTCCAGATTGCCCTCTGGGATGAACCAGGTCCTCCCCTGCCACATGAGGTATGTAGTGGGTACTGCAGAGAGGCTGGCTGCTCTTGGTTCCCAAGCAGCCTCCGTGATAAACAGCCTCAGTGTTGAAATATCAGGGAGATTAATTATCTCGCAGATGTTACATGCCAAAAAGGCTACTTTTTTTCTTCATTTCAGAATTCTTTCCTTTTTTAAGAAATACAAGGACACAAATCCAATGTGCTTAATTAAGCCTGCCAAGGCGAAGAGGCCCAGCTGCCTGGCTGTATTTGTATCTGCACAGGTGCCCAGGGAACACCAGCCTCACTCTCAGCTTCATCTCCAGGTCCCCTACCTCTGCCCAGAGGTCCTCACATCTGCACCTGACTGGAGCTAATGACAAACATCCTTACACAGCAACTTTTACGCTGATTTGCAAAATGATTTATTTTAAGTACGTTTCTAAAAACATAAACGTTAAGTCAAAAGGTCTCAGCATTTCTGCCACTTAAAGTATACCTATGTAACAAACCTGCATGTTCTGCACATGTATCCCAGAACTTAAAGTATAATTTAAATATATATATATAAGTATTGATAAACCATAATCTAAAAATGATGTCATTTCACACTTCCCAAAGCAATGGAGGAGTTCCCTTTAAAATCATTTCACCGGCTCACCTAGATTTATCATGGGAAAGAAAAATCCACAGTCTCCTCTGATGGAAGAAGAAAGGGGCTATGGGGCCCCCCAGACTTTCCCAATCAGCCCCATGCTGTGGCTCTCCCCAGCCATGGACCATGACAGCCACTCCCTAATCCTGAAAGAATCCAGGATTTCCTCTCCTCCAAGCAGCTGCACCCTTGCATGGCTGGGTATGGTGGTGAGCGTAGGGGATTTTTTGGTAAGCTCTTTGGGGAAGAATTCCTACATCAAATACATATTTATGAATTCAGAGAATTAAGAAAATTCTGAATTCAGAAAAGACTCTCAGTTACTTCATTCTCCTACCCCGTTTACCACCACATTCTACCAGCATCAGCTGCCCCAGGACCATGTGGGCCTCTCTCTTCCTGTCCAGATCCTCTTTTGTTTGTACCTCAGCCATTCTGACAGTAGGTTCCTTGGGGCTCTTGGTCCAGCTCTGCGTTCTCTGCAGGCTCCTGCCCTGAGAGAGTCAGTAAGAGAGTGTTTCTCACCTCAGGCCATGACTTGGCATTATGGACTGGACACATGACTCACCCATTGAAAAGATCAGCACACGTAAGTTAACCTCACCCATTCCACAGTCCCTCATATTGCTAAGAAGAGCAAATGGGATAATGCATGAGAAGGCAAAAGCACCATCAAGATCCAGTGGCTGGTGCTAGAGCAGGCTAACCAGCTGCTGCATCACTTTCAAAAGGCTTACAGGCCATAGACTGTTGGGAGCTTGAAATCGGCCACAGCAGGAGTATTGATACCACAGAAACCAGCAAATGCTGCAATACTAATCAGATTTTCTTTTAAGAAAAACTTTTGTACTAGCATACTACCAAATTCAATGTAAAGTATTAAAAAGTCACCACCAGAGCTGTCTGGGTCCAAAGTCCCCATTTGCAACTTACTATCTATTGTAGCAATGGGCAATTTACTTGACCTTTCTGAGCCTCAGCGCTCTCATCTGCAAAATGGGTACAATGATAGTGAGAATTCAATAAGGTAATGCATATAAAATGTTCATAACCATAGCCTGGAAACATTCACTACTCAATATAGTTTAGCTTTCTTTTTGTTCCTACCATATGCAGAGTAGAGCCCCAAGCTGCCAAGCTATCAGCAGAACTGACCCTTCTGTTGAAAACTAACTAAATGTTGGTCTTCTTCATCATTGGCTTATAGAGAACTCATGTCTGCTCATGGAACATATGCACATCTTCATGGCTTTCATAACTGAGATTTGTTGTAAGGCTTTATCCTGTGTAGCTCAAACTCTGCCCAATTTGATGGTCCCACCAGGTCAAGGAAAAAGAGATTCCTTCCAAGTTATGCTTCAGTTTTGATCTTCTGAAAAATATCACTTAAGGCCATAAAGGACTTCAGAGGGGGAAAAAAGAGGAACACAACCCTGTTCAGAGATTCAACACATCCTATCTTTCATCATTCATTTAATTTAGATGGTCCAGTGACAGAAAGTAAGGGCATAGGGCAAAAGAGATGGTTCCTGCTCAAAAATTTCATGTTAAGAGAGATAATAATCAAATAGTAAAACATACGATTATATAATTCCAAACTAAGTGCTATAAAGGGAGTGACATGGAAGCAAAACTAATGAAAGAGGAGCCTAAAGGGTGAGGTTCTGCAGGATTAATCCAGGGATAAGTGGGCAAGCAGGGAAGGGATGGAGAAAGCAGGAGCTGAGTCAGCAGAATAAGCACATGCAAGAGCCCTGTGGCATAGGAGCATCACCAGTCAAGTACTGAAAGATTGGCTAGGCTGGCCTTCCTGATCTTGGCAAATGCAAGTTTGCAGACAGGTGTGAATGACATTAACCGGAGTCTTAGATTTGAAAAGTCTCCAGGTATCAGGACCAGTGTTACAGAGCAGCATTTGATAAACCAACCAAAGAGAAGTTAGTTGTTAGGGTTGTTATATCTGTTATTAAAATTGTTTCAGTTGCTTTATAAAATACAAGAAAAATATTGTCTATTATTTATGATGTATGCCAAATTTTGGAACCTTGGGTTTTACCAGTGCAGGGAAAAAGTTGATAAAATTAAGGTCAATGAAAAAATAAAATTATCTGACAATGTCAACCACTACTGGGTGCACCAGGTGTACAGCATAGTTCCTAAGGGGGAAGCTATTTTTAACTAATACAAAGGGACATTTGGGAACATTACCACCTAAATTTTATTATACCAATACAAAATCCCTTCTGATTTGGTAGGCAGGTTGCTAATACTGGCTGGGCTCTGGTCACATGAATCCTATTCAAAAAGGGAAGACAGCAGTGACTCACCCAAGCCCAAGCATCAGCATATCTGGGGCAAGGCCATTTTGGGGCATACCGATATAGTTTCTAATTTGGTTTTCACTCCAGGACGGACAAAGGCCAGAAAGGCAGCTGCATCCAGAGAGGTTAGAGCGTGTTCCAGATAGAGATCTACTTCTGTGGTTTCCATCCATGGGGTGAATCCTGCCAAAAGGTGGAACACCAGAACTCTCTGGGCAGAGTCCTGCCACTCACTCAATCCAGGCATGCATTTAACAAATATGTGCTGACTGTCTTCTGTGTGCCTGGCACTGCCCCGGGCACTGGGGTACCGCAGTGACACCATGGATACTCTGTGGTTTTATGAGGTTTGCTGGCTAGTAAGGGTGAACAGGAAATAAAGAAAACAGTGAATATCGAGCATGTAAGAAACATTAAATTTTGAGAGAAATAAAGGAGGTAAGGTAGACAGGGAGCAAGAGGATGAAATCAGTACTTTATATCTGGAGGTGACAGAAAGCTGCTCAGAGACTAATGGAAGTGAGGCAATGAGCCATGTGGCTACCCAGGAACAGATTCCTAGGAGAGAAAGCAAAAAGTAAAAGGCCCAGAGACCAGAGGTACCTGGTATGTTCACGGCCAACAAGGGTGCTATGGACGGAATTGCACCCTTCCAAAATTCACATGTTGAAGCTCCAACCCGCTGTATAGCATGTGACTGTATTTGAAGATAGGGCCTTTAAAGAGGTAATTAAAATCAAATGAGGCCATTAGGGTAGGGTCCGAATCCAGTATGATTGGTGTTCTCATAAGAAGCAGTGCCAACAGGGTGTGAGTGCACAGAAGGATGGCCATGTGGAGAGGCAGCAAGAGGGCAGCCGTTTACAAGCCAAAAAGGGAGGCCTCAGAGACACCAACCCTGCCAGTAGCTAGATTTTAGATTTCCAGCCTTCAGAGCTGTGAGAAAATAGAGTTCTGTAGTTTAAGCCACCCAGTATGTGATATTTTGTTATGGCAGCCCTAGCTGATCTCTGTGGGTGGAGTTGAGGGAGGAAGGAGTAGGATAGAAGGACGTAAGGCTGGAAAGCCAGAACACTGCAGAGCCTTGAGAGCTGTGGCAAAAGTGCTGAACGTTTTTACTCTGAGTTACTGGAGGTTGTAGGCAGATGAGTGATGTGATCTGACCAATACTGGAAGAATCACTATGGCATCTTTCCTAACGTTCTGGCTACTGTGTTGAAGACAGAAAAGATGAGCAAGTGTGGGAGCAGGCAATATCAATCAGAGGCTGTTACACTATTACAGGAGATACAGGAGAGAGGTTTGATGTACTGGATTACTGTAATGGTGGTAGAAGTGGGGAAAGGAGGTAGGTTTCTGGAAAGCAGAGTCAATAGGATTTTGAAAGTAGAGTCAATAGGATTGAAAGTAGAGTAAATAGAATTTGCTGGGGTTAGTTTGTTGGTAACTGGGTCTTAATGGAATAAAGAGTAACTCATTGAGCCAGAGACTTTAGTCACTGGGTTGCCTTATCAAGGCAACCCATATTTAGCGCCATGAAACAGTTAAATAGCAAAGTTCTGAGTAGGTTTAGCCATGCTGAACCCCTATGGAAGGCAGAGCCATTGCTAGAAGGATATTTGTAGCAAAATATCAATGAGGAATTCAAGCAATGGAGAAAAATATACAAAATCAAGCATCTAAGCTTCCATTTTAGAAAACTAAAAAAATACAAATTAAATCTAAAGTAAGCTGAAGAAAAGAAGTAAAAAAAAATAATGGAGTGGAAATCAGTGAAATTGAAAACTGGAAAGCAATATAGAAAAATCAGTAAAATCAAAAGCTAGTTTTTTGAAAAGATCAATAAAAACAACAAATCTCTAGCCAGGCTCAACAAGATGAAAGGAAAATGATAAATTATTAGCATCAAAAATGAAAGAAGAGTCAACTTTATGGATCTCATGTATATAATAAAGGAATATTATGAACAAGTCTATGCTCAAAAATCTGATAATGTAAATGAAATGGACCAATTCCTTGAAAGACACAATCTACAAGAACCCACACAAGAAGAAATAGACAATCTGAAGAGACCTATATCTATTAAAGGAATTGAATAAATAATTAATGACCTTCCAAAATGGAAAGTATCAGGCCTGGATGGTTTCATTGGTGAATTCTATAACATATTTAAACAAGAAAATGATACCAATTCTCTACAATCTGTTCCAGAAGGTAGAAGCAGAAGGAGTAGTTCTTAAC